>NC_000017.11:44435980-45060980 GCF_000001405.40 Homo sapiens | reverse complement strand
AAAATCCGAGGTTTGATTTCAGCCTGCCCTTGCCAGTGCCTGGGCCGCTGGGAGCCGTTATTGGCTGCCGTTAAGGACCGTTACGTTTCCCGGGTAAGTGAAAGGGCCTGAGGCCCGCGGGTGCTACCTGCCTGGAGCCGGAATGCCCCAGGCCTTCTTAGAGTGGGCTTTTCCGCAAGAAGCCTAGTTGACTCCTGGCCGCCTTCCTCACTCGGGAGTCTGGGCAACCTGCGGTCATTGGCAGTTCAAGGTCTCATGAGAGGCAGTGGATTTTTTTGTGCGAAGCACTGACCCTAAGCCAGGAGACCACACTGCTAGGGAGGCAGGGCTCGCCGCCTCATCTTGGCCTCCAGGTACTTATCTTCGCCAAGCTCTTTCGCGCACACGTGGTCCCTTTAATTCCCCACAAGAATTTTCCACAACGACCCTTTTTTTCTTTTCTTTTCTTTCTTTCTTTCTTTTTTCTTTTTTAAATACGGCCGCCTTCTGTCGCCCAGGCTGGAGCGCAATGGCTCAAGATCACAGCTCACTGCAATCAAGGTATCCTCCCACCTCAGCCTCCCAAGTACCTAGGACTATAGGCATGAGCCACCACACCCGGATAATTTATATATTTTTTGTAGAGACGAGGGTCTCGCCTTGTTGCCCAGGCTGGTCTCGAACTCCTGGCCTCTAAGGATCTTCCTACCCCAACCCCGCAAAGTGCTGGGATTACAGACGTGAGCCACGGCACCCAGCCCACATCAACTCTTTCTTTAATAAGTGCCAGACTCTGTAGTAAGGCATTTCGTACATTATCTCATTTAATCCTCTCAACAAGTCTACAATATAGGTCCTATTATTATTATTCAACCTTTGTTTTGTTTTGTTTTGTTTTGAGACGGAGTCTCTCTCTGACTCCCAGGCTGGAGTGCAGTGGTGCGATCTCGGCTCACTGCAACCTTCGCCTCCTGGGTTCAAGCGATTCTCTTGCCTCGGCCTCCTGAGTAGCTGGGATTAAAGGCGCACGCCACCACACCTGGCTAATTTTTGTATTTTTAGTAGAGACGGGGTTTCACCATGTTGGTCAGGCTGGTCTCGAACTCCTGACCTCGTGATCTGCCCATTTCGGCCTCCCAAAGTGCTGGGATTAGAGGTGTGAGCCACCGTACCTGGCCATATTGACCTTTTTGACAGATGAAAAAATGTGGCCCTGAGAGGTTGGTAAATTGCACAGTCACATAGCTGGTTAAGTGGCAAATCGGTATACAAATCCAGATCTGTGTGCCCCAGGCCCTCTGAATTCTTTGCCACCATAAAAGTCCCATTTTCTGATACACTATTCACTCAAGGAAATCAGTTACTAAAAGGTAACTGTGACTCCAGTGCGTATTCTATATCAGGGGAAAAAAGGTAACTGCCACATTTTAATCTGTTTTTAACCTTGATTGAATGTTTCAGTCCCTGAGTCTCACTCTTTTGATTGAGTAATCTCGCCTAAGTGCCCAAAGACATGGTTCCCATTCTTGGAAATTTCCTATTCGGGTTGAGTGTGGTGGGTGATGAGAGGACTAATTCTTACCATCAGAGTGCTCCATGGCCAAAAAGGGAAATGATCTTTGCCTTTGGGAAAGATCTCAACATGGGAAGAATGGCAGGGCGGGAAGAAACAGTTCCCATCTGACTCAGGGAAAGAAAACACAAATAAAACACAGAACTAAATATAGTCAACTCTTTCTTTCTTTTTTTTTTCTGAGACGGAGTCTCGCTCTCTTGCTCTGTCGCCCAGGCTGGATTGCAGTGGCGCGATTTTGGCTCACTGCAAGCTCTGCCTCCCGGGTTCACGCCATTCTCCTACCTCAGCCTCCCAAGTAGCTGGGACTACAGGTGCCCGCCACCTCACCCGGCTAATTTTTTGTATTTTTAGTAGAGACGGGGTTTCACCGTGTTAGCCAGGGTGGGCTCGATCTCCTGACCTCGTGATCTGCCCGCCTCGGCCTCCCAAAGTGCTGGGATTACAGGCGTGAGCCACCGCGCCCGGCCAACTCAACTCTGTTTTTATATCAATGGCATAAGCATAAGTAATTATGATCCAAAGCAGCAGATAATCCTCAGTCATTTATATTTGACTTTGGAAGGCAGTCAAAGATGCCCACTCAGTCTGAGAGCTGTCACCACACTCAACTCTCCGGGGTCTAAGACTGCTGTTCAACGCGATTGCCCTATTTGCAGCTGCAGGGAAGGGGGGGGTCAGAGGTAAGAAGAAGAATAATAAAGCCAGGCCAGGCGCTGGGGCTTATGCCAGTAATCCCAGCACTTTGGGAAGCCGAGGTGGGTGGATCACCTGAGGTCAGGAGTTCGAGACCAGCCTGGCCAACGTGGCGAAACCCCGTCTCTACTGAAAATACAAAAAAATTAGCTGGGCTTAGTGGTGGGCGCCTATAATCCCAGCTACTTGGGAGGCTGAGACGCGAGAATCTTTTGAACCTGGGAGGCGGAGGTTGCAGTAAGCCAAGATTCTGCCACTGCACTCCAGCCTGGGTGACAAAGTGGGACTCTGTCTCAAAAAAAATAAAAAGTAGGCTGGGCGTGGTGGCTCATGCCTGTAATCCCAGCACTTTGGGATTACAATAATAAAATAAAAGATAAAAAGATATTTTGTGTGTTATTTTTATTTATTATTATTTTTGAGACTGTCTCGCTCTGTCGCCTACGCTGGAGTGCAATGGCGCAATCTCGGCTTGCTGCAACCTCTGCCTCCTGGATTCAAGTGATCCTGCCACCTCAGCCTCCCCGGTAGCTGGGACTACAGGTGCGCACCCCCATGCCTGGCTAATTTTTGTACTTACAGTAGAGATGGGGTTTCACCACGTTGGCCAGGCTGGTCTTAAACTCCTGACCTCAGGTAATCCACCTGCCTTGGCCTCCCAAAGTGCTGGAATTACAGGTGTGAGCCACCACGCCCAGGCTTTTTTTTTTTTTTTTTTTTTTTTGAGACGGAATCTCACTGTCACCCAAGTTGGAGTGCAGTGGCACAATCTCGACTCATTGCAACCTCTGCCTTCCAGGTTTAAGCGATTCTCCTGCCTCAGCCTCCCAAGTAGCTGGGATTACAGGTGCCTGCCACCACGCCCAGCTAATTTTTGTACTTTTAGTAGAGACAGGGTTTCACCACGTTGGCCAGGCTGGTCTCGAACTCCTGACCTCAGGTGATCCGCCCACCTCGCTCTCCCAAAGTGCTGAGATTACAGGTGTGAGACACTGCACCTGGCCTGAATTACTGTTTTTTTTTTTTTTTTGAGATGGAGTCGCACTCTGTTGCCCAGGCTGGAGTGCAGTGGCACTATCTCGGCTCACTGCAACCTCTGCCTCCTGGATTCCAGCAGTTCTCCTGCCTCAACCTCCCGAGTAGCTGGGATTACAGGCACACACCGCCATGCCCAGCTAATTTTTTGTATTTTAGTAGAGACGGGGTTTCACCATGTTGCCCAGGCTGGTCTCCAACTCCTGAGCTCAGGCAATCCGCCTGCCTCGGCCTCCCAAAGTGCTGGGATTACAGGCATGAGCCACTGCGCCCAGCCGAGAGCTTTCCACTTTGAAACAATTTTGGTTTGTGAAAAGCTGGCCCGGTTCTGCCTTATGGAGTTATGCAGAAATATAGCTGGGTGAGGTGGCTCATGCCTGTAATCCCAACACTTTGGGAGGCTGAGATGGGTGGATCACTTGAGCCCAGGAGTGTGAGACCTGCCTGGGCAACATAGAGGACCCTGTCTCTAAAAAAAATACAAAAATTAGCGTGGCATTGTGGCATGCACCTATGGTTCTAGCTACTTGGGAGGCTGAGGTGGGAGGATCGCTGGAACCCAGGATCATGCCACTGCACTCCAGCCCGGACAACATGGCAAGGCCCCGTCTCTATATAAATAGGAAAAAAGGGCCAGGCGCAGTGGCTCACGCCTGTAATCCCAGTACTTTGGGAGGCCAAGGCGGGCAGATCATGAGGTCAGGGGATCGAGACCATCCTGGCTAACATGGTGAAACCCTGTCTCTACTGAAAATACAAAAAATTAGCCAGACGTGGTGGCGGGCGTCTGTAGTCCCAGCTACTTGGTAGGCTGAGGCAGGAGAACGGTGTAAACCAGGGAGGCGGAGCTTGCAGTGAGCGGAGATCACGCCACCGCACTCCAGCCTGGGTGACAGAGCGAGGCTCTGTCTCAAAGGAAAAAGGGCCAGGCACGGTGGCTCATGCCTATAATCCCAGCACTTTGGGAGGCCAAGGCAGGCGGATCACCTGAGGTCAGGAGTTTGAGACCAGCCTGGCCAACGTGGTGAAACCCCGTCTCTACTAAAAATACAAAATTTAGCTGGGCACAGTGGTGGACGCCTGTAATCCCAGCTACTCGGGAGGCTGAGGCAGGGAGAATTGCTTGAACCCGGGAAGTGGAGGTTGCAGTGAGCCGAGATCGCACCATTGCACTCCAACCTGGGCGACAGAGCAAGACTCTGTCTTGGGAAAAAAAAAATATATATAAAAAAGAGTGCAGGCAGAGTGTGACTCCCTGGGTTCTAAATCCTGGCTCTGCCTCTGACTTAATGAATGACCTTAGGCAAGTCACTTAACCTCTGAGCTTTGATGTCATTATCTGTAAAATAAGACTTACATAGAGAGCCCTAAAAGTGTCTAGGACAGAATTAATACCCACTTAATTAGTATTTCCCTTCCCAGGAAGTCAGCATTACTGGTATGATAACCAAAGAAAAGTTTTCTTCATGATGTCCATCACAGATCAAGGCCTTTGCTGTACTTCCAGCATGTCAGAGATAACCTTCTTTTTTTTTTTTTTTTGAGACGGAGCTTTGCTCTTTTTGCCTAGGCTGGAGTGCAATGGTGCAATCTCTCCTCACTGCAACCTCTGCCTCCTGAGTTCAAGCGATTCTCCTGCCTCAGCCTCCTGAGTAGCTGGGATTACAGGTGCGAGCCACCATGCCTGGCTAATTTTTTGTATTTTTAGTAGAGAAGGGGTTTCACCATGTTGGCCAGGCTAGTCTCAAACTCCTGACCTCAGGTGATCCCCTGCCTTGGCCTCCCAAAGTGCTGGGAGTACAGGTGTGAGCCACTGTGCCCGGCCACATATAACCTTTCTTCTGGTGGACCTACGAAGCCATGAGATAGATTGTGATTCATTTATTCCAACCTCGGGAACACTGATGACTTGTCAGCCTCTATGGCAGGAACTGGAGAGTCAGGGGTAGAACAGTTCTAGCACAGTGCCTAAGAAAGTGGGGAGCACAGGCTGTCCAGAGGCAGGAGATCCTGGGGGGACATGGTGGCTTAGCTGAATGTTCATCAGGACAGTAAACAAACTGGGGTGGACCTTCTAGGTAGAAAGTCCAGGTGCCTGAGACTTGGGTGCTTTTGAGGTATGGCAATGAGAATGATATGACTTAGGACTGGAGCTTAGAAAGTGAGGAGTGTGTGCCTGTGGTTCCAGCTATTCAGTGGGAGGCTGAGATGGGAGGATCACTTGAGCCTGGGAGGCAGAGGTCACAGTGAGCCAAGATCGTGCCACTGCACTAACCTGGGTAACAGAGTGAGACCCTGTCTCAAAAATAAATAAATAAATAAATAAATAAATAAACGTACAGAAAATAAATTTAAAACCAGGAGCCAAAGGAGTCATCTCTAATGGACTCAGGGTTGTTCATCAAACAAAATGAGAAGCAGAACTGTATTCCAGGCATCATGCTAAATGCTAAGGACACAGAGGTGACTGAGATGCAGGCCACTCTCAGGATAAAATGAGATTGTGTAAGTAGCTACAGCCAGCTCAAAGTTTCTTATTGCCATCCTGAATCATGAAAGACATATATTTGAGCTGAAAAAGCCCTTGATGGCATCACATGGAAACTCCAAAGCCCAAGTTTCATTATGGAGGAGGTGCCTGGGTTGAAGGCCCTGTAGCAGCCCTTCACCCTTTCCTATGGGATCTTCCTGGGGCAGAGGTGCAGCTGCTTTTGGCAAATCGGACCACAAGGATACCTCCTTGGAAGACAAGGCTCTCACTTGTACATGAATAGTTATAATACTGTAAGGCAGTATCTGAGAAAAGTAGGGTCATCTGGACGGTTTCCTAACACTGTGTCCCAGGAAGATCCAGATAATTTGGGGGGACAGGCCAGGCCTGTTCCTATCCCTGTCTTGGCCAGCCATGATTACTGGTGGGAGTCTGGGTATCCCTTGGATGTGTCAGGAGTAGGGAAAAGGGTGAGAACCACAGGATTAGGTTAGCTATACATTGTTTGATCAAGGAAGGGAATTGAGCCATTAAATCTGGCTCTATAAAATAGAATTAGATTTGTTCTGTATGGCCCCACGGTTTAAAACTAGGAGAGATACTGCCTAAGAAAGAACTTTCTAACTGCCAAGACTGGACTTGAAAAAATAACAACTGTCAGCCAGGTGTGGTGGCTCACACCTGTAATCCCAGCACTTTGGGAGGCTGAGGCAGGCAGATCGCCTGAGGTTGGGAGTTCGAGACCAGCATGGCCAGCATGGTGAAACCCCATCTCTACTAAAAATGTAAAAATTAGCCTGGCATGGTGGCAGGCACCTGTAATCCCAGCTACTAGGGAAGCTGAGGCAGGAGAATCACTTGAACCCGGGAGGCGGAGGTTGCAGTGAGCTGAGATCACGCCATTGTACTCCAGCCTAGGCAACAGAGCCAGACTCTGTCTCAAAAAAAAAAATAAATAAAACTGTCTTGAGTGGCAGTGAGTTCCCCAACATGGGACATGTACATGTATACATGGCAGAGATAATGTGGAAGAGATTCAAATACTGGCAGGGTGTTTGTACCAAATGGCCCTTTTGGACACAAGATGGAATCCTTTTTATTGGGTGATGGCAGTAGGTCTCCTTGACTGTTGAAGTCAGGAAGAAAGCTTTCAGGGACTCAGGTGATCTGAGAAAGATGTTAAATTACTTAATTCCTCAATATACTGAATCCCTACTGTGCAGGGCACTGGGTATTGTAGTAGTAGATAGGCAAGATTCCTACCTTAAAGGAAGTAGAGAATAGAGATACAGTTTAAGGAAAGGGAAGGGAGACAGGGTAGGTGTTAATTAAAAACTTCCTGCTGGTGAGGCACCGTGGCTCATGCCTATAATCCCAGCACTTTGGGAGGCCGAGGTGGGTGGATCACCTGAGGTCAGGAGTTTGAGACCAGCCTGGCTAACATGCCAAACCCCATCTCTACTAGAAATACAAAAATTAGCCAGATGTGCTGGGCATGGTGGCTGACGCCTGTAATCCTAGCACTTTGGGAGGCCGAGGTGGGTGGATCACCTAGGTCAGGATTTCCAGACCAGCCCGGCCAACGTGGTGAAACCCCATCTCTACTAAAAATACAAAATTAGCCGAGTGTGGTGGTACATGCCTGTAATCCTAGCTACTTGGGAGGCTGAGGCAGGAGAATCGCTTGAACCCGGGAGGTAGAGGTTGCAGTGAGCCGAGATCATGCCACTGCACTCCAGCCTGGGCAACAAGAGCAAAACTCCATCTCAAAAGCAAAACAAATTAGCTGGATGTGGTGGCGCACACCTCTAGTCCCAGCTACTCGGGAAGCTGTGGCAGGAGAATCGCTTGAACCTGGGAGGCAGAGGCTGCAGTGAGCCAAGATCCTGCCACTGCACCCCAGCCTGGGCAATAGAGCGAAACTCTGTCTCAACAAACAAACAAACAAACCAAACAAAAAAAAAACAAAAACAACTTCCTGCTATATGTGAGGCATAACTAGATAACTAGTTTTTTTTTTTTTTTTTTTTTTTTTTTAACTGGAGACAGAGTCTTGCTGTAGTCTCCCAGGCTGGAGTGCAGTGACCGGATCTTGGGCTCACTGCAACCTCCACCTCCCGGGTTCAAGCAATCCTCCTGCCTCAGCCTCCCGTGTAGCTGGGATTACAGGCATTCACCACCACGCCCGGCTAATTTTGTATTTTTAGTAGAGACGGGATTTTGCCATGTTGGCCAGGCTGGTCTCAAACTCCTGACCTCAGGTGATCCACCCGCCTTGGCCTCCCAAAGTGCTGGGATTACAGGCGTGAGCCACAGCGCCCGGCCTAGATGCTTTATTTTTTTTGAGGCAAGGTCTCGTTTTGTTGCCCAGGCTGGAGTGCAGTGGTACCATCATGGCTCTCTGCAGCCTTGACCTCCTGGGCTCAAGCCATCCTCCTGCCTCAGCCTCCCGAGTAAATGAGACCACACTGTCACCATGCCTGGCTAGTTTGTTTTTTGTTTTTTTTTTTTGTAGAGATCGGGGGTTAGTCTCACTCTTGTTTAGGCTGGTCTCGAACTCCTGGGCTCAAGTGATCCTCCCAAAGTGCTGAGATTACAGGTGTGAGCCACCGTGCCCGGCTTTTATGTATTCTTTCAACAACGCTGCACGGCTGCGATTATCCCCACTTTGAGAGGAGACAGGATGAGAGGCTGAGTGGCTTGCTAGGCTTGTATGGACAGGATGCGGGCTCTGCAATCACATGACTTTGTATGAGAGGGCAAATGGATTAACCGCTAAACATAGTTTCCTGTTGTGTAAAATGGGGATGATGATAGTATCCACCCTGCGGACTGTGCGGGCTGAGATAATCCCACAAAGTGCTCTTAGGACCTGGCAGGTGGAAAGTGCTCATGATCACCTCTGCCAAGGCTGCACAAGTAGCGAGTGGCCGAGCTTTATATCCGAAGTTAGGACCCTGCAGTTTTGCCCCTCTCCTCTCTCTCCCTCTCCTTCCCGGCTCCGGGGAAAGGAAAATTTATGGCTCCGGGTCGGGGGTTGCGGGGGACCTCTGTGCCGTGCTCCGGGGCCGAGCTCTCCCCGCCGGCCTCTCCCGCGTCCGTCCGGCCGCCCTCCCGCCCAACCTCTCCCGCCCAACCTCTCCCGCGTCCGCCCGCCCGCCCAACCTCTCCCGCGTCCGCCCGCCCGCCCAACCTCTCCCGCGTCCGCCCGCCCGCCCAACCTCTCCCGCGTCCGCCCGCCCGCCCAACCTCTCCCGCGTCCGCCCGCCCGCCCAACCTCTCCCGCGTCCGCCCGCCCGCCCAACCTCTCCCGCGTCCGCCCGCCCGCCCAACCTCTCCCGGCCCCGCCCGCCCGCCCGCCCAACCTCTCCCGGCCCCGCCCGCCCGCCCGCCCAACCTCTCCCGGCCCCGCCCGCCCGCCCGCCCAACCTCTCCCGGCCCCGCCCGCCCGCCCGCCCAACCTCTCCCGGCCCCGCCCGCCCACCCAACCTCTCCCGGCCCCGCCCGTCCAACCTCTCCCGGCCCCGCCTGCTGGCCGGACGTCCGGTCTGCAGGCGCGCGCTCCCGAGGTCCCGCCTCGCCCGCTGAGCCGGCCTGTAAGCGCTGCGGAGATTGGGCTAGAGGCGGAGGCCTGGGCCACGGCGGAGGCGCTGGGTACGTAGCGCGCCACGCGGGCCGGTGAGAGCCAGCCGGGCGCCGGGGAGGGGGCGGGCCCTGGCCGCGGCTGCTACGCGGGGCTGCCACCGCCCCGGGCGACCCAATTTCGCGGCCTAGTGGGGCGTACGGGCCTCTTTTGAAAGCCTGAGTTACGATGTATTGAGCGCGTCGTATGCGGCCAGCACTAAGGCAAGTGCTTTTATATCCACGGCCCATTGTCTTGACAGCAACCCTACCAAGCAACGTGTTATTTCCTCTGTTTTACGGCTGAGGACGCGCAGGAAGGTTTACAGCTAGAAAGGGCTGGAGATTGTGGATTCAAACTCAGGATCAGACCAAAGCCACTGCCCTTTAGAACTTTGCGGGCCGATTGATTCTTGAATCTAGCTTCTGCCACTTCAGTTGTGTGACCTTGGGGTATCTTTCCGATCCCAAGTTTGCTCATCTGAAAAATGGGAATAAAGCTACAGTATCTGTCCCATAGGGTGGGTATAAAGTGCTTTACTGTTGAGCTGAGTGATCATCTCCGATTTTCAGACCCCTCTCCTCCGCTTCCCTCTCCCCTGGGAGGCCAGTTAAGGTTTTAGTGAAGGCCCCCGGGACTGGGGCGGCGTGGATCTCACGCCCACCAACTAGTGAGGGAGGCCATCCGGCCACCCGTCTCTTCCTTCCCCAGCTCCGCAAAGGAGGCGTTGGCATTTCAGGTGTTTGCTTACAGAGTTTTCAAAGATTTTTCACTCTCCCTTAGTTGTGGGAAAATGATTCAACCTACCCAAGTGAACTTTGACATTAAGTCTCAATTCTAACGGTGAGGAAATGGAAGCCTTTGAATATGTTTTATGTCTTAAACGTGTTTGTTTTTGCAGGAGGGAGAGTGCTCATTTTACCTGAATAAATCAAGATTGAGTTGGTGTGGCACAGTGCTGGCATAGGCCTGGGGAAAGGGGTGAAATGCTAGAGATCTGGTAGATGGATAGAAAGTGGACAGACGGGTTCGGGTGGTTTTTGTCTCAGCAGGGCCCTAAATTCCCACCAAATCCTCCTCTGTCTGTCTTCACCAAGGTCTGAATCTGTCCCCTTGGTAAATAACGTTTAAATGGTCTCCGAGCCCCTCTTGGTGCCTGTACCTTAAGGAGAGAAGAAGAGGGCTGATAGCTGAAGGCAGGCAAGCCACGAACTTAGCTTTGTTTTGAAAATTACCCTCTGGGCCGGGCACGGTGGCTCACGCCTGTAATCCCAGCGCTTTGGTAGGTTGAGGAGGGTGGATCACCCGAGGTTAGGAGTTCGAGACCAGCCTGGTCAACATGGTGAAACCCCCGTGTCAACTAAAAATGCAAAAAAATTAGCCGGACATGGTGGTGCATGCCTGTAGTCCCAGCTACTCGGGAGGCTGAGGCAGAAAAATCGCTTGAACCCGGGAGGCTGAGGTTGCAGTGAGCCGAGATCGTGCCACTGCACTCCAGCCTGGGCAAGAGAGTGAGACTCCTTCTCAAAAGAAAGAAAGAAAGAAAAAATTACCTGCTGGGAGGCCGAGCGCGGTGGCTCACGCCTGGTAATCCCAGTATTTTGGGAGGCTGAGGCAGGCAGATCACCTGAGGTCAGGAGTTTGAGACCAGCCTGGCCAACATGGTGAAACTCCATCTCTACTAAAAATACAAAAAAATTAGCTGGGTGTGGTGGCGGGTGCCTGCAATCCCAGCTACTCAGGAGGTCGAGGTAGGAGAATCACTTGAACTCAGGAAGCAGAGGTTGCAGTGAGCTGAGATCGTGCCACTGCACTCCAGCCTGGGTGACAAGAGCAAGACTCTGTTTCAAAAAAAAAAAAAAAAAAAAAAAGGAAAAGAAAAAGAAAATTACCTGCTGGCACAGTTTTAGATTGATAGCTTTAGATTGAAACTTTCACATTTTTATTTTGAAGATTACAGAGGATAAAAGTTCTGGTTAATTGTGAATGTTGATATTTTAAAATAAAGCTGTTAAAATCCTCATTTAAACCTGCAGTGAAGTCTAAATATACACCATTTGATTTGATTTCCCTCATCTTTTGAAAAAAAAAAAAAGAACCACTTTTTATTTAACCATCGAAATTTCAAATCGTTCTTTTTTTCCTTTATTTTTTCCGAGATGGGATCTTGCTCTGTTGCTCAAGCTGGAGTGCAGTGGCAGTCACTGGTTACTGCACCCTTGACCTGCTGAGCTCAATCCTCCCACCTTAGCCACCAAAGTAACTAAGAGTACGGGTGTCTGTCACCACATATGGCTGATTTTTCTTTTTATTTTTAGTAGAGACGAGGTCTTGCTATGTTGCCCCGGCTGACTCCTGGTCTCAAGTGATCCTTGCATCTCAGCCTCCAAAAGTGCTGGGATTAGAGGTGTAAGCCACCATGCTTGGCCCTTTTTCCTTCTTGAACTCATATTTCCACTTTGTTTCCTCACAGAAGTTTTTTCTAATGTAATAGTTTTTGTTTTTTTGAGACAGGGTCTCTGTCACCCAGGCTGTAGTGCAGTGGCGGGATCACAGCTCACTGCAGCCTTGACCTCTTGGGCTCAAGCAATACTCCCACCTTAGCTTCCCCAGTAGCTGGGACTGCAGGCTTTCGCCACCATGCTCAGCCAATTTTTTTTTTCCAAATGAAAGCAAGATTATTAGGAAAATAATGGAATAAAGAATGGCTACACCATAGGCAGAACAGCCCTTGTGCTGCTGGTTGGCTATTTTTATGGTTCTTTCTTTCTTTTTGAGACAGAGTCTGTCTCACTCTGTCACCCAGGCTGGAGTGCAGTGGCGCAGTCTTGGCTCACTGCAGCCTCTACCTCCTAGGTTCAAATGCTTCTCAAGCCTCAGCCTCCTGAGTAGCTGGGATTACAGGTGCATGCCACCACGCCTGGCTAATTTTTGTTTTGTTTTTCTTTGAGATGGAGTCTCGCTCTGTCACCCAGGCTGGAGTGCAGTGGCACGATCTCGGCTTACTGCAACGTCTGCCTCCCGGTTTCAAGCGATTCTTCTGCCTCAGCCTCCTGAGTAGCTGGGACTATGGGCATGTACCACCATGCCTGGCTATTTTTGTATTTTTAGTAGAGACGGGGTTTCACCATATTGGCCAGGCAGGTCTCAAACTCCTGACCTCGTGATCCGCCCTCGGCCTCCCAAAGTGCTGGGATTACAGGCATGAGCCAACATGCCTGGCCTAATTTTTGTATTATTAGTAGAGATGGGCTTTTGCCATATTGGCCAGGCAGGCTGGTCTCAAACTCCTGGCCTCAAGTGATCTGCCTCCCAGAGTGCTGGGATTCCAGCTAATTTTTTTTTTTTTCCATTTTTTTGTAGAGACAGAGTCTCACTATGTTGCCCAGGCTGGTCTTGAACTCCTGGCCTCAAGTGATCCTCCTGCCTTGACTTCCCAAAGTGCTGGGATTATATGCATGAGATACTGTGCCTGACCATGTAATAATACATTTTATGCCTGAAAGCCTTTGGTTTATCATATTTCTCTGCAACAAAAATACATACAAAATTAAAACTTTTTTAAAATTGTGTTATCATGAGTATTAAATGTTTCTTTTGGATTGAGTTGTCACAATTATAAAATACACAATTGATAAAAACAATGTTAACAAAGTTTTATTTGAGTATTTCTCTTAATAAGCTAAGTGGGCCGGGTGTGGTGGCTTATGCTTGTAGTCTCAACATTTTGGGAGGCCAAAGCAGGCAGATTACTTGAGCTCAGGTGTTTGAGACTAGCCAGGGGCCAGACGCGGTGGCTCACGCCTGTAAACCCAGCACTTTGGGAGGCCAAGGTGGGCGGATCACAAGGTCACAAGTTCAAGACCAGCCTGACCAACATGCCGAAACCCCGTCTGTACTAAAGATACAAAAATTAGCTGGGTGTGGTGGCGTGTGCCTGTAATCCCAGCTACTGGGGAGGCTGAGGCAGGAGAATCATTTGAACCGGGAGCCGGAGGTTGCAGTGAGCCAAGATCGCGCCACTGCATTCCAGCCTGGGCAACAGGGTGAGACTCCATCTCAAAAAAAAAAAAAAAAAAAGAGACTAGCCAGGGCAACCCAGCAAAACCTCATCTCTACAAAAAATTTTTAAAAATTAGCCGGGCGTGTTGGTGCATGCCTGTAGTCCCAGCTACTTGGGAGGCTGAAGTGGCAGGATCACCTGAGCCTAGGAGGGTTGAAACTTCACTGAGCTGTGATCACACCACTGCATTCCAGCCTAGACAATGGAGTAAGACTCTGCCTCGAAAAAAATAAGCTGGGTGGAGCTTTTTAAACCTCATGTATCTATCCATGTTTATTTGTATATTTACTAGAGTGAGCAGAGTGCTTTTTTTTTTCTTTGGCTGTAACCATTGAAAAAGTTTCTTCATGTAAATTAAATACACAGGAGTTGAAGGCTTTTTTTTTTTTTCAGCAATATCACTCAGTTCTTTGAACACCTTCTGAATTATGGGCCGAAAAATCACATTGAATTATTAATAATCTGTCAGTCCACAGTTCTTTTAGGTCCTCCTTTAACTTTCTTGAAGGCCAAGGTTTAGAAACCACCTGACTCATGCAAGGATTTGTTCCTTAGTCACTGTAGGCAGTCACTTTCTTAGCATGAATACTGACCTTTTGAATTGCCCTTTCTGGTGCCCAGGGGATTTTCACCCTGTGGGACCGTGCACCTCACCTCAGTATGATTTAGCATGGGTGGATGGTTATGCCTTTCTCTGAAACATGGGAGATGGGTGAGTGTGAAGGAGGAGCTGGGTAGGAGAGCCAGTGGGAATTGAGTTGGAAATTTATGACGCTGAAACTCTACCTTTGTGCCTCTCAGAAAATCTTCACGCATCACCTAAGTGTTCTCATTCTCCTGTGTGTAGGCCACCTGGCACTACCGTGGGCAAACATAGAGCTGCTTTTTTTTTTTTTTTTTTTTTTTGAGATGGAATCTCGCTCTGTCGCCCAGGCTGGAATGCAATGGCACGATCTCGGCTCACTGCAACCTCCACCTCCCAGGTTTAAGCGATTCTTCTTCCTCAGCCTCCCGAGTAGCTGGGACTACAGGCACGCACCACCACGCCTGGCTAATTTTTGTATTTTTAGTAGAGATGGGGTTTCACCATATTGGCCAGGCTGGTCTCAAATTCCTGACCTCGTGATCAGCCCTCCTTGGCCTCCCAAAGTGCTGGGATTACAGGCAGGCGTGAGCCGCCGTGCCCAGCCAGAACTTCTTTTAACTTCCATTTCCTCACTTTGAGAAAGTGCTGCTCTTACACTCTAGTTCCGCCTGCTGGGAAGCTCACCTTCCTAGGCACTCTCTCCCACATTTTCCTCATCTTTTAGCCCAATATATTGTCAGTCCAGGAATGTGGAGGTGGGAAGTAATGTGGAAAGGTTTTGTGATTCTCATTTTAAAATAGTTGATGTTGCCAGGCACAGTGGCTCACGCCTGTAATCCTAGCACTTGTGGGAGGCCGAGGCAAGCGGATCACTTGAGGTCAGGAGTTCGAAACCAGCCTGGCCAACGTGGTGAAATCCCGTCTCTACTAAAAATACAAAAAAAATTAGCTGGGCGTGGTGGCAGTGGCTGTAATCCAGCTACTCGGGAGGCTGAGGCAGGAGAATCGCTTTAACCCAGGAGGTAGAGGTTGCAGTAAGCCAAAACCGCACCATTGCATTCCAGCCTGGGCAACAGAGCAAGGCTCCGTCTCAAAAACAAAAACAAAAAAAGTTAATGTTGAGTTCCAGCTTGCCCATGAGCTAAATATTTTGCTGCATGGTTTATGTATTAATTCAACAAGTATCTTTTTTTTTTTTTTTTTTGAGACAGAGTCTTGCTCTGTTGCTCAGGCTGGAGCGCAGTGGTGCGATCTCTGCTCACTGCAACCTCCCCCTCCCGGGTTCAAGTGATTCTCCTTCTTCAGCTTCCCAAGTAGCTGGGACTACAGGCACACGCCACCACGCCCGGCTAACTTTTGTATTTTTAATAGAGACAGGGTTTCACCATATTGGCCAGGATGGTCTTGAACTCCTGACCTCAAGTGATCCATCTGCCTCAGCCTCCCAAAGTGCTGGGATTACAGATGTGAGCCACTGTGCCTGGCTAACAAGTATCTTTTAAGGGCCTATTTGTCAGGCCCTGTTTTTGGCACCTTGGATACAGCAGTACCCAGATTTAGAGAGAGGCAGATTGCAAGATATCAACACAAAGCCAAGTAATGTGTTGGGTGGTGACACGTTGGTCAGCGCTGTGAAGAAAAGGAGGCTACAGGATAAAGCAGGGGTGCTGTTTTATATATTTGGGGACAGTTTCTCTGTAAGGTCCCCAGTTCCCCTGCTTTCTGTCCGTGTCCTGACCAGGCTGTGATCCAGCTAGCTGCAGGGTTGAATCCAAACTGGGTCCTTGAACATTCCCAGGCACCTAGATACCTAGATAAAGGTGCCTATAGATATCTAGATACCTAGATAAAGGTGCCTATAGATATCTAGATACCTAGATAAAGGTATCTAGGTTGTTGCCCAAAATACTGAAAGAAACTGGCCCTGGCCCTGAGCCAAATTCCTTAAACCTTCATATAAACTCCATGCCCTGACCCTCTTGCTGTCGACATACCTAGGTAGAACACCTCATTTCTCTCGCTGTCCATTGAGAGCAGTGGTGCAGCCCACTCTGTAAGGAAGTTCCCCTAATGAATGCTTATAAATGCTTTGGACTGATCACCCTGGCGATTAGTGGTTCTTTCTTTAGAATCCCAACCAGCCTTGTCTTGAGACAGTTTAGGGCATTCCCTTGTGGGAACTCTTCTGCCACAGCTTTTATTTATTTATTTATTTATTTATTTATTTATTTATTTATTTATTTATTGATGGAGTCTCTCTCTGTCTCCCAGGCTAGAGTGCAATGGCACAATCTCGGCTCACTGCAACCTCTGCCTTCTAGGTTCAAGTGATTGTCCTGCCTCAGCCTCCTGAGTAGCTGGGACTACAGGCACGTGCCACCACACCTGGCTAATTTTTGTATTTTTAGTAGAGACAGGATTTTGCTATGTTGGCCAGGCTGGTCCCGAACTCCTGACCTCAGGTGACCCGCCTGCCTCAGCCTCCGAAAGTGTTGGGATTACAGGCGTCAGCCACCGCACCCATCCGCTTGCCACAGCTTTTAAGGTGATTCCAGCCAGTTCCAGACGGGGGTTGGGTTCAGCGGGACAGGACCTGACAGTCTCTGATGGGGGGACGATTGGGCAGAGAAGGGAGTGAATGGGGCAGCCCTCTGGGGAAGAGCCTTGTCTGGGACTGTGGGGACATTGGGGCACAGGCCTGAGGGCAGTGATGTAGGGGGGAGTGGTTGGAGATGCTGGGAGGACATAGATGGCCTCTTTCATGAGGCTTCTGTAGGACTCTCCATGGACTTGGCTTGTACTCACTGAGATGGTAACTGTTAGACGGCTGTGAGCAGAGGCCTGACATGATCTGACTTGCATTTCAAAGGATCACACTAGCTGCTTTGTTAGGAGCAAACAAAGTTTGTTCCTAACTTTGGAGCAAAGGTGCAGCAGGAAATGGCTCAGAGGCTGCTGCAGGGCTTCCGCAGCGACATGGTGGCGCTCATGCACCGGGGGCTCCTTGTGGGCTGTGCAGGTGGGAGGTAGCGCTGGCCGGGCACTGCGGGTTGGATGGAGGGTGTGAGAGAGGCCAGGAGGATTCCGAGGCTTTTGGCCTATACAAGTGGAAGGAGGGAGGAGGGAGGTACTGTTTAGGGAAATGGAGTTATGAGAAAAACCCAGAATTGTATAGAAAAACATTCCCCCAAATCCGGAGGGAGCCGAGAGACCAAAGAATGATTCGGACAAGTCCAGCTTCGTGAGTAGGTGAGCGTATTAGGACTTAAATGGAGGGCACTCCTCAGTGGCAGCAGGACAGCTCTGGGCGTCCGTGCCGCCTCCCGTCTCCAGGCTGCCTTTAAGCTAATTTTCTGGCTCTTTGCCTCCGGTGTGTGTGATGAGACTATTTTCCTTGGTATGTGCCCAGCTATGCCCTAGGATGTTTGGGTTCTCAGGGACACGTGCTCCTCAGCTGGGCACCATGGCCTTGGCTTACCGCCCAGCCTGCAGGGTTCAAGTGGCGGACATACATACACCCTTAAGTAACCCATCACACTACAAATGGAGTAGACTGCAGTGGCTGTGACATGTCACACACTGAGTTGGGGAAGATGAGGTGACTGTGACCTATGTTGTCACCTCATTTAATCCTGACACGACCCCATGAGTAGTCATTACAGATCTTTTTTTTTTTTTTGGAGACAGAGTCTCACTCTGTCACCCAGGCTGGAGTGCAGTGGCGCGATCTCAGCTCACTGCAACCTCTGCCTCCCAGGTTCAAGCGCAAATCCTATTTTATACTCAAGGAAAGAGAAGCTCAGGATGCTGAATTAAATTGCCTACAGCCATACAGCTAGTTAAGGGACAGAGCTAATCCCAACCAAGGTCCCTTTGACTCTGAACCCTCTGAGAATGTGCAGTCCCTGTGATCCTTTTTTTGCATAAATGGCAACAAAGTAGTCCAGTCCAAACAGCCTCCCTGCTCATTCATGAAAGCTGGAGTGATGGTTTGTGCTTGGAGAGTGCTCAAGTAGAGAAGAGAGACCTGTCCCCTCCCTGCCCTTGGTGTTGGCAAAGGGAGCAGGGAGGACACAGAGGGAGGCAGACGCCAGCTCCTTTCCTTGTGGCTCTCTCCAGGTAACTGGCAGCCTGGAGGAGGTGGCGGCTTAATGGGCCTAGCCCACGAAGAGAACTTGGACTTGAAGGTTTAAACAGCAACCTCTCACCAATAATGAAAGATTAGGAGTGGGGAAGCCGTATACAAAAATAGCACTTAATAGTTAACTGGAAAACAATATATTTTTGCAACCACTGGTTCCTCGAGAAATAATTGGGTCCCAAGGCAGGAAATGACTCGTTTTCATGAATGATTATATTGATCATTGGTGCAAAACAGATACACCCCCTTAGGAAAGCAGTTCTGTCTGGCTAGTCAGGCGGCCCCAGTGTGAAATCCTGAGAGGCGGCAAGGGGAGGAGGACAGGGGCTGCAAGCCGAGGGAGCCAGGTCCTGGCCTGGCACACGCAGGGGCGGGTCTGTTGAATGGGGGATGAGAAGGAACAGAATTTGCCTCCAACATAAGTCCTGAGCTGTCCCAAGGGAAGAAGGTGACAGAGTGAGACCCTGTCTCAAAGAAGAAAAAAAAAGTCACATGAACAGAAATGAAAGTCCAAAGCATGACGAGTCCAAAGGAGGGAAAGTAAAGGGAGTGGTGAGAGATGGCAGGGGCATCATTTGGGTTGGGGGATTGGATGAGGCTCCTCCAAGGGGATGTGACTTGCTCCCATGCTGCTTCAGGTCCTGGGTCAGACAATGATGTGCCTGTCACTCTTTTTTTTTTAAGTCAGGTCTTATTCTGCACCCAGGCTGGAGTGCAGTGGTACAGTCATGGCTCACTGCAGCCTCCAACTCCTGGGCTCAAGCAGTCCTCCCATCTCAGCCTCTCAAGTAGCTGAGACTACAGACATATGCCATCATGCCCAGCTATTTTTTTTTTTTTAAGAGACAGGATCTCGCTTTGTTGCCCAGGCTGGCCTCTAACTCCTGGGCTCAAGTGATCCTCCCACCTTGGCCTCCCAAAGTGCTGCGATTGCAGGCGTGAGCCACCATGCATGGCCCCCCATTGCTCTTGATACCCTTACCCACTTACCACCACCACACTTACTGGTACTGTGAGTTTATTGTTTTACCCCTCCCCTGCTCCCCCCACCACCCCTTCTCGTGCCTGGTGTCTGATTGGTTGACACAGTCAGTACAGGGTGACTGAAGAGTAGTTAGCCCTGAGGTGAGTCTGGCAGAGAGAACACCAGCACAGAGGCTTTGGGGTCGAAAAGAGCCCGCATGTGGCTGGGCACAGTGGCTCACGCCTGTAATCCCAGCACTTTGGGAGGCTGAGGCAGGCAGATCACGAGGTCAGGAGATTGAGACCATCCTGGCTAACATGGTGAAACCCCGTCTCTACTAAAAATACAAAAAATTAGCCGGGCATGATGGCAGGCGCCTGTAGCCTCAGCTGCTTGGGAGGCTGAGGCAGCAGAATGGCGTGAACCCGGGAGGCGGAGTTGCAGTGAGCCGAGATCGCACCACTGCACTCCAGCCTGGGCGACAGAGCCAGACTCCGTCTCAAAAAAAAAAAAAGAGCCCGCATGTTCAGGGACAGAAGGAAGATCAGTGTGACAGGCACCAGGCATCGTGGACAGGGAGTGACTGAGGGAGTCACACAGGGCCTGGAGACCTCTGTGAAGGGCCAGGAGGAGGCGGGAGAAGGCAGTGAAGGTTTTAGATGGGAGTGACATGATCAGATGACTCCTTTAAGCCATGACCCTGGCTACCTTGGGGAGAAGCCAGGCCGGGACGAGGGGGTCAGGTCATGAGGCTACTGGAGTGGTCAGGGCACAGGTGCTGGTGGCTTAGGCTAACAGAGTGGGCCTAGTGGGATTAGAACTTGGCCAGACCTCCCAGAGCAGTAGGGCTTTATTTAGCCCATTAATTTTTCCCTAAGAGAAACACTGCCAGAGGAGATTCTAAGACAGACCATTCTCTGAATGTATTTATTCTTCTTGGGGCTACTGGGCCCAAGAAGTAAAAACTGAGAGGCAATTTGGAGACACCCGATGCAAAAGAGCCCACCACTTGTGGAGCACAATAGAATCTGATCGTCATTTCACAGGCCTTAGAGCTTCACTGCAGAGTTGGAGCGCAGGCACCAGCTCTAACCCAAACTCCTTGCCCTTTTCTTTGCACCCTGCTGCCTTTCACTGACATGGAGAATGAGGGAAAGAAAGGATGGGGTGTGGCTTCCCTGGGATCAGAGGCTTGCTTTTCTTTCTGGCTCCTCCTTGGCTGATGAATCCCATACCTGGGATTGGTCCCAGAATCCAGCTTCCATTTCTCCTGCACAGTGCATTGGCTCCTTCTCTGTTACTGTGGACTTGGTGTTGTCCTTCCGCCTCCAGCCAAGCCAGTTCTGTGAACAGCTTTTGGTGTTGAGGAGGAAGATTCCCAGGCCACCAACAGTAATGTCATCCCTTGGTTTGCCAGGGGAGCTTTTTTTTTTTTTTTTTTTTGAGATGGAGTCTTGCTCTTGTTGCCCAGGCTGGAGTGCAATGGCACAATCTAGGCTCACCGCAACCTCCGCCTCCCGGGTTCAAGCAATTCTCCTGCCTCAGTCTCCCGAGTAGCTGGGATTACAGGCATGCGCCACCATGCCTGGCTAATTTTGTATTTTTAGTAGAAATGGCGTTTCTCCATGTTGGTCAGGCTGGTCTCGAACTCCTGACCTCAGGTGATCCTCCCGCCTTGGCCTCCCAAAGTGCTGGGATTACAGGCATGAGCCACCACACCCGGCCTTTTTTTTTTTGAGATGGAGTCTCACTTTGTTGCCCAAGCTGGAGTCCAGAGTGGCATGATCTCTGCTCACTGCAACCTCCGCTTCCCAGATTCAAGCAATTCTCCTGCCTCAGCCTTCCGAATAGGTGGGATTACAGGCATGCACCACCACGCCCAGCTAATTTTTGTATTTTTAGTAGAGATGGGGTTTCGCCATGTTGGCCAGGCTGGTCTCGAACTCCTGGCCTCAAGTGATCCGCCCACCTTGGCCTTACAGCCACTGCGCCTGGCCCCAGGGGAGCATTTATTCACCACTCCCAGGAGAGCTCTGAACCACTGAAGGGGAGGAAGAAATCACCAGTGTGACTCTCAGCCTCCCTGGGGAGCTGCACCGTTCTTGGCACTGAAACTCCAGCCCCTCTCACTCACAAGTGTGGGGACTGAGGCTCAGAGGAGGGAAGGCACCCGGGGCTCAGCTGTTTCTTGTATGGAGTCCTTACCACCCTGGGCCAGGCTGGAGAGAAGACTTCCTGCAGTCACATGGGTAGTTTTATCACAGAATTCAGAGACCAGGACCCAGGACTTTCCACTTCCAGTCCACAGCCTTTCATTTTAGCCATGGTTCTGGGCCTAGCTGATTCAGATTCAGTGGGCTGGGGTAGATGGAGCCTGGGTGTCTGTACCTTTTGTAAGTTTCGCAGTAAATTCAGATTATAGCCAGGTTTAGCACTTGCTGTGAGGAATGTACTGCCTCTGTGTAAGCGGCAGTGGAATGTGGGAAGCCAGATCGGATTCTGGAGAATGATGACTTGACCAGAGCAGAAAGAGGGTCATGAACACAGGTGATCAAAGGTGGTCGTTTGTTCATGTGGGCCTGACAGGGAGCTGCTGGCAGGTCTAGGTGTGACTTGGAGGCCGCTGGGTACCTAAGCCTCTATTTCCTCCTTGCTGAGCTTTGGGAGCACCGTGGGCTGCAACTTCCTCCCTGGCAGATCCCAGTAGATCTGTGCGCAGCCAAGTGAGTGGGAAGGCACTCATACAGCAGGCCCAGGGCCAGCACCACCTGACCATTCCTGCTTACCTGTCAGCGCTCTGTTCTCAGATGTTTTCATCTGGTACTATCTAGCTCTCCAGTTTTCCCAAGGGGCAAGACTTGTGTTTTCCTCTGGTTACCCAAGAGGTCCCTGGCACCGTTCCTGCAGAGCACAGAGATGCTCAGTGGATGGTCAGTGAAGGAATGAGCTACAGAGGGGCTTGTTGGACAGGAACAGCTGTTATTTGTCAAGGCCCTTTTAAGTTGGGGACCCGGAGCCTCCCTGGGCGTGTGCTCCTTTGTCCGCTTGGCCTTCCTGATGGAGGCCAAGCAGCTGTTGGTCTGTTTCCACAGACACTCGGTCAAGGCACTGAGAAGGGAGGATACTCATTAGGTAACCCGGGAGGCTGGAATTTCCATCTGTGCTCTGGCCATTGTCCACACACCCCCTCAGCCCCCATTCTGCAGGAAGAAAACAGTATGATAATCAAGAAATTATTTCTCTTTGGCTCTGAATCGATTTGCCTACAAACAGATTCATCTTCCTTACTTTGTCTCATTAGTCTAAAGGTAAATTAATTTTTCATTCCTTGAGTACATTAAAGGCAGGGGTCTAGACTAGGGGTTAGGAGCCCTGAACTGCATCCAGCCTTTGATAATAGCTGCTGGTGGGAAGTCCCCTCCCTTCTCTGGTCCTCAGTCTCCACTGCTGTAAAAGAAGAGTTAGAATTTATCCTGAGCGCTGTTACACATCAGAACTGCCTGGGTGGGCAGATCACCTGAGGTCAGGAGTTTGAGCCAGCCTGGCCAACATGGTGAAACCTCGTCTCTACTAAAAATACAAAAAAATCAGCCAGGCATGGTGGTGCATACCTGTAATCCTAGCTACTCGGGAGGCTGAGGCAGGACAATCTCTTGAACCCAGGAGGCAGAGATTGCAGTGGGCCCAGATTGCACCGCTGCACGCCACCCTGGGGGACAGAGAGAGACTCTTGTCTCAAGAAAAGAAAAGAAAAGAAAAAAAGGCCAGGCATGGTGGCTCACGCCTGTAATCCCAGCACTTTGGGAGGCCGAGGTGGGTGGATCACCTGAAGTCAGGAGTTTGAGACCAGCCTGACCAACATGGTGAAACCCCATCTCTACTAAAAATACAAAAAAATTAGCCAGGCATGGTGGTGGGCACCTGTAATCCCAGCTATTCGGGAGTTTGAGGCAGGAGAATGGCGTGAACCCGGGAGGCAGAGCTTGCAGTGAGCCGAGATCACACCACTGCACTCCAGCCTGGGCAACAGAGTGAGACTCTGTCTCAAAAAAAAAAAAAAAAAGCTCTTGAAGCTTGGCGTGGTGGTTTACGCCTGTAATCCCAGTACTTTGGGAGGCTGAGGTGGGTGGATCACCTGAGGTCAGGAGTTCGAGACCAGCCATGGCCAACCTGGCAAAACCCCATGTCTACTAAAAATACAAAAATTAGCTGGGCATGGTGACGGCTGCATGTAATCCCAACTACTTGGGAGTCTGAGGCAGGAGAATCGCTTGAACCTGAGAGGCGGAGGTTGCAGTGAGCTGAGATGCGCCATTGCACTCCAGCCTGGGCAACGACAAGAGTGAAATTCCATCTAAAAAAAAAAAAATTCTTTCTAGATTTTCTATTTCAAAGCTTCAGCTGAGTGGCTGACATTTTGTTTGTTTGTTTTGTTTGTTTGTTTTTACAACTGAACCCTGTCCTTTTTGTGACCTAGAGGGAGATCACCAGCCTCAGAGAGATGGAGGAGAAATTATTATTTTTTTTAATAGAGAGAGAGCCTTGCTGTATTGCCCAGGCTGGCCTCGAACTCCTGGTCTCAAGCAATCCTCCTGCCTCAACCTCCCAAAGCACTGGGATTACAGGCGTGAACACCGTGCGTGGCCTAGAAATGATTGTTAAATAGTTGATTAATGTAGCTAGGTCTCTCCATTTGGATGATGACTCCGTGGTGGATAGTTTCCTCTCTCCACCTCTGGCTTTCCGGGGTGAGAATGAGCAGTGGCAGATTTCAATTTCTAGGTTGGTCCCCTGCTGCCCCAAGCCAGGCACCAACTCAGCCACATCCAAGCAGCTGCCTCCCCTGTCATTTGGTGTGTCCTCACGGGAGGCAAACTCATTTCAGTGTAAGCTCAAGCAAAGTGTAATTAGGACAGTAAATCTGCTGCTTAACGGCAACAAAAAAAGTCCTATGGCAGATTTTACAGTCCTGGAGAAGTGATTTGAGGCTGAAGGAAGGGTGGGAGAGACCTGGCCTTTGATTTAATTGCTTCCAGCCTGGGAACAAAGTCCAAGACATGGTAACCTCATTTACTCCAGAAAATGCACCATGACTCCTTAAAAGTTTATGGTGTGATAGTCTGAGGTTGGAGGAATAGGGACATGATTTCATGAAAGTCTTTTTTTTTTTCCTTTCTATGCCTTGCAGTGGAACTGTAACTCCTACTTTTCACCCTGTATCACTATCCTCACTTCCATTTTTGGGATATTTACCATTTATCAAGCAACATACCATGGACTGCAGATGCATTTTCTTTTTCTTTTTTTTTTTCTCTGAGACGGAGTCTCGCTCTGTCACCCAGGCTGGGGTGCAGGGGCGCAATCTCCGCTCACTGCAACCTCCGCCTCCTGGGTTCAAGCGATTCTCCTGCCTCAGCCTCCCGAGTAGCTGGGACTGCAGGCGCCCGCCACCAGGCCTGGCTAATTTTTTGTATTTTTAGTAGAGACGGGGTTTTACCATGTTAGCCAGGATGGTCTCGATCTCCTCACCTCATGATCTGCCTGCCTCGGCCTCCCAAAGTGCTGGGATTACAGGCGTGAGCCACTACGCCCAGCCAAGGCAGTCTTATGATCCTAAACCTCATTTTATGGATGAGAAAACTGAGGTTCAGGGAGGCAAGCGGCTTGCCCGGGGTTGCAGCACATGTGAGTGGAGGAGCTGGGTGTGAAGAAGCCATGCCCCAACCTTTGTGCCGTGCTGCCGCTGCTTGGTCTGAGGACGCCACAAACCACGACGCCAGCTCAAAGTCACACCACCAGCATCGCCCAGCCTCCTGGCCTTTCCCTCACATTCCTTCTTGGCAAGAGTGGTACTTTTCTAAACCTCGGCCTTAGTGGCTGCCGAGCCACTGCTTGCGGCTCAGTTCCCCATCTGGGCCAAGAGGATTGTGCGTCTCCATCTATATCAGCTACCCAGGCAGTCCTAGTGCTGGCGTTCAAGGGGAAGTGATCCATGGGACCTTCTGTGGGGAGGAGGCCTTGGGGCAAAAGAGGGCCCAGGCACCTGGACTCTATTTGTGGTCTCTTTTGCATCTTCCGTGGATGGCTGCAGGCAGGCCATTTCTTTCCTTTGAGCCTCAGTCTCCTAGACTAGAAAGTAAAGGCCAGGGGGACCAGTGGGCATCTGAAGAGTGCTGTGGGTCTACCACAGAGAGACAGGTGTCTCCTTCCTCTAGGAAGTTGGCCTCCAAGGGGATCCTGCCTCGTCCAGGAAGCATGCTGCCTAACAGCACCTGACCTTGCCCTGCCTGTTCAGCTTTTGATTGCTGAATTTATAGTGTTCGTTTGCTTTTTTTTTTTTTTTTTTTTTTAGAAGGAATCTGGTTCTGTCACCCACGGCTGCAGTGCAGTGGTGGGATCTCAGCTTACCGCAACCTCCACCTCCCAGGTTCAAGCGATCCTCCTGCCACAGCCTTCTGAGTAACTGGAATTCTAGGTGCACGCCACCACGCCCAGCTAATTTTTGTATTTTTAGTAGAGATGGGGTTCCACCATGTTGGCCAGGCTGGTCTCAAACTCCTGACCTCAGGTGATCCACCCACCTTGGCCTCCCAAAGTGCTGGGATTACAGGTGTGAGCCACCACTCCTGGCCACATTTGCCTTCTTTGCGAGTGTTTTTAAAATACTGGAGGCCTTTCCTGGAGGGTTTCTCCTCTCCAGATGGCCCCAGAGCACCCCAAGCTCAGGACATGTCCCTCCCCAGCCAAGCTGTCTCCCTTTACTTCCTTTGCCTCCTCTCTCCCAATTATTTTGGCCCAAACTGATCAGTCCCGCTGGCCTCTCCCAAGCAGGTCCTTCTGGCACTCCTCTGGTGGACCGCCCCCATCGGCCACACTTGCCCTGCTCTCCAGTGATTCTGTAGCTCCTGGCTCCGTAGTCTCGCGGACAGCTCTCTTTCCTGGAAGATGTTTCTGGTGGGCCTGACAGGGGGCATTGCCTCAGGCAAGAGCTCAGTGATCCAGGTGTTCCAGCAGCTGGGCTGTGCGGTGATTGACGTGGACGTGATGGCCCGGCACGGTGAGTTGGAGGGGCAGGTTGGGGGGCCGTGCACAGCAGCTCCCCACGCTTCCGGCCTTCTGCCATGCCTCCTTTTTTTATAAGTCTCAGAGGAGGGGAAGGCTCCTGTTGACCCTGGTCTGACTTCTGTCTCTGCCCCGTGCTTGCCTTCTCTGCTCTTCTATTTTCTGTTTTTAGAAACCCCCCAGCTGTACCCCATTACCAGCACAAGGGATCCTGTACACTCTGCTCTTTTCCTTCACTGCTTTCTCTACCCTCATTTTGCTTTTGCTCCACCTGAAAGAAGCACCCGAGTTCCCCCATCATTTTGCCCCTGGTCACTGAGGTCCTCTGACTGGCCCTGAGGCTTCAGGGAGTGACCCAGCTTCTTCCTCCTGCCACAGTCGTGCAGCCAGGATACCCTGCCCACCGGCGCATCGTAGAGGTCTTCGGCACTGAGGTCTTGCTGGAGAACGGCGACATAAATCGCAAGGTCCTGGGGGACCTGATCTTTAACCAGCCTGACCGGCGGCAGCTGCTCAACGCCATCACCCACCCCGAGATTCGCAAGGAGATGATGAAGGAGACGTTCAAGTACTTCCTCCGGGGTAAGTGCCAGGGCCTGGGGCGGGGGGCGGGGCCTCCTTCCAGGGCCAGGGCCCTTCTCCTCTGCAGAAAGTTTGGCCAGGGTAGGGGAGCTGGTTATCCCAGCTGATGAGTTCATACTGCTTACTGGCATCCCCTCCACACAGAGCCCCGTACCAGCCCCAGAGGAAAGAAGCACGTTCCCTCAGCTCTTAAGGAGGCTGACAGTTTAATGAGAAGAGACACATGAGGCTTTCGAGCCATGAGCCCAGGAAGTAAGTTGGTTTTTCTAGTAGGGATGGGAGTAATAAGAGCTGGTGAATAATGGAGCCATAGATCTGAGTTCAAATCCCAACCCTGACTTTCTAGCTGTGTGACTTCATTGAGTGATCTCGCCCTCAGCTCATTTTTTCATTTGTGCAGTGGGGATAATAATCCAACATGAGGCTGGGCACAGTGGCTCATGCCTGTAATCCCAGCACTTTGGGAGGCCGAGGCAGGCAGATCACTTGAGGTCAGGAGTTTGAGACCAGCCTGGCCAACATGGTGAAACCCCGTCCCTACTAAAAATACAAAAATTAGCTGGGCATGGTGGTGTGCACCTGTAATCCCAGCTACTCGGGAGGCTGAGACGGGAGAATCGCTTTAACCTGGGAGGTGGAGGTTGCAGTGAACCGAGATTGCACCCTATACTCAGACTGTCTGGGCAACAGAGCAAGACTCCGTCTCAAAAAAAAGAAAAAATCCAACGTGAGCATGTTAGGAAGACTGAGGGTCCAGGTCAGTGACTGTCAGTTAATCACACATGTAAACTGCAGTCAGGGGCAGGTTTGGTTCTGGCTGAGCCATTTGGGAAAGCAAGTTTGTAGACTGGAAATTGGGAAGGGACCAAGATGGCCAGGGTGGGTAGGGGAAGGGGAGTATTTGAAATCAGAGGCCTGGGGCCAGTTGGCAAGAACCTTCTTCCAAGCTATATGCCATGGTTCAAGCCCTGTTCTTTTTTATTTTATTTTATTTTATTTTATTTTTAGAGATGGGGTCTCACTATGCTGGCCAAAGTGGTCTCAAACTCCTGGCCTCAAGCAATCCTCCCACCTTGTCCTCCCAAAGTGCTGGGATTACAGGCATGAGCCACCACACCTGGCCTAAGCCATGTTCTTCAGGACAGCATTGCACAGGGGTGGCCTGATGCTTACTTTACAGGTTGGGGTCAGTCACCAGAAGTGGGAGGGAGAACAGAGGGCGGTGGCTTGGGATCTGGCAAGAGGCTGGCCTAGGGCTGCTGGAGATTTGCATGCCAGCCTTTGGCACATGTGGCCTCCAGCCTGGGCCTCCGAGTTGAAGGCCTGGTTGCCTGTCACCCCACTCTCAGTCACTACACTGAGACTCTCCTTCCACGAGGGTATAGGGGAGCCTTTTTTTTTTTTTGAGATGGAGTCTCGCTCTGTCACCAGGCTGGAGTGCAGTGGAGCGATCTCGGCTCACTGCAACCTCCCTTCCCGGGTTCAAGCGATTCTTCTGCCCTCAGCCTCCCGAGTAGCTGGGACTACAGGAACATGCCACCAAACCTGGCTAACTTTTGTATTTTTAGTAGAGATCGGGTTTCACTATATTGGCCAGGCTGGTCTCAAACTCCTGACCTCATGATATGCCTGCCTCGCCCTCCCAAAGTGCTGGGAATACAAGCGTGAGCCACTGTGCCTGGCTGGGGGAGCCTTTTACACTGTGACCATGGCCAAGCCCCTTATTCTGTCATGCCTTGAGTGAGCAACCTCCCCCCACCCTCATCCCCCTGTGGCCAATACCTCCCTCCAAAAGAGGGATGACTCGACAGACATCCATGATGCTGACCCCAACCCCCTCCCGTCCGGGCTGGAGCTGGCTCCCGCATCTTCTCTGCTGAACCAGCGTGTGCGCTCCATCTCAGCACCATGCCGCAGGCCTCCTCCCTGCCTCCCTCAAGAAGAGTCCTCCCTCTGGACTCTTTGTGCTGCCTCCTATGTTGTGCCAGTGTCCTTCCCGTCCCCCACCCAGAGTGAAGTCATCTGCCTTTCATTCCTGCCCTTTCTGCATTCTCTCCCATGCCAGTTACTGGTATATCTGCAGGGCTTCGAGGCGGCAGTGGCTCTCCCCTTCTGAAATTAAACATCGGATAATGTCACCAGCTCCAAAGCTCTTTCACTGTGTCATCCACCCAGCCTCCCGCCTCCCCAACCACCACCACTTAAATAAAAGCCAGAGAGCCCTTTTGAGCTCGATAAGGTGAAAAATGAGGACGACAGCTGTGGCTTCCACAGTCCCAGTTTTTCCCTGATGAGTATAACAAATACAACTGTCAAAGTTGGTATAATCAAACGTCAGATAAGATCACCAGCTGTTGGGGACTTCTCTGTGTAGGCAGACGGATGTCTTAATAGAGTCAGGATGGTTTGCAGAGCTTATCAGACAGGAGGGATGTGACAGCTGAATAGCCCTTTGCTGGTGAACCAAATAGCTGACCACGTACTCCCCAGAGGGGCCGGAGAAAGGACAGCAAGGGGAGAGGAAGTGATGGGAGCTGAACAGGAAAGGGAGATAAGAGGCCCGGAGAGGATCTAGTCTTGGCTTCTGCTCCAAGTTAGGGAGGCGCACCACACTGTTGGCCTCCCCCTGCAACAGTAACTATCATTTTGGGGCACCTAGCGAGGGACTGGTGAAGGAGTAGTACTGCATGGTTCACATATTTTCAAGGCTCATTTCATCTTTACCATCATCCTGTGAAGTAGGTATTCTTTTTACTCATTTACACAGATGAGGTTTACACAAAAGGGGGCCCAAGGTCACATGGTGGGGAAGGTGGGGGGGCTACCAACCAAGGTGTGTCATCAGAGCCTATGGTTTTAACCCCCTTGTTCAACTGTGGGCTTCTCTTGGGCTTCCTGAGCAGCAGGTCTTGGGGAACAGGAAACCAAGCAGCTGAGATTGCCACCCCCCCACCGCCATTGTCCCTGCATCACTTTGAGTGCAAGTTTCCCGTGACACCCTTGGAATTGGTGTGATGTGTGTCTGGTTCTGTGCTTGGAAGTGTTTGGAGTGGGATGCTCCAGGGGTGCAGTCTCCTGCCCCAGCCAGGCCAGGGGTCTCTGGGCAGAGAAGCATTTTCCTATCTCTTACCCTTCTTGCTCTCCTGGAGCCCTCCCAGCTTTGTACACATGCACAGGGGTCACTGACCTAAAAAGAACGAGGAGCGTGTAGCCCACAGCAGCCTACGGATGTGCTCACTCACAGTGGGTGGGGGTGCTGCCCTTGACTGGCCTTGGCTTGTGGTGGGAGGTCCAGCCAGTGCCTTTTACACTGCAGGAGTGTAATACAGTTTTAGGCATAACTGCCCGCTCTGACTCCAGATCCAGGCCTTACCCTGGCTGTAGGTCTGCCTCTGATGGGAGAAGCAGCTTCTTTCTGCTGCTGCCGCCCCAACGTGAGCCTCTCATGGAGAGTTGGTAGAGACAGCCCACCTTGGCTCTTGTCAGCAGGGCTGGGCCTGCACCTGGCTCTTTGGGGAGAACCTATCTTTTGGGTGTTTTGTTTGTTTGTTTGTTTGTTTCTGAGAAATAACAACTTGAGATTTAAGATCAAGGTGAACTAAACCCTTAGTGCCTGCCCTGATCACCTCCTTGCCTCACACGGCCTGAGGCCTCTGCTTCAGCCCGCACAGTAGAGCCTCCCTCTCCCTGTGCTGTGGTGGTTCTCATTCGTGGAATCCTCACCTTCACCTTCTCATTTTCAAGTATCAAAAGACCTGCCCCCCACTTTTCAAGGCCAGCACAAGTGCCAGCCCTTCTACAAGGTCTTCCCTGATCAGCTATCCAGAAATAATTTTCTGCAGCCTTCTGTTCTGCACGGCATTGGAACCGGCCAGTGTGCAGGGTATGTGTGTCCTTGGAAGGCCTGCCCCTCTGCTGGGCGCTCTGGACGGTGGGGCCCAGCATATCATCAGTCCTCAGTGTGCGCTTGCAGAATTGAACTTGGGGGATTTCCAACCTCTCCCCAGGATACCGCTACGTGATTCTGGATATCCCCCTGCTGTTTGAGACCAAGAAGTTGCTCAAGTACATGAAGCACACCGTGGTAGTATACTGGTGAGTGTGTAGCATGCCCTGGCTGGAAGGGAGGACCATGGGGGTATCTGGGAAACAGCCCACATCATTTTGCACTTTGCCCTTTCCCCACGGGGCGGCCAAGAGGCATGGGGGTTTGGGCAGCAGTGCTCAGGGTCTGTAGAAACCAACCTTTGTGCCTGACGCGGATAGTCCTGGGGGCAGGTGTGGGAAGGGACAGCCCGCGGGCTTCTCTAGTGTTTGGGGAGCGCTCCCCCGCTGACCATTGCAGGCACTTCAGCCCAGATGCCTGGCCTCGCCCTGGGCCACTGTTACTCAGTGGCTCCTTCTTCCTCCTGTAGCACCTTTATTACTTTGCACAGTTTACCTCTCAGTGGGAGGTGGTCAGGACAGGTGTTGATATTCCTATTACTGAAGATAAAATTAAAGAGGGGGCAGTTACAGAATGTGTCCAGGGTCACCCTTTGGCAACACCTGTTACGAACAGAAGGTTTCGTGGAAGGGACTGTCAGCCCAGCTAAGGAAGGCACTTTGTTCTCAGAATTCCCCAGGACACGGAGCCAACCAGAATCCAGGTTTGACAAACAGGAGGATCAACCTGTGGGGGGAAAATGAGTCCCTGTCCCAGTGGGGTGAAAGTAGATGAGTCCGCAGGGTATCTCTGCTACCCAGAAGCTTCCCGGATGCCACCCACAAGTACAGCAGACACATAGGTGGGCACTTGGCTCTGCTGGTATTTTGGGCATAGGTTGGCCCTCAAGGGCCTAAGGCATTGGAGGCTCCCAGCACGCTGGAGGCGGAGCCTGTGGTGCTCAGTGCCCTGAAAATCCCCCTGCCTTTCCCCCTGGGTCCCCATGGGCTGTCGTTGAAAGCCCAGTCTGAATCCCTTGAGCCCAATGCAGGGACGCAGGCATCCTCTCAGCTCCTGCACTGGGCCGTGCTGCCTTATGTGAGTAAACCTGCAGCCTCTTTGGGTTCTTCATTCCCTGTTTGAGAGGCTAACTAAGGTCAGGCAAACCCCACGAAGACCTGGAATTCTCTTTGCCTTAGTAGCACGATTGGAGCTTTGTATTTAGGGATAAAAACATTTTTTTTAAAGGATCTTAGAGGCCGGGTGCAGTGGCTCACGCCTGTAATCCCAGCACTTTGGGAGGCCGAGGTGGGTGGATTACCTGAGGTCAGGAGTTCGAGACCAGCCTGGCCAACATGGTGAAACCCCATCTCTACTAAAAATATAAAAACTAGCCCGGTGTTGTGGCGGGCACCTGTAATCTCAGCCGCTTGGGAGGCTGAGGCCAGAGAATCGCTTGAACCCAGGAGGTGGAAGTTGCAGTGAGCAGAGATTGCACCATTGCACTCCAGCCTGGGCGACAAGAGTGAGCAAAACTCCATCTCAAAAAAAAGGCTGGGTGCAGTGGCTCATGCCTATAATCCCAGCACTTTGGGAGGCCGAGGCAGGTGGATCACCTGAGGTCAGGAGTTCGAGAGCGGCATGACCAACATGGAGAAACCCCATCTCTACTAAAAATACAAAAATTAGCCAGGCATGGTGGTGCATGCCTGTAATCCCAGCTACTTGGGAGGCTGAGGCAGGAGAATCACTTGAACCCAGGAGGCAGAGGTTGCAATGAGCCAAGATCGTACCATTGCACTCCAGCCTGGGCAACAAGAATGAAACTCCGTCTCAAAAAAAAAAAAAAAAAGGCCGGGTGTGGTGGCTCATACCTGTAATCCCAGCACTTTGGGAGGCCGAGGTGGGCGGATCATGAGGTCAGAAGATCGCGACCATCCTGGCTAACACGGTTAAACCCTGTCTCTACTAAAAATACAAAAAAAATTAGCTGGGCATCATGGTGGGCGCCTGTAGTCCCAGCTACTCGGGAGGCTGAGACAGGAGAATGGTGTGAACCTGGGAGGCGGAGCTTGGAGTGAGCTGAGATCGCACCACTGCACTCCAGCCTGGGCGACAGAGCGAGACTCCATCTCAAAAAAAAAAAAAGGATCTTAGAGTGTAGATGAGAAGACAGCAGGGGCCGACACCTGCATGTGCATTCACCAGATGACCCCGCGCCCACCTCTGGCCATTTGTCCTTCCTGTGCTTTGCTTTTTTTTTTTTTTTTTAAATTGAGATGGAGTCTCACTCTGTCACCCAAGGTGGAGTACAGTGGCGCGATCTCAGCTCACTGCAACCTCTGCCTCCCAGGTTCAAGTGATTCTCCTGCCTCAGCCTCCTGATTAGCTGGGATTACAGGCGCACGCCACCATGCCCGGCTAAGTTTTGTATTTTTAGTAGAGACAGGGTTTCACCATGTTGGTCAGGCTGGTCTTGAACTCCTGACCTTGTGATCTACCTGTCTCGGCCTCCCAAAGTGCTGGGATTACAGGCATGAGCCACTGCGCCCGGCCCTTCCTGTGCTGTTCTTTGAGGTTGGTCTGTTTGCCGAGAGCAGAGGTGGCCATGGGTTTTGGTGGGTGAGTGGGGCTTTGTTGATTGTGTGTGCTCTCCAGGAGACCTTCAGCCCCACTCACCGGCCAGAGGAGCCTTTGCCAGAGTCCTGGGTGCCACTCATGCCCTGCTTTCAGTGGGTGTGGGTGTATAACTCTTGAGAGATGCCAGAGAGGTGGTGATGCTTTTCACCAAAGGGATCTAGGCTTTACAAAAATAAGGACTCCCTTGTGGATTTCTTTAACTGAAAGACTACCCCTGGTGCATTTGAAATTACTTAGGACATCTCCTGAAGTGTGATTATACCAAAACATGATTTCATGCTGGTTTCTTTTTTTTGAGACAGGGCTCAGGCTAGAGTGCAGTGGCACAATCACAGCTAACTATAGCCTCAAACTCCTGGGCTCAAGCAGTCTTCCACCTCAGCCTCTTGAGTAGCTGGGATTGCAGGCATGCAGCATCACATCTGACTAATTTTTTTATTTTTTGTAGAGATTGGGTCTTGCTGTGTGGCCCAGGCTGGTCTCAAGCTCCTGGGCTCAATGATCCTCCTCCTCGGCCTACTAAAGTGCTGGGATTATAGGCATGAGCCACTGTGCCCAGCCAATTTCATGTTTTTGAAAAATTTGTCAATTGTGGAATAAGTGGGTAAAAATCCTATTACAACAAATTGTACCAAGTCTTAGACTAACTAGAATAGGACCATTTCTGAGCCCCAGGAAGGGCTGTCGGAGGTGCTGCCCCACATCCAGGAGGCTCTGTGGTCTGGGCCACACCTTCAGGAGGATGTGCACCTACTGGGAGCCCCAGGCCATCTCTAATCTCACACTAGATTCTCCCACCCACAGATATGTGGTCTCCCTGATGAAGGCTGGATTTAGTCCTTGTTCTCAGCGAGGTGGGTATTGGCCCCACAATGGCCACAGTACACTGACCCCGTAACAGAGGAAATCTATAGCTCGTATAATTCATTTTCATGGCAAGTGGCTGCATTTGTTTTTGGCCTCACTTGGTCTGCTTCCCAGAATCCCTAAGAAGGGACCAAACTGCCAAGGTGGGAGGATCACTTAAGCCCAGGAGTTTGAGACCAGTGTAGGCAACACAGCAAGACCTCGTCTCTATATTTATTTAAAAATAAAAAAGCCAGGCGCGGTGGCTCACACCTGTAATCCAGCACTTTGGGAGGCCGAGGCAGGCAGATCACAAGGTCAGGAGATCGAGACCATCCTGGCTAACATGGTGAAACCCCATCTCTACTAAAAATCAAAAAATTAGCCAGGTGTGGTGGCGGGCGCCTATAGTCCCAGTTACTCGGGAGGCTGAGGCAGGAGAATGGCGTGAACCTGGGAGGCGGAGGTTGCAGTGAGCCGAGATCGCACCACTGCGCTCCAGCCTAGGTGAAAGAGCAAGACTCCATCTCAAAAAAAGAAAAAAAAAAAAAAAAAAAGTCCAGGCGCGGTGGCTTATGCCTGTAATCCCAGCACTTTGGGAGGCCAAGGCGGGTGGATCACCTGAGGTCAGGAGTTCAAGACCAGCCTGGCCAACATGGTGAAATCCCGTCTCTACTAAAAATACAAAAATTAGCTGGGCATGGTGTTGCACGCCTGTAATCCCAGCTACTTGGGAGGCTGAGGCAGGAAGACCTCTTGATCCCAAGAGACAGAGGCTACAGTGAGCAGAGATTGTGCCACTGCACTCCAGCCTGGGCAAGCGAGACTCCGTCTCAAAAAAAAAAAAAATACAAAAATTAGCTGAGCTTAGTGGCGCATGCCAGTAATCCCAGCTACTCAGGAGGCTGAGGCAGGAGAATCATTTGAACCTGGAGGATAGAGGTTGCAGTGAGCCAAGATCACGCCACTGCACTCCAGCCTGGGCGACAGAGTGAGACTGTCTCAGGAAAAAAAAAAAAAAAAAAAAAAAAGAAGGAACCAAAATGTAGTGATCAAACCCTTCCATTTTATAACTGGGAAAACTCAGGCCTCGTGACAAGGCAGAAAGACCCCAAATGGTAGAAAACAGCTGCTGCAACCCCTTGTGCTCTTGTCCTCACTGAGGGGCTGAAGTAGCTCTTAGAGCTAGAGGGGTGTTAGAGGTAACCCCGCTCCAGAGGACTGACTGTAGCCCAAGGCAAGAGAGGGAGTTTCCTGAGGAAGGACCCAGATGGTGACCTCAGGGTGGGTGAAGGAGGTATTCTTTGAATTTCTCTTGGAGTTGGGAGACTTGATATTGTCCGACCTAATCTGCAGTGCTGAATCCTGTCCCACAACTAAGGGGGACCAATTCTCATGTCCTTGATCCTCTTTGAAGCACCTTGGGCTTGTCTGTCCCACATCATCAGTGGCATTAAGCACAAGAGATACCATCTTAGCACAATCCTTTTACTCTAAATGTTCAGGGGAGGGGTATAGCAGCAAGGAGAGGGGGTCTCTGTGATGGCCCAAGGAGGTATTTTTGATACTGAAGACCCAGGCCCCCAGGGGAACTGCAGGAAGCGTCTAGCTCATAGGCATAGGCCTTTCAGTAAAGGTCACCCATCCAGGGATCCAGGATGTAGCTGGTTCCAGGTGATGAAATCTTCCCACCTTATGACTGGGGAATGTCAGGTCTAGTAGCAAAGCAAAGAGACCCCAGATGGCAAAAAAAAAAAAAAAAAAAAGAGCTGTGGCCAAAGTTCCCCCCTTGTTTGTATTAAGGGGCTTCCGTAGCCCATAGAGCTCTGGGTTCCTCACAGTGAGTGGAGTGGGGTGTGAGGCAGCCAGTGAGCTTCCAAGCCTCCCTCCCTGGCTGTGGGACCCTAAGTAGCCCAGAGCAGGGTAGGGTTGGAGGGAAGATCCAGTCCCCATGCTCTCTGTTTCAGGCTGGGCCTGGCAGGGCTGCCTATCCCTGTAACTTGGGGTGAGAGGGAGGCAGGACCTACAGTGCCCTTTTGCCCTATCCTTAGCGACCGGGACACACAGCTGGCACGGCTGATGCGGCGGAACAGCCTGAACCGCAAGGACGCAGAGGCCCGCATCAATGCCCAGCTGCCCCTGACAGACAAGGCCCGCATGGCCCGCCATGTCCTAGACAACTCGGGCGAGTGGAGTGTCACCAAACGCCAGGTCATCCTCTTGCACACTGAGCTGGAGCGCTCCCTGGAGTACCTGCCGCTGAGGTTTGGGGTCCTCACAGGGCTCGCTGCCATTGCCAGCCTCCTCTACCTGCTCACCCACTACCTTCTGCCTTACGCCTAGTGGGGCACTCAAGGCAGGGAGCCCCAGGCCTCCATCTATCTCCTTGGAGGCTGAAGCCAGGTAACACATCCTGTTTCCTCTCAGCCCCCTCCCCACACACACACACACACACACACACACACACACACACACACACACACACACACGGACTCTCCGAATCAGGGCTGGGCCTCTGTGCCAGGCCATCCCGTCTTTGGAGTGTATCCTATTTGAGATCAAGAAATAGCCTGCTGTCCTTCCCACCTTCCCTGAGCAGCACCTACAGAACAGCAACCGTGATGGTGTGTGAAAGCAACAGTCAGAGACTGCTATACATTTCTGTGGGTGGGGGTAGGGAATACTGGCTCTGTGGCCCTCCTCAGAGCTGGGAGGCCAAGGGTTCACTGGGCTTGAATCCTCTCTAAGCACCTACCCCATTGTGGCCTAAACCTCCTCAGTGGACCACGGGAAATCATGTTGGACCAAGGGTTTCCATGTTCAAACAGTCAACAAGGCCCTCCCCTAGGTTGAGATATTTTTTATACTGAAGGCCCAGGCCCCCCAGTATGGCTTGCTGCCAGCAAGCAGCAAGGATTCTCTCGTGGGTAACGCTGTAGCCAGGCAGGACCAGCCTCTTCTGGGAGACCCCTCTCCCCACGTAGGGTTTGTGTAGTGCTCCCACATCCTGCTTATTGCCTGCCACCCCTGCTTCTCGCCTGGACCTCTTGGTATTCCGTGTACACCATCCTTGCTGTTTCTTGCCTCTGTGCCTTCAACCTGCTGCTCCTGGCCTGGGATACCTTTTATTTTCTTTTATTTCTTCTTCCTTTTTTTTTTTTTTTTTTTTTTTAACCTACAACTAGCTCTCAGTTCAGGCACTGTCTAAAGCCCCAGGCTGGGTTAGGTGGTCTAGGATACCAACTCCCCCTCAACATTTTACCTTAATCCAACAGTACAGTAATTAGCCGAAACTTGCCTGGTTTTTCCTACTAGACTGTAAGCCCTCTAGGGACAGGGACAGTGTCTTATTCATCTCTGTGTTCTTAGTGCAGAGCCTGGCCCGCTGTTGGTGTTTAATAAAGTGTGTTGATCTGAAATGCCCCAGACCAACCAAGATTCCCAGACTTGGCTTCTTCCCACACTGGGCTGGAGTCCTCCCGGAGCTCAGGGGGAGGTGAGGGCCCCAGAAGGTGCACTTGCCATCAGGCTTCTCCCTGGGTCCCAGGAGGACTGCAGCCAGGCCCGAGGCACCTTTGTGGGAGGTGGGTAGAGGGCTGAGGCAGCGTCACACCTTCTTGCCCCGCCTCCCCATCTGCCTTCCCCAACCCAATTAGACCAGCGCAGACATAAGCCTTCCCTGCCAGGGCCTGCAGACTTGCTGATGTGTTGATCCTGCAGCCAGAAGCCTATTAAGGCTAGAAATGAGTGTGACGGATGCAAATGCTGTGGTGGCCATACTTAGTGCCCCCTTTCCCAGAGCCGCTTGTGCTGAGTCTAGCTCATTAACTTGCTGCAAACCCCTAAGGGGCAAAGAAGGGCCGGGTAAGGCAGTGGTGGGCTGCCAGGTGGGTGGCCAGGCAGGATGAGGGTGGCAGGAGCCTGCCACTTCCTCGGTTTGGTGCGATCCGCCAGGACGGAGAAAGGAGAGGGAAGGTATGGACCCCCACAGTGCCCTATCACCCCAATAATTGAGGAAATGGCACTTCCTAGTATCGGCAGCATGCCAGGCACTGCTGGATGTGTAAGACCCTATAGTTAACATAACACTGATTATTTCCATCCCAGGCTCAGAAAGATGGATTTGGTCCAGGTTGCAGAGCCAGGCTTCTGAACTCTCTCCTGTGCCCTGAGCCTCTTGTCAGGAGGAGCTGGAGCCTGGGGTTGGGCCTTGGGCTCGCATTCCGGCTCCGCTTGCCATGTGACCTCCTGCCTTTAGTTTCTACTCATACATCGTTAGGCTTCATAGTGGAGGACACTGAAAACCCTTAGCAAACTGTAAAGTTCCAGAGAATTAACCTTCCCTGACCCAGTGAGCTGGGTTTGAAGCAGGAATGTCAGAGCATGGCAGGTGTGGAGAAACCTCGAATTCAGCCCTGCCCTGCCCGGGCCTCGCCAGAGCTCCCTCTCCAGCTCCTCTTGCCTCCCTGCCCCAGGATCCCCTTCCCGGCCTTGGGGGTCCAAGGCGGCCTTAAAAGAAGGACTACTTTCTCCGAAGGGGACTTGAAGTTGAGGCCGCTCAGCAACTGCAGAGGTCGGGCCTCCGGGACCCAGGCCCGCGCCCGAGCCGGCGGCCTGCCGTTCGGCCGGCAGGTGGCAGCACCCTCCCGGGCTGGGCCGGGCCTCCGCGGCGGGCGCTCGCCGAGCGGCCTAATCTTCCTCCTCCCAGGCCGCGGGCGGCCTCAGACTCCTGCCGAGCAGCTGCCGCGGGAGCACGGGCCAGGTGGGCGCGGAGGCTCTGCCTGACCCTGAGCGCTAACTCAAAAGGTGCGTTGTTCGCCCACGTCCTCTGAGCCTGGGCTGCGGGCCCTGGGTGCCAAAGGGCGTGTCCCCTGCCCACCCACCGCGACGGCGACGGGACCCTGCAGCCTCCGCGTTCCGTTCCCTCACTTTGGGCCTTAGCACCCGGAGCGGAGCAATAAGACACCAGCGAGGGTGAAGACGCACACGCCTTCTGGGCGGGGGACGAAGGGCGCAGGCAGGCCTCTAAAACACCCCCACCCCCAGGCCCGACTGGCCCGAAGGTCATTCGCAGTTTCACAGTTTACAAAGCACGTTCCAGTTATCCCCTTGAAATCTCCCAGCTGTGTGAGGCAGACAGGTCCAGAATTTTACAGAGGCTCAGAGGTTGAGCCAAGGGGCCTAAGTAGCCAACAGGTATAACCACCAAGCTTCTTGACTCCCAGTACAGTGCTCCTCCGGCTATCTGCACTGCCCCCATTATACACTTTGGCTCTTTAGTAATTGACAACTCTTCTTCAAATGTTCATTCTCTCTCTCTCCTCATGGGGGGCAGGGCAGAGGCAGGGAAAGGTTTAGGACCTTCCATGATGAGCCTCCATGGCTAGAAATTGAATGGGAGCAGGATAGGCGCGCTGCTGAGCGCCCCTAGTTCTCACCAAGGCACTTTAGGTCAGAAGGAAACAGTCTCAGAGCAGGAGGGGGAATGCGATGGCAGTGATGACTTCAGGCCATGGGGTCATATAGGAGTGGGCAGGGAGACCCCCGGACATGGTGGGAGAGAAGGAGCAAAAGGAAGGAGGTGATGTGGTGCTATAGGTTGCTTTCCTGCTCCTTCCAGGAGAGACGTGGCTGGTGGTTCCTCATCCCACCTGCAGAGCTGAGGCTGCACCCAGCTGGGACCCAAACCGCCTCTCTTTGCTCCCCACCTTCCCCTCCGCTCCCAGTCACTTAGATTCCAATACAATTTCCAGCTAACCAGCATGTCGATAGAACAAGTCGGGCGGCCGGATTGCTGGCCAATTACAGGAAATCATTCTGCTCCACAGCTCAGCGCTCAGGAAGGGAGAGGGAGGGAGGGAATTCAAGGGAGCAGGCGCCCAGCTTACAGGCTGGGAACGGGCTTCAGGCAGAAGGCTGGGAGTGCTGCAGCCCCCCACCCCTGAGGGGTGGGGGGTGGGGGAGGCTCCTAGGGGCAGGCCAGCCCTAGGCTCATCCTCAGCCTCATGCGGAGCTCTGGATCCAACTTCTGTGTGATGGGGAGATTGGTGCCCCAAGCCACTAAGAGAGACAGAGCTGGGAGTTGAGTGTGGTTGAGGGTCCGGCAAGCGAGGCATCTTAGTGTCAAAAGGGATAGAAGCCGAGATAGCAGGACCACCCTCTCCCAGAGCCCTATGCACCAAGGAGTGGGCATCTGAGGGCCTGGAGGCTAGGGTCCACACAAGCAAGACCTGTGCTCTAACAGCCCGCTGTGGGCCACGGGGTACCTAGGAGGACAGGGGAAGGGGTCGACAGGGAGCGGGAAGGAAAGGGGCCACAGCCCACAGCTGAGTGAACTAGCAGCAGCCTCATCTGGTGAAGGAGTAAGTCTTCCACCCTGGAAGGTGGGGCACAGAAATGTGGGAAAGGCCAAGGGCCCCCTCCCTCACCTTCCTAGCTCCTCTGCCTCAGCTCCTGCCTCTGGCCCTCAAGAAAATTTCACTCAGATGAAAGGACCCCAGCTCCCCTCCTCTTTCCTTGGATCTGAATCTACCTCTGCCTTCTATGCCGACCTGGATGCCTCTTTGCCAGCCCCACCTCCTCCCATCACATCTCTCCCAGAACTGTTCCTGTGCCCCAGGCTGCCCTACCCGGCTGACCAGAGATGCTCTGCCTGTCGCACAGTGGTGAGCTCTTCTTCCCAGCCCTTCCCCTCTACCCTCAAAGGACTGGAAGATTCTTGAGGAAGAGAAACTTCCCTGTGGGCTAACTTCACCCAGTGAATGACTATTGTTGCTGTTTGTCTTGAACCCCAAAAAAGGCAACTGTGACCCAATGATCTCCTCCTCTGCTCCAAGCTGTGGCCACCTCCCAGGACCCCTCTCCAAACCCCCAGGATCTCACTACTCTTCTCCCAATTCCAAGCCCTCCCCTTCAGACCCCTCCAAGGTTGGGTCCTGGGATGGATTCACTGGCAGCTCTTTTGCCAACCCAAGAGTAAAGGGGTGGACAGACATGGAAGAGGAGACTGGCTTTGGAGCCCAGTGCACCCAGCACCCAGTGGCGCTCAGGAAAGACCTGAGTGATTGCACCGAACAACAAGGTCATCTTCAAAGTTTGTTTGGAGAGGTGCATAGGGAGAACAGGGTCAGCGCCCCGCGACGTCTCCTTCCCCGGGTTTTCTAGCCTAGTACACAGGCTCACACTCCGCGGTGGAGGTGTTGGGGTTGGCCCTGTGTGTGACCCCCGCTTGGCACACGGTGGCCACCCCTCCGCTCAGCTGAGCTGAGCTAAAGCCGCGGCTCCCGGGCTCCTAGCACCGCCTCCGCCATCCCACCCTCGGGCGCTGCCTCCCGCGGGCCGGGCGCCCGGTGCTCGGCGATCCGGAAGAGGGCGCCCGCCCGGCCCACGTCCGCCGTGTCCCCGCCCGGCGCGCCGCGCTCGCCAGCCCGCGGGCTCCGCGCCATCGATCGGGCCGCAGGGACCCGGGTGAGCCGCCTCCCCACCCCTCGCTTTTCGCTTTTAATTGAAGTTTGTTTGAGCAGAGCGCGGAGCGGGCAAAGGCAGAAACCAAATATTTAGTTGCTGCAAATTGGCACCTCCAGATCAATTACCCGGCCAGTGTCAGGGCCCTCGCCGCCCCCCGCGCCCCGCAGAATCTCAATGCCACGCTGCCCCCGCCCGGGCCGCCCGCGCCGCCCTCGCCGCCCTCGCCGCCCTCCTCCATTACACTGCACGTTTTTCATCAGCTCCAGCCAGACATCACCCGTGGCCGCGAGGGAACAGATTTTCAATGGGAAAAGTTCCCCGGGAGGGTCCTTGTTGCTGATTCCCGCCGCGCCCTGCGCTGTCTGGCCCCTGCCCCCACCTGGCTTGTCTGACGGAGACAGCAGATGGGTGGAGCGAGCTCAAAGCAAGGACTTGGGGTCAGGAAGACCAGGCCCCGTCATAGGAACTCCCCTTACCCGCTGGGTGACCTTGGGGAAGTTACTTATGCTCCCTGAGCCTCGGAGTCCCCCATAACATGGGGGCTCAACCTTCACCTTGTGGGGTCAACAGCATGGAGGGACAGCACCCTGCCCAGGGCTGGCACACAGTGACTTTCCACAGATATTAGTTCTCACCCTGCTAGGGGTTAAAACAGGCTCTAGAATGAAATGAGAGACAGTGAGTTCGAGGCGACTCAACCAAGCCACTGAAAAATACCAAAGGGAAAGCAGCAGACAGCCAGCATCCCCAGAGTCTCTGGCAGGGGCTGGACAGGCCCCAGGACCCTGGTCAAGCTCCATCAGGGAAAGTCCTGACCCCCAGCCCAAGTGCATCTGGGCACAACCAAAAGAGAAGCCGCTTTTCCAGTACCAGGGGTGGAGAATGAGAGAGCCATGATCCCAAGGCCACAGCCAGGCAAGGAGGCCGGAGGGATCTGAAAAAGGTCACCAAGGGCTCCTGACCCTTGCCAAGCTGAGTACCAGGAGGCCAGCCTTGTGGCAGGGGGGAATCAGGACAGCTGGGCTGTAGTTGAGGCTTTGCCTTCTCCTGGCTACATGTTGCTAGTCAAGTACTTAACTTCAATTTTCCCATGTGTAAAATGCGGCTGACACCCTCTACCTCCCAGAGCATTTGTGAGGAGCAAATGAAGTATGGGAGAGGGGAGGAAACTCACAACCAGCATGAAGAAGATGGGGCCAAGTTTGTGTGGGAGTCTCCTTTCCCATGCTCAACACTGCTCCCATCCCAAGAGCCCCTGAGGGAACTGGAGTCAAATGCCTAGCCTGGCATTTTTAACTGTCTGCTCTGCCAGAGTGACAGGGCCTCTGGGTGGGAGGAGAGGTTAGGGGAAGACTGTGAGCCTCAGGCTTAGTGCTTTGAGAGCCCTTTTTAAAGAATGAGGCTCCTCCTCTGCCAGCACTACCCCCCAGCTGTCCCGCCCCCAGGGTCTCAGTGCAAGAGTCAGCCCCACCTGGAGGAAAGTTATTTTCCCATCAAATCCTGAATCCAGGTGGAAAGGCAAGGTTGATATGGAATCCAGAGCCTCAGTTCCCTGCCAATGGGAAGCAAACTCACTCCTTGATTTTCCCATCTGTGAAATGGGACCACAGCCAGTAATTATGAGGTGCTATTTGAACTGGTGGGTAATCTCTTTTATTATTATTTATTTATTTATGTATTTATTTTGAGGCAGAGTCTTGCCCTGTCACCAGGCTGGAGTGCAGTGGTGCGATCTCGGCTCACTGCAACCTCTGCCTCCTGGGTTCAAGCGATTCCCCTGCCTCAGCCTCCAGAATAGCTGGGACTACAGGTGTGCGCCACCACGCCCGGCTAATTTTTTGTATTTTAGTAGAAACGGGGTTTCACCATGTTGGCCAAGATAGTCTTGATCTCCTGACCTCGTGATCTGCCCGCCTTGACCTCCCAAAATGCTGGGATTACAGGTGTGAGCCACTGTGCCCGGCCTTTTATTATTTTTTTAATTTTTTTAGAGACAGGGTTTCACTCTAGCCCAAATGAGAGTGCAGCAGAGCCATCATAGCTCACTGTAACCTTGAACTTCTAGGCCCAGGTGACTCTCCCGAATAGCTAGGATTACAGATGTGCACCACCATGCGTGGCTAATTTTTTTCTTTTTTTTTTTTTTTTAGAGACAGGGTCTTACCATGTTGCCCAGGCTGGTTTCAAACTCCTGGCCTCAAGTGATGCTCCCGCCTCGACCTCCCAAAATGCTGGGATTGCAGGCATGAGTCACCACACCCAGCCTGGGGTGACCTCTAGAGGCTGCTGAATCCATTGCCCTGCCTTCTACACTCACTCTTACCCACTCCACCCCTACCTGCAATAGGATTATCTCTGCTGGCGAAACAACCAGCCTCTTTGGAGATGGCAGCCCACCATTTGTCAAGCCAGGAAGACCTTCTGACAGTCTACCTTAAATCTCTCTTTGGTACCCTCAGGGAAAATTGAAACAACGAACAGCAAAAAGATAAATGCATATGGATAGGCAATGCCACACTATTTTTTTAAAATACCCGCAAAGAGGGTGGGAGAGCGGGAATTACCTTCAGACACAATGCTCTTTACACTAAACATCTTGGCGAAAAATATGGCTGTGTAATTCTTTTTTCTCCTTGGCAAAGAGAAAGGCTGAGGCTGGGCAGAAAGGCAGAGGGACCCGAAAATATAAATCAATATGTGACTTTAATATATGTGCTTTCGGTGTCTGTGTGTGCTGGGGGATTATTAGTAACCTTGATTCCAGCTCAGTGTCCATGCGAGGCAGGGAGATGTGCGGCCCCCAGGGAGGAGAAGAGAAATTAGGAAGCCAAATTCTTCTCCTGATTGACACCTGGGTAAACATTATCCTGGCAGAAAGGGAAGAAAAAAAGATCAATGCTGGGTATTTTTATCACGTTCCAGGGACAGACGGGGGGGAAATTAAAGAAACAGTCCCCTAGAATCACTGAATATGCCCATCTTCAAGGAGTAGCTAGATAAGGCGGAACCCAGGTGGAGGAGTATGGGTGGGAGAGAAATGGGCATGTCCCAGGGAGCAGTGGCCATTGCTTCTTCTACCCTGATGTATGTGAGTGGCAGCAGGTACAAAGGAGCCATGGCTTTAGTTGCAGGGTGAAGGCAGCAGCTTTGACGGGGAATCGTAGGCCAGAGTCTAACTCAAATCAGACTTCGGCTTCAACAGAGGCCCAAGAGGCATTTGTCTTAATGGGATTTGTCAGGGGGCTGTTTCTAGTGGAAGATTCCTGGAGTGTGGGAAGGGGGCAGTGGCTGCAGGAGGGGCTGGGTGTAGTGAGTGATCCAGTGTGGGTCAATGCCCATGGGGAAGCAGGGACATCTCTCTGGATTGTCTCAGATCTAGAGTCAGGAAAACCTGGGCCTCCACCCCTTCCTGGCTATATGACCTTGACCAAGTCATCTGACCTCATAGAGTCTCACCTTCCCTGTCTGTAAAATAGAGGCAGGTGGCCCCTACCCCACTGGTCTCAGAGTTTTTAAAAGAGATTATACAAAACACTGGACAGGGCTGAGGGGCTATTGTTATCTGGGGAGCCCTGCCCACTAGAAATATACTGTAAGCCACATATACACTTAAAAAAATTTTTTTAAACTAATTTGTTTAAGAGACAAGGTCTCCGTCTGTGGCCCAGGCTGCAGTGCAGCGGCACAATCATAGCTTATTACAGCCTCAACCTCCTGGGCTCGAACAATCCTCTCACCTTAGCCTCCTGAGCACCTGGCTAGTTTTGGGGGATTTTTTGCTTGTTTATTTGTTTGTATTTTTTGTAGAGATGGGGCTCTCACTATGTTGCCCGGACTGGTTTCAAATTCCTGGCCTCAAGTGATCCTCCCACCTCAGTCTCCCAAAGTGTTGAGATTACAGGAATGAGCCCCTGCACCCAGCCCATATATGTACTGTTAAATGTTCTGTTGTTGTTGTTGTTGTTGTTGTTGTTGTTGTTGACGACGGAGTTTCGCTCTTGTTGCCCAGGCTGGAGTGCAATGGCGCAATCTCCACTCACCGCACCTCTGCCTCCTGGGTTCAAGTAATTCTCCTTCCTCAACCTCCCGAGTAGCTGGGATTACAGGCATACGCCACCATGCCCGGCTAATTTTGTATTTTTCATAGAGATGGGGTTTCTCCATATTGGTCAGGCTGGTCTCGAACTCCCAACCTCAGGTGATCCACCCACCTTGGCCTCCCAAAATGCTGGGATTACAGGCATGAGCCACCATGCCAGGCCAATGTACTGTTTTTGGTTTTTTTTTTTGAGACGGAGTCTCGCTCTGTCGCCAGGCTGGAGTGCAGTGGTGTGATCTCGGCTCACTGCAACCTCTGCCTCCTGGGTTCAAGCAATTCTCCTGCCTCAGCCTTCTGAGTAGCTGGGACTACAGGCGAGCACTGCCACGCCCTGCTTATTTTTGTACTTTTAGTAGAGACGGGGTTTCACCATGTTGGCCAGAATGGTCTCCATCTCTTGACCTCATGATCCGCCTGCCTCGGCCTCCCAAAGTGCTGGGATTACAGGCGTGAAGCACCGCACCCGGCCAATGTACTGTTAAATGTTCTAATAGTCACATTTAAAAAAGTAAAAACAGGCCAGGCACGGTGTTCACGCCTGTAATCCCAACACTTTGGGAGGCTGAGGCAGGAGGATCAGTTCAAGACCAGCCTGGGCAACATAGGGATATGTCACGTCTACAAAAAAAGTAGCCAGGAGTGGTGGCGCATACCGTAGTCTCAGCTACATGAGAGGCTGAGCTGAGAGGATCACTTGAGCCTAGGAGGTCGAAGCTGCAGTGAGCTGTGATTGCACTGCTGCACTCTAGGCAACAGAGTGAGACCCTGTCTAAAAAAAAAAAAAAAAAATGTGAAAAGAAACACTTCAAATTAATTCAAATTAAATATGTATTATATTATATATAATATATATAGTATATATTATATATATTATATATTATATATAGTATATAATATATATAATATTATATATATTATATATATATATTATATATATTTTTTGAGACAGTTTCATTCTTGTTGTCCAGGCTGGAGTGCAATGGTGCAGTTTCGGCTCACTGGAACCTCCACCTCCCAGGTTCAAGTGATTCTCCTTCCTCAGCTTCCCGAGTAGCTGGGATTACAGGCATGCACCACCACGCCTGGCTAATTTTCTATTTTTAGTAGAGATGGGGTTTCTTCATGTTGGTCAGGCTGGTCTCAAACTCCTGACCTCAGGTGATCTGCCCACCTCGGCCTCCCAAAATGCTGAGATTACAGGTGTGAGCCACTGCGCCCGGCCTCAAATAATATTTTTTAACTTAACCCAATATATCTAAAATATCATTTCAGCATGTGGCACTAGCCACATTCCAGGTGCCCTGAAGCCACATGTGGCAGGAGCTACCGCACCGGGCCAGCAGAGATCTGGAATGAGAAGCCCACAGGATAGGAGCTTCTGCCCCGACCCCTGCCCCCTCCCTGTGATAGTGAGGAGGGACCTCTGGAGGCAGAAGGTGAAGTGAGCCCCTGAGAAATACAGGGCAGAGCCCCCCTTTTGCTGGGGGTGGGAGCAACTTTCTGGCCTCTGAGGCATTACAGTGCCCCAGCAGGGGCTCTCTGGGGGAGGCAGACTAATGACCACTTCGCCAGGATAGGGGCCGGGCTGGGGCAGACACTGAGCTCTCCTTTCCAGAGTCTCCTGGCAACTAGAGCAGCTGGTTTGGAGGGAAGAGCCTGACAGCTGGGCTTGGGTACTTCTCATTCCCAGTCAGTGCCTAGTCTTCTGGCTGTAGCATCTAAGGTAAGGCCCCTCTTGGAACTGCACCATCACTCAAATGGGAATAGCTGTGATCAACCCTGCTTTAAAGGCTGTAAAAAGGTTTCTTATACAAAGACAGTATGCTTGTAAGCCATGAACGTGCGCGAGGAAAAGAGAAAGTGAGGAGGGAGGGAGGGAGCCCCTTTTGAGGCCGCCCCTCCCTTGGTTGGCTATTGCTGGCTGTACTCCCAGAGTCTGCAGGGGCCCTCCAACTTCAGTGGGAGGCTGGAGAAAGAGGGTAGGATGGGCGGCCCAGAAAGGGTGTGATTTTCTGAGAGCCACACAGCACATCCAGCAGTGGGTGAGCTGGACACGCTGGGGTGGGGCCAGGATACCCAGGACCTCCTTCTCAGCTGCTCTAGGCGCGAGGGTTTGTGGGAAGGAGTGGACAGGGCTATTTCAGGGCAATGCAAAGGCAGCCGAGTGCTGGCTGGGAGGCCCTCGTGGGTCTAGTCTGACATTTTCTGCTGATGCTGGGAGCCAGGGAAGGGGACCTGGAAACCTGAATCTCACACCTGGGCCAGCTGATCTTGTGCCCAAGTGGTCCCAGCCCCTACTTCCCACTGGTCTTCCCTGTCCTAGCTGCACAATTGCCCTGCCTGGGGAGGAGTGTGGAGAGAAGCACCAGGCTACCCCAGGACCAAGCCCCCAGCCCACCTGCCAGGTCCCGAGAGCCACAGTGAGCCCTCAGTTATATCTTTGTTTTTGTTTTTGTTTTTGAGTTTCACTCTTTCCAGGCTGGAGTGAAGTGGCGCAATCTTGGCTCACTGCAACCTCCGCCCCCAGAATTCAACGATTCTCCTGCCTCAGCCTCCGGAGAAGCTGGATTATAGTCAAACCACCATACCCGCTAATTTTTGTATTTTTAGTAGAGACGGGGTTTTGCCATGTTGGCCAGGCTGGTCTTGAACTCCTGACCTCAGGTGATCAACCTGCCTCAGCCTCCCAAAGTGCTAGGATTACACTTTGAGGTGCCCAGCCCCTCAGTTATTTCTTTTGCAGACTGCAACTAAGGGATAGATCTGGGATTTAACTTTATTTATTTATTTATTTATTTATTTATTTATTTATTTATTTTTAGACAGGATCTCCCTCAGTCACCCAGGCTGGAGTGCAGTGGCACAAACATGGCTCATGGCAGCCTCAACATCCTGGGCTCAAGAGATCCTTCCACCTCAGCCTCCCAAGTAGCTGGGACCCTAGGCACGCAACACCACATCTAGCTAATTTTTTGTATTTTTGGTAGAGACCAGATTTTGCCACGTTACCCAGGCTGGTCTCAAACTCCTGGGCTCAAATGATCTGCCTGCATCAGCCTCCCAAAGTGCTGGGATTATAGGTGTGAGCCACCTGGCCCAGCCTCTTCTTTTACTTATTTATGTATTTATTTTTACACAGGGTCTTGCTCTGTCACCCAGGATGGAGTACAGTGGCATGGTCATAGCTCACTGCAGTCTACAACTGCTGGACTCAAGTGATCCTCCCTCCTCAGCCTTGCAAGTAACTAGGACTACAGGTGCATGCACCTGTAGTGCATTAGCACAGCGAGCTAATTTTTTTTCTTTTTTTGTGCAGATGGGGCTTCTCAATGTTGCCCAGGCTGACCTTGGACTCCTGGCCTCAAGTAATTCTCCCACCTCTGCCTCCCAAAGTGTTGTGATGACAGGTGTGAGCCACTGCACTTGGCCTTTCTTTTTTTTTGAAACGGAGTTTTGCTCTTGTTGCCCAGGCTAGAGTGCAATGGCACAATCTCGGCTCACTGCAACCTCCCCCCTCCCAGGTTCAAGCGATCCTCCTGCCTCAGCCTCCTGAGTAGCTGGGATTACAGGCATGCACCACCATGCTTGCCTACTTTTGTATTTTTTAGTAGAGACAGGGTTTCTCCATGTTGGTCAGGCTGGTCTCGAACTCCCAACCTCAAGTGATCCGCCCGCCTTGGCCTCCCAAAATGCTGGGATTACAGGCATGAGCCACCGCGCCCGGCCTTTCTTTCTTTCTTCTTCTTCTTCTTCTTTTTTTTTTTTTTTTTTTTTGAGATAGAGTCTTACTCTGTTGCCCAGGCCAGAGTGCAGTGGCATAATCTTGGCTCACCACAACCTCCACCTCCCAGGTTCAAGCGATTCTCCTGCCTCGGCCTCCCGGGTAGCTGGGACTACAGGCATGTGCCACCATGCCCAGCTAATTTTTGTATTTTTAGTAGAGACAGGGTTTCGCTATGTTGGCCAGGCTGGTCTTGAACTCCTGACCTCGTGATCTGCCTGCCTCAGCCTCCCAAAGTGCTGGGATGACAGGTGTGAGTCACCACACCTGCCATTTCTTTCTTCTTGTTTCAGGTTTCTTCCTTCTTGGTTCCATCCTACAAAGAACTGTTTCCATAGACATCCTCTCTGTACAGCTACTTTCAGCCTATTCTTCCCAGTTAGAGACTTACAGTGATTCCTAGTGTCTACCAAATTCCCTTTCAAACTCCTTGGTTTGGGATTCCAAGAGCCCTTCACCATCAAGCTCTTTCCACCTGACACAAACAGTAACCTTGTTTCCGGCCCAACTTGCTGTGCCAACTGGCCCTGCCTAAGGCTGTCCAGCCTCTCTGCCTTTGCCTGGGCCGCTTCTCCTCCTGCAACATCCTTCTTCCTCTCCACACCCAATTCTGCTGATTGAAATCCATCCATTCTGAAAGACCTGGCTCAAATGCCACCTCTTCTGGGAGGAATCCTTACCAGGTAGCCTCATCAGAAATGCTTGCCCTCCTCTGATCCATCTCCCGTAGCCCCTTGCATGTCCCAGGCCCTGGATCTTTCTCTCTCACAGCCTCAGACTCCCGGTAAGCCTCTGGAAATGGAAGCCCCTGGAGGGCAGAGCTATCCCAGCTGTCCATGAGTCCTCTCGGAACCCATTTCCCACCATTGCACTTCCTGCCCTGCTCGCTCCCCACCCCAAGGTAACACCAAGGTCGGATGTGAGAAAAAAATAGATGAAACAAGATTTTGCACATCACATTGTAAAACCCGCTCAGGCGCTCCCCTCCTCCCAATATTCTTACTGGACTCCCGCCTACCCTTGGCTCTGGTCCCTCTGGCTCCTCCCCATCCACCCAGTCCAGATGTCCAAGCCTGAGCAGCTCACCTGGAGAGACACCGTGTCTCTGTCTCCATCTCTTAGTCTGGGTCTCTGTCTGTGCTGCCAGTAGACCTCTGGCCTCCCCCATCAGACTGGGATCACTGGGAATGTGAGGACCTACCTTTTTTTGTCTTTGTCTCCTTTTCCCATCCCATTCAGTGGAGGATTTCAAAAAGCTTTGGAGACACACTTAACAAGATAAAAAATGAGAGAGGAAGCTGGAGGTGGGAGAGGTCCTGCTTCCTCCTCCCCCAGCCTCGGTCTCTGGCACCTTGCCAAGGTCACCTTTCAGAGCAACCTATCACGGGCCTTTGTCAGGATCATTCATCCTCCTTTCCAGCGCCCTCCGCCCTTGCCAACCCACCAGACTCTGTTGCCACTCCAGGCCCTGCCGCCACTCCAGGCCCTGCCAGCCCCAGCTCGCCTTACCAGTCCCTCACGCTCCAACTCTCTCCCTCTCCCCCCCATCTGCAACCACAGCACATCACAGCTGTCTGATTAGCTCAATTGATTAATTAAGCTCTAATGAGAGCCGTGACTCACCCCTACAGCTGCTGACCAGGAGGCCAGCCGTGCCCAGAAGGCCACTGAGGCTGCAGACATGGTCTTATGAGGGCCCAGGGGCAGGCAGCTCAGTGGTTGGTACCACTGAGCCATTTGCAGGGCACAAAGCTTGCCCATGGCTAGGTCTCTCCAAAAGCCTCCATGGTGAGGGGTGGGCAGAGGGGTTGCTCCCTCAACCAATCAGTGAGTTCCAGGATCTGGCACCAACTCTGCTGAAGTCAGGGAGGGCAGAGCAGACATTGATTGGCTGAGAGGTGCAGGGAGGGGAGTAGATCCCTTCAGAGTCCCACCTTGACTCCTGGGGCTTAGCATGCCCCAGGCCCAGAGGATAGTGAGCGTGGGGAAGCTGGGCACTGGCCAGAGGAACCAGACTTAGCCCTGCCAGCAGCCACCAACCCTGTGGTTTCTTTGCTCTGTCGCCCAGGCTGGAGTGCAATGCTGCGATCTTGGCTTACTGCAACCTCCATCTCCCAGGTTCAGTCGATCCTCCTGCCTCAGCCTCCCGAGTAGCTGGGATTACAGGCACGCGCCACCATGCCCAGCTGGTTTTTATTTTTAGTAGAGATGGGGTTTCACCATGTTGGCCAGGCTGGTCTCGAACTCATGACCTCAGGTGATCCACCTGCCTCAGCCTCCCAAAGTGCTAGGATTACAGGTGTGAACCACCGCACCCGGCCAAACCCTATGGTTTCTTCCATCCCCACAACTCCCAGCCATGTGGTGAGAAAACGCCCCCATCCAGCTGCTGGCTTCCAGTCTCGAATAGCCACAAGGACTCTGCAGAGCAAGTCCTCGATTCCCATTCCTCCCACCTCCGGCCTCCCTCACCACCCCGACCACTGACCCACCCCGCCCCCAGACTCTGTCCCTTGTCTAGGATAGGGGACAAATGCCCTCCATTAGCAACAATCATTGGCTGGGCACAATGGGTCACTCCTGTAATTCCAGCACTTAATCACGCCTTAATCCTCAACCTTGGGAGGCTGAGGTGGGAGGATCACTTGAGGCCAGTAGTTTGAGACCAGCCCAGGCAACATAGCAAGACCCCTGTCTCTACACAAAATTTTAAGAAAGAAAATTAGCCAGGTAAGGTTGCTCACGTTTGTAATCCCAGCTACTGGGGAAGCTGAGGCAGGAGGATTGCTTGAGCCCAGGAGTTCGAGGCTGCAGTGAGCTGTGATTACACCACTGCACTCCAGCCTTGACAAGGGTAGAATCTTGTCTCAAAAAAAACAAAAAACGATCATCAGTTAAGTGGGATTTTCCATCTTACAGACACCTCCATGTTCGTTCTTCCCCAGAATCTCACGAGGCAAACTGAGCCAGGAGTTCATTCTAGAGATGAGGAAACTGAGACCTCAACTTGCCCAAGATCACACCCGGGCGTTTCCTGCTTCCCAGCCTTTGCATTTGTCTTGAGTCACGCACTTCTCTTCAGCTTTGAGACGTCAGCTTAGAGGTCACTTCAGCCAGGATGCCCCGTCCCCCAGCTGCAGGTGAGGGCCCCCTCTTGTTGTGTTAACTTGCTCACCTCTGCCACGGGCCTGTGAGCACAGCTGCCGCTCTGTCTATACCTCCCGATTGCGGGAGGATCCTGCTCAGGGCCTCACAGGCAGTAGGGACATAAAGAATATTTAGAGTGGAGGAAAGAAAGGGAGGAGGGAAGAAATGAATGAGCCACACATGGCAGATAGTCTGAGCCCCCAGTCAAATGCTGAGAGGGAGGACATGGTGGAGGACCAAGCAGGGCTGCCCAGTCTGGTCATGTCAGCTGTTGATGTGCAGGGAGCCCCTGCTGCACAGCCCGCTGGCCCAGAGATCATGCAGGTAGTCACTTCCCCTCCCTGCTGCAGAGAGGTTAGGGTGGGACCAGGAAATCCTGGGAGATGGTGGAGGAAGATGGGCAGAGCAGGAGAGAGTGGGGAGGGCCTGGGAGTCAGGAAACCTGAAGTGGAGATTAAAGCAGTGGCTGGGTCAGGCACAGTGGCTCACATCTGTGATCCCAGCACTTTGGGAGGCTGAGGCAGGTGGATCACCTGAGATCAGGAGTTTGAGACAAGCCTGGTCAACATGGTGGAAACCCGTCTCTACTAAAAATACAAAAATTAGCTGGGTGTGGTGGCATGCGCCTGTAATTCCAACTACTTGGGAGGCTGAGGCAGGAGAATCACTTGAACCCGGGAAGCAGAGGTTGCAGTGAGCTGAGATCGTGCCACTGCACTCCAGCCTGGGCGACAGAGCAAAATTCTGTCAAAAAAAAAAACAAAAAAAACAGTGGCTGGAGAGTCCGAGACCTGGGTTGGAGTCCTGGCTTTGCTTGACCTCTCTGGGTGACTGTGGGCATGTGGCCTCCCCAGTCTGGCCTGTGAACCGAGAAAGTCTGATGGCATGGGCTCTGGGCCTGTTCTCCTGTTGAAGTCTGGGAGTTCTGTAGCCCCAAGAGACATCTGTTACTAGAGGGAGGGAGTGAAATGGAGATGGACAGTAGGAGGGGGTTGCAACACCTATTACCAATGGTGGGAGGGGTAATCACAGCCGGGAGCCTCTGGGCCCCACAAGGAGTCTCCACCACTCCCCCCAGCTCCTCTTCTGTCGCTGCCCCTCAGATTCAATTACCAGCTCAGCTTTCAAATCGGGCTCCAGCCAGTAACTTTACTGGAGAAAATTATTATGTGATTATTTCAACCTTGCTCCAAACGCTGTTTTAATTGGATCTGGGAAAAGGCGATTTGGGCATCAGAGGAGCCACGCGGGGGCGGGAGCAGCATAGGAATGTCAGGCAGGGGAGCCCCACCTGCCCATGAGGTTCGAAAGGCAGACAGGACTGCTTCCCAGCCCCCTACCTCTCCCCAGGCCCCCCACGTTCATCGTAGATGGAGGGTAAGCCTCAGCCGGAAAGAGAAAATGGGTGTGGGGAGAAAGGCTTCCCAGGCAAGTGGGTTGTGGAGGGGGTTGGAGGGGGTTGGAGGGGGTTGGAGGGGGTTGGAGGGGGTTGGGGGGGTTTGGAGGGGGTTGGAGGGGGTTGGGGGGGTTGGAGGGGGTTGGAGGGGGTTGGAGGGGTTGGAGGGGGTTGGAGGGGGTTGGAGGGGGTTGGAGGGGTTGGAGGGGGTTGGAGGGGGTTGGAGGGGGTTGGAGGGAACAGGTTCCTAGCAGCCTGTCTCCTGCCCAAAGCAGCCATCAGCCACTTAGAAAACTACTTTCCTGCCAATTTCCTTCCCTCCTCTGCCCCCAGTCCCAGCCCACCTGGAATAGACTTTTGCTCAAACACTAGCCCAAGGAAGCAGAGTTGGAAAGAACATTTGATTTTCCAGGATCCAGGAGGGCCTTTGAAAGGGATTTGGATTTATCTGCTCCTGGGATCACCCTTTCTCCCTGCTAGACAGATGACTGGTGTTTGAACATATGCTAACCTTTCTGAGCTTTGGTTTTCCCATCTGTCAAAGAGAGGGTCCTAGGTGACCCCCAAGACCCCTCCCAGGAACGAAGGAAGCCATTTGCACTGGTTCTCCCTGTGCTCTGGCTCTCCATGAGGCTAGAGAAGTCCAGCACCAACTCTTTGGTGGCCAATTCTGCAGGGGCTTGTAGGCGCTGAGCCTTGTAGAGCCCATCTGCCTCGCAGCTAAGGATGTCCCTCCCCACCCCGAGCCAGAGCTCAGCCAGGTGCCAGGAGCGAGAGTGGGCCTGGGATTGGGGCAGGAGGAGAGGGGAGGGGTGTGCTGAAAGGTTGAGGGGCCAGGAGGAAGGACGCATCTTCATGGTCTTGAGGTCTGGCTTTCTCAGGGCTCTCTGTAACTCCTTTTCTCCACACCTTAACAAACACCATGTCAACACTTCTTTAAAAATTGTTTATTTTGTTTAGAAATGAGGTCTTGCTCTGTTACCCAGGCTCGGGTGCATTGGCTCCATCATAGTTCACTGCAGCCTCTACCTCCTGGGTTCAAGCAATTCTCCTGCCTCAGCCTCCTGAGAAGCTGAAACTACAGGTGCACACCACCATGCCTGGCTAATATTTTAAATTTTTTGTAGAAATGGGGTCTTACTATGTTGCCTAGGCTAGTCTTGACCTCCTGAGCTCAAGTGATCCTCCCACCTTAGCCTTCCAAAATGCTGGGATTACAAGTATAAGCCACAGTGCCCAGCCAATGCTTTTTAAATATTTTTTATTTTTTTAGAGATAGGGTCTTGCTCTGTCACCCAGGCTGGAGTGCAGTAGCCCAGTCATTGCTCACTGTAACTTCAAACTCCTGGGCGTAAGTGATCCTCCTGCCTCACTCAACACTTTTTAAAAAAAATCGCTTAGGTGGCTCATGCCTGTAATCTCAGCACTTTGGGAGGCTGAGGCTGATGGATCACTTGTTCCCAGGAGTTTGAGACCAGCCTGGGCAGTGTTAGGAGACCTAGTCTCTAAAAAAGTTAAAACATTTAAAAATTTAGCTGGGTGGCTGGGCGTGGTGGCTCATGCTTGTGATCCCAGCACCTTGGGAGGCCGAGGCAGGCAGATCACGAGGTCAGGAGTTCGAGACCAGCCTGGCCAATATGGTGAAACCCCGTCTCTACTAAAAATACAAAAATTAGCCGGGTGTGGTGGCGCGTGCCTGTAGTCCCAGCTACTCAGGAGGCTGAGGCAGGAGAATTGCTTGAACCCAGGAGGCAAAGGTTGCAGTGAGCTGAGATCTCACCACTGCACTCCATCCTGGGTGACAGAGCAAGACTCCATCTCAAAAAAAAAAAAAACGAAAAAAAAGTTTAGCTGGGTACAGCCATGCCTATAGTCTCAGCTACTCAGGAGGCTAAAGGAGGAGGATTGCTTGAGCCTGGGAGGTCAAGGCTGCAATGAGCTGTGATGGCACCACTACACCCCAGCCTGGGCAACAGACTGAGAACATATATATATATTATATATATTATATATATATATAATATATATATATATATAATGCCTTAAAGGTGCCATTTTGGAGAATGTACTACTCACAGCAGGAATGTGTCTCCCCCACCACCCTTCCCCCCCACCCAAGACATGGGCACTGGGACTGCAGGGAAGACTGGCCAGACCCCAGCCCCAGCACCCACCTGCCATCAACAAGCATCACTGGGCATGGGTGAAGGGACAGTGAGGCAGGCGCAAAGAGGACAGAAGGTGTTGGTTCAATTCATTTGCCAGGTACTGAGCACCTATTGGGTTTGAGGCACAGGGCCAGTGCCACCTCCAGGAGAATAACAATCTGGTTTGGGAGACAGGACACTCTCTTCTTAGAAATCATCTAAAACTCTGAGACAGCAGGAGAGATGGTTCAGAAATGAGGCCGTGAGCACTCAGGAGCCAGTCAATCTCAACAGAACGAAGCCCAGGCAGACTTCCTGGGGAGGCAGTTTCAAGGAGGTCTCAGTGTGGTTTGGCTGAGAGGAGGTTGGTGGGTATTCTGAAGGACCAAACAGCAGAAATGCCCAGGGAGAAAGGGAAGCGGTGAGAGAGGAAGGAAGGTAGCTGTGAGATGCTTGCCTCTGTGCCTCCAACATCCCCTAATGCGGGAAATTATAATTTCCATTTTACAGACAGGTTCGGACCTTTGTCAGGGTCACACACAGCCAGGAGGGGACTGAAAGCAAGCTCTGCCGGTGCCCTGACCCTGTCCTTTCTCCAGCTTCACCTTGCCTCTCCCAGAGCCAGCCGGCCTCATGCTGAGGCACCAGCAGGCAGATGCAGAGGGCTCAGCTGGGAATGAGAAGGCCACTTCCCGAGAATTTCTGGAATCCACAAATAAGATCTGAGACAAACAGGACCCCGGCCCTTCAGGCGAGTGCCTGCCTGGAGATGGGGGTTTCAAAGGTGTGGATCACGGGGGAAAATTGTATTGTCAAAGAAGAAAACCAGTGCTGCCATCCCTCCTTCACTCATTAATTTCTGGGGAAGTATTAATTTCTGGGGAAGTATTAGCTGTCAGCAAGCAGCAGCCCTCCAATTCGAATTACAGAATTTGAATTCTTAATTTCTCCTAATCCATCAGTGAGCTGCCTTCCTGGGCTAATATTAGCAGCATTGGTGAAGCTTGTAACAGTCATTGATGTCTCCAGTCCTCTGAAAAAAGCCCTAATCAACAGAGCTGGGCCTGGGGCATGGGCCCCTAGAGGCAGGGACTCCGATCCCCACTCCCCAGCTGCCCCCAGTCTCCAGGAAGAGAGTGCAGAGTTTTACAAAGGTCCCTGGAGAGACGACAGAGAGAGAGAGAGAGAGAGAGAGAGAGAGAGAGAGCGCAAAGGAGAGGTGGGGAAGATGGAATCAGAGCCTGTGAGAGGCTTGGAACCAGGAAGAGAGGGAGAAAGGGGCTCAGGGAAAGACAAAATCAGTAAGACCAAAAGAGGTGGAGGCAGAGTGATGGAGAGACTGAGCCAGAGGCCCAAAGAGATGGATGGAGCCCGAGCTGGAGAGGAGGAAAGGAGCCTTTCAGAACGTAGAGTCAAAGCAACCCTCATTCAGACTCTGTGCAGGGAAAAAACACAGGAAAGCAAAACCAAAACCCTCCTGTGACTCCCAGGGTGTCATGGAAAGTGTGGTGTTCCACGGATTACATGGCCCCCATATCACTGGGCCCACCAGTTCACATTGCCTCTAGTTCTGGATCAGGCACCTTGTCTCAAATCACAGCTGAAAGACCTCCTCCGTCAGAAGGCCCTCTTGCTTTCTGTCCACCAGCACCATCTCTCTCTCTCTCTTTTTTTTTTTTTTGAGATGGAGTCTCATTCTGTCGCCCAGGCTGGAGGGCAGTGGCGTGGTCTCAGCTCACTGCAACCTCCGCCTCACGGGATCAAGCGATTCCTGTGTCTCAGCCTCCTGAGTAGCTGGGACTACAGGTGCGCACCACCAAACTCAGCTAATTTTTGTATTTTTAGGTAGAGACGGGGTTTCGCCATGTTGGCCAGGCTGGTCTCAAACTCCTGGCCTCAAATGATCCACCCGCCGCCTCAGCTTCCCTAAGTGCTGGGATTACAGGCATGAGCCACCGCACCCGGCCCACCAACACCATCTTTTCACTGCTGGGCAGTAACACTCTCTCCTGGTCAGCCACCCAGGTCCTGAAGACACTCTGTGCTGCTGCGTCTGTCTCCACGCAGGTGGGAAGAACGTGGGAGGCAAGCCGAGCACTATTTGTGCACTTCTTTTTATTTATTAATTTTTTTGAGACGGCCTCTCACTCTTTTGCCCAGGCCAGAGTGCAGTGGCACGATCTCAACTCACCGCAACCTCCATCTCCCGGGTTCAAGCAATTCTCCTGCGTCGGCCTCCTGAGTAGCTGAGATTACAGGCATCTGCCACCAGGCCCAGCTAATTTTTTTGTATTTTTAGTAGAGATGGGGTTTCTCCATGTTGGCTCGAACTCTTGATCTCAGGTGATCTGCCCACCTCAGCCTCCCAATATATGTCCACTTCTTATTTAATCTCTTCGACAGGGCCAAGAGGTACAGACTTTTTTTTTTTTTTTTTTTTTTTTGAGACGGAGTCTAGCTTTGTCACCCAGGCTGGCGTGTAGTGGCCCGATCTCGGCTCACTACAACCTCCACCTCCCTTGTTCAAGTGATTCTCTTGCCTCAGCCTCTCAGCCTCCCAAGTAGCTGGGATTACAGGCGTGTGCCACCACACGCGGCTAATTTTTGGTGAGACAGGGTTTCACCATGTTGGCCAGGCTGGTCTTGAACTTCTGACCTCAAGTGATCCACCCACCTCAGCCTCCCAAAGTGCTGGGATTACAGGTGTAAGCCACTGCACCCGGCTGGTACAAACTGTTATTACCCCCATTTAACACATAAGGAAACACACCTTAAGTCACTTGCCCAAAGTCATGGGGCAATGACATAGTGATTTTGGGATTTGAATCCCAGTAGGCTGACTCCAAAGCAAAGCACTTAACATCACGTTGGAGAATCTTGGGAAACCCCCGGGAGTTGTATATGGTGCAGTCCCCATCCTTGTTGAACTACCAAAGGTTGAAGGCCATGCCAGTCCTGCCCCATGACTTCCTCACATGACTCCAGTTCCATCAGCCAATCTTCTTACTAACATCCAGATAGCCTCGGACCCTCTGCCCCCATCCAGCCGACCCTGTCCCTCCCACCTGCCTTTCCATCTCTCTGAATCCAGGCCTTCACCTGGGCAGGCCCAGCTCAAGTCAGGCTTTCAGCTGGAAGCTTTTCCCCGCCTGCATCCCTAGCTCCATGGCCTGTCCCTCTCTGACCCAGTCTTTGTCCTTTCTGTGGATTTCCTGCCTCCTCAGCAAGTTCTGAGCCTCTCCATGCACAGCCAGGTGCCCTCTGAAGTCCTAGGACCCAGCTTTGCCCGGGCTTGTGCTCAGTAAATATTTGTGGACTTATCAACTGATTGATTGGTGAAGTGAAGACAGGAGACCTGGGACAAAGATGCCTGAGAACTCAGCAGTGTCCCTCTCAGCCTGGGCCCTGGGGAGGTGCTGGGGAGCCTGACACACACAGGTGAGGACTCCAGGCCCCAGCAGGTGTGAATGGCCAGGTGTTGGCACTCCCAGCTGCCTGCGGGTGACCCTGTCTCCCCAGGGTGGGAGGATTTGGGGATGTGTGGGGGGGAGAGGGAACTTGGGAAGTGAGTGCTTCAGGCTGCGCTGAAGTTCCCCTGGCCCCCAGGCTCTGCCCAGGCACCTAGGGCAGGAGGCAGACTCTAGGGTCTTCTCCAAGTTGAGATGTCTCTCCCCACTCCCTTTGCTGCTCCTGCTCCTCCCCTAGCCCCCACTGGAGAATCTGGGCCTGATAGAACTATTTTGGGCCAAACCTCTGAATTATGCATGGTCTGGCCAGTAAGCTGGCTCTTCCTGATCAGTGGCAGTGGGGGTTGGGGAGTAGAGTGATGGCTGCATTTCTCTTCCCGTGTAAGTGTCTGAGTTTGTGCAGGTGCCAGGCAGAGTGTGATGGGGTGGCATACATATGTTTGTGTAGACTTTGTGACTAAGGAATTGTGAATGTGCATGGGTCCACAAGTAGGAGCTATGGGGTCCCAGAGACTTTTTCCTTCTCTCTGAGGCTCCAGGATGGTGGGCCCCTGGGCTCAGTACCTTGTGGTTCCCAAATTTGTGTGTCTGGGCAGGATGGGCACAGGATGACTTAAGTCATCATCCTATTTCCATCCTGTCCCTGCCTTGCCTGCCCATGGGATCCTCAGGAGCTAGATGGACAGAAAAGAGATATCAACCTATCAGGGCCAGATCCAGGAGAGGGGAAAGAGAAGCCATTAACTGCCTGAAAATATTAGGTTGGTGTAAAAGTTATTGCAGTTTTTGTCATTGAAACTAATAGCAAATTACTTTTGCACCAGCCTAATAATAGCAGTAATGACCACTACGAGTTGAAGACCTCCTCTGGGTTTAGGTATTTTACATATATTAATTGAGTTAAATGTCACAACACTTCTATATGCTAGGTACTTTTAGACCCATTTTATTGATAAGGAAATGAAGGGTCAGAAAGACTAAGTACCTTGTTCAAGAGTGCACAACATGGAACTAATAGAATCAAGATTTTTTTTTCTTTCTTTTTTTTTTTTTGAGACAGTCTCACTCTTGTTACCCAGGCTGGAGTGCAGTGGTGCAATCTTGGCTCACTGCTAACTCTACCTCCCGGGCTCAAGTAATTCTACTCCTCAGCCTCCTGAGTAGTTGGGATTACAGGCATGTGCCACCATGCCCGGCTAACTTTTGTATTTTTAGTAGAGATGGGGTTTCACCATGTTGGGCCAGGCTGGTCTCGAACTCCTGACCTCAGATGATCCACCCACTTTGGCCTCCTAAATTGCTGGGATTACAGACATGAGCCACCATGCCCAGCCTAGAATCAAGATATAAACAACTAAGAAAATAAGGCAAGCCATATCCTGGGAGAAAATATTTGCAATACATATATCTGACAAAGAACTTGTATCCAGCAAACTCTTACAATTCAATAGGAAGAAGACAAACAATCCCATCGTAAAAGGGTCAAAAGAAGAGATAGGATGGCCAATATGTGCATGAAAAAAAATTCAGTATTATTCGTTATCAGGGAAATGCAAATTAAAACCACAATTACATACACTGCACAGCCATTGGAAGACTGACCATGGTAAGTGTTGATGAGCTTGTGGAGCAACTGGAACTCTCACATGCTGATAATGGAAATGTACAATGGTGCAACTACTTCAGAAAACAGTTTGTCAGTTTCTTGAAAAGTTAAGCATACAATAACCACAAGATTCGGTTATCCTACTCTCAGGTGTTTAACCAAGAAAAATGAAAATATATGTTTACTGAAAGACCTGTGTGTACACACATGCTCATGGTAGCTTCATTCACAGCAACTGAAACCCTGGAAACAAGACAAATGTCCATCAGCAAGTGGCCAGATTGTTGTATGTGCAAATAATGGGATACTTCTGAGCAACAAAAAGAATAAAGTACCACCATAAAAACAAGGATGAATCTCATCAACATTCTGCTCAGTTAAAGCAGCCAGAAACCAAGAGTACATATTACATAATTCCATTTATATGAAAATCCAGAAAAGACAAATCTAATCTATAGTGACAGAAAGCAGATCAGTGGTTGCCGGGGGCTGGGGGAAGGGTGGGGAACTACGGGGAAGAGGCACAGGGGAGCTTTTTGGGATGATGCAAATGCCCTATATCTTCATTGTAGTGGTAGTTATATGTGTCTATAAATTTGTCAAAACTCATCAAACTGAACACTTAAAATGTGTACATTTTATTGTATGTAAATTATACTTCAATAAAGTTGAAAAAAGAAACCAAGCAAGCTGAGCTGAACTCCACATTTGTAACTGTTATGCCCTGTGTGTCTCAAGGTAGTGGGAAGGGAGTCTTGGGCACCTGGGGCCCCTTTGAAGAAGAGAAAGCTTTACCATACATACAGGCAAGGCAACAAAGAGAGAGAGAGAGATCAAAGAAGAGAAAGGGTTGTGGTTCTTTGGAATTGACTACCCACCCCCAGTGGGAAGGAAGCATCCAGCTCCCCTCTGCCTTACTGGCCCCCACCACCCCAGGCTCTGTATGGCTTTCCCTCTAACCTGAGGGACTGAGCACCCATGGAAGTGTCTAGCCTCCTGCTGGGACCCCTCCCTGACCCCTCCTAAAGGCGACACCTTACAGCTTCCTCAACAGCATCATCCTGACTGGCAGATCAGGAACTCCTAGGGAGTCAATGTTTTGTTTCCCTCCACGAGGCCAAGCCTACCCCTGCTCATCCTCCTGGGAGCCTCTCCCGCTCATCATCCAGGGGACTAATATGGGCCTTGAGTGCAGCATGGGCACACTGCTCTAGGACAGGTTACCAAGCTTACCCACCCAGGGACCCTAAGGGTGTCCAGGAGGGGCTGGCTGGCCAGGCAGAAGGCCAGTGTGCTGGTGCTCCTGGCCCTTGGTCTCACTTGCTGCTGTCAATCACTGACGAATGCCTGTTAAGTGCTCGGCTTTGAGTTAAGCCCTATGCCTATGTTTCCTCTGTTAACCCTCCAGGCAGAGGCTCAACGAGGCCAGAGCTCTTCGTGCCATCATTTCACAGGTGAGGATGCTGAGGCACAGAGAAGGTAAGTAAAGTCACACAGCTAGCAGGTGGAAGGGAAGCTGACAGTAGCCAGTGCTTGCTGTTCATTTCCCAGCAATTCTTGCACCAGCTTCCCTTGAATCCCTTGGAGGGTTTTCTTAACAGTTCAGATTCCTGAGTCTGTGCTTTGTCCTTATCTCCTCTAGGCTCTCAGGGATCCATACCCTCTAGTCCCAGCTAAAGGATAAGCCCTGCCCCCTGCAGGGGCCTCTGGGCTGCGGCTCCCCTGGGCCAGCCCCAGTACTGAGCACTGGGCTCCGAGTGGATGGGCACAGTGCCAGTGCATCTGACTGAGTAGCATGGGCAGGGCTGAACTTGGTCAGGATCATCCAGGGTTGGGGGACCAGCAGGGAAATGAGATCTACAAATAGCAGCAAGTTGTTCATTGATTTCCATCCTGTTCAGAGGAGGCCTGGGACCAGCAAGAACAGGATTGGTTTTGAACTAAAGTGGGAAGGGCAGCTTAGTTTAGGGCAGGCAGGCAAAGTCAGGAAGCAGGATACCCAGGGCCCTGTGCCTCACGTAGGTACGAGGTCCTTGGCTGTGTCCTGTGGAAATGGTACCCCTCCTCTATCCACCTCTGGGGATGCACGTTCCTGGAAGATGGCCCCCAGCTCCACCTGGTATGACCTGCAAGTTAGGAAGGGCTGGGAAAATGCAAAAGTAAAAGGTTCCACTGCCAAAATTGCCTGCTTTTCTAAAATGGCCCATATTTCAAACATCTTGCCCTATCTCTCCCTTAAGCATACACAACCAATCATACCATATGCTCATATGTGGGGATCAGAAAAGAATCTTCATGCCTTAAAAGAGCATTTGAGGCCAGGCACGATGACTCACGCATGTAATCCCAGCACTTTGGGAGGCTGAGGCAGGTGGATCATTTGAGGTCAGCAGTTCAAGACCAGCCTGACTAACATCGTGAAACCCCGTCACTACTAGAAATATAAAAATTAACCAGGCATGGTGGTGTGTGCTTAGTCCCAGCTACTCGGGAGGCTGAGGCAGGAGAATCTCCTGAACCCAGGAGGCGGAGGCTGCAGTGAGCCGAGATCGCGCCACTGCACTCTAGCCTGGGTGACAAAGGGAGACTCCATCTCAAAACAATAAAACGTAAAAATAAAATAAAAGGGCATTTGAGAGGTCCCCTAACCACCACTCCTCCTCAGCTTCTTCCATATCCTGCTTGCTCCCTTGGCTCCTGCAAGTTGGTTCTGTTGCCCGTGTTCCCACCATCCCCTCTCTGTGCCTTTGCACGGGCTGTTCCCTCTGCCTGGAATGACTACCCTCTTCTCCATGAAGCCATGTCCCAGGAGTCCTGAAGACCCAGACTAACTCCTGCCTCCTGCTGAAGGCTTCCGAGCTGTCTGAAGCCTCCTGAGTTCTTCCTTCCTTAACTCCTGTGGTTTATACCAAGCAACCTCACTCCTGCCATCTTTGAGTGTGTGTGTGTGTGTGTGTGTGTGTGTGTGTATCTACACGTAGAGGCTCAATGAATGCTGCACTCCTGTGATTTCTTGGACAACAGTCCCATCTCCTCCACTGGGTAGAAAGGACCCCATCCATCAGGAGCCACATCTTATCCATCTCCCTTGTCCCCACCCCTGCAGGAAACAGCAGAGCAGGCAGCTGCTGCCTGGTCAGCATTAGACTCCGAGCCTCAGAGACGCCGGCAGCTGGGAGGAACCACTGGGACATCTTGTCTCCTTCCCACCAACTCAGAACGTTCTCATGACAGAGGACAGTCCTTGCATCACTCTACGAGTTTCCACCGTATCGTCTGGAGGTGGCCAGTGGAAGCGGGGTGGGTATCTTGACGTTTGGCCTGCCTTCCATCTCCCCCATCTCCAATTTACTCAGCTCCCCAAGCCCTTTGTGCTTCCCACATTCGCCCTCTGTCTTGAGCCAGCAGCCCTGAGCAGCCTTCCAGCTCCTGAGCCCCGCCGGCTTCAGCCGGTGATGTGAGTCCAGCACCCGAGCAGACGGTGACTCTTCCCAAAGCGGGGCTAGAGAGCAGATAAAGGACCCAGAATCCAGAAGTCATTGCCACTGGGCTCAGCCTTGTTTCAGCTCCAGACAAGTCCAGGGGGCCTATGGTGGTGCCCACGAGAGGACGAAGAGAGCCCAGAGATCCCCCCTCAGGGCAGCCAGAGACAGCTTCCTTCCTCAGAGAAAGAACTGAGTCTCCTCATTGAATGATGGGGAAACTGAGGCCTGGGGAAGGGACATGACTTGACCATGGCAAGTCAGAGTCAGTCCAGGAGCCGGTTTCTCCTCGGGCATATGGAATCTCCTGGGCCTGGCTCCAAGGTTGGCAGCAGGCAGGGATTACAGTTAGCACATGCAGATCCCCGGGTGGGCCCCACAGAGCACAAGGGTGGACAGACAGCCTCCCAACCCGGGAGGCCGGGGCCAGGCCACAGCTTCCAGAGACAGAGTGATTTCCTGCCACTCGGTCCCTGGGCCCAGAGCAGCTGCTCCTTCGTCTAATGAATGGCCCTGGTCCTCAGTCCCTGGTGAAGGGGGATCAGGAGCTTTTGCTCTGCTTGAGTCTCCAAGTCTCTGTGGAGCTTTCCATCAAGCAAGGGCAGCCAGGAGGGGTCAGGAGGGGCCGAGGCAGCACGCAGGGCCGACATGCTGAGAACTGCACCCCCTTCCCACCTCTCAGCCTCCTTTCTGCCCTGGCCCGCCCTTCCTTCCTTCCTTCCTTCCTTCCTTCCCTCCCTCCCTCCCTCCCTCCCTCCCTCCCTCCCTCCTTCCTTCCTTCCTTCCTTCCTTCCTTCCTTTCTTTCTTTTTGAGATGGAGTTTCACTCTTGTCGCCCAGGCTGGAGTGCAATGGCATGATCTCAGATCACTGCAACCTCCACCTCCCAGGTTCAAGCAATTCTCCAGCCTCAGCCTCCTGAGTAGCTGAGATTACAGGCATATGCCACCACACCCAGCTAATTTTTGTGTTTTTAGTAGAGACAGGGTTTTACCACGTTGGCCAGGCTGGTCTCGAACTCCTGACCGCAAGTGATCCTCCCACTTCGGCCTCCCAAAGTGCTGGGATTACAGGCATGAGCCACCGTGCCTGACCTGCCCTGGCCATTTCTTAACTCCTTGTTCCCTCCTCCCCTTGCTCCCAGCCTCTGCCCTTCTGGGCCTCCTCTGCCTCCCCTCTCCTCCTTCCTCTGCAGTGAAGAAAATTCTTCCCATCCCAACTGTAGTGCAGCTGGGCAGTACTGGCTGGTAGGAGTCGATAGGGCCTGGTGAGAAGGAGAGGGACAGGTCTAGACACCCAGCAGCTTCACCACTGGCCAACTGGACAAGTCCTAGGAGCTGGAGGAGGTTCAGATTAGTTCCAGCCAGTGCCAGGGAAATCTAGCTGTAGCCAGCAGCCATCTGAAGAGTTGCTGGTGACACACAAGGGTCCAGCAGGAAGTGACATGATGATCAGTGATTGGGGGATCCTTGTTGGATAGATGGGCAGTGGAGACTGGTTACGGACAGGTAATTTGGGGTGGTCCATTAGGGTAGGTCTGTAGTGAAGGTCATTATTGGATGTTGATTGTAGCGATCTCGGTGATGGGTGGTCATGACAGGCAGTTGGTTCTGGTTGTGCATCCATAGTACTGTTGGGCCATCAAGCTGATCAGTGGATGGTTGGGGAGACATTAGACAGTTGGCTGGGCCTGGGCCATCAGTGTTAGGAGGCTGGGTTGGGTCAGTGGGTGGTCAGTACTTTGGTGGATGATCAGTCTTAGCTAGGCAGTGTTAAGAGGTTGATGTTGGGTCGTCAGTGTTTGGAGGCTGGGATAAGGGGGTCAGTCCCCACATCTCTAAGGCATGACACCCCCTCTCCCACTCTGAATGGGGCCTGAAGGGCTCAAGCAGCTCTGAGCTCAGCCCCAGGTTCGCTGCCCTCATGTCTTCCTCTAGGCCTAGGCTATCCTCCTTGCTCAGCCAAAGTAAAGCTGTCCGGAGGCAGAGGTGGAGGCTTGGTCTCCTGGGATCCTGGCAGGCTGGAAGGCAGGGCCAGGTCCCTAGAAGTGCTGCATGGGACATGGGGGATGGAGTGGGCAAGAAGCTGAAGTACTTAGGGATGCAGCAAAGCTCCACAGTGGGGATGGGGCCTGAGAGGCCAGGATGCTCATTGATGAATCGATTCCCATTATTGATGCTGCTTGGAGAAGTTTTGAAAGACGGAGCTGAGGGAGAGGATAGGGTTCTCTTGGAGAAAGCCATGGCACAGCCTGGCCACTCAGAATACAAATGAGATTGCCTGCTCATCCGCCAGGCCCTTCACAGCTGCCCCCTGCAGTGCTGGTGGGAGCTGGGGGCCTGCACCCGGGCACGCGGTGAGCTGCAGATATGGGAGTAACCCAGCACTGGGCAAGCTGCAGAGTTGCAGGCAGATGAGCGGGAGCATTGGGTTTCCATGGGACAGTCACAGGGAGATGGATTTTGGCTTCCTCTGAGGATAGTTTCTCCAAAAGCAGGTCATTCTCCATAAGAGAGAGCTTCCCTACTTCAAGAGGCAGTGTGTCCCAGCAGAGCCTAGAAGACCCCCCCTCTCAAGAAAGATGGCCTTTGAGGCACCCCTCTCCCCCAGCCCTGCCACTATATTGTTGTGAGGGTCCCATTTGTGGTGTGAGTGGTGGGAAAGGGTCATACCCTGCCAAGGGCTTATGGATGCTCACCACGAAGTGACAGAGGGTAGCTGCTCTGACGACCATTGCTAAGGGTCCAGGCAGAGGGAAGGGGGCCACTTGGTCAGAGCTGAACCCATCTGATAGCACATCACTGCAAGGAAAGTCTCATGGGTCCCCAGGCAGGAGCCGGGAAGGGACAGGGTAACTCATTGCTGTGAGATGGGGATGGGGCGGGGGTGGGGTGGATGTTTCAGGATGGAGCCAATGCTGGAGCTGCTATGACCATTAGATCACAGGGGTAGAGGCTGGAGGGGGCCTCTGATGGGGGAGACACAATCTCAGCCTTAGGTGAATGTCCACTCTGATGGAGGAGACTCAATCCCTGTCCTCGAAGCTCCAGTGTGATAAGAGTCCTTGCTTTGGGAAGCCCTCAAATCTAAAGTGGGAGGAAGTACCTGCCTTGAGAGTGTCCATTGCTTGGAGGAAAACAAGAGGTAAGCTGTCCTGATTGGAGCAGATGTGCCAGTGAGACAGGACCTGAGATGAGAGGCAGGAATGTGGAGGCCAGCACAGCCCCAAGTCTGCAGCTGTGATGGACTGAGACCCAGGCATACTGACTTCCTGATCCAACTTCCCAGGGCTGACCTAAATTCACTCCCACTGACTGTGACACAGCCTGCCCCACCTTCCATGTGTGCTGCTTTGGGCTCCCCTAGGCTCCTGTTGAATTACTGGAGATACTCAACCCAGCAAAAGGCCAGGGCTGCTGCTCCCTGGCAGACAGGTGGAGCTCTCCAGGTGGGCCTCCCCTCTACTGTGCACACACCACGCACAACATGGCCTTCTCCAGCTGGGGCTGGCCTTGTCTACATCACCACCCTTCACCCAAGCACCCATCCACAGGAAGTCTCCAGGGGGACTTAGGCTCAGAAGATGAACAACTCCTTCTGTATCAGGCCTGGATTCTCTGCGTAGTTGTGTCAACAACTTGCTGTGTGAATTTAGACTAGTCTATCTCCCTCTGTCCCTCTGGATAATGAATGGGTTGGACCCAATGGCCTCCCAGGTCCCTGCAAGCCCTGACCGTCTCTGAGCAGGAGTGATTGACAGCAGTCTCTGCTTGAGGCTCTGCCATTTAGCAACACGTGACTTCAGACAATGATTTAGCCTCCTGGAGCTTCAGTTTCCTGTAAAATGGGCACAAGAAAAAAAAAATAATGTTCACAAGAGCTGAACCTGCCTCCTGGGACTGTTGGGAAGATTCAGTGAGACAACGCCAGTAAAGTGCTTGATACAGTGCCTGGCAAATAGTACGTGCTTGACAAATGCCACTTATGGCCACTGTCATGATTATTTTCCTCCTTTGTAGCCCCTCTCTGGACTCCACTCCCCCTTCTCTAGGCATCTATGCTGCAGCTGGCCTTCTGCCCAATTCTTGTCCCATTGGATCAGCTCCCACACAGCCTACCACTGCATTTCTGTAAGTACCACCTTCCCCCAGCCCCGCTTCCCAGGGACAAGGCTGCACAGCCCCATCCCTATACCTCGTAACCACTGAGAGGGCCCTCCCATCTCAGCCCCCCTCTCCTGCAATTATGTAGAGCAAACAAGAGCAGCTGATGGGGAAGGAGTTGCTATTAGCTTAACCTTTCGGGACTGGAGCTGCTGGGATGAGATGGGGAGGCCACAGGGAGGGGGCTTCTGAAGCAGGTGGAGCTGGGAGAGGGAGGCAGAGGAAAGGAGGCAGAGGGGGCTGCTCACTATGAGCTACTAATGGGTAGGATGCGGGCCCAGAAAAAGCAAGAAAAGGAACAGAATGAAAGGAAGTCATAAAAGTGGAATTAAGGAGACTAGAACAAAAAAATGGAAGAAGTAGGAGACAGAGGACAGGCTGGGAAAACACAGCTCCAGATAGCTGTGCAGAGAGCTCCTTGTCCTGTTCGTCATACCACCCAGCCTCTTGCAGCCAGTAAGGCGGGAAGTGAAAAGCATTAGAAAGGCTTACTCTGCTTGACACTGTAGAGAATCACAGAATGAAGATTACCTGAGCTGCAAGAGACCTCCGAGCTCTCAGACACCACCTGACCCAGCTCTCTCATTTTACAGATGGAGAAACCAAGGCCTAGAGAGAGCTTTGCCTTTCCCAAGTCTCAGTGAATGTGGGCGGGAACTGGGTGAACATTCAGGCCCCTGACTCGGGACCCTGAACTCCTCCTCCTACACCATCTCCCATCCATCTGTCCATGAATCCATCCATCTGTCCCTCCAACCGCTCGGGGAATATGAGCTCTCACTTAGCCAGAGCTGGGTGGCCTAGTGAGGTCCCCAGCTGGGAGGGACTCAGATCCGGTGAGAATGACTCACGTAAATAAGGAAACGACACACAGGAGTTCCCACCAGGTACCACACACAATAGCTTTCCTTGGCAAATTTATTTATTTATGTATTATTTATTTTGAGATGGAGTCTTGCTCTGTCGCCCAGGCTGGAGTGTAGTGGCACTATCTTGGCTCACCGCAACCTCTGCCTCCGGGGTTCAAGCGACTCTCCTGCCTCCACCTCCACCTCCCACTCCCGAGTAGCTGGGACTACAGGGGTGCACCACCAATCCTGGCTACTTTTGTATTTTTCGTAGAGACGGGGTTTCACCAGGTTGGCCAGGCTGGTCTTGACCTCCTGACCTCAGGTGATCCGCCCTTCTTGGCCTCCCAAAGTTCTGGGATTACAGGCATGAGCCACCGTGCCTGGCTGGTAAATTTATTATTATTAAAGTGTGTTGATATCTGCAGTGAACAAATATCCCCTTCTGTGTGAATCAGGAAGGCTTCAGGGAGGAGTTGACTTTGATCTGGGGCTTAAAGGATGAACTGGAGGAAACTGAGCACTGCAGTTTTCCCAACAGAGCCAAGATAAGGTGCTGGGAGAAGCTGGGGGTCAGAGGGGGCTCTGACTGTCTCTCCCATTCCCCTTCACTTTGAGTTCTGGGAGGGAGGATGAACCAGGTGTGCAAGGGGGTGGAGAGGGACCTTTTCTTCTTGGGGTAGAAGGGGTGATAGGTAAGTTTGGTCTTGTGCAGTTGCTCAGGCGCTGCAGAGGGGGTAGCTGAGAGTGGTCAGGTACCGAAAGGAGATTCCTGCCTATCTTTCTTCCCCCATGTCTCTCTGTTTCTCTCATCCCCTGCTCAAGTGGGCTAGCCAAGAGAGGGGACAAGTGGGACTCTGAGATCTTCGGGAGGCCTGGGTGAGAGCCCCTTGGCCTGACCTCCACTGGGCCAACCACCAGGACTCACTGTACCGCTTCACCCTCCATCCCACTCAGGGGGCTGAGGGAGGCAACGAGGATGGTGACAGTTGGTGGGGGAGGCCCGACTCATAGTTAGCCCACAGCCTCGGCGAGACGGCAAGGAATATTTTTAGGAGCTCATTAAACAGGGAAGAAAGAAAAGGAAGGGAAGGAAGGAAGATGAGGATTATGCATTATTTTTCATCCAAGTGACAGCTCTGAGCATCTCCACTGGAACTGTCATGCAAAAGAAATGGCATGTCTAATATTATTACGGAACCAGTGTGAGTGCGTGTGTGTGTGCATGCGTGTGTGCCACCAATGTGCAACTCTGTGGGGTGGGGGCCCACGGGTGAGCCCATGCGGGTGGCGCTGGGTGAGGGTGCTTGTGTGTGAAGCTGCGTGTGAGCACCAGGAAGCTGGGACTGTGACTGTGGGAGAAACTGCGAAACGGTGTGCAATGGGCCGTGCAGACCGCGTCCAACTCTATGTAATTGGGTGTATGTAACTCTGGGTGCGTGAGACATCACTGGAAAGCCTGGGGGGGGGAGTGCACAGTCACAGGTGAGGGAGCAGCCAGCATGCGTGGCTATAGGGGGTGCACAAATAGGAGGTGGAGAGTAGGTGCAAAGGGGCTTCCGGCCCAACCCCCAGGAGGCAGTAGGGAAACGAGAGTGGGCAAAGGGGGACACTGGGCCCACCTGTCCTTGTCCTGAAGGAGAGCAGTGGCCAGAGGTCCCCCTTCCCACTCCCACACACTGTCCCCTCATCTGCCCTGGCTGACTGTGGGGTGGCAAGGGCACGGTCCCGCTGATTTGAGTTCAAAGTTCTCTTCAATTGAGCTCGATTTGGTAGTAGCTTCATAAAGATGATCACATTGAATTTCCAGAACACGCTGGTAAGGTAGGTAACTATTACTATTCCCATTTGATGAGCAAAGTGTGCTTGAGAGTCCAGTTCAAAACTTCACTGATATCATGGAAGCCAGTAGGAAGCAAAGCTGAGGTCTGTGTTTATTTTGTGTAATTTAATTAATTTTTGAGACAGGGTTTTGCTTTGCTGCCTAGACTGGAGTGCAGTGGCTCAATGATGGCTCACTGCAGTCTGGACCTCCTGGGCTCAGCAATCCCTCCTCCCCCAGTATCTGGGACTACAAGTGTGCAACACCATGTCCATATAATTTTTTTTTTTTTTTTGAGACAGAGTCTCGCTCTGTTGCCCAGGCTGGAATGCAATGGCGCGATCCCGGCTCACTGCAACCTCACTTCCTGTGTTCAAGCCATTCTCGTGCCTCAGCTTCCCGAGTCGCTGAGATTACAGGTGTGCATCACCACACTCGGCTAATTTTTGTATTTATTTTTTGTAGAGACGGGGTTTCACCATGTTGGCAAGGCTGGTCTCGAACTCCTAACCTCAAGCAATCCGCCAGGCTTGGCCTCCTAAAGTGCTGGGACTACAGGCACCCGTCTCCGCGTTCTGCAGCACAGCTGAGATTTGCATCTGAGTCTCCAGGTGGCTTCTCAGGGTTGGCAGAACTGAGCACAGGAAAGGAGGTTAGTGAGGGAGGCTGGGGGGTTGGGAGCCTTCCCAGGGGTTCTGTGGGGCGGGTCTAGGGGGCCTTTCTAGATGGCAGGTGCTAGTGCGTGGGAAAGAGAAGCCGAGGGCCCTGGACAGCTGTGGGGACGGGCCGGCGCTGACCAGCCCAGCGCGCTGAGATTCGCTTCTGTCAGCGTCAAACTGCAGCGCAGGCCCTGCCGACTCGGTAACTAAAGCCAGCCTCGTAAGTGGCTAATTGATTTCTGTTCCCTGATTAAATGTGCAGCACTTTACATGGCAGCAGAAGGAGGTCAGCGCTCCCCCCACTTCTCCAGCGCCGCGTGCGGAGAGACAAAGAAATTGATTTTCCAATCGATGCTCTGAGCAATGATTAAATGTTCTCTGCACAGTGGGCCTAATGAGTCCCCAAGGGGCGTGCCGGCCCTTTAATTAGAGACTCCCACGGGGGCCTGGGATGGGGGCTGCCCTGGAGTGAGGGGGTCCAGCCAGGGAGGAGGCCCCATCCCCAGGGATCGGTGGCCTGGGCCTCTGAGAGATACTGTTTGGGGGCCCCTGGGCGTAGAGACCCAGCGGAGGGGTCCCTAGGCAGGGGGATCCCATAGAGTAGCTCCCGGGCTGAGAGGTCCCTTGGAGGGGCCCCTGAGCTGGGCCCTCGAGGAAGAACCTGGGCTACAAGGATGGAGGCTGGAGGCCCCCGAGTGAATGCACAGATTCACCCACGTGAGCATGAGCCAGGCATGCACCCCCTCCCGCCCCAACCAGAGGACAGACGCAGGCCAAGGCCTCCCTGTCCTCTGCCCCCCAGCATCCAGGCAGCCAGCAGTCCTTTCCGTCAGTTCAGCTCCCCCATCTACGGCGGCGGCGGCGGAGACCCAGACAGGAAATGAATCCCCTCTAAGCGGCTGCTGCGTTTTCCTCACCCAGCTGCCCCATTGGAGAAGCCGACTGAAGACTTTAGAAATTCAAATGAGGCTCTCGGGGGAGAGCGAGTCTTAAACATTCCCCTGCGCTGGCGGCTTTATTGAAGGAATAAACTATATTTGCAAAGTAAGATATTAAGGCTGTCAGTTTCTCTTAGGGATATAATGAGATCCTGGGAGGGAGAGAGGCCGGCAGGATGGAACTCCCAAGGGCGGGAGCCCCAGCCAGGAGGTGGAGTGAGCTGCCCCACCGGGCCAGACAGAGCCCCGCCCCACTGCTACCAGCGCCACTAGGAGCCTAACATCCCCCTCAATCCACCATCCCACCTCCCCTGTCAGAGCTCCTAAGGGATGGAGGCCTGGGTGGAGGCAGGAAGATAGAATGGCTCTGCCTAGCCCTGGAAACCCCAAGACAGTGGAGCCCCTAGAAGTCTCCAGCTCAACTTACCCACCAGCTCTGCCCCATGGAGAGAGCTCTGCTCAGGAGACAGGAAGAGAGAGCAGGGTTGGAGCTGAGACTCTGATGTGGGGCTGTGGCTGAGTCTAGGCTCTCCTAATTTTTTTTTTTTTTTTTTTTTGAGACGGAGTCTTGCTCTGTCACCAGGCTGGAGTGCAGCGGCGCGATCTTGGCTCACTGCAATCTCTGCCTCCCAGATTCAAGCGATTCTCCTGCCTTAGCCTCCCGAGTAGCTGGGATTATAGGCGCGTGCCACCACACCTAGTTAATTTTTGTATTTTTAGTAGACACGGGGTTTCACCATGTTGGCCAGGACCTCGTGATCCACCCATCTCAGCCTCCCAAAGTGCTGGGATTACAGGCTGAGCCACCGTGCCCGGCCAATTTTTAATTTTTTAAAATAGAGATGTGTTCTTGCTATGTTGCCCAGGCTGATCTCAAACTCCTGGGCTCAAGCAATCTTCCCACCTCAGCCTCCCAAAGTGCTGGGATTACAGGTGTGAACCACGATGCCTGGCCAAGGCTCTGCTATTTTGTGAGCTGTATGACCTTGGGCACATTATTCAACCTCTCCGTGATTCTGCTATCTCATCTCTAAAATATTAGTACCTACCTCTTGATTGTTGGAAGGATTAAATGATTTATTACATGGAAGGTGCTTAGCATGTACCTATTTTATGGGTGATGCTCAATAAATATCTTATTAAAGAGTTGAGGGCAGGAGACAGGCATGGTAACTCACACCTGTAATCCCAGCAATTTGGGAGGCTGAAGTGGGAAGATCGCTTGAGCCCAGGAGTTTGATACCAGCCTGAGTAACCAGCAAGACCCCATCTCTACAAAAACTTAAAACATTAGCTAGGCATGGTGGTGTGTGCCTACAGTCCTAGCTACTTGGGATGTTGAGGTGGATTGATCACCTGAGCCCAAGAGTTCAAGGCTACAGTGAGCTATCATCATGCCACTGCACTCCAGCCTGGGTGACAGAGCGAGACCCTGTCTCTAAAAAAAAAAAAAAAAAAAAAAAAAAAAACGAGTTGGTGGGGAGACATAGAGGAAGGTAGTAACCAGTCAACCTCCCCTCCATCCAGGAGTTCCTATCCAACTCTGACCATCCCAGAGTACTGAAACGAGAAAAGTTCCCTTGTCTCCCTCACAGGTAGCCACAGGGGGATTGGCAGTGCCCCGCACCACTACTCAAACCTCTAGGGGAACATACAGATGGGCTTAGACCCCATGGCAGTGTCTAGGGTTGAATGCTTACAGTTCCTGAAGCCCTAGTGGGCATGTGTTACCATGTGCTCTTTTAGTTTTGCCGTCTATAGACGACTTGTGTTAACCAGCTCAATTAGATCCTCTACCTTGTCACAAGGACAGAGGGCTTTCTGTGTCCTGGGGTTCTTGCCTTGGTGTACCAGAAGAATCAGATCATGCATGGGTTTGGAGAATGAGTGCAAGGTTTTATTGAGTGGAAGTAGCCCTCAGCAGATGGGGGAGCCAGAAGGGGGATGGTTTTCCCCTGCAGTTGGGCCACTCTCCTCTGACTTCCCAGCCAAACTCTGCCTCAGCCAAACTCTGCTAGTTCAGCTGGTCGATGGTCGATGGCCTGCCATCATGCCAGGGACTATCGGTACATTCCTCTCGACATCCAGCAGCCCGCGTGCTCCTCCTCTGACATGCTCCTCTTGATGTCCAGCCATTTGTGGGTGCCTGCTAGAATTTCGGGGATTTTATAGGCAGAGGATGGGGCATGGCAGGCCAGGGTGGTCTTGGGAAATGCAACATTTGGACAGGAATGCCTATCCTCACCTAGATCCATGGGGGTGGAGCCCTAGTCAGGAACCACGCCCTCCTCTACCCAGCACTTTCCTTACCCGCCTCCATATCATTTAAAGGGACCATGCTCTTCCCTTCCCAGCACTTTCCTTCTGTATCAGTACCACTACCACCTCTACCATTACTACTATCACCACTACCACCACCACCACCATCACCACAACCAATACCACCACCTCCATCACCACAACCAATACCACCACCACCATCACCACAACCAATACCACCACCTCCATCACCACAACCAATACCACCACCTCCATTGCCACAACCAATACCACCACCTCCATTGCCACAGCCATTACCACCACCACCACAACCAATACCACCACCTCCACCACCACAACCAATACCACCACCACCACCGCCACAACCAATACCACCACCTCCACCACCACAACCAATACCACCACCACCACCGCCACAACCAATACCACCACCTCCACCACCACCACCGCCACAACCAATACCACCACCACCGCCGCCACAACCAATACCACCACCTCCGCCGCCACAACCAATACCACCACCTCCGCCGCCACAACCGATACCACCACCTCCGCCGCCACAACCGATACCACCACCTCCGCCGCCACAACCGATACCACCACCTCCGCCGCCACAACCGATACCACCACCACCGCCGGCACAACCGATACCACCACCTCCGCCGCCACAACCGATACCACCACCACCGCCGCCACAACCGATACCACCACCACCGCCGGCACAACCGATACCACCACCACCGCCGGCACAACCGATACCACCACCACCGCCGCCACAACCGATACCACCACCTCCGCCGCCACAACCGATACCACCACCTCCGCCGCCACAACCGATACCACCACCTCCGCCGCCACAACCGATACCACCACCACCGCCGCCACAACCGATACCACCACCTCCGCCGCCACAACCGATACCACCACCTCCGCCGCCACAACCGATACCACCACCACCGCCGCCACAACCGATACCACCACCTCCGCCGCCACAACCGATACCACCACCACCGCCGCCACAGCCGATACCACCACCACCGCCGCCACAGCCGATACCACCACCACCGCCGCCACAGCCGATACCACCACCACCGCCGCCACAGCCGATACCACCACCACCGCCGCCACAGCCGATACCACCACCACCGCCGCCACAGCCGATACCACCACCACCGCCGCCACAGCCGATACCACCACCACCGCCGCCACAGCCGATACCACCACCTCCATCGCCACAACCGATACCACCACCTCCATTGCCACTGCCAATACCACCACCACCACCACCACCACCATCATCATCATGACTCAGATTAGAGCCAGACACATAGCTTTGAGATAGGAGAAATGGTGCAGAGGGTTCAGAGGGAGTGGAACGGGGTGGGATGAGTCCCAGAAGGTTTCTTGGGGGAGGGGGCCTGTGGACGATACAGAGCCTGGGCACAATTCTTACTCTCTCTTCCCTTTTTCACTAACTGCTAGTGGGTTAAGGTAGAGCTACTCTTTTTTTTTTTTTTTTTTTTTTTTTTGGCAGGAAACTAAGGTCTGAGACTGGTAAAGGAAAAGGAGAGCAAGATGACTGGATCCCCAAGCTCACCACCTCAGAGCTCAGATGGGGAGGAGATAGTAGAGGAATGCCAGCCCCGCCACCCCACCTCAGTGCCAGTCAGAGCTGCCGCAGCATGGTGCTCAGGCTAAGGGAGGCCCACAGCCAAATCTGGGAGAGGAGGTGTCAGGTTTAATGGGCTGGCCAGGGCTGGCCTGTCTGTCACTCTCACTCTGAGGCTGGAGGGGAGATTGGAGTTGACAGTGTGCAGGGGCAGAAGGACAGCAGATCGAGAGCCTGCCCCAGGAACCTGAGGAGGTCTGGCTCTGGGCCTCTGTCATGGCTGTGAGCCTCTGCAATGCGCTGGTCGTCCTTCTAACCTTCTCAGTGAGACCCCCAGCCATTGGTGATGAGAAGGCTGCTGAGACCTAGGAGTGCAGATGAAATGGCCAGGCTCTGCTTCTAACTGCTGCATGACCTTAGGCAAATTACCTGACCTCTCTGGATCTCCATTTCCCCTACCGTGAAATGTGGGTGGCATCATGATGGCATAGAGAAGAAAAATGGACTAGAAGTTAAAGGACCCAGGTTTTAAATACATCTCCATAGGCCAGGCGAGGTGGCTCACGTCTGTAATCCCAGCACTTTGGGAGGCCGAGGCGGGTGGATCACTTGAAGTCAGGAGTTCGGGACCACCCTGGCCAACATGGTGAAACCTCGTCTCTACTAAAAATACAAAAATTAGCCAGGCATGGTGGCAGGCACCTGTAATCCAAGCTACTCTGGAGACTGAGGCAGGAGAATCACTTGAACCCAGAAGGTGGAGGTTGCAGTGAGCTGAGCTGAGATCGTTCCATTGCATTCCAGCCTGGGTGACAGAGTAAGACTCTCTCTCTCAAAACAAAAACAAAAACAGAAACAAAACAAAAAACAAACAAACAAACAAACAAAAAAACAGAAAAAAACTTCTCCATGCCTCTGACCAGGTCATTTGATATTTGGTCTCAGTGTCCTTATCTGCAAAAGGAGATAGTAAACTCAGGGCATTGCTGTGAAAAGGAGGTGAGCACCATGGGCCTGGCATATAGCTGGCCCTCAGAGATTCACTGAAATGGAGCCCTCTTCTAGCTCTTAAAATCTGAGCATGGGATTTTGAGATAAACTCCCAACACCATCACCACCTCCACCATCTCTACCACCACCATCACCTCCATGGCTACCATCATTATCATCACCACCACTACCACCTCCATCGCCACCACCATCACAATTACCACCTCCATTATCTACCTCCACCATCACCTCCATCATCACCACCAATACCATCATTACCAACATCACCTCCATCACTATCACCACCACCACCACAGCCACCTCCATCACCTCCATCACTACCACCAGCTCTACTACCTCCATCACCTCCATCGCTACCACCATCTCTACCACCACCACCACAATTACCACCTCTATTATCTACCTCCACCGTCACCTGCATCATCACCACCAATACCATCATTACCAATAGCACCTCCATCACTACCACCACCACCACCTTCTCCATCACCACCACCAATATCATTACCACCACCACCTCCTCCATCACCACCACCAATATCATTACCACCACCACCACTTCCATCACACCACTGTTACCACCACCATTCCATAACCACCAGACCCACAATATGCTTTTATAAACTTGAAAGCCAGAGAAAGAAGAAACAGTGAAGAAAGGGGCTGTTTCTCTGGAGTATTCAGGTGGTTCAGGTGGCAAAGCCAGGCCTCTTCACCCTCTTCCCCTTAAATAAGAGGCTTCCCATAGAGCAGAACAGAATCAGATGCCTGGGAAGACAGCATAAAACATAGATTAATGGCACATGGAATGCTGGGTCCTCCTGCACTCCCCATACCCCCTAAGCTTCCTTTCCTTGCCTGTGAGGAGAGATGCAGCATATATCACTGGCAAAGGGGCAGGGAAAGGTACTAGCACTGGTCGAGGCCCTACTGTGTACCAGGCACCTTCTTTGGTGACGTATATACTTAAAAAGTCAATGGTACCCTGGTGATGGGTATTACTTACTGCGTTTCACAGAAAAGTAAATAAACTGTGACTCAGAGATGAAGCAATTTGCCTAAGGTCACCTGGCCAGCGAGTGTCCAAGCTGAGATTCAGTTTCACATTCGTACATCCCCCCATTACCAGATGGCCTGATTGTTAGGAAAAGCGAAACTGCCAAGGCAGGAGAGGGATGGGAAGATGTTGATCCTGGGACGAGAGAAGAATTCTGGGTGATTTCCAAGTGTTCCACTGGAAGAGCCCAATGTCTGGGTCCCCAGGCTGGGCACTCTGACACTGCTCTCTGGCCCCTTGGGGGAATCACATTTTGTTGTGCGTTTGTTTGGTTTTGATCAACTCTAAACACTATGTAAGCAAGAACCTTGTCTGGCTTTCTCACTGGCTCCCAGGACGCAGCTCAGGACCTGGCACTCGGATGAGCAATGGTTGTTGAGTAAATACATGAATGAACCCGTGAAAGCATGAATCAATCAGGACATCAAAACCTGGACGGAAAGCTGCACTGCTGATTAAAAAAACAGGAAAACAGCAGTCAGTGCAACTTTCCCTCCTTTGTATTATGATTCCTTTTTTGCCTTACTGATTTTATAGAAATGATTGTTCTCAGATTGCAGAGCACAAACTGGCTGATTGATGCCCCAGAACTAATACCGTGAGACAGACCCGAGGCGAGAAGGACGATTATTTAACACAGCACCAGGGGCATGTGGGGTCATCATTCTTGTGCATGGTAAAGCGACGAAATAAAAAGTTTATGCCCAAAACACACTGGGTTCCTCATAGTGGCTTCATTCCCCAACCCCCTCCTCAAGCACCCTGTCTCATTCACCAGTTCCTTCCCTGTCTAGCAGGTCCTGGGTGCCTGGGAGCAGAGAGTTGGCCCATTCTCCCCAAGTCCAGCTTCAAGGTCCAGGGACCTGGGCAAGGTGTGGTTAACACTGCCCACGTTTTGGGGAGGGGGCCAGTGGCTCCCCTGCTCTCTACTGTGACACTGGGAGGCAAGGGCAGCCAGGCCGATTCCTGGTTTCATCTGGGCCCCTGTGGGTGATGAGATGGGCAGTGATGGGTGAGCTGGCAGCCAGGCTGGAGTGGCATGGCCAGCTGCCCTGGGGACTGTCTTCCCTGCTTGTCACCACTCCCGGCTGCCCAAGCAGCAAAGCCACAGTGACAAGATCCAGAGGGGAAAGGCTCCAGCTGGGGGTGGTGCTGGTCTCATGGCCACCGGAGCAGCAATGTGACAGCTTCTCATCTGGGTGGGGGGGCCTCGGTCCCCACCCCCTTCCCCCTCTGGCTTGACCCTTGTCAGTCTCTATTTCTTTGCCTTGCCTTTGTCTCTGCCTTGCTTCCACACCAGGCTTCTATCAGCTCTGAATGGCCCTTGGTCCATGCCTCTCTCCCTCTCTCCTCCCTCTTCCTCACTTCCTGACTTCAGGACCTGTTCCCTCCTGCTCCCTACAAGCATGCATACACACACATACACACACACACACACACACACACACACACACACACACGCACTCATACCCCACCTCAGATAGGAAACAGGACTTGCCCTCCCAGGACCTGTGTTAAGACCTATGGGGAGTGGCTGGGATCTGGGCCCCCAGTGGGTCTGTGAGCATGAGGTGGTGAGTGTGCAAAAGTGTGAGCCTATGAGAGTGAGTATCAACGTGGACGTGGGAGTTGGAAAGCATGTGTGTACATGTGTGAGTGTGACAGTGAAGTGTTGAAAGAGTGAGGGTGGGGGTCAGTGTGGCCTTGGCCACATGAGCACGCAGGTGAGCTGTGGTGAGGGTGGAAGGATGTGAGTGACTGGGTGTGAAAGCGGAGCCCAGGGCAGATGGACAAACGCATCCTTCAAGCTCGTGTTCCTGGATATAGAGGCTGCCGGCCCCATACCCTCCTTGATCACCCCCTCTTTGTCATCCTGGGCTCCCTCAAATCAGGCCAGGGTGTGGGAAGGGGGAGTGAAGCTGCTGAGCTCCGGGCAGGGCCCTGCCCGCTCCCTGGGCCTGTCAGCCACTGATCTGTTCCATGTTCCTATAAATATTTACAAATCCCAGCTGCTGAGGAGCAAGACATCCTCCGCCAGCTGGGGCTCCCAGCCTGGAAACTGGCAGGGAGGGAGCTAGCAATCGAGGAGCAGCGGGGAGGAGAGGTGGGACTGCACTGGAGACTGGAGAGGCAGGCATCCAGGACTCCTGAGTTCTGCTCCTAGTTTTACCAATGGTTGGCCTAAAGTGCTCGAGTATGTCTTCATCAGGAACTGTAGAGCCAGAAATACCTTCCAAGATAACATGGGAAACCTGCCCCACCCCTACCTGATAAGCACTCCCCACTCGACAGCCAACCTCCTGCCTTCTAGTCATGTCTCTCAATTAGGGGCAAAGAGAGGGATCTTCTTGTGTTTTTGTTTTTTTTTTTTTTCTGTAGAGACAAGGTCTTGCCATGTTGCCCAGCCTGTGATCTCAACTCCTGGCTTCAAGCAATCCTCCTGCCTCTGCCTCCCAAAGGACTGGGATTACAGGGCCGAGCCACCACACTCAGCCTCTTCTTACTTTTTACATGACACAGAAAATTCTCCTGGAGTCCCTGGAGGGTATTACGTCTTTGAACTCAAAATCTTTCCCTGGACCCACGATCAATCCATCAGGCTCTTTCTAGATTGGAAGCTGGAAGACCTGCAGCTCAGTGACCCCCATCACAAGAGCCCCTTCTGTAGCCCCCGATAGGAACTAAAGCATTTTTTCTGGCCTCACCCCTACCCCCAGCCAGCCCTGTCACTTCTGGAGCTGGGCTGGTTGTGACAATCTGGAGGAGGGAGAGTTACGTGGCACCTGTAGGGAGGACTCACTCCCCCGAGCCCGTCAATACTTGGCCCAGGCTGGTGGTCAGACACCTGGAGAACCAGCCCCTGAGAGCTTCCTTTCTCAGGCAGAGAATGATTCTTGATTATCAATCCTCTATCCCCAGTGCCCAGCACAGTGCCAGGCACACCCCAAGCCCTTGGGCATTTATGTGGCATCATCAGCCATATGCCTCGATTTCCAAAGCAAGCTTTCCCAATAGCACTTTGTGGCAAACTCCAACTTCTAGTCCCAGAAGTCATGTGCCTGAGGGATGGCACCACAGCGCCCAGATGTCCTGGGCCTCCCAGCTCAGTCTAGCCCATCTCGGATGCAGGAACTCCTGACAGTGAGAGCCGAGATCTCTTTCCCATCTTGGCTGGAATTTCAGATTTATCAATGTTGAGCCCTCCTGGTCCCCAGTGGGACTCCCCTTCGCATTGCCCAGGCGGTGCCTATATCCTAGCCTAGGTTTTCCCAAGAAGTGAGACCCTGGGAAGGACCTAGAGTGGGAGATAAATCAGGCAAAGGGAATCTCATGACACTGAGGGGCTCTGGCTGCTGTGTGGGACACCCCCTGGAAACTCGCCCCTAGTGGGCGTCAAAGTCAGGCAGGCAGGGGCTGCTGCTCTGCCAGAGGCTGGAAGCCAGGACTACGCTTCCTATCTTACTCTTGGGATCCAGGTCAGCTGTTTTCCCCTGGGTGGGGGAGTCTAACCCTCCCAATTTTATAAAATGAGAAGAAGAGCTGAGGCCATGCTCAGTCTGCCACTTTTCTGAGTCCAGAGCTGTGAGGAAGTGGAGAGGGAGAAGGCTCAGGGTGGAACAAAGAAGGGGGCTCAGGGGCTGCGAGTTTTCCTTGGCAAAAGTCAACTGGCCCCACCACTGAGAAAACTCTGACCTTCTCAGCTGCCAGGGAGGAACAGCAGGGACTGGGGAGGAGGGAACAGGGAGAGAGGACAGCCTGATGTTCTGTGCTCTGGAAGAGAAGTCTGATGATGGCAGTGGCATGGAAAGGGTTAAGAATATTCCTAAAATAGCCAAGCCAGAGCCTAAGCCAGCCAGCTAGTGCCTCTCCCAGAGAGCAGATCTATAGTGGGAAAAGTCAGCCCGATCTGCGCCCCCCTCCACCTCTCCTGCCTGCTGCCTGGCTTCGGCTGCTAATTAAGCCTCCCACCCCCTCCACCAACCCCTCCCGTCCTAGTGGGGGCAGGGGTAGGAGTGAGCAGAGGGGCCAAGTCTCCCCAAACAACAGGGAATCCCCCCTGGGACCAGGAGCTCTGTGGCCCAGCAGCCCTCCATCCCCGCCCTGGCCAGGGTCAGGGATAGGGGTATACAGATGGACAGACAGGCAAGGTGCAGGCCTGTGCATGGGAGCAAGGCTGCCAGGACAGAGCAGCCAAGTTCTCCTGCCCTGACACATGCTTGGTCAGCCCTGACTCGGGGAGACCTCCAAGAAGCTCAGCAAACATCAGCTTTTCCTAGCTCTGTGTCCTCCTCTGCTTGGGGCATCTTGGGATGAGGTTGGGGCAGGGATGAGGCAGGGGAGCCCTTCCAAAGAACAAACCACATCTCTGTTTCAGGGGCAGGACCAGCTACATAACTTGTGGGACCCGGTGGGAACTGAAAATGTGAGTCTGTTGTTCAAAAATCATTAAGAATCTCAAGGTGGTGATAGCAGAGCATTAAACCAAGTTCAGGTCCCTTTTGTGTGCGGGGCCCTTGCCACCAACAGGTGGCACATCTATGAAGCCGGCCCTGTGTAGGAGTTCAGTTTGATGAACATTTACTAAGCACCCACTGCTCAGCTCTTCTGGCTCTGCCACACCAGAGACCCCCTCTCTGACCCTGTCCTCAAATGTATGGAGATGAGGTACTCAAAGACCCCTCTCTGAACATGGAAGGGGGCTGGGCCACCCCCAACCCTGGCTGATTGGTGCCCTGCAAGGATACTGCTGCAGCCATAGTTCCAACCACACACCCAGCTGTAAGACCTCCCTGAGCCTCACCCTCCATGTCCACCCTCAGAGGCTCTGTGAGGAACCCCCCTGCTCCCCGAAGCACAGAGGCCAGCAATTGGCCCTCCTCCCCTCACCCTGGGGTCTCTCATCCATCCTGGAAAGAGCCCCTGGGATTCCCGTTTGGCTCCGCCTCAGATTGGCTCTATGACCTTAGGCAAGCTATTTCCCTCTCAGGCCCTCAGTTTCCCTGTCTGTCAAAGGTGGGGTCTCTAAGACCTCTCCAGACCTTAAGTCCTATGATCTCCTGAGGTGGGAAGAAGAAGGGACATTTTCCCTAGAAGGGACAGGGCTTCCAAAGAGGAAGCTTTCTGGGGAGTAGGAGGCTTTCTCCCTGATACCCCCCTCCTCAGACCCAGAAATCAGGAAGACCAGCTGCTCCCAACTAGCCCTGGATCCTCTGCCTCCCCGCATCTTACCTTGGAGTGGGGCTGGGGGCTGGTGGGGCTGGAAGGCCTGTGGGAGGGAGTGGGGAGGCTGCGGGCCATGCTGGCCAGGCGGGGCCTTCTCTGCCGCCTTTGCAGGAGGCTCAGCATAATTGCACCGCCTGTCACTCCCGCGTCCTGCTATCTGTCTCTCCAGCTGACCCGGCGCACCTGCCATTATATTGGTTCCTGTTGGGGCTGTGGAGCCTCATCACTTATACATGCAGCTGGGAGCCGCAGGCTGGGCTGAGGGGAGATAGCCCCTCCCCTTAGGTCTCTCCCTCCCTCCCGTGGGGCCTTTTCGGAGCTGTGTCCCTGGAACTGAATTTGGAATGGGCAGCAGGCAGCTGCCGATCAGAATGGGTAGGGAGGACCCCCAGGACCGGGCAGGTCCCTGGAACCCCAGACACAAGGCTCAGGGTTCTCTGGTGAGAGAGGCATAAGAAAATCTGCCTGTGACCTGGGTACTTGGGCTCTGCCAGCTGAATCCCACTCTTTCCTCCTCAGAAGATGGAGCTGGGAAGAGAGGCCCCTGAACAAACTCCCCTCATCAACCTCTGAGGCCTGATCCGGACTCAGGAGTTCTGAGACCCAGCCTAGTTCAGCCCACTGAGGCATACCCTAACCCCCACCCCAAATTGCAACTCAACTTCCATTCTCCCATACTTTCTGGCCAAAGTCCCCCTCTCCAAAAGGATGCTGAAATTATGGAGGGTTTTCACAAGAAGGATCTGGAAATGTCTGAATTCAAAAGTCATCTTGGGGTTTAAAATGGGCTGGGCATGGTGGCTCATGCCTGTAATCCCAGCACTTTGGGAGGCCAAGGCGGGTGGATCACAAGGTCAGGAGACCGAGACCATCCTGGCCAACATGGTGAAACCCCATCTTTACTAAAATACAAAAAATTAGCCAGGCATGGTGGCCCGCACCTGTAGTCCCAGCTACTTGGGAGACTGAGGCAGGGGAATCGCTTGAACCCAGGAGGCAGAGGTTGCAGTGAGCCAAGATTGTGCCACTGTGCTCCAGCCTGGCGACAGAGCAAGACTCCATCTAAAAAAATATATAAATGGATGCCAGTGTTGGGCTGTCTTTAATGTAAGAAATACAGCCTCTCAGAGCCAGAAAATTACCCAGCCCAGAGAAAGAAATGGATGGGCGTGATGAGACATCCCCAAACACACATGGCAAACTGGTATCCTCACTGGGCCTTGAGAGATGGTCTCTGCCTCCTGGTGCCCAGCTCCTCATCCTGCCCAAGCCAGGGCTGTAGACTGGTGGCTTCAACCAGAAAACAAAAATACGCCTTTTATACTCCTGGGTCTTGACCCTAAAGTACCTTTCCTTGTCTTCCCCACCAGGTGTGTGCCTGCTGGGCTAGGTAGAGTGGGAGTGTAAAGAGCCCCCACCTGGGGTCAAACAGACCTGAGTTCCAATCCTGCTCTCCCTCTTACCAGCTGTATGATCCTGGGCCAGTCACTGAACCTCTCTAAGTCTCAGCATCCTTATCTCCAATATGGAGATCATGCATATTCCTTAGACTTTTGGTGAGGGGTAAATGAAATAGAGTATGTGAAGCACCTGGCACATATCAGTACCCAGGCAACAGCAATAGCATCCATCCATCCTTCATTCAATAAACATCTCAAGATCCTTCCAGAAGCCTGGAAGTCTCCTGCCCCCTACTCCATCCCCATCCCCAACTAATCTGTCAATAAGTCAGCCAATTCCACCTCCTACCTTCCCAAGTCAGGCCATCATTAGCTGTCACCTGAACCACTGCAACTGCCTGGTACTAAGTCTCCCTACCAGCACTCTTACTCTATTTTAATCCTTTGTCCTCACAGTAGCCAGAGTGCTCATTCTAATCTGAAAAATCTGATTATATTATTCATTCACTTAACACCCTCCAGTAATTTTTTTTTTTTTTTTTTTTTTTTTTTTGTGGAGACAGTCTCGCTCTGTTGTCCAGGCTGGAGTGCAGTGGTGCCATCTTGGCTCAATCCAACCTCCGCCTCCTGAGTTCAAGCGATTCTCCTGCCTCAGCCTCCCAAGTAGCTAGGATTATAGGCGCCCACCACCACACCCGGTTAATTTTTTTTTATTTTTAGTAGAGACGGGGTTTCACCATGTTGGCCAGGCTAGTCTCGAACTCCTGACCTCAGGTGATCCACCCATCACGGCCTCCCAAAGCGCTGGTGATTATAGGCATGAACCACCATGCCCAGGCCCTCCAGTAATCTCTAATTACCCTTAGGACAAATTATAAACTCCTTGTCACAGCCCACGAGGCTCTGCAAGCATGGTCCTTAGCACATGCTGTTCTCTCTACCCATAATCCTTTTCTTTCTCTCCCTCCTCCACCTCCAGTGGCCATATTCTTCACCTTGATGACTCCTTTCAGGGCTTACCTTAAATATCATCTCCTTTAGAAAGTTTCCTATTATTCCCTGCCCCCAGATGAATTTAAGTGACACTGCCGAGTGTGCCCAAAGTACTCCACATTCTAAGTGACCTTGTCAGGCTAGATAGCAGTTGCTTGTTTAATTGTCCAGGTTTCAGCAATACATGGTAAACTACATGAGGTCAGGAGCCTTTTCTCTTTTTCTCCCCAACCTTACCAGCCAAACAGAAGTCTTTTTTGCTCATCTTTGTGTCCCGTGATAACAAGAGATGTGGTGGGCAGTCAGCTAATATGGTTTATAGAATGGATGGAGGATGGATGAATGGATGGATGGATAAATGGAAAAAAATGACACCTCCTCTGTAAAGTCTTCTTGGACTCCTCTGGGCAGGGCATTATTATTATTATTATTATTGAAATGGAGTCTCGCTCTATCACCCAGGCTGAAGTGCAGTGGCACGATGTCAGCTCACTGCAACCTCCGCCTCCTGGGTTCAAGTGATTCTCCTGCCTCAGCCTCCCAAGTAGCTGGGACTACAGGTGCATGTCACCACACCCAGCTAATTTTTGTATTTTTAGCAGAGATGGGGTTTCATCATGTTGGCCAGGCTGGTCTCGAACTCCTGGCCTCAAGTGATCCACCCTCCTCAGCCTCCCAAAGTGCTGGGACTATAGGCGTGAGCCACTGCACCCAGCAGGGGATTATTTTTAATTTTTTATTTTTGAGACAGGGTCTCGCTCTGTTGCCCAGGCTGAAGTACAGTGGCACAAACATGGCTCACTGCAGTCTCAATCTCCTGAACTCAAGCGATCCTCCCACCTCAGCCTCCCAAGTCGCAGAGACTACAGGCCCGACTAATTTTTTATTTTTTGTAGAGATAGGGTTCTCACTATGTTGCCCAGGCTGGTCTCAAACTCCTGGACTCAAGCCATCCTCCCGCCTTTTGGCATCCCAAAGTGCTAGGATTGTAGGAGTGAGCCACTGTGTCCAGCCTGGGCAGGACATTCTTCATCTATGCGTCATTTGGACTTCGTAACACCTCCTACAAATTTCTACCCAAGCCTTAGATTCCTCAGCCATAAAATGGGGAAAATGATAGTACCTACCTCATGAGGTTAATACTAGTACGTGACATAAGCCATGTAATAGTTTTAAATCCATGATAATAGGTTAAGTGTAAATGAGATAATCCATAAAAGTGCTTAAGAACAGGATCTTGGCCAGGCGCGGTGGCTCATGCCTGTAATCCTAGCACTTTGGGAGGCCTATTGGGGGTGGATCACAAGGTCAGGAGATCGAGACCATCCTGGCTAACATAGTGAAACCCTGTTTCCACTAAAAATACAAAAAACTTAGCCAGGCATAGTGGCAGGCACCTGTAGTCCCAGCTACTCCGGAGGCCGAGGCAGGAGAATGGCGTGAACCCAGGAGGCAGAGCTTGCGGTCAGCCGAGATCGCACCACGGCACTCCAGCCTGGGCGACAGAGAGAGAATCCATCTAAGAAAAAAAAAAAGAACAGGATCTTGCACTTTGTAAGTGCTCAAAAACTGTTAGCTATGGTAATTATTGTGGCAAAGTATCCTATCTTTCTGCACGTGTCCCCCACCAAACAGTGAACTCCTCAGGGGCACCGCTCAGCCTTCCGGTCCTACTCATCTTGGGACACACCATCACCACCTAGCTAGGTGTTTTCACCCAGGCAGGACCTAGCTAGCTGTTTTCAGTAAATGTAAAAACAACTCAATGCAGATCCAGCAGCTGATGAGTCAGGGCACAGCACCCCCCTTCCTCACTCCCAAACCCAGACACACAGCAACATCAACAGCCTCTTACACATTCACACCCACTCACATTCATTCAAAGAACCCCAAAATACCACAGAACAGTCACTCAGTTCCTAAAGTCAGTGCCAGTCATGCCTGGGTAAAAAGCCTTACCTACGCTCTTCCCTGTACCTTCCACAATCTACCTCAATGCCTGGAATGACTGGGGCTGTCGGCACCACCCCCTCACTGTAGGAGTTCCTATGGTAGGGTCATTCCAGATGGGGGCTGTGGGAGTGACCCCTCACACTCATAGAAGTTCGGGAAGCAAAGTTAGACCTTCAGCCCCCCACTGACAGCATCCCAGCTACAGAGAGTGCAGCCGCCCTCCTTACCTTGAAACCCTCCCTCCCTTTTCGCTTCTGAAAACCTGAGTCCTGGCCCCGGCTGGGCAAGCTGGCTCAAGCCTGTAATCCCAGCAGGAAGCCCAGGCAGGCAGATCACCTGAGCTCAGGAGTTTGAGACCAGCCTGGCCAACATGGTGAAACCATGTCTGTACTAAAAATACAAAAATTAGCTGGGCATGGTGGCACGTGCCTGTAATCTCAGCTCTTCGGGAGGCTGAGGCAGAAGAATGGCTGGAACCTGGGAGGCGGAGTTGGGGTGAGCCGAGATCGCACGGTTGCACTCCAGCCTGGGCAACAAGGGCGAAACTCAGTCTCAAAAAAAAAAAAAAGAAAGAAAGAAAAAAAAGAAAACCTGAGTCCTTGTTCTTAGCAGGTGGTTGAAGAAGAGGCCTGGAAGCCGGAACTTCAGGGTTCTTCCCTCACTCATCCAGTTCCATCTCTGAACCTGGGAGCCTAGGTCCATTGTCCCCCTCTCCTAGTGTCAAGGACAGCAATGGGTAGGAAGCTGGCAGGACCAAGTAGACCCAAGGCCCGGGGGTCTCCTGAGAGGGCTTTCTTGGCCTTGAGGTGAAATAGTTATATTAGCTACCATTTACGAGGTGTATAATAAGGGTCAGATACTGAGCCCAGGACTTTACATACGTAATACATCATTTAATCCTCACAACCACCCTTTTACCAAAGGATGCCAGGGGCTGCTGGGTAGGCTATTTACCTAAAATCACCGGGTAGGATTGGCACGCAAGCCGTTTTAGTTTTTGTTCTTAATGAGACAGGGTCTTGCTCTGTCGCCCAGGCTGGAGTGCAGTGGCGCAATCTCAGCTTATTGCAGCCTCGACCTCCCAGGCTCAAGCGATCCTCCCGCCTCAGCCTCCTGAGTAGCTGGGACTACAGGTAAAAGCCACAACGCCAGGATCTCCCTATGCTGCCCAGGCTTGTTCGGAACTCCTGAGCTCAAGCGATCCTCGGGCCTCAACCTCCCAGAGTGCTGGGATTACAGACGTGAGCCACCGCGCCCGGCTGGCACTCAGGTCTTTAATTTCAGAATCTTCAACAGTCCAGCTTTAAACAATGTTGGGGGGCAGTATGGCGGATGGGGGGGTTGTGACTGTCTTCAGGTGTTAAGCTGGGAGATGCCCCTCAAGGCAGCACTCTCTCCCCAATCAGCCAAGCCCTCATCTCCCGGAAAGAGGGGCGCTGAGAGCAGGGGATGGGGGTGGAGGGTCGGGTAGGTGGTTAAGGGGTGCTTCTTTGGGGGCCTGGGCGGAGCCAGGGCGGGGCTTGGCGAGCCCAGGGGAGGCGCCAAGCCGGTGGCCCCAGCTCACAGGCCAAGATGGCTGTTAATTAAAGTGCTGGCACCAGCTCCTCTCTGCAAAGTTTGAAGCCGTTATTTTCCACTCCAGCGAAGCGGGGAGAATCCGGCTGGGCTGACGGAGACGCCACACCGCGCCAGGGGAGCAGGAGCTTTTTCGGAGCGGGAGGCGGGGCGCCGTGTGGCTGCGAGCGCGCCTCTTGGATGCCCCGGCCGGCGCGGGGGTGGGTGGGCGCTCCCGCCCCATCCTTGGCCCCGGGCGGCCAGCCGCGGTGTGCCCGGAGGGCTCTGCGAGGGCTGTGGGTGGCGGGCGAGCCCCAGCGGCGTAGCAGAGGAGGGGCCCCCGAGCGAGCGTACTAGGGAGAAGGGGGTCCGTGCAAATCCCAGGCTGACGACCGCGCACGCGCCCCTCGGGTCACCAGCCCTGTCGCTCTTGGTGGGGCACACCGAGGAGACCGCCGTGGGGAACCGGGGACCGGATTGCCTGACAGCCGAGCGCTGAAGACTACTCTTCCTGAGCCTAGGGAGGTCTGGCTGCCCTGAGCCCCCTACCCCTGGGCTTTGGGCAGTAAACGGTACCTAGAGACTCTATCGCGCTGAGGTTGGAAGAGCCTGGAGCCAGGCTACGAGTTTGAGTCCCGGCTCTCCCACTTATTAGTTGTGTGACTTTAAGCAAATCTCTTAACTTCCCAGAGCCTCAGTTCTCCATCTGTAAAATTAAAATAATCTTGGATTTTACTTCTTTGGACTGATGTGAAGATCAAGGGTGATCATGTATGTAAAACATTCAACACAGGGCCTAGCACAGAGTAAACCCTGAATAAATGCTACTTATTGAAAATTTTTTAGCTCCCTCCTTGGTGGTGGTGGGGTCACTCCAACCTGGCCTCAGCCATTAGTGCTTGGAGGGTCCTCTTTCACAGCCCCCTCGTTGGATGTCCCTGTGTCCTTCTACTCCCAGCCCTGGATGAGGTGAGCGACCTCAACCTTGGGTAGGGAAGGCCAGGGAATCATTTTGCCCATGGTGAAGGGTCAACAGGGAGAGTGTGAGCCGGCGGGGGGTAGCTCTCGGGAGAGGAGAGGCTGGGATGTCATTCTTTAGCAGCCGGCCAGTCGCCTCCGAATGGCTGAATCCTCCCCGGTGGGCCGGATAAAGGAGGGCGAAGGAGGAGCGGTGGAGCAGCCCGACCTGGGCCTCAGATAATGTGACAAATATTTTGATGGAAGCAGACACGTTTCGGTTTATGCAACCTAAACACTTTGCTGCACTTGAGGAAGAGGAGAGCCTCCCACAGCCTGATGGGGAGAAGAGTTAGGGGGCGGCGGAGGAGGCTGGGGAGTGAGGGAGGAGGAGCTGAGGGGCTGGATGAGATCCACCCCTCATCCTGGAGGCTGGAAAAGGGGGTTACCCCTCAGGGACGTATTTGCATCTGTCAGCATGGAGAAATAACGTGGGGGTGCCCACCTTTTTAGGATCCCCTTTTCTCCCTGGTCTAGAGGCAGAAGTAAAGGGATTGAGCAGAGGGAGATGGAAGAAAAGGGCCCAGGAAAAAGCAGCCTGGCCACAGTTCGGTGAGGAAGGGGCAGAGGCGAGGAGGGGTTGGAAGCTCCTGCCCCACCTCGGGGGAGACGGGTCCCGGAACAGTCAGATCCAGAAAGGAGGAGGCGGCTGCCGTCTGGCTCCGCTGGGCCCCCGGACAGGCATTCATCCGATATCTGGATCTCCCAGACGGGTGGTCTGCGAGGCCTGAGTGCCAAATGGTCCCCTCCGTATCCTCTTCTTCGCTTCATAACCCCCTTTCTCATCCTACCTTCCAGCTCCCCGCTCCGTCCTCCCCTCAATCGCTCTTTGTCCCCTGCAGACCTGGGCGCTATCCCCTCGCTTCCGCCCCCTGCGGGTCTTGGCCCGTCGCGACCCCAGTCCCTCTGTTTTCCTGGTGACCGACCCTCGAAGCCTCTCCTCTCCCGATCCCCTCGGAGCTCTCTAGCTCTCCCTGTGGCCCTCTCTCCCTTTCGCATTTTGGTCCCTACTCTCCCCTTCCCTTGGAGCGCCTCTCGGGTCTCTCGGACCCCGGCCCCCACCCCATTTCCGAATCTCGGTCTCCGCGTACTCAGTCTCTTCTTTCCTCTCCCTGCTCCCGCCCGGGGTCTCCGCGGCCCCGCCCCCTTATGCCCCGCCCACCTCGAGGCGCCCGCGGCCCAATTAGGCGCCGGCCCCGCCCGCAGCCCCACCCCTAGAGAGCCCAGAGCCGCGCGGAGCTGGCGGGGCGGGGCCCGGCCGAGGGGGCGGTGGCCCGGCTCAAGGAGGCGGGAGGAGTCAGGCGGGAGGCTGCAGGCGGGAGGCGGGAGGCGGGAGGCGGCGGCCGCGGCGCTCAGTCCGGCAGCGCAGCAGGAGGGAGGCGCGAGGCAGGAGCCGGCGGCTGGGCTCCGCAGCGCAGCCAGCGCAGCGCGGCGCCCCGGGCCCGGCCCCATGCCCGCAGCCCCGCCGGACCGTCCTTGAGCGCGGGCGCCTAGCCCGCGCCCCCTGCCCGCCGGCACCATTGCCCCGACGGCGCGGCCGGGCGGCCCGGCGCTCCCCAGGCTCCGCGCGGGCCGAAAGACGCTGCTAGCGGCCGCCGCGGGTGTGGTGATGCTGCTGGTGCTGGTGGTGCTCATCCCCGTGCTGGTGAGCTCGGGCGGCCCGGAAGGCCACTATGAGATGCTGGGCACCTGCCGCATGGTGTGCGACCCCTACCCCGCGCGGGGCCCCGGCGCCGGCGCGCGGACCGACGGCGGCGACGCCCTGAGCGAGCAGAGCGGCGCGCCCCCGCCTTCCACGCTGGTGCAGGGCCCCCAGGGGAAGCCGGGCCGCACCGGCAAGCCCGGCCCTCCGGGGCCTCCCGGGGACCCAGGTCCTCCCGGCCCTGTGGGGCCGCCGGGGGAGAAGGGTGAGCCAGGCAAGCCGGGCCCTCCGGGGCTGCCGGGCGCGGGGGGCAGCGGCGCCATCAGCACTGCCACCTACACCACGGTGCCGCGCGTGGCCTTCTACGCCGGCCTCAAGAACCCCCACGAGGGTTACGAGGTACTCAAGTTTGACGACGTGGTCACCAACCTAGGCAACAACTACGACGCGGCCAGCGGCAAGTTTACGTGCAACATTCCCGGCACCTACTTTTTCACCTACCATGTCCTCATGCGCGGCGGCGACGGCACCAGTATGTGGGCAGACCTCTGCAAGAATGGCCAGGTGGGCCAGGCGGGGGCATGGGGCTGGGCTGGGCCCAGGGCACCCAGGGAGCCCGGGGCAAATGGGTACCTGATCGGAGTTGGCGGGGGCGCCAGGCGGACGCAGGTGGAGATCCCACCCCACAGCGGCCCCGCTTGGTCATCACGTGTGGGGATGGTCGGAGCCAGCGGACATCGCCGATCCTCAGTTCCTGGGTTCCCGCTCCAAGACAGACGCTGCTGGGCACCGTCTGGAACGCTACTGGAAATGCGGGAAATGAACCCAACTAGTCAGAGCGCAGGGCTCCCAGGTGCACGGACTTGCCCTTGGGGGCTTGCCCCTTGGGAAGTGGATTCGGGCCGACAGCAGTGGGCGATAAGGGGAGGGCAAGGATGGGCTCTGGCGTATGGAACAGGGAGAAGCAGCATCCGCGCCCGCGGGCGCCTAGGCGCGTGGCCATGGGCGCGAGCGGAGAAGGCTGGCTGCAGGAAATGTTTGGGGCACAAAGGCAAAGGGAGCCCGGTGCTTACAGCCCTGGCTGCAGTGCCTCCCCTGCCCTGGAGAAGGGACCATTGGGCGAATCTGACACCCTTTGCAAAATCCGGGAGTTGGGGAGCTGTTTCCCACTGTAGCAGAGCTTCCCCAAAAAGAAGGCAGTCTGGGGGGCGGGGGAGTTTTTCCTCCTGAGGCGGGGAGGGGGTGGGGGGTGGGGGGTGGTGGAAGAGATGGAAACTCCCCCTCCTCTTGGTCTCCCAGCTCCAGCCCCTCCTGACTCTGGAGTGTGTGGGGTCCTCTCCATTCTCCGTCCCCATCTCAGACGCTGCAGCTGGAAAGCACTGAGTGTGTCGGGGACTCTGGTACCGGGACTCGCATGTGCGTGTAGCTCTCCTTGGAATGGCCGACCCCAGGACCAGCCTCCACCCAGCCCCGCCCTGGGGTGACAATTTTAGCCAGCTCTCTTGATACCACCTCCCTTCCCAGTGCTCTCACTCGTGGTGGCCTGTGACCTGGGGGTGTGGTCAGGCTGAGCATTCTCTTCGAAGAAGGGGACCACTGGTCAGAACTAAAGCTGAGCTAGTGGAAGTTGAGAAGGAATCTCTCACGATTAAGATACAAGACCTTGTTGGAACCCTTCCCACAGCAGCACTGCCCTGAGGCTCTGCCAGCCTGCGGGTCTGCAAGTCTTAGGGGCAGAGACAGGGGCAGGCAGGGAAAGTGAGCAGATAGCCTGCCAGGTGCTTATAAGTCAGCCCTTCTTCTCTTTCCTCTGCCTGGCTGCTGCCCCGCCAACACCTTTTCTCTGGTTTCTGCCTCTCCCCTGCCTCTTTCTTCTATTTTGCTGTTTCTTGTCCATCTCTCTCCTGTGTCTGCCTTTTCCATCTCTCCCTGGGTTTCTGGCCTCTCCTCCCCGGATCTAACCCCACTCTTCTCTATTCCTTGTATGTCTCTCTTTCCCACGTGTGTCTATCAGACATCCCCGTGTCTCTCCTCTTTGTCCTTGGTTCCTGACCAAATGGGAGGCCCCAGTATCCAGCAAAGGCTCATTCTGCAGACAGCCCCATGATTCCCCCTATTAATCACCAATAAGGGATGCAGCAATGTCACCTTCATCAATGGAATGTCTTCCTTTCCCAAAGAAGTTTGGGCTGACACAGAGCTGAGGTTTCAGGGGATTGGCAGCTTGCCTGGATAGGGAGGCAGTCATTGGGCCACAGGTTGGCCCTAGACCCTGCACCACCTCAGGAAGTCCCAGCAGGTCCCCAGAGATGAGGCAACAAGAGGCCCCGGAGATGCTATGTGCTTAGAATGGGGAACTTGCTTCAGTCACTGGGAGGTAAAACCATCTCAAAAGCTCCTTTTCCCTCCAGCAGGGGCAGGGTGTTGACAGAGTCTGATGAAGGGGTGCTCACTGGAGATGGGACCACAGGCTAGTAGGAAAAAAGGAGGTGGCTTTAACTAGGGGTTTCAAAGGCCCAGCACTTTAATAGTTATTCAGACCAGCCCCCTCAAAAGAAAAACAGGAGAGGCTGGGCCTGGTGGCTCACGTCTGTAATCCCAGCACTTTGGGAGGCTGAGGCAGATGGATCAACTGAGGTCAGGGGTTTGAGATCATCCTGGCCAACACAGCGAAACACCATCTCTATTAAAAATACAAACATTAGGCCAGGCACGGTGGCTCACGCCTGTAATCCCAGCACTTTGGGAGGCCGAGGCAAGTGGATCATGAGGTCAGGAGATCAAGACCATCCTGGCTAACACGGTGAAACCCCATCTCTACTAAAAATACAAAAAATTAGCTGGGCGTGGTGGCAGGCACCTGTAGTCCCAGCTACTTGGGAGGCTAAGGCGGGAGAATGGCGTGAACCCGGGAGGCGGAGCTTGCAGTGAGCTGAGATCGCGCCACTGCACTACAGCCTGGGTGACAGAGCGAGACTCCGTCTCAAAAAAAAAAAAAAATACAAACATTAGCTGGGCGTGATGGTGCATACCTGTAATCCCAGTTAGTCAGGAGGCTGAGGCAAGAGAATAACTTGAACCCAGGAGGCAGAGGTTGCAATGAGGTGAGATCTCGCCACTGTACTCTAGCCTGGGCAACAGAGTGAGACTCTGTCTCAAAAAAAAAAGAAAAGAAAAGAAAAGATAAAAACGAAAAGAAAAGAAAACCAGGAGAAATAGTGGGGCCCGTAGCCCCCTCTCCCATGTCCTTTATGACTTCTTCCAAATTGCCCAAGAGACTCATTTGATCTCACTAGCCATCCCACTTGTTAGTTTTGAGCCCCTACTAGGAGCCAGATTTGAGGCTTTGTAGGAGTTCAGTCCACTTGCCCTCCAAGACCTCATGGCCTATGCAGGGGGAACATTCATAACATACAACCACACGCCCCAGCGAATACTGTGTTAAAGGTGGGCTGGGAGCCCAGCTGATGACTTTGGTCCCCAAATGTGTTGGCTGGGAGGGAGTGCTTCAGTAGGGCCTACCCTGGTGCAGACCAACCTGATGCAGGGGGAGAAGATGGTGAACCTTGGTCTGCAAAGTGAGGAGATACCACAAGGGAGAATATAAAAGGTCAAGTGTAGGGGAAAGCCAGCTCAGAGGTGGACAAGGACATTTAAATAAGCAGAGAAAAAAATGGCAGGACCAGACAATGTATGGGAACAAAAGAGAGAAGCTTGTATCTCTTGTGACTTCAGAACCAGGGGCCACCCTGAGCACTGCGCTTTTCCTTCCTGGCTTCCTGCCTGTAGAGAGGCTTCCAGAATTTCTTTAGGGAGGCAGAGCTGAATCTGGGCTCTGCCTCCTCTCCGGGCAAGTTCGGGATGGGGAGCACCACCTTCATGCCTGGCACTGAGGCTCCCTCTGTCCTTATCTGAGGCCCACTGGCCCCAGTCCTTAGGGGTAGCCTTGCATCAGCACCCCTGATGGCACCAAGTCCTGGCCATTAGGATGCAAGGAGCCTGGGGAAAGGACTCTGGGTTGGCAGTGGGGCCCTGGGTGTGGTGAGTTGCCTGCAGCTGCCTCCAAGATCCACAGTTCAGGTGGGTTGGAGAGGACACAAAATTAATAAACTGGGCAGGGGGCTTTGTGAGGATGTGCCAGGGCCTGTGGTCAGGGTGCTGCTTATCCAGGGTAGGAGGCTGTGGGGAGGTGAGTATCACCAATGGGCCAGGGGTTTGACAACAGAATCTGAGTGTGGCGAGAGGTGCTGGCATATATAAATTGAAGGTGGTGGTATAAAGACCTAAGAAGGCTGTGCACAGTGGCTCACGCCTGTAATCCCAGCACTTTGGGAGGCTGAGGCGGGCGGATCACCAGAGGTCAGGAGTTCGAGACCAGCCTGTCTAACATGGTGAAACCCTGTCTCTACTAAAAATACAAAAAAACATAGCCGGGTGTGGTGGTGGGTGCCTGTAATTCCAGTTACTCGGGAGGCTGAGGTAGGAGAATCACTTGAACCTGGGAAGTGGAAGTTGCAGTGAGCCAAGATCGCACCACTGCACTCCATCCTGGGTGACAGAGCAAGACTCTGTCTCAAAAAAGAAAAAAGACCTAAGGAGATCAGCCTCTCCCCTGGTGGTGGCAGATGGCCCCCTGGCTATCCTTTCTGGCCCCTAATACCTTTCACAACACAGAGCACAGTGCCTGGCACAGTGGGAATGCAGTTAATGTATGTATGAAAATGCAAGTGTCCCCCATGGGCCAGGCTGGCTCCCCTATGGGAGCCACATCTGTACACCCAAGACCCCAGCATTGATCTGAGGGCAGGAACGTGTTTCCTGGATGCCCTCTCACCCAGTTCCCTTGGTCAGACCATTGCCTCAGTTTCCCCTCCTGGCAGCCCTTGAGGAGCTGATTATACAGCGCTCCCTCATAACAAGGCCCAAACCTGCTTTCCTGCTTCCTTGGCAACCTCATTTCCCCACACTTCCCCTTGGACCCCAGGAGGAGCTGCAGGCCTCAACTGTCTCCAGTCAGGCAGAGAATTGGGACCCCTGGGTTCCATTCTTGGATCCCCCACCATCTAAGGATGGAAGGGCATAAATTCTCTCTGCCTCCATGGATAATTAGGATAATTACGGCAACAATCATGGTGATGAATAAATAATAAACATAAGCATAACAGTTCTGATGCAGTCACATCACCAGGAGATTCCTGATGACAGATGACTCTGTTCCAATGGATTTGGCTATTAAGGAGCACACTGTTTTAATGAGTTAAGGCTAAATTAATCTGGGCAATAAAAATAATTGTTATTAGTAGTAATTTATTAGCAAAGATAATGAAATGCATGTGTAATAATAAATATTACCAGGATTAGGGCTCAGGGAACAATACAGAAGTTGGCTGTTTGCTTTCAGCTCTTCCCTAATAACTCAAAGCCCCATCAAGATCTAATGTTTTTTTTTCTTTATCATCAAAAGACTTTTACAGAGGTGGCAGTGGTGAGGCAAAGTCTTCTCATCCATTTTCTAGACAGAGAAACTGAGCTCCTTGGCAGACAGCATCTCCCCCTTCATTTATTCCCTCCCACCTTTAACTAGACCAGTTTTCCCAGCTAAGCACACAAAGAGTTTCTTCTCAGGTTGGGAAGAAGAGGTTGAGGGAAAAGAAGGGGCTGGAGAAGGGCTTTAAAGGGAGGCCCTCATGCAAATATGTCGGGTCCTCTTCATTGCAGCATCGCGGCTGAGTCAGCAGCTCTGGCACAGCTGACCTGCAGTGCTGCCTCCAGCCCAGGAGAGAGGATGGGCCCCTCCCCTAATTTGGCTTGGTTCTACCCAGACTTCAGCCCTGGGAGTTGGGATGGTAAGCTGCCTTCAGTGAAGGGACAGGATAGAGAGGGGCCGTGGAGAAACCTGGCTGAGAGAACTCCACTCAGTGCAGCCTCCCCACACCACAAGCCACAGTCCTGGAGAGGGCGCTTCTCTTCCATGTCTCTACCCAGGATACCCTGGAGAGGCCCCGATCCTCAAACTCAGGACTTATGTTTCCATACCTGTTAGCTGAATGTCTGTAGATCATTCGTTCACCACCACACAATCTCTCTCTCTCTCTCTCTCTCTCTTTTTTTTTTTTTTTTTTTGAGACGGAGTCTCGCTCTGTCGCCCAGGCCGGACTGCGGACTGCAGTGGCGCAATCTCGGCTCACTGCAAGCTCCGCTTCCCGGGTTCACGCCATTCTCCTGCCTCAGCCTCCCCAGTAGCTGGGACTACAGGCGCCCGCCACCGCGCCCGGCTAATTTTTTGTATTTTTAGTAGAGACGGGGTTTCACCTTGTTAGCCAGGATGGTCTCGATCTCCTGACCTCATGATCCACCCGCCTCGGCCTCCCAAAGTGCTGGGATTACAGGCGTGAGCCACCGCGCCTGGCCTTTTTTTTTTTTTGAGACTGAGTCTCACTATGTCGCCCAGGCTGGAGCGCAGTGGCATGATCTCGGCTCACTGCAGCCTCCATTTCCCAGGTTCAAGTGATTCTCCTGCCTCAGCCTCCCCAGGAGCTGGGATTACAGGCGTGCCACTATGCCTAGCTAATTTTTGTATTTTTAGTAGAGATGGGGGTCTCACCATATTGGCCAGGCTGTTCTCGAACTCCTGACCTCAAATGATCCACCTGCCTGGGCCTCCCAAAGTGCTGGGATCACAGGCATGAGCCACCGTATGCAGCCACCACACAATCTCTTATGATTATAGTCAGAGCCCCCAAAAGTGACGGCAGGCTCCAAGCCCAAATGCTGGTGCTCCCTTGACCCATTATCCTGCCTGTCCCTCCCCATCCCCCATCAAGGCAGGGACCAGCAAGGATGTCACATCAGACTGAGAATCCCAGAGGGAAGTAAGGCCTGGATTCCCTTCTTCCCACCCAGTTCCTTTCTACCACCCTGAGGTGAGACAGGAGGAGCTACAATCCTCTTTGGGTGGGTAGTGACAGGTACATAGCTACAGCTCCATGGAGGCTGGCACCCAGGCCCCTTCTAAACTCTGGGAGGGGAAAGCATTACCAGGCCTTCTGTCTCACTGCTGCAGCAGGAGAGACTCTGGAATGCACTTCAGACCAAAGACCTGGCCCTGGTTCCAGGGTGGTTGCTGACTGGCAGCCTGGCATTGGTCCAGCTGCCTGACCTGTGGGGCCAAGGTGTGCCCTTGTGTCCATCCACTGACATAAGATCCAGCGGGTGTGGCTGAAACGATGGCATCATTATGAAAGCAGAGAGGAAGGAATGATGAGAGTAGGGAAGGCCCTCCATTCCCTGGAGGTCCAGAGAATTCCTCTTTGCAAGGACAGGCTTCCAGGCTTCCTGGAGGTATTGAGGTTCTCAGCCAGCTGGAGGGAAAGCCCTATAAGAGTTAAGGAGGAAGACTCTGCCTTGACTCCCAATTCAGGCCCAGATCAGACCTGCCCTAGAAATCCAGGGATCCTCTCTGCCCCTTTCCTGAAACAAGTCCTGTATGATTGGAAGGGGGCGGGGGAGGGGGAGCGTGGCAGGGATGAGGCGAGGCTGGAGGCCAGGTTTCTGGGTCTGCTGATCCTCCCCCACGGGACTGCCTCACCTCCCTCCCTTCTCATCCTCTCTCTCCTCTCGCCCTCCCTCCCGTGTCCCCCACCCGCAGGTGCGGGCCAGTGCTATTGCCCAGGACGCGGACCAGAACTACGACTACGCCAGCAACAGCGTGATCCTGCACCTGGACGCCGGCGACGAGGTCTTCATCAAGCTGGATGGAGGCAAAGCACACGGCGGCAACAGCAACAAATACAGCACGTTCTCTGGCTTCATCATCTACTCCGACTGAGCTCCCCACGTCTCCCTCCACCCACGTCCCTCACCCGCCGGGGTCCCCTCCGGGCGGGGCAGACGATGACTCGCCCCTCGCCCACCCGCTCGCTGCCCGGCCCTCCCCGGCTATGACGCCCCCGGCCCGTGCTCAACACCGCCTGGGCCACAGCTAGGCCCTCCCACCGGCTCGCTGCAGAGCCGGGCCCAGCGCGCCCTGTCCCCGTGCCAGGGAACCGGGGTTGACCGCCCCCGCCCAGCCCGCGCTATATATTTGTACAATAGGACTGTTTACTGCCCACCTCCGCCTGCCAGCCCACCCCAGCCTGGGGAGAGGTCGCGGCGGCGGGTTTGCTTCCTGCGCTCTGAGATGAGCTGCCCTCCGCTCCCTCCGGGGTGGCGCGCCCGGGGGAGGGGGGAGTTGGGGGCTGGATAGCTTCCCAGCACCCTCAGAGCCCCCGCCCGGCTGTGCCCCGTCTGACCAAAGTTATAATAAAAACATTTTCACCCCGCAGGGGTTTCAGTCTGTGCCCTGGGGAGGGCTGCGGGAGGCGACGGTGGACCGTGCCCTCCTCCAGATTAGGAAGGGGTCTGGTGGAAGTTTCTAGGGGAAACCAGGTGCCAGAGCCAGAGCTACTCCAAGAAGAAGTTGCCAAAGGGCCTAAAGCCCACCACAACCCAAGTGGGCCTGGGCAGCTGGGATGGGAAGCAGCCCAGTTACTTCATCATCTTCCATGGTGGACACATTCCTTTTTTTTTTTTTTTTTTTTTTAGACGGAGTCTCGCTCTGTTGCCAGGCTGGAGTGCAATGGCAAGATCTCGGCTCCCTGCAACCTCCGCCTCCCGGGTTCAAGCGATTCTCCTGCCTCAGCCTCCCGAGTAGCTGGGAATACAGGCGCACACCACCACGCCCAGCTAATTTTTGTATTTTTAGTAGAGATGGGGTTTCACCATGTTGGCCAGGCTGGTCTCAATCTCCTGACCTCATGATCCGCCTGCCTCAGCCTCCCAAAGTGCTGGGATTACAGGCGGGAGCCTCGCTGAAAGTGGCATCAGCATTCCACAGGCACAGGTGATCTTTAAACAGGGAGACCTAGGTCCGGCTCTGGGCCACCGTGTATGATCCTGGGCAAGTCACTTCTTTCAACGCAATTTAGGATTAGTGACAGCCATAGAAAGGAACATCCTTTGGACTAAAGGCTGGTTAACCTAGGTCTACGCACTTGACCTCTGTGCCTCGGTTTCCTCATCAATAAACGTAGGAGACCTACCTCACTTGATTGAGGATTCGTGAGGTTTATTGTTATGTGCTCAGTAAACATAGCTTTTATTATTTATCTATAACTTGCAAAATGCTTCCAAGTATGTCATCTCAAGTTTTCCAAACAGCCCTGGAAGGTTGGACCTAGATTTTATTCTTGCAGGGAGGTTAAATATCTTGCTTACATAGTTTCTAAGTTCTGTGATTGCACTTGAAAATCCAAGACATGGCCACGCACGGTGGCTCACACTTGTAATCCCAGCACTTTGGGAGGCCGAGGTGGGAGGATCACCCAAGGTCAGGAGTTTGAGACCAGCCTAGCCAACATGGTGAAACCCTGTCTCTACTAAAAATACAAAAATTAGTTAGGCGTGGTGGCAGGCACCTGTAATCCCAGCTACTTGGGAGGCTGAGGCAGGAGAATAACTGGAATCCTGGAGGTGGAGGCTGCAGTGAGCTGAGATCACGCCATTGCACTCCAGCCTAGGCAACAGAGCAAGACTCCATCTCAAAAAAAGGAAAAAAGAAAGAAAGAAAATCCAAGACATACCAAGTCCCCTTACTCCACCACTGCCATCCTCACTTCCTATAACTGGAGGCCATGTCACACAGGGCATTTCTAGATAACAATAGCTAATATTGAGAGAGCACCCATTATATGTCAGGTACTACGTAAGAACTTTATAAATATTATCTCATGGATATGTGTGCAGGGGTGGGCAGTAGATCTACAGGAAATTATCTCATGCCCTTTAAAATTATGCTGTTATTTTATCCATTTTAGGTGAGGAAACTGAGGCTCAGAGAGGTTAAGCAACTTGCCAAGATCACAGAGCTAAAAACAGGCAAATGCCAGTATTTGAACCAAAGATAATGCTCTTACCTGGTACACCATATTTCAGAGTTGGGATCTCCAAAGCAGATCTGAGGATGGCACCGGGGCAGCCTGAGCCCAGCCCTTCCACTTCCACCCCAACCCTGCAGACGCCTGATGTATTTACAAGCATCTGCCCTGGGCGGCAGCCATGGAGTGAGCCTCTTGGAGAATCCCAAGGCTCTACATTGAGGAAAGGTCCCATCTGGCTTCCCCTCCCCAGTCTAGCTCAGCTGGAGAGACAGGAAGGAGGGGTGGCCTCCCTCCTGGCCAGGCCTCATGTATAGACCCTTGTCATGGCTGGCAGACTTGAATGACTTTCTTTATCCTCCCTTCTCTTCCCTACTTCCCCCACTGCCAGCTGTGGCCATTTAATAAAATTAGCTTAATGCTTGTTCCTTCCCTGTGGGGTCTGGAGATTGAAATCTGCGGGTCCCCACAAACCCAATAAAACCCCTGGCAGGTCTGGCTAGAATGAGAGTCTTGGTGGGAAGAGTGATTAGATTAGAAGGCACTCCTCTGGCCCCCCAGTGCTGCCCACAGCCCCGGGTTCTCTAATGGCCATTTGGGCCTGGAATTATCCAGCCACCACACCTGAGGGCCTCCCCACCTTTCCCAGAGGCCACTGGGACTGATCTATGACCTCTGTTACAAGAAAAGCCATGTTAATCTTTTCTGTAGTGCGTGCAGGCTGACTGGCTGGCTGGCCTGGTTTCTTTTCTTTCTGGTAACTTGACAATCCTCATGTCATTCTGAGAGATGGGGCTAACATCTCCATTTTGTAGGTGAAGAAATCAGTCTGAAGAAGATTCGTGACTTGCCCACGGTCATGCAGTAACGCTGTGGCACAGCTGGGGCTGGACTGAAGCCAAGGACTTTTTTGACCTTTGAAGGGCACCAGGAGTGTCCTGCAGTGCCAGCTTGCCTGCTGCTTGTCACTCAAGCCACATCCTAGTTGCAGGGGAACCTTCTAGGGAAATGCTCCCCATCAAACAGGGGCTCCTCAAGGGCAAATCTATTTTTTTCCTCAGACTTGGGACACCTGAGGGCAAAGACTATGTCTCCATCATCAGGTTGGGAAGCTTCCTAAAGGTAAGAGGCATATCTTCTCCATCAGACTAGGGGGCCTCAAAGACAAAGATTGTGTTTTCTCTTCAAATCGTCAGCTCCTTGAGGGTGGGGTGTGTATCTCCACCCAGACCAGGGATCTGGGGATTCCTAGATGCAAAGACCGGCTTCCACGAGTGGTTCTGAGGGGTAGATACTGTGCTTTTCCTTTTCTTTCTTTCTTTTTTTTTTTTTTTTTGATAGAGTCTTGCTCTGTCACCCAGGCTGGAGTGCAGTGGCACGATCTCGGCCCACTGCAACCTCCACCTCCAGGGTTCAAGCGATTCTCCTGCCTTAACCTCCCAAGTAGCTGGGACTACATGCATGCACCACCATGCCTGGCTAATTCTTGTATTTTTAGTAGAGACAAGATATCATCATGTTGGCCAGGCTGGTCTCGAACTCTTGGCCTCAAGTGAGCTGCCCATCTCGGCCTCCCAAAGTGCTGGGATTACAGGCATGAGCCACTGCGCCTGGCCGATACTATGCTTCTTCTATTAAACTAGGACTTTCTGAGAAAGGGACAGTCTCCACCCCCGGACTGGGGGCTGCCTGAAGGAGAGATTGTCTTCTTACCTAACTGTGAGCTCTCTGAGAGCAGAGGCTGTGTCTGTTTTTTCTACTGGGGCTCCCTGAAAGCAGGGCATTTGTCTCCCCCTTCCTCGGTCAGGGTTCTTTTCTGGCACAAGAACATTCCAGGGGGCAGGGCTGTGTGGGTGGTGGGAAGGAGCTGGACAGGCAGAACGGCATGTCCACTCTGGAGGAGAAGCAACAAATCTCCCCAGGCTGCCTCCCCTTTAGGAAGATGTGTGATTAATTAATGAATAATGTCCCTGCCAGGAGGGTTGTAAGGATGGAGGTGCCCCTGGAGCTCTCCCACACGAGAAATGGCAGGCCATCCTGTGTGGAGGCAGCCACCAGCCCTAGGAGCTGGTGCTGCCCTGGTTTCTAAGGTTATGGGGACCAGAGGGGGCAGCGGGCCCACTGCTGGGGGCTGCCCTAATTGGATGACTTTGCAGGAAGGCCAGGCAGGTGTGCCCGGCTCTCCATTTCAGCTTGCTATAGACACATCTGCCATGGTGAGGTCTAAGGGTTAATTGCCTCCCGCGTCACTCCTGGTAACCAATATTTCATTTACTGCTTGGAGGGGAGCTGCCCAGAGAATCAATCCTGGACAAGCATCCAGGAGACAGGGGAACTGGGGAGACCCAGGAGCTGTTTCCTAGAGGAGCTCTGAGCATCAGAGGAGGAGGCAGGAGGTGGAGACCCAGAGAAGGCGGCCAATTGCTCAAAGCTGCTCTGGGTCTCATCTGAGTTCTGCTGACCCTGACAATAGTTCCAGGACCCCCAAGGGCTAGAAGAAAGTTCCAGAGGTCCAGAGGCCGCACTACCCCAGCTAGCTGTGTTGTTGCCCATGCCCTGGTTCCTTCTGCATTTATTTATGTGGATGCCCCCCAGACAAAACTGTAGCAGGTTAGATGCTGTTAATAAGGTTATTTTCACACATGATGACAGTATATTTGAAAAGTGGAACTGAAGGTGTGAGTTCCTCACTCCCTTCTAGGTAATAAACCTTAAAATCCTACTAATGAGGTGATAATAAAGTGGAAGTGAAAAGTCTACACATGTTTGGAACTGGAAGGGATTGGAAGGGATACTGAGAGGGGGCAGCTGGGGGCTGGAGAAAGGGGCCAGAGGGCTACCTACCCCATGCTCTCCATTCATTTGTGCCATCTGCCAAAATTGAGAATCAATGCCACAGAATGGCCACTCCCGTTATGCAGCTCAGAAACACTAAGACCCAGAGAGGAAGCCAAAGTTGACTGGGTTGGTTCAGGGCAGAGCTAGAAAAGGAGACAGCAGGACCCAGTGGACACGCAGGAAATGAAGACAGAAGAACTGGGTTCGGCCGGGTGCAGTGGCTCACGCCTGTAATCCCAGCACTTTGGGAGGCCAAGGCGGGTGGATCACTTGAGGTCAGGAGTTCGAGACAAGCCTGGCCAACATGGTGAAACCCTGTCTCTACTAAAAATACATAAATTAGCTGGGCGTGGTGGTGCACACCTGTAATTCCAGCTACTCCGGAGGCTGAGGCAGAGGAATTGCTTGAACCCGGAGTGGGGTGGTGGTTGCAGTGAGCCAAGTTCATGCCACTGTACTCCAGCCTGGGCAACAGAGCAAAAAAAAAAAAAAAAAAAAAAAAAAAAAAAAAAAGGCAGGGCACACAGTGGCTTGCACCTGTAATCCCAGCACTTTGGGAGGCCGAGAAGGGTGGATCACCTGAGGTCAGGAGTTCAAGACTAGCCTGGCCAACATGGTGAAACCCCGTCTCTACTAAAAATACGAAAAATTAGCCGGGCATGGTGATGGTTGCCTGTAATCCCAGCTACTTGGGAGGCTGAGGCAGGAGAATTGTTTGAACCTGGGAGACAGAGATTGCAGTGAGCCGAGATCGTGCCATTGCACTCCAGCCTGGGCAACAAGAGCGAAACTCTGTCTCAAAAAAAAAAGAAAAAGAAAGAAAAGAAAAGAAAAAGAAAGAAAAGAAAGAATAAGAAATGAAGAAAGAAATAACCCAGATTGGGAATGATTATATGTGGGATTTTAGAAAGAAAGAAAGCTAAGTGTGGTGGCTCACGCCTGTAATTCCAGCACTTCATGAGACTCAGGCAGGAGGATCACTTAAAGCCAGGAATTTGAGACCAGCCTGGGTGGCAAAGCAAGACCTTGTCTCTACAAAAAAGTTATTTAAATTAGCGGCATGGTGGCGCAAGCCTGTATTCTCAGCTCCTCAGGAGTCTGAGGTGAGAGGATCACTAGAGTCCAGGAGTTCGAGGCTGCAGTGAGCTATGATAGTGCCGTTGCACCCCAACCTGGATGACAGCTAGACTCTGTTTAAAATAAAAATAAAAAAGAAAGAAAGAAACTACCCAGAGAGCAGCTTCTTCAGGGGATGGGGCTCCTGCCTATTCCCAGATGATGAAAGTAAAATTTGAGGGCTCCTTCCCAGGCCTTCAAGGCACAGGCCTTTGCTCCTTCAGTGGTAAGCACTGGCCTGGACTAGGAAAACTGCCTGGGCTAGGATAGTTACAGACCTCTCCCTGCCTCACCAGAGCCAGATATGTGTCTGCTAGGCCCTTGCCTACTCTGTTGCCTGCAGAATGCCTGCTCATTCTTTTTGTTGTTGTTGTTGTTGTTGTTGTTGTTGAGATGGAGTCTCGCTCTGTCACCCAGGCTGGAGTGCAATGGCGCAATCTCAGCTCACTGCAACCTCCACCTCCTGGGATCAAGTGATTCTCCTGCCTCAGCCTCATGAGTAGCTGGGATTACAGGTGCCTGCCACCACGCCCAGCTAATTTTTATATTTTTAGTAGAGACGGGGTTTCACCAGGTTAGCCAGGCTGGTCTCAAACTCCTGACCTCAGATAATCCACCCGCCTCGGCCTCCCAAAGTGCGCCACCGTGCCCGGCCATGCTTGCTCATTCTTTAAAGCCCAGGCAGATTGGCTGCTCTTTCATGAAGCTTTTCTGCACTCCCGCAGCAGGTCTCTCTCCAAAGGCTCCAAAGCCTCCAAGGCTGGACTGAGCATCTTCCAAGTAGGGCTGTCTCACTCAGTACTGTAACACTGTGCCAGCCGCATAATAGCCATTCTACCGTAAGAGCAGTTGTTTCACCATCTCTCACTCTCCTTAAACTTTCACCTTTCTCTGCTGTGATGGATGCTGCGGTGCACTGCCCAGGTCTCCTTCAGAACTGAAGGATCTTGTCCCCGAACTCCAGAGACTGCTGCCAGCAGATGGCTCTTAGCTACCAGCCCCCTTTCAGGATTTCCCCTGCTGATGTGAGCTGCCTTCCTCAATGTCCTGCCCCTTTCTCAGAGCAGCCTGCTTCCCATAACTGATCAGCATGGGTTTTATCTGCCTGGCCCTCCACCCCCTACTCAGGGCAGCTCTGAAGTGTCTTCCCCGCTTCAGAGTTCCCAGTTCAACTTCTCCCTCTGCCCAATCCTGTTTCCTTCTCTTCCACAGGTATTAATTTGGCCAGGTGCAGTGGCTCATGCCTGTAATCTCAACTTTGGGAGGCCAAGGTGGGAGGATTGCTTGAGCCCAGGAGTTTGAGACCAGCCTCTGAGACATAGTGAGACCCCTGTCTCAAAACAAAACAAAACAAAACAAAACAAAACAAAAACTAGCCAGGCATGATGGTGTGTGCCTGTGGTCCCAGCTATTCAGGAGGCTGAGATGGGAGGATCACTTGGGCCTGGGAGTTCAAGGCTACAGTGAGCAATTGCCACTGCACTCCAGTCTGGGCGACAGAGCAAGACCCTGGCACAAAACAAAACACAGGTGTTAATTCCAAGAGCACGCTCCAATAAACTTCCTGCACCCTGATCTCTGTCCCAGGGTCTCTCTACAGAGGACTCAACCTGTGAGACCTACCCCAGTCTCATTCATTCACTGATTCTTTTAGCCAATATCTATTGAGTACCTGCAGATAGATAGATCTGCAGGCCCAGCAGCAAGGGCAGGAGATAGAGTGTAAAAGGTGCCTACCCAATGGGTGATCACATGTCCTACCCCACAGAGAAGCCAGAAGTCACAAGAGACAGCCTCACCCCATCAACTTTCCACCATAAAATCACAAACTTCCCTGAACCTGCGCCCTTCCTCTTCACCTTTCTTGCTTTCATGGAAGATGCTCTGTCTGCATCCTATGCCCTCCCACCGGCGTGACCAGCTTGTCCTTGTTTGTCCAGGACTGTCCCAGTTTAAAACTGAAAGTCCTATGAAACCCCTAAGTCCCAGCCAGATGAATTGGGATGGTTGAAAAAGATTGGCAAAAGTCTCCAGCCTTTTTCAGGACTTCACTTAATTGATAACCACACCTCTTGATATATATATACACACACACATATATACATATATACATATATATACGTATATATACATATATACATATATACGTATATATACATATATACATATATATACGTATATATACATATATACATATATATATATATATATATATATATAGAGAGAGAGAGAGAGAGAGAGAGAGAGAGAGAGAGAGAGACATGGTATTGTTCTGTTGCCCAGGCTGGAGTGCAGTGGCATGATTATAGCTTACTGAACCCTCCAATTCCTGGGCTCAGATGATCCTCCTGCCTCAGCCTCCCAAGTAGCTGGGACTGCAGGGCATGTGCCACCACACTAGGCTAATTTTTCTTCTTTTTTTTAATTTCTTTTTTAGAGATAGGGGTCTCACTATATTGCCTAGGCTGGTCTCTGTCTCCTGGCCTCAAGCAAGCCTCCTGCCTTGGCCTCCCAAAGTGCTGGAATTATAGCCATGAACCACCACACTCAGCCCAGCTGCTCATTGTATATTGGCTCCTTCCCATCATCATTTAAAACTCTACTATCCTTAAAACTCCTCCCTTGAGGCCGGGCGCAGTGGCTCACACCTGTAATCCCAGCACTCTGGGAGGCCAAGGTGGGTGGATCACCTGAGGTCAGAAGTTCAAGACCAGCCTGACCAACATGGAGAAAACCCCGTCTCTACTAAAAATACAAAATTAGCCGGGCAGGATGGTGCATGCCTGTAATCCCAGCTACTCAGGAGGCTGAGGCAGGAGAATCGCTTGAACCCGGGAGGCAGAGGTTGCAGCAAGCCGAGATCATGCCATTGCACTCCAGCCTAGGCAACAAGAGCGAAACTCTGTCTCAAAAAAAAAAAAAAAAAAAAATCCTCCCTTGACCCTACACCCCTCTTACAGCTACTACATTTCTCTGCTCCCCTTGATAGCTAAATTACCTTAAAAGTTGTTACAAAGTCCTCATATCCCACTGTCATCTGGCTGTTGTCACTCCTCTGAAGCTGCTCCTGTCAAGGGCACCCTAGGCCAGGCATAGTGGCTCATGTCTGTAATCCCAGCACTTTGGGAGGCAGAGGTGGGCATATGGCTTGCACTCAGGAGTTTAAGACCAGCCTGGGCAACATGGTGAAACCCCCATCTTTCAAAAAAAAAAAAAAATTAGCCGGGAATGGTGGTGTGCACCTATGGTCCCAGCTACTTGGGAAGCTCAAGTGGGAGAATCACTTGAGTCCAGGAGGTGGAGATTGCAGTGAGCTGAGATCATACCACTGCACTCTAGCCTGGGTGACAGAGCAAGACCCTGTCTCAAAAAAAAAAAAAAAAAGGCCACCCATGACCTCTTGTTAAACCAAGTGGATACTTGATTCAAGGACCTTCTAAAACTGGCCTATATCCAAAGTAGACCAGGCGCGGTGGCTCATGTCTGTAATCCCAGCACTTTGGGAGGCTGAGGCGGGCAGATCACGAGGTCAGGAGTTCAAGACCACCCTGGCCAATATGGTGAAACCCCGTCTCTGCTAAAACTACAAAAATTAGCAGGGCATGGTGGTCTGTACCTGTAGTCTCACCTATTTGGGAGGCTGAGGCAGGAGAATCGCTTGAACTCAGGAGGCGGAGGTTGCAGTGAGCTGAAATCGCGCCACTGCACTCCAGCTTGGATGAAAGGGCGAGACTCCGTTTCAAAACAAAACAAACCAAAACGGGCCAGGTGCAGTGGCTCACGCCTGTAATCCCGGCACTTTGGGAGGCCGAAGCGGGCAGATCAGGAGGTCAGGAGATTGAGACCATCCTGGCTAACACAGTGAAACCCCGCCTCTACTAAAAATACAAAAAATTAGCCGGGCGTGGTGGCACACGCCTGTAGTCCCAGCTACTCAGGAGGCTGAGGCAGGAGAACAGGAGAATCGCTTGAACCTGGGAGGTAGATGTTGCAGTGAGTCGAGATCACACCACTGCACTCCAGCCTGGGCGACAGAGCGAGACTCTGTCTAAAAAAAAAAAAAATTAATTAAAAAAAAAAAAGTAGCTAATGCCACACCGTGGTGCAAAGGCTCTGCAATGATAAGGGTACAGCAAAGGCTCTGCAATGATAAGGGTACAGGTGGGAGGATGGGAGGATGTGCCTTTCCTCTGCTTCCTTTGAGCACCTGGGGTCGGTGGTCTCAGAAGTCACAGGTAGTGAGATGTCCACACACTTCCTAAGAAGACAGAGCCTGCTGCCTTTCACACCCCAATCACATCAGCCTAGAATCACCTTCTGCCTCCACACAAGAAAAAAATTTTGCACCCAGTCCTCAGGTTAGGGTTCTAGGCCTTGAAATTCTTGTTGGGCTAATTCCAAACCAATCTCATCCCTTATCAGCATCTGCAGTGTAGGGCCCGGAAAATTTCCATTTGTGTTCACTAAGGTGGGCCTGGTCAGGCCCTACCAAGACCTCTCAGCACTATTCGCCAAGGTTGACCCTCTCACCTGTGAGATTGTCTTCCCTTGTCTTCTGAGATCCAAGGAACAGCCTCACCTGCCAGGCAAGCTCCCAATCTCCCTACAGCCCTCAGCTAGCATGCCACTCCCCAGCCCTGCTTCCCCCTGCATGTTCTCATTATAGTCTATGTCTCACATCATTGTTCCTACTTAATTGTCTAATTTCTCCCATAGGCTGCAAGCTCCACGAGGCTAGGAGGAGGGTGTTGATTACTGAGCAGCCTATTCTCTGAGCCCACCTGTCTCATATTAGTAAGTAGTTGTTAAATAAATGAATATGAGAACACCCATTACCATTTTATTGAATGTCAGCAAGGGGCTTTACCTACTTTTTTTCTAATCTTTGTAACAAGCTAAGTATTCTTTCATTCCCTGTTTTATAACTCCAAAAACTGAGGCTCTGAGAGACTTGGTGACTTACCCAAGATTATCCAGCAAGTAAGTGTCCCCTGTCCCCTGCCTGCAGCAGGGCTGGACTCTGCCCCTTGCCTTGTCCTGGCTCACCTAACCTCCAGTTAATTGTGTGGACCAGAAGAGGACCAGGGCAAGACCTGGCTTATAGGACACAAGAGGCTCCCCTGATGGCTCTTGGGGAGCCAAAACCTCTGTTAAAATACACATCCCAGTAAGGGAGGAAGAGACCCTTATGCTGTAAGCCATCCTTCATTTTTTGTTTTTATTTATCATGAGTTGTGGAGATGGCAAGAGTACTCCAAATTTCTTGTAGTTTTACAATGACCAGCACCTCCACATAATTTTCTGGTTTTAACCTCACCAAACCAGCAATGCTATTCTATTGTATAGGGGTCAGTTGGGGTCCAGGGAGGTGAATGAGTTTGGGCCAAGTCAACTAGGTATTAAATAGTAACCCTTATCCTGATGGCAAGTCTGATGAGGGAGTTTTGCCTCACCCTTCTCTTACATGCCGCAAACCTGCTCATAGTCCCAGTGTGGGAACAGATGTACTGAAGATTTCCTAAAAGTAATGAGCACCTGGCTCTTTGCAGCCTTCACCTATTTGGTTCTAATTAAATGTATAAAGGTTATCCCTTACATATGCTGGGGACGTTGGAAGGCTTTCATACCTACGCTCTCCTAGGTGAGTAGGAAGGGCAGGATATCGGCCCCATTTTATAGATGAGGAAACTGACACTCAGAGAGCTGAAGTGCCTCGCAGTCTCAGCACTAGTTAGTGACTGAGCCACAACTGGAAACTCTTCAACTCCCACAACCTCAGGTGTTGGAAATCAGCATGAGGTGGGCCCACCAGAATCCAAGCAGCGGGCAGCGGTGTACTATGGAGGCAGTGCACCCCACCGCTGCCGCAAGGGGCCGACCCTCATGCGCAATCGTCAGGCATCATGCTTCTGACACTGTCAAAGCCAAGCGGATGGAATTGCCATTCTTGGCGTCCGCCGGCTTTGCCACATCAAGGCTGTCCTTTAAGTTCATCTTGGGATGGTCCTGCAGCGGAAAGAGACGCTGGACAGAGGTTGACAATCCCCTCTTGACAAACGGATGTGAATTTAGCCTACAGAAAAAACAGGTTTAAACACCTGTTGGATGTCTGGTTGCTGTAACTGGTGCTAAGCCTAGACCCGGGGACCACAGAGACTGGCTGTGGCCCCACGTATCCCAACCCTGCGTTGGCTTCTGCCCGCTACTCTCGTGTGCCCAACCCCGGAGACACCGCCTGGGAAACTGCAGCCGACAGGAAGAGGAAGTGAGCAAGCCCACTGTGAACGGCTCTCGCAACACTTTGTTACTTAGGAAACAGCCAATCAGCGATACGGACGCTGACCAATAGGAAGCACGGTCCGGCCCGCCCGGCTAATTTGAACGCAAGGCGCCGGGTGGAGGTTGGCGCGGGTAGGGGAGGGTGTGGGGCGCTCTCTCCCGGTGTGGGTACTGCTGTCTGTGGTGTGGCTGTGGGACCCGTGAGCAAGCAGCGACGCCAGCGGCGGAGAACCGACGAAAGGTAAGTCCTGGCCCACGGCGGAACCGACCGCGCGAACGCCTGCTCTCAGGTCTCGGACGCGCAGACCCAGCTGCTCCGGGCGGGAGGCCTGTGCCAGGCCTCTTTTGTGCTGGACGTCAAGGTGCGGCGCGGAGAACGAGCTTTGCTGCCGCCCCGGCAGGCTCTGTCTGCATGGACCCCTTTAAACTGGGCGGGAAGCGGAGCGCTTCCTTACACACCCGTACGGGTGGTCAGGACCCCTCCGCTCATCTATGCTGGACCTAGACTGGGCCTGCACATCTGCCACCGGGGCCTGGCCCTCTGTACGTCGGCCCCGTGAAAGGTCCTCCTGCTCGCGAGTGAGGAAGAATTGGGCTCTTCTGCACGCTACAACTAAAGGCCTGGGACTCCCTGCATGTCAGTGAGGAGTATGTAAGCCCCCCTCCACCCATCTACTGAACTGATTGCAGAGCTGCACGTGCCGGTGGCTCTGGCACGCAGTAAAATTTTTTTTTTTTTTTTTTTTTTTTTTTTTGGAGATGGAGTCTCTCTCTCTCTGTCTCCCAGGCTGGAGTGCAATGGCGCGATCTTGGCTCACTGCAACCTCCGCCTCCCGGGTTCAAGCGATTCTCCTACCTCAGCCTTCCGAGTAGCTGGGATTAAAGGCGCCCACCACCACATTCAGCTAATTTTTGTATTTTTAGTAGAGACAGGGTTGGCCGGGCTGGTCTCGAACTTCTGACTCAGGCGATCCGCCGCTTCGGCCTCCCAAAGTGCTGGGATTACAGATGTGAGCCACTGCGCCTGGCCAAATGTTTGATTGAATGAAGGAACAAGTGAAAGAACATTTATATGACAGAAGACCAGGCCTTTGTTACTGCTCCTAGGATGCATCTCCCCTTAGCTTTGACCTTTTAGGGAACTGAAGTGACATGGAAAAGATTAAGCCTGGTCTGTGCCACAGAACTTAAGGGATTTTACTGAAGACACTGGTTCCTCCATCGTCATGGGAAAATGCCATATGTCATATAATTCTAACAGTGATACTAATATCTATTGAGCACTTACCGGGTTTGAATGAACTCATTTAATCTTCACAAATATATGGGGTAGATACTAATATTATTTACAATGTACAGGTTGGAAAACTGAGGCTCAGAGAAGTTAAGCCTAGTTTAGAGGAGAACATCTCAATGTTATATTGCTTTCTCCAATCTTCTCCCTATTCTATTTCTTCCCCAGTCACTGCATCCCATGCTTCAAGTACAAAGGTATCCAGTCATTCTCTGCCCATTTCATTATTGAATTTCCCTACCTCTAGAGAGTTATTTTAAGATGTTGGTCTTTATATTATCTAACCGAATTCCATTTATACCTTTTTAAAAAAGTATACATGTATACTGTTGCAAAAAAATAAAATAGAAGTTAAAAAAAGTATCCATGTAGCATATTTTATAAATTTATAAATTGTTTTTCTACCTGGCCACAAAACAAATCTAAACAATTATCAGAGTATTGTATAAAACATAATCTTTTTACATAAGCAATTACGTTATAAATACCACATTTACAATTTTTTTTTTTTTTTGGAAGTAGAGACAAGTTCTCCCTATGTTGCCCAGGCTGGTCTTGAACTCCTGACCTCAAGCTATTCTCCTACCTCAGCTTCCCAAAGCCCTAGAATTACAGGCATGAGCCACTGTGCCCAGCCCATGTTTGGATTTTTTTTTTTTTTTTTTTTTCTGAGACAGAATTTCCCTCGTTGCCCAGGCTGGAGTGCAATGGTACCACCTCAGCTCCCTGCAACCTCCGCCTCCAAGATTCAAGCGATTCTCCTGCCTCAGCCTCCGGAGTAGCTGGCATTACAGGCACCCGCCACCACACCCGGCTAATTTTTTGTATTTTTAGTCGGGATGGGGTTTCACCGTGTTGGCCAGGCTGGTCTCAAACTCCTGACGTCAGGTGATCCACCCACCTCGGTCTCCCAAAGTACTGAGATTACAGGCGTGAGCCACCATGCCCGGCCTGAAATTTTTTAAAAATACACTTAAGTAGGTCAAATAGGAAATCATAATTGTAATTAAAAGATAATTAACATGAAGCGATTATAAAAATACTATTTATAAAACTTGTGGGATGCAGTTAAAGCGATACTTAGAGGGCAACTTATAGTCTTAAATGCTTATATTAGAACATTTTGTTTAAGAAGCTGAAAGTTAATGAGGCAAATATCCAACTTTAATAAGACAGAACAGCAGAGAACATATGTAGAATATAAAAGAAGATAAGACTGGGCATGGTGGCTCACGCCTGTAATCCCAGCAGTTTGGGAAACCAAGGCGGGTGGACAGCTTGAGCCCAGGAGTTCAAGACCAGCCTGGGCAATATGGTGAAACCCCATCTCTATAAAAAAATTTAAAATTGGGGGGTGTGGTGGCGTGTGCCTGTGATTCCCAGCTACTCAGGAGACTGAGGTGGGAGGATCTTTTGAGCCTTAGGAGGTTGAGGCTGCAGTGACCCATGATCGCGCCACTGCACTCTACCCTAGGCATCAGAGTGAAACTGTCTCAATAAATAAATAAGCTAAAAGCAGAATCAATGAAATAGAGTTTTATCATATAATAGGATTATTTTAGTCAAATGCTGTATCTTAGAAAAGAATAATAATTTTAAAAACCTCTGGCAATATTGATGGAGAAATAAATAAAACATACAAAAAAGACCTTAGGAGCAAAAATAGGGACATACTTCAGTTACAGAGATTAAAAGAAAGAGAAACGGCAATGGAACATTCTTTTTGACAATGCCCTTGGAAAATTTTCTAGGAAAAAACAACTTGCCAAAACTGACTCAAGAAGTTATGGAAATTTTGACTAGATCTAGGACTATTCCATTGAGGAATTCAATTTTCCATAGAGGAAACTGAGTTAGTTTAAAATGTATCTTCACAGGCATGAAAAACCTATACCAAATTCCACCAGAAACTTACAGGCAATTGAAAAAGATGATTCTACTTTACACAAACCGTCCCTATAAAAAAGAGAAAACATATTGGGTCTATTTTACGATATCAAAAATAACACAAAGAAAATTACAAGTCGGGCCAAGCGCGGTGGCTCACGCCTGTAATCCCAGCACCAGCACTTTGGGAGGCCAAGGCAGTAGATCACCTGAGGTCATGAGTATGAGACCAGCCTGACCGACATGGTGAAACCCCATCTCTACTAAAAATACAAAAAATAGCCGGGCATGGTGGCAGGCACCTGTAGTCCCAGCTACTCAGGAGACTGAGGCAGGAGAATCGCTTGGACCGGGGACTCGGAGGTTGCAGTGAGCTGAGACCACGCCATTGCACTCCAGGCTGCTGGGCAACAAGAGCAAAACTCCATCTCAAAAAAGAAAAAAAAAAAATTACAAGTCAATCTGTTTCGTTAATGTAGTTGCAAAGATCTTACTAAAATATTAGCAATCAGAAACCAGTTATGTATTTAAAAACTAGATTATGACCAAGTTGAATTTATCCCAAGAATGCAAGAATGGTTTAACATTGGAAAATCTATTAATATAATTTACACATTTAGAGATTTAAAGAGCAAACATATCCCATTAGGCACAGAAATACAATTCAATAGGAGCCGGTGTGGTGGCTCACTCCTACAATCCCAGCACTTTGGGAGGCTGAGGTGGGAGGATCACTTGAGCCCAGGAGTTGGAGATCTGCCTGGGCGGCATAGTGAGACATCATTTCTACAAAAAAATTAAAAATTAGCCAGGGATGGTGGCACACCTGTGGTCCCAGCTACTGGGGAGGTAGGTGACATGATGAAGTGGGAAGATGGCTCGAGCCCAGGAGTTCGAGGCTGCTGTGAGTGGTGATCCCACCACTGCATTCCAGCCTGGGCAACAACATGAGACCTGGTCTAAAAAAATAAAAAAGGAAAAGGAAAAGAAAATAGAATTCAATAAAGTTCAATATCCATTCATGACTTTTAAATATATATAGGTAAACTAGAAATGGAGACAAATTTCCTTAAACCAACAAAGTGTGAAATAGTAGAAGGATTCTTTATAAAATCAGGAAAGGGGCAAGGATACTCACTATTACTGCTTTTATTCAATATTGTGCTGGAGGTCCTAACCAGAAATGTAAGACAAGAAAAATAAATAAAAATAAAATAAGATTAGAAAGAAACTAACAACGCTATCATCAATTACAGCCTTATGATTGTCTATTTAAAAAAACAAAAGAGGCCAGGCGCGGTGGCTCACACCTGTAATCCCAGCACTTTGGGAGGCCGAGGCGGGTGGATCACAAAGTCAGGAGATCGAGACCATCCTGGCTAACACGGTGAAACCCCGCCTCTACTAAAAAATACAAAAAATTAGTCGGGCGTGGTGGCGGGCGCCTGTAGTCCCAGCTACTTGGGAGGCTGAGGCAGGAGAATGGCATGAACCCAGGAGGCGGAGCTTGCAGTGAGCCGAGATGGCGCCACTGCACTCCAGCCTGGTCGACAGAGCGAGACTCTCCCTCAAAAAAAAAACAAAAAAAACACAATTTCTTCCTCTGCATGACCACAACATGTAGGAAGAACCAGTGGATCGGGGGTGCTGTTCTTTTGTGGGTACCAAGGTGAGGGGGAGATGGGAGCTACCCAAGCCCAATTGCAGGGCAGAACAGCCTAAGGATGGGGTAGTGCCCCTGGTGACAGAAGGTCAAGTTCTAGCCTTGCTACTTCACATTTGGGAGACAAGTTCCTGTGCCTCCTGTTCCTTTTGTACAGTAGGGATATGACAATTGTTGTGAAAGTTAAACACCATTTGTAAAGCACTTAGCATAGTGTCTAATTCATAGTAAGCACTAAGTAAATGTTAGCTGTAATAATAATTATTTTTAGATTTTTGGATTCAGACTCTGCTCTTCTCTGGCCCTTATTTATTCATAGGACAAATTCAGCATCTGCTGCATGCTGGGCCGGGTGCCCAGGCACCTGGGGTACACAGACTATGTCAGAAGAAGGTCCTCCTCTTGGAGTTTAAGGACAAAAAAACAAGTGTATTAGGGTTGTGAAGGAGAGATGAAGGGGGCTACAGCATCGCCTGTAAAAATAGGACGTCCAGGGGCTGGGCTTCTTCCCCTACCCCCTCACCCCTACTACGTTCCTCAGCTTCCAGAGTCTGCAGGTAGATTCCCTCAAGTCCTCTGAAATTCTTCTCCAGGGACTTGTGAGGAGCTTGGGCTCACTGGACCTGTCTCTACTAGGGTGGGCAGAGCAGGCTCTCCCCAAAACAACAGAATCTTGGCTTCCCAGCCCCAGCCTGGCAGAGCACTAGCCTCTGGGTTTTAATGAGCTGCCCTGGGTTAGAAACAGGACGTGACTGTGGCTGGCTGAGAATCCTGAAGATCTTATTAAAGAATCATCTCCCTTGTACTTTGGGCTGAAATGCTCTTTCCAACCAAGGATCAAAGCAAACTTGACACACATTCTCTCATTAATCTCCCCATCCCCTGGGGCGGGAGCAGATCGGTAGCTGTTTTCTCTGGTTCTCAAAGAGGGAAGCTGATGCGACATTGACCTGGTGTGGCTTGTGGAAAGACCTCCCCCTTGGTCAGATGCTGAACAGGGACCAGGACCCAGGCATCCTAGCGGCGGCTATGCCAAGTGTCATCCACACTTTGTGCCCCACGCCCCCAGCACCATCTCAGCAAGAAGGAAAACATCTCATTAGGCAAACAGACTCAGCCACACTGGCCCTCAGGAGGCGGGAGGAGAGAACTGTAAAGGTTATGAGCACTCCTTTGCCAGTGCCCTTTTTAATTTCCTGCTTAGAATGTTAGGCTGCTCTGTGGCTCCTCCTCAGCTAAAGCCCTCCCCATGGGGAGCAGGGACTGCTGGGAAATGTGGACCCAGGCACCCTCTGCCTTCCCTTCCCCGGGTGCCAAAGTGGGGTTTCCTGGGGGTAGGTCTGCAAGAGTAGGAGACAGGAACCCTCTCTGTTGAAAATTAGGTACAGCTGGGTGCAGTGGCTCACGCCTGTAATCCCAGCACTTTGGGAGGCCAAGGCAGGCGGATCACCTGAGGTCAGGGGTGCGAGACCAGCCTGGCCAACATGGTGAAACCTCATCTCTACTAAAAATACAAAAATTACCTGGCCGTAATGGTGGGCGCCTGTAATCCCAGCTACTGGGGAGGCTGAGGCAGAAGAATTCCTTGAACCTGGGAGGCCGAGGTTGCAGTGAGCCAAGATCGTGCCACTGCACTCTAGTCTGGGCGACAGAGCGAGACTCTGTCTCAAAAAAAAAAAAAAAAGAAAAAGAAAATTAGGTACAGTCCATATATTTGAAAGTGTAGAATACAGAACGCTAATTCCATAAAAGGAATTATAATTATTATACAAACATAAGGGACTATTACAATGATGTGATCATTGTAGCATAATATATAATATCACTATAAGGCAGTATAGCCCGATGTGTAGTCAGACTGCCTGGATTGGAATGGGGCTCCATCACTCACTAGCATTGAGACCTTGGGCAAATTGCTTAACCCTCTCTGTCTCAATTTCTTCATTGAAAAATGAGTATAATAATAGTATCCATCTTGTGAGATTGCAATGGGGATAAAAGGAGATGATATGCATAAGGTGCTTTGAACAGTTCCTGATGCAGTGAGCACTTAGCTAATATGCTTACTATGGCAATCTGATTGCTGGGACAGGAATAGAATTACATACATGTAAAAGGATTATGGTTGGTTGATATCTTTTTCTTGTTTTATATGGGGACGAAGTTAAGAAGTTTAGGGATGAGGGGACAGGAGTTTCAAATCAGCTCAGTTCTGTCTCATTCCCCAAGGAAAACCTTAGCTGTTTGCTAGAGTGTCAGGTAGAAACCCCACTTTTCTTTGCTGAATGACCTTGGCATTTGTGACCCACCAGTGGAAGCTAGTCTTTACCTGGAAGGCATCCATCTATTCATAACGCCCAGGAACAGCCCCTGTTCCTCACCCCTGTCAATATATCCCCAGAGTTGGGCTGAACTTTTCCAGGCTGCATTCCAAAATTCCATCCCTACCCTTGGTACGCTGCATTCCAAAAATTCCATCCCTACCTTTGGTACGCTGTTTCGAAAGAGAAATGAAAAACCAGGGAGAGAGGTCTGGGGATGATATAAGAGTGAATGAGTAAATATATGTTTGGAATTATTACCAGGTCAACATTAGGAAATCTGTTGAGTCACCCTCTACATTAATAGATTAAAGGAGAAATATGTGTGATCACTTCAACAAGTGCCAAAAAGCATTTGATAAAATTCAACACCCATTCCTACCTTCCTAATGGGCAGTGGAGGTGGGGAGCTAAACATAGAAGAGCTAAAAATAGAAAGTAACTCTCATTATTTGCAAACGATATCATCATTTAATTGAAAGACTTAAGATAATCAATGACAATCTATTAGAACCAATAAGGGAGTTCAGCAATGTGGCCAGATACAAGATCTGCATGCAGAAATCAGTAGCTTTCCTATCTTCTGGAAAGAAGGAGTTTGAAAATGTGATTTTAAAAGGAGTGGGTGGGCGCAGTGGCTCACGCCTGTAATCCCAACACTTTGGGAGGCCAAGGCGGGTGGATCGCTTGAGGTCAGGAGTTGGAGACCCCACCTCTACTAAAAATACAAAAATTAGCTGGGCGTGGTGGCACACGCCTGTAATCCCAGCTGCTCAGGAGGCTGAGGCAAGAGAACCTGGGAGGCGGAGGTTGCAGTGAGCCAAGATCGTGCCACTGCACTCCAGCCTGGGCGATAGCGAGACTCAGTCTAAAAAAAAAATAAAAATAAAATAAGGAGCCTATTCATAATATAGCAAAGATCATGTAATAACTAGTAATAAACCTATCAAGAAATATATAATACCCATGTGAAGAAAATTATAAAATTTTACTAAAGACTGTAAAGGTGTGAATAAATGGAAAGAGATATCAGTTCCTAGGTGGGAACACTTGATATTGTAAAGATGCCAATTTTCCTCATATTAATCTATAAATTCAAAATAATCCAAATTAAAATCTTAGCAGGATTTTTCATAGAAGTTCATAAGCTGATTCTAAAATCATATGTAAGACAAGATACCTAAAAATAGCCAAGAAAAAGAGCAATGAGGTGATATATGATAAAACCACAGTAATTACAACAGTGAGGTACTGGAAAAGGAATGGACATAACGAAACAGAAGAGAAAGTCCAGAAACAAATTCATGTTTCTTTTTTTTTTTTTTTTTTTTTTTTTTGAGATGGAGTCTCTGTCACCCAGGCTGGAGTACAATGGTGCGATCTCAGCTCACTGCAACCTCCGCCTCCCAAGTTCAAGCGGTTCTCCTACCTCAGCCTTCCGAGTAGCTGCGATTACAGGCGCCCGCCACCGTGCCCGACTAATTTTTGTATTTTTAGTAGAGACAGGGTTTCACCATGTTGGCCAGGCTGGTCTCAAACTCCTGACCTCAGGTGATCTGCCCACCTCGGCCTCCCAAAGTGCTAGGATTACAGGCATGAGCCACCGCACCCGGCACAAATTCATGTTCCTTTTTTTTTAATTAATTAATTTTTTTTTTTGAGATGGAGTTTCACTCTTGTTGCCCAGGCTGGAGTGCAGTGGTACGATCTCAGCTCACCGCAACCTCTACCTCCCAGGTTCAAGCCATTCTCCTGCCTCAGCCTCCCAAGTAGCTGGGACTACAGGCACGTGCCACCACACCCGCCTAATTTTGTATTTTCAGTAGAGACGGGGTTTCTTCATGTTAGTCAAGCTGGTCTCGAACTGCCAACCTCAGATGATCCGCCCACCTTGGTCTCCCAAAGTGCTGGGATTACAGGCATGAGCCACCACACCCAGCCACAAATTCATGTTTCTATGAGACTTTAGTTATGTTAAATTTGGCATTTCAAATTGGTGGAGGAAGAATGCACTATTCGATAAATGACCTTGGGGATAATTGCTTACCAATTAGAAAGAAAAGATATTTAGAAACTTCCTCACACAGTTCACACACACAAAAAAAATTCCATCTCCATGACAACCTAAATGTAAGAAAGAAAAAATATTAGATAGAAATATAAGAAGAGGATTTATTACCTTGGAGAAGAAATGTCTTCTTAAGTATGACATAAAAGCTATAAAAGAAAAGATTGACATGTCTGACTATTTAAGTGTTAAAAACTTCACTATGGCCAGGGTAGAATTTTTTCCAGGAATGCATGGTTGGTTTGATATCAGGAATAATATCTAATAAATTACCATAGCAACAAAATAAGGGAGAAAAAAGCACATAAATATATTGGGAGGGCCAGGTGCAGTGGCTCACACCTGTAATCCTAGCACTTTGGGAGGCCAAGGTGGGCAGATCACCTGAGGTCAGGAGTTTGAGACCAGCCTGGCCAACATGGCAAAACCCCGTCTCTACTAAAAACACAAAAATTAGCTGGGCGCACCGGCGGGCACCTGTAATCCCAGCTACTGGGGAGGCTGAGGCAGGAGAATTGCTTGAACCTGGGAGGCAGAGGTTGTAGTGAGCTGAGATCGCACCATTGCACTCCAGCCTAGGCAACAAGAGTGAAACTCCATCTCAAAAAAAATATATATGTGTGTGTGTGTGTGTGTGTGTGTGTGTGTGTGTGTGTGTATGGAGATGCTGAAAGAGCATTGATAAAATTCTAGACTTTCCTAACAATAACCCCAAGTAAAACAAGAATAGAAGAAATTGCTAATGTTATAAAGACTACTTGTATAAAACTAATGTCTAAATAGGGAAGCACTAAAGCCATTTCCTTTAGAATCAGAAACAAAACAAGAATGCACATTATCATCATTATTATTCAACATTGTTTTAGAAATTCTAGAGACTGCAATAGACAAGAAATGAAATATTGGGTATGAATATGGAGAAGAAAAGGTAAAAATTTTTTCCTCTTCTGATACATAATTGTATACTTAGAAAACCCAATAAGTTCTAATAAAAATAAATGAAATTAATAAGAGAGTTTGGGGATGGTAGATATCGTGTGAATATCTAAAATTAGTTGTGTTCCTCCATACTAGTAATTATCAGCTGGAAATGTAAATGGGGAAAAGTGTTCCATCCACGGGAGCAATTAAGTACATAAAATACCTGAGAAATATATTAAAAGGACAATTACAGAACTAACTGAAGAGATAGAAAACTATAAAATCTTATTGAGGGACATAAAAAATATCTGAACAAAAAGAAAGGCAGTAGCCACAATCTTGCCTGAAAGAGTTTAATACACTTGGCTGCTAAAGGCTTATGTAAAGTAAAAAAATAAAATAAAAGGCTCAGTATAATAAATACGTAAATGTAATACAATTCAAACTGTAGCCCCAGTAGGGTTTTTGAGGGAGGAGAGGGCTCTAGGTTGGGGGTAGAATTGATAAAATTTTCTTAAAATCAAGTAGCACAATAAATGCCTGAAAATAGCCAAGAAAGCTATAGAAAAGAAAGAGTAATGAAGAGGTTCTTGCCTTACTAGCTGGAAAGCATACTGTAAAGTAATATGGAAACAGTGTGGCACTGGCCCAAGAATAGACAGAGATACATGAGGGTTATGAAAGGTAAGAAAAAAAAAAAAAGAATAGACAAATGGATTTGTGGAACATACTAGAAAGCCCAGTAAGAGGCCTCTAACAATATAGTCATTTGAGGCCTGGCGCGGTGGCTCATGCCTGTAATCCCAACACTTTGGGAGGCTGAGGTGGGCGAATCATGAGGTCAGGAGTTCGAGACCAGCCTGACCAACATGGTGAAACCCCATCTCTACTAAAAATACAAAAAAAAATTAGCCAGGCATGGTGGCACACACCTGTAATCCCAGCTACTCAGGAGGCTGAGGCAGGGGAATCGCTTGAACCTGGGAGGTGGAGGTTGCAATGAGCCGAGATCATGCCATTGCACTCTAGCCTGGGCGACAGAGCAAGAGTCCGTCTCAAAAAAAAAAAAAAAAAAAAAAAAAAAAAAAAATATATATATATATATATATATATATAGAGAGAGAGAGAGAGAGAGAGAGAGAGAGAGAGAGAGAGAGAGTCATTTGAGTATGACAAAGATGGTATTTCAAGTGAGAAAGAGATATAATTGGTTTCAGCACCAATATTTTTACTCTCTTGAGGCATAAAACAGAGACCAGTCATTGGGAGTGGGTGGAGGGGACCTTGGAGTACTGAGGGGGCACCTGGTCAGGCCTGGGGTGGGATTGGTCCTCAGCTCCACCATGTCTCACCCAGGTGTCACCACAGTGATGGCAGTGGAGGACAGCACGCTGCAAGTAGTGGTACGGGTGCGGCCCCCCACCCCTCGGGAGCTGGACAGTCAGCGGCGGCCAGTGGTTCAGGTGGTGGACGAGCGGGTGCTGGTGTTTAACCCTGAGGAGCCCGATGGAGGGTTCCCTGGCCTGAAATGGGGTGGCACCCATGATGGCCCCAAGAAGAAGGGCAAAGACCTGACGTTTGTCTTTGACCGGGTCTTTGGCGAGGCGGCCACCCAACAGGACGTGTTCCAGCACACCACGCACAGCGTCCTGGACAGCTTCCTCCAGGGCTACAACTGCTCAGGTGAGAACCTCAGCCCTGCCTGGCAGTGGCCTGGCCTCCCTGCCTCCTCCTAAGGGAAGGGTTTCATGTGTCTTCTGGCATGTGCCCGCCTCCCCCAAGCTGGGCACGATTTACTAAGGAGTTTTGTACAATGTCCCATCATGCTCTGTGGGACACTCATTCATTCATTCAGTCTATGGGGGAGGCACTCTACTGGGCCCAGGACTGCAACAGCAAATCAGACAGGACAGTTCCTGTCCACTTGGTGCTTACAGTCTAGAGGGGAGAAGACACCACTCACAGATCACACCCACAGTGTGTGGGGATAAACCAGGGTAAGTGGTAAGAGGGAGATAACTGTGAGCCTTCAACACCAAAAGCTGCCTCACCTACAGAAGGAAGGCATAGCCCGCACCCATAGTGGAGATCAGGTCATCCCAAATCCACTGGCCTATGGGGGAACAGAACAAACACACAGAGAACTCCAGCCCTGCAGCGGGAACATGGAGGGTGTGATTAGTGGGATTAATGGACCAGGGAACACAGGAGGAAAAGGAAAGGGGCTTGAGGGAGGAGGGAAGGGCTGAGCTGGGTGGCAAGGCACTGGGGTCCTCCTCCTTACTATGTCCTCTGCAGTGTTTGCCTACGGGGCCACCGGGGCTGGGAAGACACACACCATGCTGGGAAGGGAGGGGGACCCCGGCATCATGTACCTGACCACCGTGGAACTGTACAGGCGCCTGGAGGCCCGCCAGCAGGAGAAGCACTTCGAGGTGCTCATCAGCTACCAGGAGGTCGGCTGCCCCTGCCCTGGGCCTTGTTCTCACAACCACCCGGGGGGAAGTGAGCCCATGGGGTGGAGTGAGCTGGTGTGGGACAGGGTGGCAGGAAATGGAGAGCTGGCACCCCTCAAGGAGATAGATACTGCTCAGTGAGATGCTGCACTAGAGACACCCGCCTGTTCACCCTGCTGTGGTCATGTAACACAGTCCTGGGAAGCGCCACTTCTGTGGGTGTCTCAGATACATCCCGGCCTCAGCTCCCCTGTCCAGCCGCTAGGGAGAGGTTTCCTGATGGGCCGCTCTCCCTCAGGCCTCTTCCTTTCTTCCTTTCTCAGGTGTATAATGAACAGATCCATGACCTCCTGGAGCCCAAGGGGCCCCTTGCCATCCGCGAGGACCCCGACAAGGGGGTGGTGGTGCAAGGACTTTCTTTCCACCAGGTGTGGGATTGGGCTCGGGTAGGATGATCGGCCCCATGGGTCCTTGGGGTTCCCTCACAAAACTGTTTGGGGATGCCCTGGGTCCTGTGATGGTGGTAGCAGTGGTGGTGGTAGCAAGGGGGTGATGTAGATTCTGAAGAGCAGCCCTTCCTGTTAGGGGAAAAGTCCTGATCCGGGAACCCACAGCCCCGTTCCTGGGCTTCTCCTCTGTAGCCAGCCTCAGCCGAGCAGCTGCTGGAGATACTGACCAGGGGGAACCGTAACCGCACGCAGCACCCCACTGATGCCAACGCGACTTCCTCCCGCTCCCATGCCATCTTCCAGGTGAGGTCATGGGTCAGAGCCTGAAACCAGTGCCCCTGATGCCCATCTCCCCCTCACCCCTGCCATCTGCCTTCAGATCTTTGTGAAGCAGCAGGACCGGGTTCCAGGACTGACCCAGGCTGTCCAGGTGGCCAAGATGAGCCTGATTGACCTGGCTGGCTCAGAGCGGGCATCCAGCACCCATGCGAAGGGGGAGCGGCTGCGGGAGGGGGCCAACATCAACCGCTCTCTGCTGGCGCTCATCAACGTCCTCAATGCCTTGGCCGATGCAAAGGTAAAGCAGCACAGGCCAGTATTCTCCCCAGGATAGCAACTGAGCACCTGAACCCAGGGCCAAAGGCCACAGGGCCCCATCCTGGGTCAGTGCCATCAGTCGCCTCACCCCACACCTGCTTACTGCCCCCCAGGGCCGCAAGACCCATGTGCCCTACCGGGACAGCAAACTGACCCGCCTGCTCAAAGACTCCCTCGGGGGCAACTGCCGCACAGTGATGATCGCTGCCATCAGCCCCTCCAGCCTGACCTACGAGGACACGTACAACACCCTCAAATATGCCGACCGGGCCAAGGAGATCAGGCTCTCGGTGCGTGCCAGCCAGGGCCGGCTTGGGCGTGGGGCAGCTCCAGCCGGGGAGCAGGAAAGGGTGGGACCCAGGCAGCTCCAATAGATCCCTGGGCCAAGTGTCCCCAAGGCAGAGGAAGGAAGTTCCTCTGGCCTGGACATGGTGGCTCATGCCTGTAATCCCAGCACTTTGGGAGACCAAGGTGGGCAGATCACCAGAGGTCAGGAGTTCGAGACCAGCCTGGGCAGCATGATGAAACCCCATCTCTACTAAAAATACAAAAATCTGCTGGGCATGGTGGTGGGCACCTGTAATCCCAGCTACTCTGGAGGCTGAGGCAGAAGAATCGCTTGAACCCAGGAGATGAAGGTTGCAGTGAGCTGAGATAATGCCACTGCACTCCAGCCTGGGCGACAGAGCTAGACTCTGTCTCAAAAAAAAAAAAAAGAAGTTCCTCTGTCTTCAGAGAGTCTTTGTGATAGAAGCGACACAGTCCCCATCCCTGGGTGGGAAGCCACCAGCTGAGAGGGGCAAGATGTTCTCCAAAACCAAGGGAGACGGCAGGAGGGTGGCCTCTCATTGGCCAGTGGTCTAGTTCAGACTTGTTTTTAGCAGTGGGAGCATATTTTCAGCAAAACATAAACACCAATATATGCTTTCTGCCACATCTGCTTGACCCCTCTCTTCCTCCCTCCCCCCAGGGAGCCCTGGCTCTCCTGGGACCACTGCAAGAACACCCTAACCCTGGCAAGAAGGTCTTAGTCGTGGAGTCAGGGGTCTTCTGCCCCTCGCTGTGGTCTCAGGCATGATACTGACCTTCTCTGCTGTGTCTCCCCACTTGCGAGGGTGGGTCATGGGGACGTGGGAGAGACCTAGTGCAGTGCCTGGCCATCGGCGGTGGCTGATAAAAGCTGCTTTGAATGAACAAATAAATCTCTCTCCTGTTCCCCATCTCAGCTGAAGAGCAATGTGACCAGCCTGGACTGTCACATCAGCCAGTATGCTACCATCTGCCAACAGCTCCAGGCTGAGGTGAGGAGCCCGCCTTGGGGGCAGGCTGGAGGGCCGACAGCCAGAGGCAGGAGCTTGAGGGTGTGGCGGGGGCTCTGTCTGCCCCTCCCCTCCTGTGCTTAGCTGGGGCTCTCAGGGGCTGGGCTGCTTCTGTTCCAGGTAGCCGCTCTGAGGAAGAAGCTCCAAGTGTATGAGGGGGGAGGCCAGCCCCCACCACAGGACCTCCCAGGATCTCCCAAGTCGGGACCACCACCAGAACAGTGAGTTCCACTGCCCATTCCCGCCCCCACCCTGCAGCTCAGCCAGGATGGGGAGCCAGGCCCTCTTCTCCAGTTTCTGGAGGACTAGGACTCCTTGCTTCTGCTCCAATCCCTAGGGTTAAGGGTTTGCACCCAGTGCCTGCCCAGCAACTGACTGTCACCTAGAGTGCTGTGTCCAATGAGTAAATGGCACCCCAGCCCGTAAGAGCAGGGCCTACTATTCGAGAGAAGGTGAACTTAGGGGTGTGTGTCATTGTCTCTCAAACCAGAAAATCCCTGACTCCTCCTACCCTCAGCTACTGCCCATTTGTCACCTAAGCATCTGTCCCTTATGGACTCTATACGACCTGGGTGCCACAGAGATCCCACCCGCTCCCTGCTCTCCCACCTGGCCCACATCCTGCCTCTCAAACCCTCCTTTCCCGCTTAGCCTTCCCAGCTCCCCCTTGCCACCCCACCCTCCCAGCCAGCCCTGCACCCCAGAGCTCCCTGCAGGGCCTAGAGCCCTTCAAGAGGAGAGTCTGGGGATGGAGGCCCAGGTGGAGAGGGCCATGGAAGGGAACTCTTCAGACCAGGAGCAGTCCCCAGAGGATGAGGATGAAGGCCCAGCTGAGGAGGTAGGACTTGGGGGTGTGAGGCCTGGGTATCGGGAGGGCTTGGAGCTGGTGGGATATTGGAAAAATTGCCTCTCCCTGACTCAGAGTCCCTTTAGTCCCGTCTCTATGTGGATGTCTTGCACCTTAGTCATTAGGAGGATTTCAGATTCTGTGCAGGAAGAAGAAATACTCTTATCAGATCCTTGTGTGTTTGGAAGTGACCAGGACCTGGTCATTCTAGGAGCTGTCATTTCCACTCTTGTAGGAGGGAAGGATTTTAGAAGCTGTTTATAAAGATGAGGAGGCCATCCTGGCCCCTCTACCTGTGCCTTTTCCTTCCTCTTTAGGTTCCAACCCAGATGCCAGAGCAGAACCCCACACATGCACTGCCAGAGTCCCCTCGCCTGACCCTGCAGCCCAAGCCAGTCGTGGGCCACTTCTCAGCACGGGAACTGGATGGGGACCGTTCTAAGCAGTAGGTATCTTCTTGCTGTATTCTGGAATCAAGGTGGGAAGCAATGGGCTCAGCCTCCCTGGGTGTGGGAATTGGTGTTAAGCACATCACAAAAGCCCTGTCTCTTCATCAGCACTGTCCTTTACCTGGTTTCACCTCCTTGTTGTTATCGTCACCTACTTGATTAACTTATCACCTCTATGTATTCCTCTACATAGCTGGCTGCCTAGCAGGAGAGGGAAGCAAAATGCCAGAGTACATCCAGGCAGCCAGCAGACCCTGGGTCAGGGCAGGGCGGCTGGGGCTTACGCTTTGCTTTCCAGTCTGAGGCCAGGCTGCCCCTCCACAGCAAGGAGGGGACAGCCAAGGGAAGCTGAACGTCAGGCTGGGGAAGGGACAGCCTTCCTGAGCCAGTGTTTTTCATGTATCTTCATCAACAGATTGATTGCGGCTATTTTTTCTCAGAAGTAAATACAAACCACTAATCAAAGCCAAAGAAAAATGGATTTTGGACCATTCTTTCTATGCTTCATAGAAAGATGCTGCTAATATTTTTCTCCTTGGCCCCTAGTTCCTAAATCCCCTGCCACTTAGCTCTGTTACTGCCATCCCGCTCTTCCCTCCCCAGCACGCTTCATGCTAGGCAGTGTATTTAAAGCTTCTGGACAGAAGGGCCTGTTTAATTTTATTTCTTGTTGGGGAGTGTCTGTTCCCGACTCAGCAAAAATGCTGCAGTCTGAATAATCGGCAGCTCATTATCTGTCTCCTGCTTATCAGGTCCTGCCCAGGGCCCTGGAGAGGCAAGGATGCTCTGGTGCGACATCCCCCTGATCTCCCAGGGAACAACCATGAGCTCCTACCGATGACCCAGGGCCCCTCTGCTAGGGGTCCCCTGTTATAAGGAGAGAGGACACCAGGGTCCTTATTTCTGCCCTGGCTTTGTGGTCTCCAACAAATTGCTTCAACCTTGGCCTTGACTGGGGATCATAGCCCCCGGTCTCCCTACTTCTTGGGGATGAAGTACTAATAAAATGTGACAAATCTCCATGTTTGGAAACGTCCTAACAGCCAGATCGTTGAAAATAATTTCCCTTTGATTTTAGAATTTAGAATCTTGGACCACTAGGTACTGAGTAGATCTTAGATTTTCCAGTTCAGTGGTTTTTCAGATTTTTTTTTATTGTTTTTAGCTACAAAATACTTTCTTCAAATGAAATCTTATGCTGAAGTCTAATGCATAGAACAGTCAAAACAGAGTTACTCTGTCTGATGGGTTTTTGAAACCTAATTTGAAAACTCCAGATTTAGACCAGCTCCCCATTTGTCAGATGGGGCACTGAAGCCTTTGTCCAGGCTCACATAGCAAGAGGGACGGGGCCAGAGCCTGGATATTTCCCCCAAACGCCCATGCTTCGCAATTGTCTAATCTTCCTTGTAATGTGTGGCCCGTGCAGATATAGAATGAGTTTCCTCTGTGTCCATTTTAATTTATATCCTGCCTTTTTTCAAAAAGGCCTTGAGGCTGCTTTATAAAATGAGTTTGTGTTCCCTCAGCACACCCTGACTGAGGGCAGTGGAGGGGGCTTCAGAGATGTCCAGGCCAGTAGAACTACCTGAGGATAAACCATTTTCCATGGATAATTCCCACTGAGATAATTGTGTTTATTCTTTTATCATAGGTGTGCCTTACAGAAAGAAAATATGCTTTATTAGAATCTAAATTTACAACATCAATAATCTCATTACCTTCATCATTTCCTTCAAGTAGCCCCCCAGTGCCTGTGAAATACGCCTTGATTCACACATACTTTTTCAGGATCCCAGTCATTAAATAGAAAGCATAGACGGAATGCGTTTTTGAGGGCCTTCTTAGAACCACAATGAACATAGCCTATCTTACATAATCTCCTCTTATCCTAACCAGCAAGATGGTATTATTTCCATTTTACAGGAAACAATAGTTAGCTAGACCTACAGTGCTTATTACATGTCAGGTATTCTTTAAACATTTTGTCTGTAAAGTAACTCATTCAGTCTTTCCAATAACCCTATGAGGTGGGGGCATTTGTTATCCCCATTCTAAGGTTGTGGAGACTGAGGTTAACCAGTGCATCCAAGATCACACAGCTGGGAGGTATTGGAGCCAGGATGTGAGTGGGAAACTGGCAGTCTGACTTGAGCTGGGCTCTTAACTGCCCCTTTGCACTGCCCTTAGGGTAGATGAACTCATGATTGCAGCTCTAGTAGGTGGCAGAGCCAAGAGAAGACTCAGACCTTCTGAGTCCAGGGCCACCTAGTGCCATTTCCCTACTTCTCAGATCACTGTCTTTGTCATGGGGCGTGTTTAGTGGGTGACACCTCCCACCATTACCCGTGGCCATCCTGGTCGGCCTTGGCCTTCAGCAATAGCAGAGCAGGAGCTGTGGCTGAGAGGGTGGTGAGTCTGGCTAGCCTGTCTGGGGTGAGGCAGGAGGGAGCCAGGGGACCAGTTCAGACTCCTCAACCACAGCTGGAGTGATGAGGACAGGTGCATGGCATAGAGGCTCCTGGTCAGGCTGAGTCTGAGCAGGGCTGGGAATCCCCTTTCTTCTGTTCCAGGTTGGCCCTAAAGGTGCTGTGCGTTGCCCAGCGGCAGTACTCCCTGCTCCAAGCAGCCAACCTCCTGACGCCCGACATGATCACAGAGTTTGAGACCCTACAGCAGCTGGTGCAAGAGGAAAAAATTGAGCCTGGGGCAGAGGCCTTGAGGACTTCAGGCCTGGCCAGGGGGGCACCTCTGGCTCAGGAGCTGTGTTCAGAGTCAAGTGAGTCTCATCCTGCTCTCCCCTGCCTGTCTTCAAGGTGCTGTCTTCAAGGCCCCACTGGGGCCAAGGGGTGTCCAGGGGCCTCAGTTGCTGGGTTTTGCTGCTGTAGGAGGCTGGGCCCCTGGGATCCTAGACTTCTGCACACAGAGAGGCCCCAGGAGACCTGAGGGGTTATGGGCTCCTTCATGTCTCCAGTGTCTGGCTCCCCAAGTTCTACAAACTCTCCTTCCTTCTGTGCAGTCCCTGTGCCGTCTCCTCTCTGCCCAGAGCCTCCAGGATACACTGGCCCTGTGACCCGGACTATGGCGAGGCGACTGAGTGGCCCCCTGCACACCCTGGGAATCCCGCCTGGACCCAACTGCACCCCAGCCCAGGGGTCCCGATGGCCCATGGAGAAGAAGAGGAGGAGACCAAGCGCCTTGGAGGCAGACAGTCCCATGGCCCCAAAGCGGGGCACCAAGCGCCAGCGCCAGTCCTTCCTGCCCTGCCTAAGGAGAGGGTCTCTGCCTGACACCCAACCTTCACAGGGGCCCAGCACCCCCAAAGGAGAAAGGGCCTCCTCCCCCTGCCATTCCCCTCGCGTTTGCCCAGCCACAGTCATCAAAAGCCGGGTGCCCCTGGGCCCTTCCGCCATGCAGAACTGCTCCACCCCGCTGGCTCTGCCCACTCGAGACCTCAATGCCACCTTTGATCTCTCTGAGGAGCCTCCCTCAAAGCCCAGTTTCCATGAATGCATTGGCTGGGACAAAATACCCCAGGAGCTGAGCAGGCTGGACCAGCCCTTCATCCCCAGGTGGGTCTCCCAGTCTCGCTCCACCCCTCCTGTCAGTGGTCAGTGGTCAGCAAGGGACTTCTTGGTGCTGCTGAGAAGTATGGAGGACAGCCTTGGAGCTGGGACGGTTCCTATCTGTTCCACTTTGGTTGTGATCCGCTTTGCTCCCCAGGCCCAACAGCTGCCAGGGAGGTGTCACTTCTCCTGGGGCCCCTGCCTGGTCTGTCCATGCTGCAAAGCCACCCACTCTGTGCTGGTTTGTAGCATGCTCATGAGTAGCTAATGGGACCCCAACTTGGAAAGAGTCAGCAGGGAACAAGAATGTACTAGGGGAACCCAACACTTCTGTTCCTCTCTTTACTTGGGCTCTTTGGCCTGGGCTGCATTCTATGTTCCACTGGGAAATACCTCTTTCTGCCACTTCTACTCCAGATTTTGGCCTCCGGCCCAGCATCTGGAACAGGAAAGGGGGTCCTTAGAAAACTCAGTTCAGTATTTTCCAGTGAGAAGACGAAGCTGTCACTCCCCCTTTCCACACACATGGCAGAGGAGGGGAACAGCAGCCTGCTCAAGACAGTCCAAGGCCAAGAACCAGTGGCAGACTGACCTGCACCTGTGGGGCAGAGGCTGGCAGGCTCTGCCCACCCACGCACCCGCCCATTCCATAGCCCGAGAAGCAGCTCTCGGTAACAAGCGCAGAGCTGGGCAGGTGGAAGGGTGAAATTGTTTGAACTCCAGTTCCCCGGGTGCACCAGAAACTGGCATCTGGATGTCCTCCCAGAGCAGGCCTGTCACTCAGCTGTCAGCCAGGCAGAGAGAGGAATCCACCTCTTTGTAGAAGAAACCTCAGAGGTCATCTTGTCCAACCACCCTCCCCCATGCCCGAGCTGGGGGCTGGAGGGAGGAAGTGGCTGGCCTTGCTTCCGGTTCCCTGCTGATCAGCCTCCTTCCCTGTCCTCCCTCCCCAGGGCACCTGTGCCCCTGTTCACCATGAAGGGCCCCAAGCCAACATCTTCCCTCCCTGGGACCTCTGCCTGCAAGAAGAAGCGCGTTGCGAGGTGAGGTTTGGGAGGTGTCAGCTGTCTGGGAGAAGGAGCTCGCTCTCACCAGGGCAGTAGACACCTGGGCCGACTCTGGGCCCCCAGTGTCTCTGTCTCTACACCCCCGGAGCAAGCAGCTGAGGTCCTGTGAGCAGGGCCCGCATCTAGTTCTCCTATTGAGGTTTCCTTGGCCCTTGCTATCCCAGGATCACCCCAGAGCTGATCCATGAGGGAGGCTCTCAGCACCCATTTATCCATGAGGGAGATGTTGCACACCATTAATCCAGCAAAGGGACTCTCCATCCTCACTGCTACTTCCCTCTTGTGTCCCCAACCCTACACACTGCCTCTCCCACCCTTAGATCCAGCTCTGGAAGCTCCTGCTGGTGCCCAGCAGCCTTTGCTCTCAGGGCTTAGTGTCAAGTACTTATATGCCCCACTTCAATGCACACCCATAGTCCAGAGACAGGGCCGTAACCTTCCACCTTCCCTCCTTTCCTCCCTCAGTTCCTCAGTCTCCCATGGCCGCAGCCGCATCGCCCGCCTCCCCAGCAGCACTTTGAAGAGGCCAGCTGGGCCCCTTGTACTCCCAGGTGACTGGCACTAGGGACAGGGATAGCCTGGGCCATGGAGGCCGATGAAGACAAGAAGGAGGAGGGGACGGGGAGCTGAGACCCAGAAGAAAGGAGGGCCTAGGGTATTGCCAAGCATCTCAGGGATGCTGCTGATGAGACAGGTGGGAGGTGGGCTGGAGGACGGGGACAGAGCGTCACTTTCCTTCCTCGCTGCACTCCCCGCCACCCATCCAACTGGCCTGCAGAGCTGCCCTTGAGTCCCCTGTGCCCTAGCAACCGGAGGAATGGAAAGGACCTCATCAGGGTGGGGAGAGCACTCTCAGCAGGGAACGGCGTCACCAAGGTGTCCTGACCGCCAGAATGTCCTGACCACCAAGGTGTCCTAACCTACCGGCCCCTCTGCTGGATACCCCTCTTGGACCTGTAGCCACCTGCACCAGGAGCTGGACCTGCCTTCCTTACCTGGGAGCAATTAGTGCCAACACACCTTTGCTGTATTAACATCCCTCCCCAGACATCCATCCTGCTACTCACCCTCTGTTAATCTCCTGTTACACTCAGCTTCTTGGCATGTACATATTCATTTGTGAGTGTTAATGTGCTGCTGTTTTTTGTTTTTTGGTGGTTTTTGTTTTTTGTTTTTTTTGTTTTGAGATGGAGTCTTACTCTGTCGCCCAGGCTGGAGTGCAGTGGTACGATCTTGGCTCACTGCAACCTCCGCCTCCTGGGTTCAAGTAATTCTCCTGCCTCAGCTTTCCAAGTAGCTGGGATTACAGGCACCCATCACCACACCCAGCTAATTTTCGTCTTTTTAATAGAGAGGGGGTTTTTCCATGTTGGCCAGGCTGGTCTTGAACTCCTGACCTCAGGTGATCCGCCTGCCTCAGCTTCCCAAAGTGCTGAGATTACAGGCATGAGCTACCACGCCTGGCCCGTGTTGCTGTTTTAAAGGTGCTGCCATGTTCCCCCATCTTTTTTTTTTTTGAGATGGAGTCTCGCTCTGTCGCCCAGGCTGGAGTGCAGTGGTGGCGATCTTGGCTCACTGCAAGCTCCGCCTCCCAGGTTCACACCATTCTCCTGCCTCAGCCTCCCAAGTAGCTGGGACTACAGGCGCCCACCACCACGCCTGGCTAATTTTTTGTATTTTTAGTAGAGATGGGGTTTCACCGTGTTAGCCAGGCTGGTCTCGATCTGACCTCATGATCCACCCGCCTCGGCCTCCCAAAGTGCTGGGATTACAGGCGTGAGCCACTGCGCCCGGCCTCCCCTCTCATTTATGATGCCCTCTGTGCAGGCAGACGGCTCTTGGGCTCTTTTCCCCACCTGTCTCTAACACAGGCCCCACGGTGATGGCCACAGGCAGTAGAGGAGGAATGAGGATGGGTTGGGGAGCGGGGAGTCGCGGCTTGGCTCTTCCTGGTTTCTGAGAGGGACATCTTCATCCCTACTCCCCTTGGTCCCCAACCACAGTCCTGGTGAAGATGTGGATGATAATGGTGCCTTGATTTCCAAATGAAGACAGCTTTATTGCTTAACTCTATTGTACATAGGATACACGTTCAGTGTAAAATAAAGTGTAAAGGGGAATTCAGGCTTAATGCTGCACCTAGATATAAATGCTAATGATACTTGGGTTTATAGCCTTCTGATCCTTTATTTCTGCATATATATATAGATATATACATATATTTTTGGTATAACAATAAACCGTCTCCATCCTTGGTGTGTGTGTCTCTCTGTACACCTAGATAGGATAGCAACACCTTCCCTTTCTCACCTTGCTACTCTTAAGACCTCAGGAAACTTCTGAGTATATACAGAAAACAGTTCTCACTCTGCCTCCTCCTGGAGCCTGAGGTCTGAGCCCGGCTCTTCACTTCACAGCCCAATACGCCCTAAAGGGCCTCCTCTTCTCCGTGGGTTTGGGAGTAATTGCACCTGGAGGTCTGTTCCACCCTTCTACGGCCTTGGCGGTGGGTTGCTAGGAGTTCTGCCTTCTTAGTGGCCCCCAGGTCTTAGGTGAGGCTCCAAGCTAATCCCCACAGGCTTAAGTCCAGTGCAGTCTGCTGCCAACACCCGTCCACCTGGCTCGTGACTTCCATCTCCACTTCCTTGGATTGGGCGACAGTGCCACATAAGTTTCCCTCCGTTCTCCCCATGAAGACATGGTTGGCTGAATGAATTAATAGTGTAAACAAAATTACAGGAGTCTGTGTTTAACCTGCTTCTGAAAACAAACATGTTAAAGGTATTTAGAGCATTGTGAGTAGCATGTAAATAAATGCTGCTAATTTCAAGTGAGTCCTGGCTGTTCTCGGGGAGCAGCCTCTACCGGGTCAGCCCCTCAGCTCTGAGCCCTTTTTGTTTTGGTTTTGTTTTGTTTTGAGACAGAGTCTCACTGCAACTCCCAGGCTGTAGTGCAATGGTGCAATCTTGGCTCACTGCAAGCTCTGCTTCCTGGGTTCAAGCGATTCTCCTGCCTCAGCCTCCCAAAATGCCGGGACTACAGATCTGGGCCACCACACCTGGCTAATTTTTGTATTTTTAGTAGAGACAGTGTTTCACCATGTTGGTCAGGCTGGTCTCGAATTCCTGACCTAAAGTGATCCACCCACCTTGGCCTCCCAAGATGCTAGGACTACAGGCGTGAGCCACCGTGCCTGGCCTCTGAGCCCTTTTTGGAGTAGAGGAAAGAACAGCCAGAAGCATCGAGCACCCACTGGCTGCCAGGCCCTTCACTGAGCTGCGCCACCTCATAAGGGAGATAATGATAGGCTCCGAAAGGGTCACAAAACTTGCCCAGAGTTAGATTCAAGCGTTCTGGATCTGAGGTCTGCTTCTCTGCATCACACCAAGCTGCTTTCCTCCAGAAGTGAACAATGTCTGTTCACTTCCAGAGGGAAGTGAAAAGGACAGACATTTCATGTGCTTGGGGTTCCCTCCTTTCCAATTAGTCTTAATGAAGTTTTCCCCCACTGTGTACCATGATTTCCAGAGAGGCAGTCACAGATTCACATCATCGTAGCCCCCAGTGCCCTGGCATGGTGCCTTGACCTCAGGAGGCCTCACTGAGTGTTGGTTGGATTCAAATTGAATAACATCCCCCATTTCCTGGGGCCTTCACATATATTATCTTATTTGATCATCACCATCACCCCTGCAAGTGCAGAGGCAGCAGGCACAGGGCAAGGCAGCTGGTAATGAGGGCCAGGAGGGCAACCTTCACCCAATAGGGTCCGTTGCATGAGGGAGAATTTTGCCTGGGCCGGGGGCAGCTCAAGTGGAAGAGGTCACTCTTGACAAGAATGTTCTACAGCCGGTCATTCACTCGGCAAACACTTGTGGCTCCGTGGTGCAAAATGTGCTCCCAGGTAACCCATTAAATTCACAACGACTCTGTGCCGATGGAGTCAAACACATGGGGCTCCTGCCCTCAATCACAGGAGGTCGGGCTGAGAGTGCTCACTCGCGGTGTGGTGTCCCCACGCCAGGAGGCAATTTGTCTGGTCTGAGCTTTGAGCTTCGCAGGGAGCTGGCAGGGGATCCAGGGGGCAGCAAGCTGACAGCCAGCTCCCAGCTGACCTCCGTGGGTGGCAATGAGACTCAGATTGGATTGTTCTTACATAAACAGAGTCATCCACGAAACGCGGCGATCGATGGCTCCCCATCTGCTGAGGGCCCAGCCTGGTCTAACGCCCCCCGCTCCCTGCCTCATCCTGCCTCTTCCACCTCAAAGGCCTGGAAAAGCCTCTCACTCCACCTCTATGAGTTTAGAAATCCTCATGCCCCAGGCCTTTTATGCCCACCTCCTTGCTTGACTCAGTACCCACAGCTCACGCCTGGGCCCCCACCCTGGGGTACAAATCCTGCCCAGTTCAGAGAATCAGGCTCAGTGCCAGGGGCTGAAAACAGAACAAGACATGGTCCCTCCATGCACGGAATCAGGATGGCACCTGTTCCTATCACCTGAGTGTAAGTCCAAATCTCCATCGGTGTTGGTATCTGCCAAGGAGAAGGGGTTGGGTTTTCTCTCTGGGTACCCCTTACACACGGTCATCAGCTTGGCCCACAAAGGGGACTTCGTCACCACCTGGGGAGCCTCCGTGGTGGCTACTAACTCAGGAGTCCTGCCTCCCAGACCCCCAGATTCTCCCAGGAATGTCCCCTTGGCTCTTGGTCATGTCTGGGGGATCCTGGCTCCCAGCTAGAATTTGGTTCACGGTCATCTTCCCTTCTTCCATGGTTCTTTGTGAAGAAGGATCCAGGAGGGCTTGAGATAAAGAATGTGAGGGCCAGCGTGGTGGCTCACACCTGTAATCCCAGCACTTTGAGAGGCTGAGGCGGGCGGATCACCTGAGGTCAGGAGCTCAAGACCAGCCTAGCCAACATGGTAAAACCCCATCTCTACTAAAAATACAAAAATTTAGCTGGGCATGGTGTAATCCCCGCTACTCGGGAGGCTGAGGCAGGAGAATCACTTGAACCCGGGAGGCAGAAGCTGCAGTGAGCTGAGATCATGCCACTGCACTCCAACCTGGGCGACGGAGTGAGACTCCGTCTCAAAAAAAAAAACAAAAACAAAAACAAAAAGAATGTGGGGCAGGGGAATCACCCCAGGGGCCTAGAGATGGTGGCTGTGTTTTCCAGCTCACCCTGAGGGCTTCCCACAGCTCGCATGCAGCCCTCCTGCCTCCGTTCTCCGGTTCATCCTGTCCATTTGGAGGACTAATAGGCTGGAAATAACAGGCCACCCGCCAGTCCGCTCCTCCCACCAGGGCCACATCTGGTCCTCGCCTTTCACCCTCCAGAGGGAGCCAATCAGGGAGGCAGAGGGGAGTGGGGAACAGAGCAGATCAGGGAAAGCAATTAAAAAGCTGCTCTCGGGGTTACAGGCTGGGACGCGGGGGGCAGGCTACAGTGGGCCCTGGCTGGGGTGGGGAGAAGCAAGGAAGAACGGGCCTGAGCTTATTAACCCCAGTGCAGCAGCCTGGGGTCTGTGAAGGTTAGTGAACCAATGCTGAGAAGGCCAGGGAAGAGCAAGGGGAAGGGACTTGGGGTTCAGCCAGGAACCTTTCTGCAGCCACAGGAGTCAGTTCTAGACAGCAGAGCCTGGCTGGGCACAGGCTGAGGATGGGGGTAAGGAATGGGCCCTACTCTGAGGCAACCCCCTCTCCAATGGAATGGGAGACAGTTCCTGCCCTCAAGGAGCTCCCATCTGACAATGAGCCATGGGTTCTAGCATTGGGGAGCCCCTATCCAAGGGAAGAGGATGACTCCTGTCCTGTGGGTGCTTTAGCCTGGGGTTGGGGGAAACACTGTCCTTAGAGAGACCCCAGTTTGCTGGGAAGACATAGGTCCTAGCATCAGGAAGTCCCCATCTGTTGGGGGAAAGGCATGGCCCCTCTCCTTGTAAAGCTTCAGGCTGAGATGCAAATGAGACCCACACCCAAGCAGGGGTGACACACAGAGCTTTTCAAACGGGATAGAGTTGTGGGGCTCAAGTCTAGGGATGGGGAGGGGTGAGGATGGAGAAAACAGCACCCACTGGGGGAGTCAGAGAGCCAAGAAAGCAGGTGGGAAAGCAGTCTCAGTACTCTGAGTCTCCAGGGCCGGCGGAGATAACTTGCCTGTGTCCCCTGGGAGATGAAGCCACCAACAACTCGTGGTCTGAGGGTAGACAGTGCTGGCTCTCCCCCATGCTTCACTAGCTGCTGCTCTCTGTCCTGTCCACACTGCCAAGTAACTGCCCTTGGGGGAGGGATGTCCACATACTCCCAAAGGAGTTAACAGGATACAGAAGCCCTTTCAGAGGTCCCAGCTCCTGCCCCTCCGCCAACCCCATCGCAGATCCGCTAACATGTCGATAGGTAAAGCTCCTGGTAGGTGTTATGAAATGGAAGCTCTAATTTGTCAAGCACCTGCTGTGTTCAGCTTTCACTGATTTTATTCTTACAACTACCTGGGGAGCAGGCATGGTTGAATCCCCATTTTACAGACGTGGAAATGAAGACTCAGGCAAGGTTCTTAAAGTCATCAAAGACTGCACAGCTACTGAGTGGCCAAGGCTTTGCTCCCTCTCCTTGAGGACAGTGCTATAGCAGTCAGAGTCAAGTCTAGAGAACAAAGCGGGTGATGCCCCTGGGTGAAACAAATTTGGGTTTTAGAAAACTCCGCCTACAGCTTTCTCCCTGCCTCTAAACTGCGGTGGCTGTGGCGGCTCACACCTGACCAGCTGAGCACCACCATCTAGTGGCCACCAGGCTCAGTTCCCTTCCTCGGGACAGGCCATGGATGAACAGACTTGCTGGTCACCAAGGCTCAGCCAGAGAGACTGTGTTCTCTTCACCCAGCTTGCTGACCACCACGCTGTGCCAGGCACTGGGCCAGGGCCAAGGGCCCAAGCAGAACCAGCGGGCAGCAGTCATGTGGCAAAACTGCCGTTTGAATTAGAGGCTGGCCTATTTGGCAAACACCAGGCACCCTGTGTGTGGGTTGATGCCACATGTGGGGCTGGTCTGTCCCAGGAGGCATCTGGGCTTTACCCTGTAAGCAGAAGGTCATCTAGCAGATTCTGATGTGAGGGAGGGGCTCAGGAAGGTCATCTTGTCCTCACCTCAGCTTGAAGCAGGCACAGCTTGGCTGTAGGCTCCTTGAAAGGGCATCCAGACTTCTCTCTCCATGGCTGGTATTATCCTGCTGTGCAGTCTAGAAGGCAGTCTAGGGTTTGGCCAGAGGCTTTAGAAGTTGGGGCCTTCCATTTGGGGAAGCAGGAGAGGAGGCACCCCAGAGAATGGGGCCTGAGCCAGGCTAGGAGGATGGGGGGTTTGGGTGGAGGCTGGACGGGCTGAGGGCCTACCCTTCTCTGTTTGCTGTGTCTGCCTGCAGCAGATGCAAATCAGAGTGTGGTTTAGAACAGAGAGAGGACAGTCACAGCGGCTCACATCTGTAATCCTAGCACTTTGGGAGGCTGAGGCCAGAGGATCACTTGAGGCCAGGAGTTCAAGACCAGCCTGGGCAACATAACAAGACTTGGTCTCTGAAAAAAAAAATTATCTGGGCACACTGTCATGTGCCTGTAGTCCCAGCTCCTTGGCAGGCTGTGGCAGGAGGATTGCTTGAGCTCAGAAGTCTGAGGCTGCAGTGGGCTATGATGGTGCCACTGCACTCTGGCCCTGGGTGGCAAAGTGAGACTTTGTCTCTAAAAAAAAAAAAAGAGAGAGAGAGAACATACTGTCATACTGTCCACCACTAGGGCTTGGTACATGAATGCATATAGTGGAAAATCATGCAGCTGTTAAATGATGATGCAGACAAATATTTATTGATGTGGAAAGATGTTCACAACATATTGTTGAGTGAGAAAAGCAAATTACAAAATAATTTGTACGGCATGAGCCCATTTTGAAAAAAATGATTATATATGTGTGGAAAAAATCTGGTAGTGTTTATCTCCAGGTGGCAAAATGATGGCTAATTACATTTTTTTGTATTGCTTATCTATAGTTTCTGACCTTTCTACAATGAATATTTAATTAAAAAGATAATGAAAGTTTGGAACACAACCACGACCAAATCTGTCTGTATCTTTGGTTCTCTGTGCAGACACCTTTAGATAGTTAAGGGTTGGCCAGGCGTGATCTATATGTACCGGTTGTATAGGTCATGCCTGTAATCCCAGCACTTTGGGAGGAAGAGGTGGGAGGGTCACTTGAGCCCAACAGTTCGAGACCAGCCTGGGCAACATGGCGAAACCTTGTCTCTAGTAAAATACAAAAATGAGCTGGGCATGGTGGTGTATCTCTGTGGTCCCAGCTACTAGAGAGGCTGAGGTGGGTGGATCGCTTGAGCCAGGGAGATTGAGGCTGTAGTGAGCTGTGATAGCACCACTTCACTCTAGCCTGGGCAACAGAGCAAGACCCTGTCTCAAAAAACAAAAACAAGATAGTTAAGGGTTGAGTGTGAGGAAAGGTCTGAGGGTTGAGAAGGGGTGGAGGATGCACCTGGGCCTATGACAGGGGTCCACGGAGGTGGCTGATGGCAAAAGCTGGGGGACTCCAACTGCTGATGCTGAAACAAGCTTGTGTCTCACATACACAGGGACAGTTCACTGAGCTTCAATGACAGGCACCTCCTGCTCATCACATCTTTTCTCTCTAGGACAGCTTTGCCCTTATTTTAACTAGACTTCCCTTGAACCAAAAGGGAAGGCTACATGCTGTGACTTGCTGGGCAGCCTGGAAAGGCGGGCCACTCCTAGCCACAGAGATGAGACAGAGTTCAGACAAGAGCTTATCCCCAGTCTTCCTTTTCTATTTTGTTTATTTTATTTTATTTTTTTATTTATTGAGACAGAGTCTCTGTCACCCAGGCTGGGGTGCAGTGATGCGACATTGGCTTACTGCAGTCTCCACCTCCTGGGCTCAGGTGATCCTCCCACCTCAGCCTCCCGAATAGCTGGGATCACAGTAGTGCACCACCATACCTGGCTAATTTTTTTGTATTTTTTGTACAGACAAAATTTCACCACATTGCCCAGGCTGGTCTCGAACTCCTGGACTCAAGCGATCCGCCCACCTCAGCCTCCCAAAGTGCTCGGATTACAGGCATGAGCCACTATGCCCAGCCTTGCTCTTCCTTTAAAGCCTCCTGTCCTTCCCCAGGTCCCCAGTTCATAGCAGGATCAAAGGTCACTGGGCGCTCACCCCGTCTTCAAGATGCTCTTTCCTATGTCACTGCTTACGCCCAGGTCAGATGTGACTAGAGCCTAAGGAGCTCCCACCTCCCTCTCTGTGCTGGGACTCACAGAGGGAGACCTCAGGAGGCAGTCTGTCCATCACATGTCCAAATGCAGAGCATACCCTGGGCTGGGCGCAGTGGCGCACAACTGTAATTCCAGCACTTTGGGAGGCTGATGTGGAAGGATCACTTGAGCCCAGAAGTTCTAGACCAGCCTGGGCAACATGGCAAGACCCTATCTCTACAAAAAAAGTTAAAAAATCAGCCACGTGTGGTGACACACACCTGTAGTCCCAGCTATTCAGGAGGCTGAGGTGAGGGGATCACTTAAGGCTGGGAGGTTGAGGCTGCAGTGAGTCGTGGTTGCGCCACTGCACTCCAGCCTGGGCAACAGTGAGACCCTGTCTCAAAAGACAAAAAAAAAAAAAAAAAAAAAAAGAACATATCCTGGTGTGGAGTAGGGGACGCTGCTCTGACAGAGGCTCGGGGGCCTGAGCTGGCTCTGTGAGCTGGGGAGGAGGCAGACAGCCAGGCCTTGTCTGCAAGCAGACCTGGCAGCATTGGGCTGGCCGCCCCCCAGGGCCTCCTCTTCATGCCCAGTGAATGACTCACCTTGGCACAGACACAATGTTCGGGGTGGGCACAGTGCCTGCTTCCCGCCGCACCCCAGCCCCCCTCAAATGCCTTCCGAGAAGCCCATTGAGCAGGGGGCTTGCATTGCACCCCAGCCTGACAGCCTGGCATCTTGGGATAAAAGCAGCACAGCCCCCTAGGGGCTGCCCTTGCTGTGTGGCGCCACCGGCGGTGGAGAACAAGGCTCTATTCAGCCTGTGCCCAGGAAAGGGGATCAGGGGATGCCCAGGCATGGACAGTGGGTGGCAGGGGGGGAGAGGAGGGCTGTCTGCTTCCCAGAAGTCCAAGGACACAAATGGGTGAGGGGACTGGGCAGGGTTCTGACCCTGTGGGACCAGAGTGGAGGGCGTAGATGGACCTGAAGTCTCCAGGGACAACAGGGCCCAGGTCTCAGGCTCCTAGTTGGGCCCAGTGGCTCCAGCGTTTCCAAACCCATCCATCCCCAGAGGTTCTTCCCATCTCTCCAGGCTGATGTGTGGGAACTCGAGGAAATAAATCTCCAGTGGGAGACGGAGGGGTGGCCAGGGAAACGGGGCGCTGCAGGAATAAAGACGAGCCAGCACAGCCAGCTCATGTGTAACGGCTTTGTGGAGCTGTCAAGGCCTGGTCTCTGGGAGAGAGGCACAGGGAGGCCAGACAAGGAAGGGGTGACCTGGAGGGACAGATCCAGGGGCTAAAGTCCTGATAAGGCAAGAGAGTGCCGGCCCCCTCTTGCCCTATCAGGACCTCCACTGCCACATAGAGGCCATGATTGACCCTTAGACAAAGGGCTGGTGTCCAATCCCAGCCCCCAGCCCCAGAACTCCAGGGAATGAATGGGCAGAGAGCAGGAATGTGGGACATCTGTGTTCAAGGGAAGGACTCCAGGAGTCTGCTGGGAATGAGGCCTAGTAGGAAATGAGGTGGCCCTTGAGGGTACAGAACAGGTTCATTCTTCGCCAAATTCCCAGCACCTTGCAGGCACTTACAGCTGAGTGAGATAATGCCTGGGTTATGAAATCAAAAAGTTGGAAAGCAGGTCAGAGGTCATCTGGTACAGCCCTTCCTTCCCTTTTTTTTTTTTTTTTTTGTGAGACAAGGTCTCTCTCTGTTGCCCAGGCTGGAGTGGCGCAAACACAGCTCACTGCAGCCTCAACCTACTGGGCTCAAGCAATCCTCCAGCCTCAGCCTCCCAAAGTGCTGGGATTACAAGCATGAGCCACCCCACTCAGCCCTTTCCTTCCTTTTTAATTGATGCATAATAATTGTAAGTATTCATCATGGTCCAACCAACCCTTTCTTGACCCACCTTCCTAGAGAGAGGGTCCTCTTGCTTCAGCGGTCAGGGCCCCAGACCCATGGTCTGGCTCCAGGTACCACCTGCCTCATGCAGGAGTTGGCGTGCCCAGGAAGCTCTGCCTCTGGGCACAGTGACCTCAGTGGGGTGAGGGGAGCTCTCCCCATAGCTGGGCTGCGGCCCAACCCCACCCCCTCAGGCTATGCCAGGGGGTGTTGCCAGGGGCACCCGGGCATCGCCAGTCTAGCCCACTCCTTCATAAAGCCCTCGCATCCCAGGAGCGAGCAGAGCCAGAGCAGGATGGAGAGGAGACGCATCACCTCCGCTGCTCGCCGCTCCTACGTCTCCTCAGGGGAGATGATGGTGGGGGGCCTGGCTCCTGGCCGCCGTCTGGGTCCTGGCACCCGCCTCTCCCTGGCTCGAATGCCCCCTCCACTCCCGACCCGGGTGGATTTCTCCCTGGCTGGGGCACTCAATGCTGGCTTCAAGGAGACCCGGGCCAGTGAGCGGGCAGAGATGATGGAGCTCAATGACCGCTTTGCCAGCTACATCGAGAAGGTTCGCTTCCTGGAACAGCAAAACAAGGCGCTGGCTGCTGAGCTGAACCAGCTGCGGGCCAAGGAGCCCACCAAGCTGGCAGACGTCTACCAGGCTGAGCTGCGAGAGCTGCGGCTGCGGCTCGATCAACTCACCGCCAACAGCGCCCGGCTGGAGGTTGAGAGGGACAATCTGGCACAGGACCTGGCCACTGTGAGGCAGAAGTGAGGAGGGGATGGGGAAGGGGGGCCTTGTGAGCAGAAGGGGCTGAATCCCCAAGAAGGAGTGCCCGAGAAGTCTCAGGGAGGGGCCGAACCTCCCTGCTCCCTGGGCCTCCCTACCTCTTGATGGGGCACTATCCTTGCCCCCCAACATGATGGGAGGGACCAGAAACAGGCCCAGGGCCCCGGGGATCTGATGCCCGCATGCCTTCTGCCAGGAGTCCAGGGTCCCCTCAGCACCTCCCTACTGGGGAAAGCAGTGCAGGAGCAGCGGGGCCCCTGTGTTTCATTCATGGCTGGGCTTTGTGACTGTGGGCAGCGAGCTCACCTATTCTGAGCCTGTGTCCATATAAAGGAGGAGTTGGAAGCGGAGAAGGTTGATGTCCATGAGGGAGATTGGATTCTGGGGTGAAGAAAGTGAGGGAAAGAGCAGGCAGGTCTGGGCGCAAAGCACAGGTGACTGCCTGCCACCAGCTTGTGACCCCCATCAAGTTACTTTGACTTGCACAGCTGTGAAGCGGTGGTCATAATAAAATTCATTTCAAAAGGTGGTTACCTGGGATCAGAGGAATCCCCAGGGGCATGGCGCTTCACTGAGCTGACAGGACATGCATGTGTGCCTTCAAGTGCAGGAGGACATGTGCGTGTGTGTGTGTGTGTGTGCAACAGTGAGTGTATGCTTGTGGATGCGCCTGTGTGAGCAGAAGCAGGTGCACCAACCCTGATAAGGCACCTTAGTAATGAGTTAAGGCAAAAGCCCACATCTGCTCATCCTCCAGACAAGTCCTCTGTCTAAGGCCCCCCAACCCTTAATCCTCCTGCTGCTCTACTGGTCCTGGGTGGGGGTGGTCTCTGTGACAGCTGCCTCAAGGGAGACTGAGGCAGGTATTCAAGTGTCCTCAGAAGAGCCTGGACCCAGGAATGTGTCCCCCCACTCCAGGCTCCAGGATGAAACCAACCTGAGGCTGGAAGCCGAGAACAACCTGGCTGCCTATAGACAGGTCAGGGAGGTGGAGGGGAGGGGCAGGGGAGGGAGGAAAGGATTGATGGCCACCCACCCAAACACAGCCCCCAAGCTCAGCCCGCCAGAGCAATGTGCTGCTCCCCACTGCCCCAGAAGGAGGGGTAAGGCAAGGCTGAGGAATGGGGAGAAGGAGCCTGGGGCCCCAGTGGCCCTCTACTCCTCACCCCTCCTGCCACTCCAGGAAGCAGATGAAGCCACCCTGGCCCGTCTGGATCTGGAGAGGAAGATTGAGTCGCTGGAGGAGGAGATCCGGTTCTTGAGGAAGATCCACGAGGAGGTGAGGCCAGGGCAGAGGGAGGAAAGCTCAACACAGAGATTGCAACTGAGAGAGGGAGAGACAGAGACAGAGAAGCTGAGACTGAGAGAGACACTCAGAGAGAGGAGAGAAACAGAGATTGGCAGGTAGAGACAGGAAATGAAAGACAAACAGAAAGACACTAAGGGAGACGGAAAGAGACAAGAGAGCATTCGAACTCCTGGCCGAGGGGCAGGCAGAAGAGGACACAATGGCGTGGGGAACCCCAGCTGTGGCCTGTACCCTGAGCCCTGGTACCGCTTCTCTCACCCTGGTCAGGAGGTTCGGGAACTCCAGGAGCAGCTGGCCCGACAGCAGGTCCATGTGGAGCTTGACGTGGCCAAGCCAGACCTCACCGCAGCCCTGAAAGAGATCCGCACGCAGTATGAGGCAATGGCGTCCAGCAACATGCATGAAGCCGAAGAGTGGTACCGCTCCAAGGTAGCCCTGCCTGTGGGCCAGCCTGCCTCCTCCAGGCAGCCCTTCTTGCTCTGTACAAGAGAATGGGGGAAGGAGGGTGGAGGAAGCTGGGAGAATATCCTCTCCAGGTGACTGACTTTCACCAGAGAAGTGAGATGGCTTGCCCAGGGTCACACAGGCACTATTGCTTTCAAAAGTACCCATTATTATTACTGCTACTATTGCTATTATTAGTAGTAGCTGATACTGTTCTGTTCTAAGCCCTGTGCTTTTCATGGATTACCTTACTATGAAGTAGGTGCTGTTCTTTGACAGATGAGAGAGCCGAAGTCCAGAGAGGTTAACTAATTTGCTCAAAGTCACACAGCTCCTAAGTGGTAGAGTTGGATTTCCAACTCTAGCACATCTCACTTGGGAGCCTGCATTCCATGCCTCTGCCAGTCTGTTTTGGGTTACTGAGCCTCTACCATATGCCAGGCACCCCCCAGGACACAGAGAGGTGTCTGACCTGGAAGGTGTGATATTGACGTGCACCCAAACATAGTGCCCGTAGAGAACACCACAGCTCAGAGCTTATATGTAGTGTGGGAGCCAGGAAAGACACTGTAGAGGGGGCATTTGGGCTAGGCAGGACAGGCACGCTGTGGACAGGAAGAGAAGAAGGGAGGGCCATTCCTAGTGGAGGACAGAGCCTGGAGGCAGAAAAGCACAGAGAGGCAGGGCCCCAAGATGCTAGCCTAGCCAGGGCACCTAGCTGAGGAGTGTGAGTGGCAGAAGCCACTGGTGTCTGAGCAGGGTGAGGGCCCGATGGGGCTGGGAGGACCTCCCTGCAGGCAGGGGAGAAAGGGCTATTAGAACCCAGGGTGAGGCCAGGCGAGGTGGCTCACACCTGTAATCCCAGCACTTTGGGAGGCCGAGGCATGCGGATCACCTGAGGTCAGCAGTTCAAGACTAGCCTGGTCAACATGGTGAAACCCCGTCTCTACTAAAAATACAAAATCAGCCGGGTGTAGTGGCGCATGCCTGTAATCCCAGCTACTCAGGTGGCTGGGGCAGGAGAATTGCTTGAACCTGGGAGGCAGAGGTTGCAGTGACCCGGGATTGTGCCACTGACTTCCAACCTGGGCGACAAGAGCAAGACTCTGTCTCAAAATAAAACAAAAAAAACAAAAAAACAAAAACACACAAAACACCCAGGCCTCCGCTCGCCTAAGACGACAGCGTTCAGTCCCGCAGATGCAGCTGTCAGTGTGGAAGGTTCTGGATTCTGTGGCACTGTTCATTCATTCGCTTGCTGACCAGGTGTTGTGCTAGGTGCTGAGGTCTGGCAGCCCGCTACCCTGCCCGCATCCATGGGTCACAGTTGTTGGGAAAAGTCCCAGCCAGGGCCAACGTCCTGGGGTTAACTGGGGTGCTGCTCACCTCCCTGATTTCCCAGAGCCCGTGCCTGCCCATGGGCCCACACAGCCCCCCATATGTGTCCCCCACCTAGTTTGCAGACCTGACAGACGCTGCTGCCCGCAACGCGGAGCTGCTCCGCCAGGCCAAGCACGAAGCCAACGACTACCGGCGCCAGTTGCAGTCCTTGACCTGCGACCTGGAGTCTCTGCGCGGCACGGTGAGCGCGGCCAGGGCAGGACGGGGACGGGCGGAGCAGGGACGGCCACCCCAGGAGATGCCAGGGGAGAAGGGCCAGGGACGAGGACCTGGGTCGAGGGCGGGGCCTGAACGTTACCCCCGGGCTAGAGGCGGGGCCTGGGGCCGGGGGCCGGGCCTCGAAACCTCCCCAAGTCGGGTCGGGGCTCCGCGGGACCGGCCGGCTCCATCCCACAGAACGAGTCCCTGGAGAGGCAGATGCGCGAGCAGGAGGAGCGGCACGTGCGGGAGGCGGCCAGTTATCAGGAGGCGCTGGCGCGGCTGGAGGAAGAGGGGCAGAGCCTCAAGGACGAGATGGCCCGCCACTTGCAGGAGTACCAGGACCTGCTCAATGTCAAGCTGGCCCTGGACATCGAGATCGCCACCTACAGGAAGCTGCTAGAGGGCGAGGAGAACCGGTGAGCCCTCATCACAGCCCCTGGGGAAGTCTCCCTGCTGCCTCACGGTAGAGCTCATCTTGCTCCCTTCAGGGACTGAGTCTTTTTCAGCCTTGTGTGCAGATCCCTTCCCACCTCAATGCCCAGCACAGTGCCTGCCTCACACATAGCAGGCAGTCACTAGATGTTTGATGACTGAATGGATGGATGGATTCAACCAATATTGATTAGGCCTCAAGGCCAAGGACTTGGGTCACCCTCCAAACTAAGAGGCATACTCCCCATCTTCCCAGCCAAGATTGGACTCCTCACCTCACCCATCTCTTCTGCCTCCTTGGAACTTTCTTCACCACTTTCCCCTCCCTTTTCCATCTTCCTTCAGATAGACATGCGCCCCTCCCAGATAACACTCAAGCCCCTTGCAGACGTTTGGAACTCCAGATAGCACGTTGGCTGCTGGGGAAAAAGCTAGGAGATGGAGTTAGACTTTCCTGGCAAGGAAAAGGGCGTTCAAGTTGTCATGATGGCCCCGCACCAAGACCCAGCCTAGGGGTGTCCCAGGCAGCCCGGGCAGCCCTCTCCCTCTGCTTTCTTTCAGGATCACCATTCCCGTGCAGACCTTCTCCAACCTGCAGATTCGAGGTCAGTACAGCAGGGCCTCGTGGGAAGGGCACTGGAGTCCTGCCCCCTCCTCCAGGGCCTGTAGGTTGCTCCAGACTGGGACTGAGGATCAGGGCAAAGGGATCCAGCTCTCCCTGGGGGCCTTCGTGACACTGCAGCGCTCCTAGCCAGAGCCTATCATACCAGGGTACTTCTAGGTGGGGCTTGCAGCTGCCCCTGTCCTGCTAGGCCCTGGTCCCTCTTCCCCTCCCTGCACCCCATTCGACAGCAGAACTGGGTGAGAGCTTGACATCTGCCCTGTCTGCAGATCCCTGAGCAAGCACTGCCCTTCTGAGTGTTTTCTGTTTTTGTTTTTTTAACTGCTTGTCACTACAGGGGGCAAAAGCACCAAAGACGGGGAAAATCACAAGGTCACAAGATATCTCAAAAGCCTCACAATACGAGTTATACCAATACAGGCTCACCAGATTGTAAATGGAACGCCGCCGGCTCGCGGTTAGCTGCCTGCCTCTCAGACACGGCGCTTTGCCCAGCTTGACAGGGAGTGAGCCTCACCCACCCCATCCTCCCAATCCCCCTGAGTTCCCTCTTCCCAGGCTTCCCCTAAAGGGCCTGGACTGCGTCATTTTCCCAGGAACTGCAGTGCCCAGCCCAGGACGTGGTACAGAGTAACTGTACATTAAACTGGCAGAGCTTGTTAGTGGTAAAGGTGGTGAGTCCTTGGGTGCGCAGTGGAGCTGCTCTGGGGCCTCTGAGCAAGCAGCAGCCTCTGTCTCACCTCTTCCTGTCACTGGGAGGGCCCCTTGGGTCTCGCTGTGCCTGGACGCCAGGCTCTCTGCTTTATTCTTTCATCCCTGAGGCTCCATCGCTCAGCTCAGTGCTGACTCAGTTCAGAGGATTCTTCCCTCAGGACCGCAGCTCTTGCAGTGAATAAAGTTTTATGTTCCCTGCTCTTAATGTTAAATATTAGTGAATGTGACGTGTTATATTTTTCTCTCTCGGGCGGGGCGGGGGGAGGGGGGAGCTAAATTACTTTTTACTTGCATTGGCCCTGAAATGATTCTTAGCTAAGGAACAAAATTCCTCTTCTTCTGGACTAGAATATTTAGGACCACTAGATATGCATGTCTCAGGACTTAATTCAGCATCAGAAAGGCTAACCAGGCTGACTAGTAGAGGTAATACTGCCAAATCCTAGATAGTCACAGGTCACTAAAGCACAGATAAATGGCAGAGAGAAGTAGGAAAGAGGAAAGGGGACAGGAAAGGGACCTATGTGTATTGAGCACTAATATGTGCCACATGTTTAACAGCCTTTATTTTAGTTAATTGTCTCCTCTCTCCCACCTAGAGAAGTAGGCCCCATCATCCTTATTTTACAGATGAGGAAACTGAGGCTGGGAGAGGTCAATTAACTTGCCCAGAGTCATGTGGCTGGTTGGTGGCTAAGTTGGGACTTCTTGAGCTCTGGTCTCCTGATCCTTCCTTCCTTCCTTCCTTCTTTTCTTCCTTCCTTCCTTCTTTCCTTCCTTCCTTCGGCAGAGCGTCCCTCTGTCACTCAGGCTGGAATGCAGTAGTGCAATCTTGGCTCACTGCAACCTCCACCTCCCAGGTTCAAGCAATTCTCGTGCCTCAGACTCCCGAGTAAGGGGATTACAGGTGCGAGCCACCACACCTGGCTAATCTTTCTTTTTCTTTCTTTCTTTCTTTCTTCCTTCCTTCCTTCCTTCCTTCCTTTCTCTTTCCTGCTTGCTTGCTTGCTTGCTTGCCTGCTTTCGACGGAGTCTTACTCTGTTGCTCAGGCTGGAGTGCAGTGGCACGATCGCAGCTTACTGCAACCTCCGCCTCCCAGGTTCAAGTGATTCTCCTCTCTCAGCCTCCTGAGTAGCTGGGACTACAGGCACCTGTCACCATGCCTGACTAATTTTTGTATTTTTAGTAGAGACAGGGTTTCACCATATTAGTCAGGCTGGTCTCAAACTCCTGACCTCAGGCGATCCACCTGCCTCGGCCTCCCAAAGTGCTGGGATTACAGGTGTGAGCCACCATGCCTGGCCTATTTTTTGTATTTTTAGTAGAGGTTTCACTATGTTGGCCAGGCTGGTCTCGAACTCCTGGCGTCAGGTGATCCACCTGCCTCAGCCTCCCAAAATGATGGCATTATAGGTGTGAGCCACCGCACCCCTCCTGGTCTCCTGATTTCAATACCGTGCTGGGTTTTCAGAAAGCCAGGTGCCAGGCCAGGGCTTGCAGAGGGGCTGAAATGAAGCCAGGCCAGAAGACAGAGCAGCCAGGACTCTGGCAGCAGCACTATTGGGATTTGGGGGCTCTCCAGCCCGTTTGGAAGAGCCTAGGCTCTCTCTGCTCGGTTGCATAGGTTCTCATACTCATGATGGGGAGGGGGGTGCGATGGGGAAGCCGGGCATGGGAGAGGATGGCTCATGCCCTGAAAGTCCATGAGAGGCCTCCTCTCCCCACATCTGCAGAAACCAGCCTGGACACCAAGTCTGTGTCAGAAGGCCACCTCAAGAGGAACATCGTGGTGAAGACCGTGGAGATGCGGGATGGAGAGGTAAGGAGGGATTTGGGCCCAGTCAGGCTCTGGCTGGCCCCAGGGATTCTCAAGGCCAGGCCATGGAGGAAAGCCTGGGGCTGGCACATAGAAGGTTCCCAGCAACTCCCAGTAGCTCCCCAGGGAATTCTGGAGGAGAGCAAGGAAACTGAATGTAATTCCGTTTCCTCAGTCCCTCCATAGGCTGTTCTAAGGGGAGCCTTGGTACCAAAGCCACTAGATGGGATCCTAATACACACTCTCTCTTTCTCACCCTCAAACTCGGGGGCCTTGCTTGCCAGGGAGAGAAAGAGAATTAAAGTTAGTAGCTTTCACTTCCAACTCTAGCAGACACAGTTGGGGATGGGGAGGGCTTTCCATTTCCAGCTTGGTAAAAGGAAACTACCAGGGGAATGGGAAGAGGGGATTTGGCGTATCCGCCACGCCACTCCAACCACAGTGGGAGCTCATCTTACTCCAGCAGCTTACCACTCGCCAGGCATGACGCTAAATGCTTTCCCAGTGTTATCTCACCACCCCCTCTGTCCACCACGCAAGGCAGCTGTGGTTACTATCAAGAAAAGTAAGACCTGGGAAGTCGGGGACTTCCCAAGGTTACACAGCCTCGTGGTGGTGGACCTGGGGTCTGTGTGAACTCCTAACTGTTGCACTGTGCACGTTCCCTGTCCCCTGCAGGTCATTAAGGAGTCCAAGCAGGAGCACAAGGATGTGATGTGAGGCAGGACCCACCTGGTGGCCTCTGCCCCGTCTCATGAGGGGCCCGAGCAGAAGCAGGATAGTTGCTCCGCCTCTGCTGGCACATTTCCCCAGACCTGAGCTCCCCACCACCCCAGCTGCTCCCCTCCCTCCTCTGTCCCTAGGTCAGCTTGCTGCCCTAGGCTCCGTCAGTATCAGGCCTGCCAGACGGCACCCACCCAGCACCCAGCAACTCCAACTAACAAGAAACTCACCCCCAAGGGGCAGTCTGGAGGGGCATGGCCAGCAGCTTGCGTTAGAATGAGGAGGAAGGAGAGAAGGGGAGGAGGGCGGGGGGCACCTACTACATCGCCCTCCACATCCCTGATTCCTGTTGTTATGGAAACTGTTGCCAGAGATGGAGGTTCTCTCGGAGTATCTGGGAACTGTGCCTTTGAGTTTCCTCAGGCTGCTGGAGGAAAACTGAGACTCAGACAGGAAAGGGAAGGCCCCACAGACAAGGTAGCCCTGGCCAGAGGCTTGTTTTGTCTTTTGGTTTTTATGAGGTGGGATATCCCTATGCTGCCTAGGCTGACCTTGAACTCCTGGGCTCAAGCAGTCTACCCACCTCAGCCTCCTGTGTAGCTGGGATTATAGATTGGAGCCACCATGCCCAGCTCAGAGGGTTGTTCTCCTAGACTGACCCTGATCAGTCTAAGATGGGTGGGGACGTCCTGCCACCTGGGGCAGTCACCTGCCCAGATCCCAGAAGGACCTCCTGAGCGATGACTCAAGTGTCTCAGTCCACCTGAGCTGCCATCCAGGGATGCCATCTGTGGGCACGCTGTGGGCAGGTGGGAGCTTGATTCTCAGCACTTGGGGGATCTGTTGTGTACGTGGAGAGGGATGAGGTGCTGGGAGGGATAGAGGGGGGCTGCCTGGCCCCCAGCTGTGGGTACAGAGAGGTCAAGCCCAGGAGGACTGCCCCGTGCAGACTGGAGGGGACGCTGGTAGAGATGGAGGAGGAGGCAATTGGGATGGCGCTAGGCATACAAGTAGGGGTTGTGGGTGACCAGTTGCACTTGGCCTCTGGATTGTGGGAATTAAGGAAGTGACTCATCCTCTTGAAGATGCTGAAACAGGAGAGAAAGGGGATGTATCCATGGGGGCAGGGCATGACTTTGTCCCATTTCTAAAGGCCTCTTCCTTGCTGTGTCATACCAGGCCGCCCCAGCCTCTGAGCCCCTGGGACTGCTGCTTCTTAACCCCAGTAAGCCACTGCCACACGTCTGACCCTCTCCACCCCATAGTGACCGGCTGCTTTTCCCTAAGCCAAGGGCCTCTTGCGGTCCCTTCTTACTCACACACAAAATGTACCCAGTATTCTAGGTAGTGCCCTATTTTACAATTGTAAAACTGAGGCACGAGCAAAGTGAAGACACTGGCTCATATTCCTGCAGCCTGGAGGCCGGGTGCTCAGGGCTGACACGTCCACCCCAGTGCACCCACTCTGCTTTGACTGAGCAGACTGGTGAGCAGACTGGTGGGATCTGTGCCCAGAGATGGGACTGGGAGGGCCCACTTCAGGGTTCTCCTCTCCCCTCTAAGGCCGAAGAAGGGTCCTTCCCTCTCCCCAAGACTTGGTGTCCTTTCCCTCCACTCCTTCCTGCCACCTGCTGCTGCTGCTGCTGCTAATCTTCAGGGCACTGCTGCTGCCTTTAGTCGCTGAGGAAAAATAAAGACAAATGCTGCGCCCTTCCCCAGAGTGGACTCTGATCTGTTCATGAGAGGGCGGGACTGGGGCCAAGATGTAGCCTTTGACAAGACCAACTCATTTCTTATTACTGATCATCTCTGGGGCCCATGCCCTCACCAAATTCCACCCGCAGCCAAAGAGGACATACACCAGCTCCCTCCACTCTTTTCTTCCTTCCTCTCCCTGCTACCTGCAACTCAACCAGCACAATCTTCATAGGCAAGAAAGCAAAGCAGCTCAAACATGATTCAACACTGATCAGTGTTTACCACTGGATAAATCTGAGTTCACACTTTCCTTCTCTGACCTAAATGTGAAGTCAGGAAACACATGTGCCCTACTTCCATCCTGAGCTCAGTCCCCAATCTCCCACCAGCCTCAGGCCCCTCCACTTCTCAGATCAGGTCCCAGACCTGCCCATGAAAATGGGGAGCAGGCTGTAACAGATTTGTCCACATGTTCCTACCACCTGTCCCAACCCAGGGTACCCACCCAGAGACATCTGGTATCATTTAACAAACACATTGAAGGACAACTGGTCTTCAGAGCTGAAGAGAGCTCCTAGGGGGAGAAGCTGGGACAACAGTGAAATAAGTAGCAGCAGCAACGACAGAAGTGAATGGTGACAAAGACTGCTGTGATGAGCAGGTAGCCTATCAGGGTGAGCTCCACAGCCGAGCGAGTCTCAGGATCTGAGAACGAGGCTGGGTAGTGCCCATGAGATGTCACACCCAGCCGGAAGCCAGCAACTAGCACACCCTGCCTCCAGCAATAGTAGATGCCCCGGTCATCCAGCTGGGTGAAGCGGATGTGGAGCTGGTTGCCGTGGTCAATGAACACCCTCATGGACCTGTTGACACCCTTCAGGTACTGTGTGCGGTAGAGGTGCTGGCGGTCTTTGTCCCAGGCCACTGCATGCTCTGGCCGGGCCCCAGGACAGGAGATGATGAGTCCATGGCCCAGTCTCTGCTGGTGGAACTGAATGGGCACCTGGGGCACCCAGGGCCGGCTGCCCACTTTGGACACATAGTTAATGATGGCCAGCACGCCCTCCCGGATGGTCTTTGTCTTCTCACAGGGTACTAAGCAGCTCCGAACCAGCACCTCAGGCGTGTGGTCCCTGGCCTTGGTCCGCAGCTTCCTTGGCACAGCCCTTGAGCCACAAGACACCACATCGGGCACGGCCTTGAGGTAGCGTGGGGAGAGGTCTGGGCTCTGCAGGTAGCAGAGGCCGATGCGCCACTGCTCCCCACGCACTCCGCAGCGGTCACAGGGGGTCCATTCCCAGAAGGTGGTGAAGACATGGAGGTGCCCATAGTATTCATCTGCAAAGGGCTCCTGGCCCTTGTCCTGGAAAGTGGCCACCATTCCCTCACTGTTCTGGATGTCCACATCGTAGGCGTAAAAGTAGTCCCCCTTGCGGGTGCCGCAGAAGTACAGGCCTGAGTCCTCAGACTGAGCCCTGAAAACCAACAAGCTGAACATGCGGATGCTGAAGCGGGTCAGCATGTCGCTGCCCACACGTACCTGGGCTGCCTCCGTCAGCACCCGCCCATCAAAGTCCGTCAGCACTTTGGTGTGGCTGCTACCTAGGTGCTTTTGGTAGAACCAGACTACAGCTGGCACCTCTTCGGGTTTGCAGTGACAGGGAAGCTCAAAGCTCATGTCGGCCAGGTAGGCTGCATTTTCAAACATCAGGAAAGCAGGGCAGGGGGTCCTCTGAAAAATGTTTTCCTTCTCCACAATTTCAAAGGCCTGGAGCCCCCATGCCCACAGGAGCACAGTGGTGAGGGCCAGGTGCATACCTGAAGGAGGCAGGGGTCAGAGGGGCAGGGCAAAACCAGGGCATTAAAGGCTCATAGGGCTCCTAGAAAGCTCTGCTAAGCGGAAGCCTCTAGATGAGGAAAGGATTATGCAGCCAGGAAAAGCAGCAACAATCTGCAGAGGAAGCCGCCAAGTGCAAGGCAATTTATTCCCAGTGGATGTACAAGATGCCCTTCTAACATTCCAGACCTGATCTCAGGGTGGGGGGGGAAAGCCATTCTAGAACCTGGCCTTTACTCCCCTTTCTAGAACACTGGCGCTCACCCAAGAATGGGTCAAAGGAAACCGGAATGAGAAGGGCGGGCCGAGGTGCTCGGGCAGGGAGATCTCTGCCTCAGTGCTCCAGGCCCTGCCCTGCCAGCCTGGTGGAAAAGTCTTTCATCAACCTGGGGGATGAAGGAAACCCACCCTCCTGCATATCTGGCCATCCGGGAGGCTGGCTGGACCTGAGCTGATGGCTTGGGACTTTCCCAGGCCCAACCTGCACAAGAACTGAGTCTCTAGGGGAAAATTCAACACCTCAAATGATGTAGTATTTGATCATTTGTTGATTACATGTCCATTCATTGGTTTGGGGCTATAAACATTCTTGTTAAGAGCTGTGGAGATCAGTGTTTGTTTACCATAAAGATTTTGCTTTTTCCCTTTTATGAGTGGAGGCTGTAACTGGTATAGCCAGCATTTGGTTGGGCACACACTCATCTCTCAAGGCCAGTGGGCTAGAGGCTTGGCAGACTCTAAGGGTGGGAAACAAAACCGCTCTCAACTTCCTGAGCTCTTGACTGTCCATGGATACACACAGTTCAAAACAGCGAGACACTGAGGGACTGGAGAAGTGGGGAAGACTTGATTCCTGTTTTTGCTCTGAAAATTCCAAGTTGAGAAGGGAACCAGGTGTGGGTTTCTTATTATGGTCCTGCAGAACCCCCAAGACAACAACCAAAAAACTGCCTCCAGTGACCACTGGGACCTCTGAGGGTAGCTTGCCGCATCAGTCAACCTGGTACAGCTCCAGCAGCTCCTGCAGGAGCCTCTCCTCCTCCTGGAGCCCACCAGACTGCTCCTCCAGACCCTGCTCCTCCCAGCTGAGCCCCTCCTTCACGGATCTGGGGTTGCCCATGGCTTGCAGCTTCTGAAACAAGCCCTTGCAGCTCTCTCTCTCTGCCCGGCTCAGCAGGCTTAGGTTCAGGGTGAAGCGCCCAGTGCTCGCCAGGCTGCATAGGATCCCCAGCACCGCTGCCCGGTCAGCCGGCCCCACGTGATCAGCCAGTGCCACCAGCAGCTCCCCAAGAAGTCCAAATCCCACATCTGTCTGGAAGAGGCAGCCGAGCCTTGGACCCCCAAGCTGCAGTAGAGCCTGGTAGCGCTCTGGCCCACTTGGCAAGTGTCGTCGCCAATCACGATAGAAGTCAGCAGACGTCTCGGGCTGGAGGGGGGCTTTCTCCTGGACCACAAAGGAAGGAAAGGGAGTCAGGAGCTCTTCCAGCTGTTCTGCAACAGTGACAGGGAGGGGAGCCTGTAGCTCTTCATCTTACTGTCTTCATCTCACTACTGTCTGAGCACTGGGAAAGCTGTGGTCCTTGGCGGCCTCATTTTCAGATGAGGAAACTGGGGATGAAACAGGGAGGGCCCCAAGGAATCCACGCCATGATTTGAGATTCTCATTTATACTGGAATTTTCCTACTCATGAATGGAGACATAGCTCTGGTCTTCAAGAGTAAGTCAGGGTTTACTGTAAGTCGGGTGGATGGGTTGATTGGAAATCTCAGGAAGAGAGAAAGGAACTCAAGGATCTGAATGTTGGGGTCTCTCTCTCAACACTGCCACAGGATCATTACACTAGACACCATACAACCCAGAGGCAGAGCATCCCAATTCTGATCTGAGAATGAAAGTCAAAGGACTAAGGGAAGCCGACCTTCCTAGCCCAACTTTCTGACTCATTCTGCCCACTTCAACTCAGCTTTGCCATCTGCTGTTTGTTTTTCTTTCTGGGATTGGAGGCAGAAACCTATCTCTGTTGGTTTAACATGACAAATAAAGAAGAGGTATGTGTGGTTAAAAAAACAAAACAAAACAAAACAAAATGAAAAAACAGGATTGAAGCTTTAGGGCAGAGAATCCTGCTGGACTAAAGGGGCAGGGCCTCACCTACCGGGGAGATTTCAGTGGCCACATCCTGGAAGGTCCTTCCCTGAATAGTGTGACAGTTCCAGGGCACAGTTCTCTTTCCTCCCATCTTATCCTTCCGCTCCAGTGGCTTCAGATGTGATGCAAGGACAATACCCCTGTAGGCAAAGGACAGAAATTAGGCAATGGACTTAATGCTGTGTCTGTGGGTGTGAGGCAGCTAGACTTTGCATGGTATAGGATAAACCTGTTACGGACCAATATGACCATAATAATAACAACAGCGATAGCTGACTGCTTTCAAGCACCTCACATGTGTCAGACACTTGCTCAGTCTTATGTGCAAGAACTCATTTAATTATAACAGTTACTGTTCTACAGATAAATAATTGAGACTCAGAGAAGTTAAGGAAATTGCATAAGATCAAACAGTAGACGGTGGGGCCAGGACTGAAGCCCAGAATGGTTTGATTTCAGAGTTAACTACTATAATCCACCATAACAGGAGGGCCTGAGAAAAATGGCAGTGAGCCAACCTGAACTCCTCATAGGAAGCCACCCTCTGTTCCACTGCCCGTAACTTGGCAGCATTCTCCCGTTTGTACTTCTCATCAGCAGTGAGTGCAGCCTGCAGCTCTTTCTCCAAAGCCTTGAAGTTGATGATGTCATTCCTTTCCATGGCCTGTGCCTGGGAAGGCAAAGGGAATACATGTCAGTGGACAGTCAATATCAGGGGAAAGAGGGTACCTCTGAATTATTCACCAGAACACAAAATGACCCCAAAGCACTCTGGACATCATGTCACTCAGATTGGGAGGTGTTACAAAAATCTGGTTTTCTATTTTACAAAGACAAGTTGAATTTCACAGTGAGGACTTACACAAGACTTGTCCCTGAAAATAGAATACAGAGTCCTGACTTTCAATTTGGAGTTCTGTCTTAATTTTGCTCTTTGCCTCTAAAAATATTTTTAATTTTGGTGCTTCAGTCGAGGAGGCATTGGGATCTCAGAATTCAGTTTCTTCACTCTTCCCCCATAGGATTGTTCTACAGCAAGTCGTTTCGACAGGGGACCTCACACAAAGGCAGAACTCTTGTTAGTTACCCTTGAGCTCGGGGATAAAGTTTCATTCTTCATTGAATGTCTTTAATGAGGAAGGAGACTTTCACCCAAACCAGATGCAATGACTGAGCAGGAAATCAAGTAGAAGGGGCAAAGGAAGGAGCTCAATGACCCCATCCCCAAATCCCTCTGTCCAGCCCAGGGCTGGAACAGAGGTCCCTAGGTACCTGGGCAATGCCTTTAGTTCTATCACTGTACTTCTGTAGTTTCTGCATATCTGAGGCTGACTGATCATTTCTACAGAGATATTCTTTTCTTTTTTTTTTTTTCTGGCTCTGTTGCCCAGGCTGGAGTGCAGTGGCGCGATCTTGGCTCATTGCAACCTCTGCCTCCGGGGTTCAAGCAATTTTCGATCCTGACCTCAAGTAATCCGCGCGCCTCGGCCTCCCAAAGTGCTGGGATTACAGGCGTGAGCCACTGCAGAGAGATTCTCTACGTGGGTTCTAGTCGTGGCTCTGGCATTTACTTGTGGGACCTCTCTGAACTGCAAACTCCTAGTGAGTTGAGCTAGATTTTGTGGCGGGGTCATCACCAACAGCCCTAGCGCAAGGAAGCAGGAAGTCCCCAACCAATCCCATAGCCACCCTACCCCAACGTAGGGAATCTGAACGCCAAGAAGGGGCTGGGGTGGCCAGTAACCGAAATCAGGTGTCCAGTTCTCAGCCCTCCCCAGGCATTTAATACATAGAACTAACCCTTCCGTCCCCTTACTCAGCCTCCCGGACCTTCACCCCAGCAGTCCCGGCCTTGGTCCCCTTGCTTTCTTTGGGGATCCCCTGATAAACCAGAACAGGAGGGCAACCCCGCGCAGACCACGCCCGCAGCTGTGGTTGCCTAGCAACTGCGCTAACAGCCTGACCACGTGATCTGCCCGAAGGCCCCTCCCCCCATTTTCAGGGTGGTCCCGAGGCGCCTGATCAGATTCGTTCATCCTCAGCTCTCACCCTCTTTGGAGCAGCCCACGTCTTGGGCTACTCGTCTTGGGGACCCGCTACTCCGCCTTGCCAGTCCGCGGCGGGCATACCTCGGAACTGGTCCTCAGGCAGAGGGTTGTCCTCCCGGGCAGAAAGGCGACAGCGGCGTCTGCGGGGTCCTTCCTGGCGGCGGGCGCAGGCGTTTCCTCGGCGTGGGGCGGAAGCACGATCTCCGGCAGCGGCCTGGGAACTCTTAGCTGAGCAGGCGAGAGGTAAGTTGAAGCGGGTCAGCGGCACGGAAGGGTTGCTCCAGGTGGGATAGGAAATTAAAAAGCGTCAGATCTGGAAGGGGCCTTATATGCTATTGGCCCCTTTCGCTTTACGGATCGGTAAATTGAGGCCTGGAGCGGGAAAAAGAATGGAAGACCCTGTCGTCCTCGTGCCTTCCCAAGGCTTCCGAAGCGCGCACACACGCACACACCTCGATTTCGGGGCTGCCTCTATAGCCTCAGTCCGTAAAATCGTATCGCTAGGTAGGAGTGGTGCTCTAACTGTCCAGTCCCCTCGCTCACTTCCTCTTCTATCCGTGCCGCTTTCAGCCGTTCTTTGCCAAGTTCCCTCCGAAGTCCTCTGAGCTCCTGCATTGTAGCGGGAAGCGGCAGTGAGGTTTGTTACCATGAGTCGCTAGTTTTGTGTAACTGTGGGCAAATCAGCTATATTCTGTGTACCTTGTTAGAGTCATTCATTAGTTCAGTAAATACTTATTGAGGGCTTAGTCTATGCTAGGCACAGTACTAAGTGAACAAAGTCTTTGCTTCAATTGTAGTTGGGGAAATGAACAGTAAACAACTAGATACAAGTCAGCTAGTGATAAATGTATAACATTTGTGAATAGCAATAAAACAGTGAAAGTGGGAAGTTGGAGAGTATGTATGGGGGACTTTTTAGAGTGACAGAGAAGATGACATTTTAGTGGAGACTTGATTGAAATAAAGGAACAAGGTGAAAAATATCAAAGGGGAGAGCGTTTTGGACAAAGAGAAAGGCAAGTGCAGTGGCCCTGAGGCAGAAATGAGCTTGGCTTGTTCCATGAACAGCTTTCTATAACAGTTTCTTCAATCGGCCGGGCGCGGTGGCTCACGCCTGTAATCCCAGCACTTTGGGAGAAAGACGCGGGCGGATCACCTGAGGTCAGGAGTTCGAGACCAGCCTGGCCAACATGGTGAAAACCCATCTCTACTAAGAATACAAAAAAATTAGCCAGGCGTAGTGGTGCACTCCTGTAGTCCCAACTACTCGGGAGGCTGAGGCAGGAGAATCGCTTGAAACCAGGAGGCGGAGGTTGCAGTGAACTGAGATCGTGCCGTTGTACTCCAGCCTGGGCAACAAGAGCAAAACTCTGTCTCAAAAAATATATATAAAATAAATAAATAATTTCTTCAATCCCTTGACTGGGGTCTTGGGAGAATGAGATAAGCATAAATGCGATAGTAGCTTTTTAGAAGTAAAAAGAATATGCATGTGAAAGTTTCCATAATAATTTACATTTAATTATTGGTCCTTGGAGCTCCAATTCTCTCTCTACATTCAGCACCCAGCAGGTGGCATTGAGGGAGTTGGAGGTATCAGTCTAATCCAAGAAATATCAGCATCTTAAAATTAAACATCCCATTCAGTTAACATTTATCCAGTTCCTACTTATGCAAGGTGCTGTCTTGGCTATTGGCTGTGTTAGCATTGGTACTTTTTTCTCAATTATTTAAAAATGTAAAATGTGGCCGGGTGCGGTGGCTCACACCTGTAATCTCAGCACTTTGGGAGGCCGAGGTGGGCTAATCACCTGAGGTCAAGAGTTCGAGACTGCCTGGCCAACATGGTTGAAACCCCGTCTCTACTAAAAATACAAAAATTAGCCAAGTGTGATGGCGGGTGCCTGTAATCCCAGCTACTTGGGAGGTTGAGGCAGGAGAATCGCTTGAACCTGTGAGGCGGAGGTTGCAGTGAGTCGAGATCGTGCCACTGCACTCCAGCCTAGGCAACAGAGCGGGACTCCGTCTCAAAAAAATAAAAAAATAAAAATGTAAAATGCATTCTTAGCTGGAGGACCATGCAAAAACAGTTGGAGGGGCCAGATTTGGCCACAGGTCAGAGTTTGTCAACTCTTGCTCTAAAGTATTAGGAGGTGAAGAGGCATTGTGTCAGCAGCATACTGTCAAATATTTGGGGAAAAGAAAGTTATTTGTACTGTTCTTGCCACTTTTTGGTATTATTTTAAAATTAAATTTAGTATCATAAAAGAAGTGAAGAGAAGAAGCAGGTGCATGGAACACAGGGTTCTCATGATCAAGGATGGCAAAAAATAATGCTAGCTAACGTTTATTGAGCCTAGGACTCTGGTAAATTCTTTTTTTTTTTTTTTTTTTTTGAGACGGAGTCTCTCTCTGTCACCCAGGCTGGAGTGCAGTGGCGCTGTCTCCGCTCACTGCAAGCTCCGCCTCCTGGGTTCACACCATTCTCCTGCCTCAGCCTCCCCAGTAGCTGGGACTACGGGCGCCCACCACCACACTTGGCTAATTTTTTGTATTTTTAGTAGAGACAGGGTTTCACCGTGTTAGCCAGGATGGTCTCGATCTCCTGACCTCGTGATCCACCCACCTCAGCCTCCCAAAGTGCTGGGATTACAGGCGTGAGCCACTGCACCCAGCTGGACTCTGGTAAATTCTTTACACAGGGTGTTTTATTTAATCCTCATAACCATTTATTCAGTGAGGATTATTCATTCCATTTTCCAGTTGAAGAATAGGAATCAGGTTGGAAGAGATGAAGTAACTTACCTCAAGTTACATAGTTGTTGGTGACAAAGTTGGGATTTGAATCTAAGTCTTCCAACTCCAGAGCCCTGATGCTCTAGTCTGTTATTTATTGCTTATAAACTATAGTTGGTGATGGTAATTAGTAACTACTATTTGTTTATTTATTTTGTTTATTTTTTTCGAGACGGAGTCTCACTCTGTCAGCCAGGCTGAAGTGCAGTGGTGCGATCTCAGCTCACTGCAACCTCTGCCTCCTGGATTCAAGTGATTCTCCTGCCTCAGCCTGCTGAGTAGCTGGGACTACAGGTGTGTGCCACCACACCTGGCTAATTTTTTGTATTTTTAGTAGAGACGGGGTTTCACTGTGTTAGCCAGGATGGTCTCTATCTCCTGACCTCATGATCCGCCCATCTTGGCCTGCCAAAGTGCTGGGATTACAGGCATGAGCCACTGTGCCCAGCCAGTTAACTACTATTTAAGACAAAATTAAATACTGATAAAGGTGCAAAAAGCTCTAGTAGGATAGAGGAATGAGAAATTGAGGAGCTAGGAAAGCTTGAAGGAGGTGGTGGCATTTGAACTGTTTCTTTGAATAGAATTTCAGTAATTGAAGTGGAGAAAACCCACAAAACACTACTTAATTACAAAGGGAAAATGAGTAACTTTACAATGGAGAGGCCTGGCAAACATCACCTTAATGAAGTGATCAAAGTTAACGTTACCACTAATGGGGCAAATTGAAATCATGTATCACCTGATACGAAATGCATTGAGAAGAACACAGCATCACTTCTATGATATTCCTGCCCAAAACGCATAACCTGAATATTATCATAAGGTAACATCAGACAACCTCAAATCAAGGGACATCCTTAAGGATTTCATGACAGTCCTTGGAAGGAAAGACTGAAGATTGTAGATCCAAAGACTGAAGATTGTAGATCCAAAGAGACTAGAGACATGACAACCAAATGCAAACATGATCCTGGATTGGATCCTTAGGTGTGTAAGGTATTATTGGAACAATCTGTGAAACTTGAATGGGATCTGTAAAGAAGGTGGTAGTAATGTGTGAATATCAATTTTCTGATTTTGATGGTTGTATTGTGGTTATGTAGGAGAATGTTCTTGTTTGTAGGAATTACACATGGTGAGGGAGAGGTTGGCAAACTTTTTCTATTAAGGACTGGATAATATTTTAGGCTTTGTGAGCCATATGGTTTCAGTCTCAACTATTCAACTCTGCTATTACAGTGTGAAGGCAACTGTAAATGATGCAAATGAATATGCATGGCTGTTTTCCAGTGAAACTTTTTTTTTTTTTTTTTTTTTGAGATGGAGTCTTGTTCTGTCTCCCAGGCTGGAGTGCAGTGGTGCCATCTCGCCTCACTGCAACCTCCACCCCCTGGGTTCAAGGGATTCTCCTATATCAGCCTCCTGAGTAGCTGGGATTACAGGTGTGAGCCACCGTACCCAGCTAATTTTTGTATTTTTAGTAGAGACAGCGTTTTGCCATGTTGGCCAGGCTGGTCTCGAACTCCTGACCTCAGGTCATCTGCCTGCCTTGGCCTCCCAAAGTGCTGGTATTACAGGCATGCGCCACCGCGCCCGGCCTCCCAATGAAACTTTTTTAATAGACACTGACATTTGAATTCCTTATAATTAATTTTCATGTATCATGAAATATTTTTCTTTTGACTTTTTCCCTGGCAATTTACAAATGTGAAAAAGCATTCTTAGCTTGAGGGCCATGTAAAAACAGCTGGAGGGGCCAGATTTGGCCACAGGCCAGAGTTTGCCCACCCTTACACTAAAGTATTAGGAGGTGATGAGCCATTGTGTCAACAGCTCACTTTCAAATAATTTAGGAAAAAGTAAGTTATTTGTACTGTTCTTGCCATTTTTTGATACTGAGTTGTTTTAAAATTAAATTTAGTATTAAAAAAGTGGAGGGAGGGGGACCTCCTCTTTTGGCTTTGGAGCGCCCCCCACGCCCCATCTCTGTACGGCGGAGCTTCTTCCTTCTGTCTTCTTTCTTCCTTCTTGCCTATTCAACTCTCTGCTCCTTAAAACCCAAAACAAGAAAAGTGGAGGGAAGACTACATAAATAGAGACAAGTAAGGCAGAGACTTGGGGAAAGTACTGGGCTTTGGGAGGAGCATTCAGTAGGTTGATGTCACTGGAGAGGAGGCATGTGAAAGGGGTATGGCCAACCATAAGACTAAGACTAGACAGGTGGAGCCACCACATGAAGGCCTTGATTACCTTGTCAGAATCTAACTCTTCTCTCCTTGAATTTTAGCATCATGGATACCGACTTATATGATGAGTTTGGGAATTATATTGGACCAGAGCTTGATTCTGATGAAGATGATGATGAATTGGGTAGAGAGACCAAAGATCTTGATGAGGTAAAACAAATATATTGCTCTTTTATCTCACTCTTATTTATTTTATTTAAGACAAGATCTCACTCTCTTGCCAGGTTGGAGTGCAGTGGCGCAATCTCAGCTCACTGCAACCTCCACCTCCTGGGCTTAAGTGATCCTCCCACCTTGGCCTCCCAAGTAGCTGGGACTACAGGTATGCACCACCATGCCCAGCTAATTTTTTTTTATTTTTCGTGGAGATGAAACATTGCCCAGGCTGGTCTTGAACTCCTGAGCTCGAGCAGTCCACCTGCCTTGGCCTCCCAAACTGCTAGGATTACAGGCATGAGCCACCATGCCCAGCCCCCTCTTTTTTCTTTTTTTTTTTTTTGAGACAGTCTCACCCTGTTGCCCAGGCAGGAGCGCAGTGGCACCATCTTGGCTCACTGCAGCCTCTGCCTCCCAGGTCCAAGCAATTCTCAATGCCTCAGCCTCCTGAGTAGCTGGGATTACAGGTGTGTGCCACCATGCCCGGCTAATGTTTTTTGTATTTTTAGTAGAGACAGGGTTTCACTATGTTGTCCAGGCTGGTCTTGAAGTCCTGACTTCAAGCAATCCACCTGCCTTGGCCTCCCAAAGAGCTGGGATTATAGGCATGAGCCACCATGCCTGCCCCCCCACCCCCCCCCCCACCTTTTTTTAAAAAACAATGAAATTTTGAATCCTCTGTGTTCCAGTGATACCCTGGGTACGTCTCTTGAGATTGTCCTTTTTATAACATGACTTAGTGGGATCTCATACTGCTCCAGCAAAGCTTCGCTACTAAGGTTCCAAAAGGGAATATGTAGTTTCATTGATGAGATGGTTTTGTAATCTGAGCTCTAGTTGATCATTAGTTCTTCCATTTCCCTGAAGTGTCTTTTAACAGTCATGAATAATTCCCACTTGGAAAAGATACTCAACTCTTCCAGCTACAGCTGCACTGGGAGCTCCCTCACAAGCTCAGATTTTCAGAGATGCATAAAAGCAATAGAAAGGGCCCGGGCGTGGTGGCTCATGCCTGTAATCCCAGCACCTTGGGAGGCCAAGGTGGTCAGATCACACGGTCAGGAGTTCAAGACTAACCTGACCAATACGGTGAAACCCCGTCTCTACTAAAAATACAAATATTAGCCAGGCTTGTTGGCGCGTGCCTGTAGTCCCAGCTGCTTGGAAGGCCGAGGCAGGAAAATCACTTGAACACGGGAGGCGGAGGTTGCAGTGAGCCAAGATTGTGCCACTGTACTCCAGCCTGGGCAACAAGAGTGAGACTCGGTCTCAAACAAAAAAAAAAAAAAATGACTGTTGAGTACTTAGGAAGCTAGCATGAGTTTTATAAAAATAATTTTCTCTTGATAGGATTACTAGGTTGAGCCACAGGTCAGGGGCATGCTGTGGACATGATGTATCTTGATTTGGGCAAGACATTTGAAGTTTTTTATTGATGTCTTATAAACCAGCATTTTTTTTTCTTTTTGAAAATAAGGTTTACAGTCAGGTGTGGTGGCTTACGCCTGTAATTCCAGCATTTTGGGAGGCTGAGGCGCTTGAGCCCAGGAGTTTGAGACCAGCCTGGCCAACATGGTGAAACCCCGTCTCTACTAAAATACAAAAATTAGCTGGGTGTGGTGGTACATGCCTGTAATCCCAGCTACTCAGGAGGCTGAGGCAGGAGAATTGCTTGAACCCGGGAGGTAGACGTTGCAGTGAGCTGAGATCGAGCCACTGCTCTCCAGCCTGGGTGACACAGCGAGACTCCATCTCAAAAAAAAAAAAAAAAAAAAAAAAGGTTTTACAGTGTGTTTTTCTTTAATTATATAGGTAATTCATGAATACATTCTCATTCAAACCATGTTGATAGAAAGGTTTCCTTTGTTCTCATTCCATTCACTCTTCTTCCCCAGTTAACCTCTGTAACTCATGATGTCCTAGTGAAAAGAACATGGGCTGCATCATAATACAATTAGAGGAGGTCACAGCTGGTTGAACAGTGGGACACAAAGATTTTTGATTAATGGGTCACCAGCAGAGCTCTTGTGACATGTCCTAGGCATCTGTGTTTGGTCTTGTCCTTTTCAACTTAAAATATATTTAAATAGAGACAAGGTTTCACTATGTTGCTCAGGCTGGTGTTGAACTCCTGGGCTCAAGCAATCTGCCTGCCTTGGCCTCCCAAAATGCTGAGATTACATAGGGGAACCATTGTGCCCCGTCATTCAGCCTATTAGTGACTTGGGTAAAGATAGAGAACAGAGGTTTATCTAATTTGCACATGACATAAAACTAATGTATTGGATAACAGAATCTAAATTCAAAGTGATCCCAACATACATGAATTTGGGACTAAAAACCCAGTAATAGGCCAGGCGTGGTGGCTCACACATGTAATCCCAGCACTTTGGGAGGCTGAAGCGGGCAGATCACTTGAGGTCAGGAGTTCGAGACCAGCCTGGCCAACGTGGTGTGAAACCGTCTCTACTAAAAATACAAAAAATTAGTTGGGTGTGCTGGTGCGCGCCTGTAATCCCAGCTACTCGGGAGGCTGAGGCAGGATTTTTTTGTTGGGAGTGAGGGCAGGTGGAATTGGTAAGTAACAGAGTTTCTTTTTAGGGTGATGAAAATGATCTAAAATTGATCGTGGTGATGGTTGCACAATTCTGTGAATATACTAAAAACTATTATGCACTTAAAATGGATAGATTGTATGGAATGTGAATTATATCTCTATAAAGCTATTAACAAAAAAATTTTTAAAATAAAGAATAATGGGCTAAACACTTAGTGGCTCACACCTATAACCCCAGCACTTTGGAAGGTCAAGGCAGGAGGATCACTTGAACCGAGGAGTTTGAGACCAGCTTGGGCAATGTAGTGAGACCCCATTTCTACAAAAAATTTAAAAATTAGCCAAGCATGGTGGTACATGCCAGTAGTCACAGCTACTCAGGAGACTGAGGCAGGAGGATGGCTTGAGCCCAGGAATTTGAGGTAGTGGTGAGCTATGGTCATGCCACTGCACTCTAGCGTGGGCAACAGAGTGAGACCCTATGAAGGTTTTTACCTCAGTACAAACAGTTGAGTCACTCATACTCTTTAGTTCTTACTCCTCAGTGTCATTGCTGTGAGAGCTCTGCTGTTATTTAATTAATTTGTTAATTCCCATTTATCTCATTCCCATACCTGCCACCACAGTTCTTTGTAATTTATGTATGTTTCTTTTTCTATGAGTTGCATAGTGTGTGTGTATTTTAAGTAAATGGTATCATTGTCTGCATTGTTCTGTTTCTTTTCCCACTCAGCATCATGATGAGTGGTGCATTTTAGGGTTTCTCCCTGTTGCTGTGTGTACATCTAGTCTGTGGGAACTGACTGCTACTCGGTTTGCCCTGGTGACATTCCTCTCTTAGTGATAGACACCAAGGTTACCTGTCACCAGCCTTCCCTCGCCGTAATTAATAATCCAGTGTACATTCTCATATGTGTCCCTTTATGCAATGTGGAAAAATTTCTTTGGGTTATATTCCCAAGAGCAGAGTTGCTGGTTGTAGGATATTATATCTCTATCTACATATGCTTATTGTATTTATACTTAGTTAATATGTTTATACTAAGTACTGTCAGATTGCCCTTTAAAATGGCTGTACTGGTCTACCCTCTTTCCAGCAGAATGAGGGTTATAGCCTCCTAGTCCACAAGATGCATAGATTTATTATTATTGTTATTTTTTGAGATGGAGTTTCGCTCTTGTTGCCCAGGCTGGAGTGCAATGGCATGATCTCGGCTCACTGTAACCTCCACCTCCCGGGTTCAAGCGATTCTCCTGCCTCAGCCTCCCGAGTAGCTGGGATTACAGGCATGTGCGTCCACGCCCGGCTAGTTTTGTATTTTTAGTAGAGATGGGGTTTCTCCGTGTTGGTCAGACTGGTCTCGAACTCCCAACCTTAGGTGATCTGCCCGCCTCAGCCTCTCAAAGTGCTGGGATTACAGGTGTGAGCCACCGCACCTGGACAGATTTTTTTTTTTAATTATATTGAGGTATATAACAGTAGAGATGCATAGATTTTGGTAATGGGGACAGGAAAGAAAGATGTCCCTTCTAAGGCTGGGTGCGTTGGCTCATGCCTGTAATCCCAGCACTTTGGGAGGCTGAGGTGGGCAGATGACCTGAGGTCAAGAGTTCGAGACCAGTCTGGCCAACGTGATGAAACCCTGTCTCTATTAAAAATACAAAAATACAAAAATACAAAAATTAGCTGGGCGTGGTGGCATGCGCCTGGGTGGCATGCCCAGAGGCTAAGGCAGGAGAATCTCTTGAACCCAGGAGGCAGAGGTTGCAGTGAGCTGAGATCGCGCCACTGCACTCCAGCCCCGGCAAACAAGAGTGAAACTCCATCTCAAAAAAATAAAAAAATTAAAAATTAGAAAAAGCAATGATAAAAGAATATTTGTTTAGTTTTATTTGTTTAGACTTGTTGAGCTACTGTAGACTCGGATAGAGATAATTACAGGCAGTCAGAAATTATTATATAAAATCCTGCAGTTAGATTCATAATATATTCAGCAGTATGGGGCAGGAGAAAACTGGCTTGATAGCTATTTGGAGCCACCACCAGTAGGATATATGTGGCTGCCAAAAGAGCTAATGTAATCTTAGGCCACTTTAGTAGAAGTAGAGTGTAAGATGGTAGGAGGTAGCCGGTCTCACCACTGGAGGGTTTTGTGTTCTTAAGGAAGAGGTTGGCATGCTGGAATTTGTGTGAAGGAAAACAAGCACCCAGCAGTCCCTCTACCCACCTGCCTACATCTGTACTCATATACGATGCCTTCCCTTCCGTTCTTACGAATGATTTGTTCATGTTTCTGTCTACTAGAAACTAATCCCATCCCTTCTCACCACTCAAGACCTTTGGCAATTCTGCCCTCTCTCTCCTGTGCCATCAGTTTTCCCTGTCTACAGGATCATCCCCATCAGCATACACAGATAAAATGTCATTTCATCCTAAAACTCTCTCTTGACCCCATATCCCCCTTCATTTACCTCCAGATTTTCCCTGCTTTCCAATGCAGCACATCCCGAATTAGGTGGTCATGGTTGCTGTCTCCAGATCCTCTCCTCCCATTTTCCTTCAAACCCACTTCCATCCTTTTGCCTCTCGCATTCCACAGACTGCTCTTGTCAAGGTCACCACTGACCTCTGCCTTGCGAAATCCCAAGGTCAGTTCCCAGTCCTCAGCCCACATGACCTGCCTGCATCCGTCTGTCCCAGCCGATCATTCCCTCCTCTTTAAAATACTCTCTTCCTTTGGCTTTCAGAGAACCCCTGGTTTTCCTCCGCACTGACCATCCCTTCTCAGCCTTTGCTGCTGCTTCCTCATTATCTCCCTGACCTCCAAATGTCAGCAGGCCCGGGGCTCCATTCCTCAGACGTCTTCTCTGTCTACACTCACTCCTCTGGGGATCTCATCCAGTCTATCAAATAACTTTATGACGACTCAGATTTGTATCTCCAATCTGGACTTTTCCCTTGAATGGCATGTTTGTATGTCCACCTTCCTACATGGCATCTCTACTTAATGTCTAACAGGGAATCTCAAGCCTGGCGTTAACTCACACCTAAGTACTGAGCTTTCCCCGCCCTGCTCCCCCAACCTGCTCTTACAGTCTTTCTTCCTCATCTCAATAAAGGCAAGGCTGTTTTCCGGTGCTCAGATCAAAAACCTTACTGCTTCTCTTTTTTCTCACACCTCCTTTCAATTCATTAGAAAACAGTTTTGACTCTACCTTTGTAATGTATCCAGAATTCAGCCTCTTCTCACCACCTTCCCAGTTCCCACTCTGTCTACTCCAAGCCACCACCACTGTTATTTCTTTCCTGAATCACTGCAGTAGCCCCCTAACTAATCTTCTTGCTTCTAGTGTATTCTCAGCATAGGGGCTGGAGTGGTTCTTTTAAAACAGAAGTCTGATCATATCACTTCTCTGCTCCAAACCCCTGGTGCAGAGTTTCTTCATCTCAGCACTGTTGACATTGGGGCCAGATAATTCTTTCTGTGAGGACTCTGTGTGTTGTAGGATGTTTAGCAGCATCCATGGCCTCTACCCACTGGATGCTAATGGCACCTCCCCGCCTACTTTTGCTCTAGAGTAAAAGTAAAGTCCAAATTCTTAGAGCGGTCCAGAAGATCCTGTCTGTTTGCCTCCCATGTGATCGCAGCTTCCTGTTCCCCCATCCTTCGCTCCATTCTCACCATATTGGCTTCCTTGCTAAACCTCAAAGTTGCCACATGCTCTTGGCTCTGGGCCTTTGCATTCGCTGTTTCACCAGCCGACTAGAATGCTCTTCCCCAGGTACCTGTAGAGCTTATTCTCTGTCTGCAGATTTTTTGCTTCAGTAGCACCTCTTTTTCCTTGATTGCTTTATTACTAACACCTGGAACAGTGCTTAGCACATATTAAGTGCTCAGTAAGTGTTTTAGGACTTAAAGGGTGATCTGGTGGCCACCTTAGATTATTTGGAAGACTTTTTAGCAGAAGTGAGAATGGCTTCGTTAATGTTGCATATGACTATGGGTTAATTTGTAAGGAGGCAGATTTGAAGTTATTTAATTGTAAAGTGTACAATTTAATGGCTTTTAGAGTATTCACAGAGTCATGCAACTGTCATCACAATCAATTTTAGAACATTTCCATTATCTCAGAAAAAAACTCCACACCCCTTACCCATTGTCCTCCCACCCACACCTACCCTGCCAGCCCTGGGCAATCTGCTTTCTGTCTATATAGATTCGCCTATTCTGAATATTTTCATATAAATGGAATCATATAATATGCAGCTTTTTCAGTCTGGCCTCTTTACTCAGCATCATGTTTTCAAGGCTTATCTACGCTGTAGCATGTATATACCTATAGCAAGTATAGGTATTTTGTTTGTTTTTGTTGCCAAATAATCTTTTGTATGGATGTACCACATTTCATTTATCCAGTCATCAGTTGATCGACATTTGGTTGTTCCCACTTTTTGGCTATTATAAATAATGCCACTATGAACATTGATTTCTAAGTTTTTGTGTGGCCATAAGTTTTCATTTGTCTTGGGTATATACTTAGGAGTGGACTTGCTGGGTCATATGTAACTCTGTGTTGAACATTTTGAGGAACTACCAAAATATTTTCCAAAGCAGCTGCACCTTTTTCCCATCAGCAGTGTGGGAGGTTTCAGTTTCTCCACATCCTTGCCAGCACCTGTTATTATCTATCACAAAGTTATTTTCCAAAAACAATTCTGTGGATATAAGTGAAAATTTTAAAGGTATGGGCTTATCTTCAGTTTTTACCTCTGGCTTTTGGTTTCTGCCTTTGGAGAAAGTTGCTTTTTTCCCCGTAAAGGGCTGTGCTGTGATTTGTTTTCTCCAGTCTCAACCCACTTGTGACCAGTGGCCCACATTCAGAAAGGGGCAAGTTTGAACCAGGAGCACTGTCCATGGCCTCGGCTTAGAGTCTTCTCTTTGTGAAGGGTCTCAAAGGAGTGGAACCTCCCCCACTGGCATAGAACTCAGAATAAGAAGCTGGCCAGCATGTACAGTCAGTGCTGTCACTCACGGAGGTAGTCAGATATCAAACAGGAAAAGCGTGTGCCTCTTCGATTCTCCCTCTCCCTCTTGCTTTCAGATGGATGATGATGACGACGACGATGACGTAGGAGATCATGACGATGACCACCCTGGGATGGAGGTGGTGCTGCATGAGGACAAGAAGTACTACCCAACAGCCGAGGAGGTGTATGGTCCTGAGGTGGAGACCATAGTTCAAGAGGAAGACACTCAGCCTCTCACAGGTACATCAGGAGGACATGGGCTGTGCGGAGTGAAATTGAAACCTGGAAACTTCATAGCTCTCAGCAAACCTTAAAAGTTCAGTGAATGAATTGATCAGTTTTTCTTTACTACCTTCAGGTACTGTTTCTGGTTTAAGATTTAGTTAATCCTTTTTTAATATTCAGTAAAGTTCTTAACTAGTTTCTAAGCAAATAAGAGTTATTTCTTATTTATCTGCTATCAGTTTAGGTGCATGAAGACTGTCGTTAAGTTTATTTACCCTGTGGCCTGATATGTTTTTCCATCCAAATAACTCCAACCCTTTTAACCAGTTCTCATAATATGTATTGTCCATTTCTTTTTCTTTTTTTGAGACGAAGTCTTGCTCTGTCGCCCATGCTGGATTACGGTGGCACAATCTTGGCTCACTGCAACCTCCGCCTCCCTGATTCAAGCAATTCTGCTTCAGCCTCCCTAGTAGCTGGGATTATAGGTGTCTGCCACCATGCCTGGCTAATTTTTGTATTTTTAGTAGAAACGGGGTTTCACCATGTTGGCCTGGCTGGTCTTGAACTCCTGACCTCAAGTGATCTCTCTGCCCTGTCCTCCCAAAGAGCTGGGATTACAGGCGTGAGCCACTGCAACCAGCCTTATTGTCCATTTAATAGTTTTCATAGGCTGGAAGCGGTGGCTCATGCCTGTAATCCCAGTACTTTGGGAGGCCAGAGCAGGAGGATCGCTTGAACCCAGCAGTTCGAGACCAACCTGGGCAACATGGTGAAACCCCATCTCTACAAAAAAAGTACAAAAATTAGCTGGGCATGGTGGTAGATGCCTCCTGGCAACTCGGGAGACTGAGGCAGGAGGATCACTTGATCACGCCATTTGTACGCTTCAGCCTGGGTAACAGTGAAACCCTGTCTCCCAAAAAAAAAAGTTTTCATTGATCTTTTGGAAAGTGATTGCATCTTATAAATGCAAGGAAAGATCCTGAACTGACATTGACCTCAACCTACATCCATTCCCCCTCCCTCCCTCCCACTGTCCCTCAAAATGAAGCCCAGACTCCTCTTTCCACAATTCAAGGTCCTTCACTGTCTCATGCCAAACAGCATTTCCAAAACTTTCTCAACATATGAGTGATCCTTGAGAGTAAAATAAATTGATGTCATACATCATACATTCTGAAAGGTCAGTCTAATGGAATAGTGTTCCGTATTTTTATGTTTTATGCCCACCTACACATCACTACCTTTTTTTTTTCTTCTAGAACCCATTATTAAGCCAGTGAAAACCAAGAAATTCACTCTGATGGAGCAGACATTACCTGTTACGGTGTATGAGATGGAGTAAGTTACAAGGTTTCTCAGCTTCTCTGCAGGAATGCTGTGGGTTCATGTTTTTGTAGAGATAAGAGGTGGCTTTTGGCTGAAATAGCTAGTAAATTGTGGCCGTACATAGCTCTCAAATTCTCCTTCAGCTTGTGTGGCTGCTGGGATATTTGGGGTCAATCTTAACTTTTCTCTTGGTGTTCATCCAAATGTTAGCTGTTTCCTCTTCCAGATCTTTAGTTTGATGTTGAAAGCCAGCCTTCAAGAGAGATCTGGGTATTGCAGTTATCACTGTTGGATCCACCAGAGCCTGTTTGGACTCAATAAGACTGCTGAGTATTTTAGGAATATATTAGCTCTTTATTTTGTTTTTGTTGTTGTTATTTTGAGACAAGGTCTCGTTTTGTTGCTCAGGCTGTAGTGCAGTGGCACAATCATGGCTCATTGCAGCCTTGACCTCCCAGGCTCAATAGATGTGTCTGCCTCAGCCTCCTGAGCAGCTGGAACTACAGGAACACACCACCACGCCTGGCTAATTTTTGTGTTTTTTGTACTGTTTCACTATGTTGCCCAAGCTGGTCTCAAACTCCTGGGCTCAAATGATTCTCCTGCCTTAGTTTCCCAAAGTGCTGAGATTACAGGCGTGAGCTACCATGCCCGGCCCTCAACTCTTTATTTTGAAAAGGAGAGCAAAAGGAGGTAGATATATGTGTAGGATCATTTAGGTGCTCTCTCTCTCTCTTTTTTTTTTTTTCGATGCGGGGTCTCACTCTGTTGCCCAGGCTGGAGTGCAGTGGCATGATCTCAGCTCTCTACAACCTCCACCTTCCAGGTTCAAGTGATTCTCCCGCCTCAGCCTCCTGAGTAGCTGGGATTACAGGCGCATGTCACCACGTTCAGCTAATTTTTATATTGTTAGTAGAGATGGGGTTTCACCATGTTGGAAGTCCTGGCTGGGTGTGGTGGCTCACGCTTGTAATGCCAGCACTTTGGGAGGCCAGGGCAGGTGGATCACCTGAGGTCAGGAGTTCGAGACCTGCCTGACCAACATGGTGAAACCCCGTCTCTGCTGAAAATGCAAAAATTAGCTGGTCGTGGTGGCCTCGGCCTCCCAAAGTGTTGGGATTACAGGCGTGAGCCTCTGCTCCCGGCCTAATTTTTGTATTTTTAGTAGAGACAGGGTTTTACCATGTTGGCCAGGCTGGTCTTGAACTCCTGACCTCAGGTAATCCACCCACCTCGGCCTCCCAAAGTGCTGGGATCACAGGCATGAGCCACCATGCCCAGCCTCTTCTTCCTTTTTTAGTCTTGCTGTTTTACTATTGAAATCCCCGTGATAGTCCATTCACAGATTGTGTTACCTCTTGGATAAGTTTCTTGCATTCCCAAAGCCAGAGCTATGTAAGTATAGACATTCACATCTGCCTGAGCACTCTCCAGTTGGTCTGAAAGTTGTTCCTGGCCAAAAAATACCTGAAACACCTTTACACCACTCCTCATTTGGAAACGTTTGCCAATCTCTCTTTTCTCTTTTCCTTTGTCCTTTCAGTTTCTTGGCGGATCTGATGGATAACTCAGAGCTCATCAGAAATGTGACCCTTTGTGGACATCTCCACCATGGCAAGGTAAGACGGAACTTTCAGCTACTTGGAACAGGATTTCTCTTTTGTACCTGCTCATGTTTTAGCCCTTAGAGTCACAGCGGTTGAGGTTTGAGGTCACAAGGCTCAACCTCCTGACTAGGGGTGCTGCATGCCTGTTACGAAGTCATACTGTGAAATTCTGGCTTTTCCCAAGCAGCAGGTGGAGCCTGTTCCTAAGCCACTTGCATGCCTGAGCCTTATGTCTACATCTGGACAGAAGATGGGAAATTGAGCCTTACTCTGATTTTTATAAGTTTTCATTTCCTGAGGGATGCCTGTCTAAGAAAGATTTCATCTTTTATTTGAAAATAATCCTGTGGCTTCAGTGTTAATTATTTGCTGTCCCATAACCCTCCTTGCTCTCCTTTTTCTCTCCTTATCCCTAAATTATGTGGTGTATTGGGAGCTGGGGGAAGGGCACAGTAAATTTTCCTCTGTGGTCGGCAGATGTTAACTGTTTCTTCCCTTTTAGACATGTTTTGTGGATTGTTTAATTGAACAGACTCACCCGGAAATCAGAAAGCGCTATGACCAAGATGTAAGTAGAACTTCTGTTGAGGGTTTAGGATGAACCATTCAGAACAGATAGAGATGTCTCTCTCCTCCTTCCTTCACCCTTCCTGTTCTCTATAAATAATGACGCCTCCAAAGTGCAGCTTTATAATTGTGATCTCTATTAATAGGCTGTAAGAAAATAATTTCAACTTTCTCGGGAGCATAGAGAATATTGAGCTGCAGTATTTTTGGATGATCCATTTTGCACTTGGGATCCCTCCTCTGTTATGATATATCCTGACTTTTATAGTCTATTCTTTCCTGTTATAGTATTAATAGCCTGCTCTATAAATATGGTACAATTGTACCTGGTTTTCATGGTAAATTTAAATGCCTGTGAATGAGGCCAACTGTGTCTGCAAGTCTCAGTGCAATAAATGTTCAAACCCTGCCAGATTGATTGTTTTAACACTTTAGCATTAAGGCTGACATGTGTCTCCCTTTACCACACTAAGAATTCTGTGCATTTGATATAAATTATCTCTCAGCTATACCTGGTCTTTAGTGACCTCCCCCAACTCAAAAAGAGTGGTGGCTCATGCCTATAATCCCAGTACTTTGGGAGGCCAGGACAGGAGCATCACTTGAGGTCAGGAGTTTGAGACCAGCCTGGCCAACATGGCGAAACTCTATCTCTACTAAAAATGCAAAATGTAGCTGGGTGGGCACGGTGGTGCACACCTGTAGTCCCAGCTACTCAAGGGGCTGAGGCAGGAGAATCGCTTGAACCTGGGTGGTAGAGGTTGCAGTGAGCCAAGATTATGCCACCACACTCTAGTCTGGGCGACTGAGTGAGACTCCATCTCAAAAAAAGACAAAATCACAACCAAAAAGAAAAACCCAGCCATGTGTGGTGGCTCACGCCTGTAATCCCAGCACTTTGGGAGGCTGAGCCGGGGGGATCACATGAGGTCAGGAGTTCGAGACCAGCCTGACCAACATGATGAAACCCTGTGTCTACCGAAAATACAAAATTAGCTGAGCATGGTGGCGCACGTCTGCAATCCCTGCTACTTGGGAGGCTGAGGCAGGAGAATCTCTTAAACCCTGGAGGCAAAGGAGGTTGCAGTAAGCTGAGATCGCGCCATTGCACTCCAGCCTGGGCTACAAGAGCAAAACTCTGTCTCCAAAAAAGTAAAAATAAAAAAATCCCTCCACACACCCAGGAGCATTTCCAGCTGGGAGGGCACTGGTCTCATTGTCTGTAATTGCTGTGGGGACACCCTGCTCTCTCTCTCTCTTTAATCTCAAAGAAACCCTTGAGCTGGGAGGTAGTGAGGGAAAGTGATTGATGGTTCGTTTGTGGGAGAGCAGTCTCAACTCAGGTGGTAACAACAGTTAATTTTTTTTCAGCTGTGCTATACTGACATCCTCTTCACAGAGCAAGAGGTAAGCATGCCTTGGGGAATCTGATTGTCACCTACACCAGACCCACCAGTAATAGTTTTGTAGGGAATGTAGAGGAGCCTTTATGATAGCATTTTAGTTCATATCCTACTCCTCTCTCTCCACTTCTCACATCCCATCTCCTTCTTCCCCCAGTTACTCCAGGGTTATAACTTGAAAAAGAACTGGGTAGGCAAGCTGTAGGTTAGGAGGGGAACCCTCCTGTTCTTGACTAGATTAAATTTGGCCTAATATAGGAGAAGTACTAAGAGGCGATGTCTGCATTTGTGCTATAAGTTACGCAGAAGCTCAACATGATTTTTTTAAAATGACATCATCCTTTAAAAATCCGCAGGATGAGTCCATCCATATGATGACCTCTTTCTAGGAGTAGCTTCTCTTTGAAAATGGGTTCCTATATCTTTGTGTTTCTCTTTTTGTCTTTCCTTCCGGATCTTTCTCTCTAATCTCTGACCCCTTCTGTTTCCCTCCTCTTATTTCTGTCTCTTTTTCCTAATGGAAGTTTTAAGTATAATAAGTATGGTTAACTAAAGGCACTTGGAATTAGTAAAGATAGATAGGCAATCAATGTTAGCTGTTATTATTTTATAATGTATTTATGTATTTGTTTGGAGTTTTAAAAAAAATGTTTATTTCTGTCATAGCTTTTATATTTCTTTTTTAAAAAAAAACTAAAATACCCCAGATTGTTTCTTTTTACTTTCAAGGTGCTCAGCTATTGTTTTTGTTTCTAATGTATAAAGAGGATGAGATTCTAGGACCCTGGATTCTCTGATAAGGCTTAATACTGTTTTGTTTGCAGTAATTCATTTTCATCTTTTCACATTTGAAACAAGTCCCCCAAAAATGGTGTCTAACACCAAGATATTTTATCTTCAAGGTCATGCTGGCTAGAGGCCTAGATAAAAATCACCCACTATAAGGAGAGGCATCAGTGTAATTTACTAGCAACTGGGGAGCCCCAAAAACAAAATGAACCCCTCTTGCATAGGAAGAGGTCTTGACCACTCTTTGTTCCTTTCAGAGAGGTGTAGGCATCAAAAGCACTCCTGTGACAGTGGTCTTGCCAGACACCAAAGGAAAATCTTATCTCTTCAATATCATGGACACTCCAGGTAGGACATCCTTTGGCTTTTGATTATTAGAACCTTGTCTTGGTTTTGCGTGTGTCCTCTCACTTTTCGGAGCAGAACGGAGCAGTGCATCTTTGTTTTTACATTCCCTCACCTTCATTGAAACCATTTTCCATTTTGACTCTCTCCTTTGTTTCTGACTTGTTAATTTAGCAAGCATCATACTCCAGGCCTTCTATTCATGTCTTTACTCTTTCGAATATTTAAAAATGTTAGGGAATTGTATTCATTTATTCATTTCAGCCTGTCAGGCCCCATGCTATCTGCTGGGGAGCTAAAGGTGAGTCAGAGCCAGTCCCTGGCCTTGAGTACTCTCAGTCTTTTGAAGGAGACTGGTGAACATCCTGATGACCTTGGGAGCAGCGCACCTTGGCTGACTCTTCCTCCTATGGAAAGGACCAACTGGGGCAGAGTTTTTAAAAACTGGAAGGTTTTAGGTTTTGGCTGATTTGCTTTCTTGGCACCATCTGATGCCCAGTGTCCTGATACCTCTCAGCCCCTGCCCCCATAGCACCTTGCCAGGAACTGCCTTCCTCGAGCAGCACACTGTGCTCCAGGCCCTGCTTTGCCCTTTCTCCTGCCTCCAGATTGTCTTGAATCCCACAGAACTCTACTTACTGCTGATTAGGCTAAGCTGGTCTGTGTGTGTGGACTCATGCTCTCCTGGGCATGAGTCCCAGGAGTCCCTCTTTTTATGTAGGGAGCCTCCCGTAGGAAAGCTTAATGCAAGGATATGACACTAATGGGGGATATTTTTACCCTGTGGGGGGTTATGGCGAGGAGGAAAGGGGATATTCGGAGGTTCACGGGCTTTGAAGTGCCCCCTCAGTTCACCCTACCAGTTAATTGTGCTTTATCCTGCACCAAGTGATGACTTACTTAGTATTTGCTTTTCAGGACATGTGAATTTCTCTGATGAGGTCACAGCTGGCTTGCGCATCTCAGATGGAGTGGTCCTTTTCATTGATGCTGCTGAGGGGGTGAGTCAGACTCAGCTCCCAGAATCTCATCCACCTGTTATGTTTGCCCCCACCCCGCAACAATACCCAGAGCACTGAGTGAGCTGGGAGCCAGAGAACTTGAAACTCTCTGGGATTAAGGCTCAAATTTGCTCTAAAATTAAAGCAGCAAATGTTTCAAAATTAATTCTTACCGGGTGTGGTTGCTCACACCTGTAATCCCAGCACTTTGGGAGGCTGAGGTGGGTGGATCACCTGAGGTCAGGAGTTCGAGACCAGCCTGGCCAACGTGGCGAAACCCCGTCTCTACCAAAAATACAAAAATTAGCCAGGTGTGGTGACCCATGCCTGTAATCCCAGCTACTCATTAGGCTGAAACAGGAGAATCACTTGAGCCTGGGAGTTGGAGGTTGCAGTGAGCCGAGATTGCGCCACTTCACTCCAGCCTGGGTGCTAGAGTGAGACATTCTCTCAAAAAACGAAGAAAAAAATTATCAATGTGGGTGCCCTTGCTTCCTGCTCAGTGAAGCTCAAAATGATAAGACTCATTGCTATTCAGAAAACACAAAGATAAAATGACAAATGTAAATAAAAGGAAGGGAGGAGTGTATGTTCTTGTAAGTGGATTTTTAATATTAGTTGTGTTTTTCCAAGAGATTGGAGTTAAAATACCAGGGTGTCTTCTGTATTCCTCAATTGAGAGATGGAACACTTTGGCTAACCTTATTCGTGTTATCATTGGTGAGACAGCCAGCAGAGGGAGCCAGAATTGTCTTTTTTTAAACTGACTTTTCATTTTGGAATAGCAGCAAACTGAAAAGCTTCAAGAATTGTTCAAAGAACCCACCCTCATTTACTTCGTAATTCTCTCTCTGTACACGTTCAGACACACACAGAGAGACAGGTGTGTACATTTTCCCCTTGAACTGTTTGAAAGTAAAATATTTCAGAATGTATTTTCTAAGAATAAGGACATTCACCTATGTAACCACAGTACAGTTGCCAAAATCAGAAAATTTGACATTGATACAGTCCTGTTGTACAGATCTTTTTTTGCAGACCTTATTCAGTTTTATTAATCATACCAACAATTTCCGTTATAGAATTTTTTCCCCTAATCCAGAGTGATGCATAACATTTAGTTTTCATGATTTTCAAGTCTCTCTGAATTGAAGCTGTTCTTTAGCCTCTCTTGGTCTTTTATGACATTGACACTTTTGAAGAGTACAGGGCACTTATTTTGTAGAATGTCTTTCAATTTGGGTTTGTCTAATACTTCCTCGTGATTAAGCTCTGGTTATTAGAATCTGGTTATTCTTCTCCTTATCAAACTTTATCTACTAGTTTTGTCATCTATTGATGATTCTTGGCTTGTTCCTACAATAGTTGCAAATAGTGAGTCTTCTAACTCTTCTTATTCCTTCTGTTTTGTTTTGGTTTTGAGATGGAGTCTTGCTCTGTTGCCCAGGCTGGAGTGAAGTGGTGCGATCTCAGTTTACTGCAACCTCTGCCTTTTGGGTTCAAGCAATTCTCCTGTCTCAGCCTCCCAAATAGCTGAGATTACAGGTGCACGCCACCACACCTGGATAATTTTTGTATTTTTAGTAGAGACAGGGTTTCATTCACCATGTTGGCCAGGCTGGTCTCGAACTCCTGACCTCAAGTGATCTGCCCACCTAGGCCTCCCAAAGTGTGGAGATTACAGGCGTGAGCCACCGCTTCCAGCCATTGTTGTTTGTTGTTGTTGTTGTTGTTGTTGTTTTGTTTTTTTGAGATGGAGTCTTGCTCTTCCGCCCAGGCTGGAGTGCAGTGGCGCAATCTTGGCTCACTGCAACCTCTGCCTCCCAGGTTCAAGTGATTCTCCTGCCTCAGCCTCCCAGGCAGCTGGGACTACAGGCGCCTGCCACCACACCTGGCTAATTTTTGAATTTTTTGTAGAAATGGGGTTTCACCATGTCGGTCAGGCTGGTCTTGAACTCCTGACCTCAAGTAGTCCACCTGCCTCGGCCTCCCAAAGTGCTGGGATTACAGGCATGAGCCACTGCGCCTGGCCTATTGGTTGGAATTATGTTGTAAAGAAGTGCTTTTGTTTCTCCCCCATTTGCTTATTATCACTGTGGATATTTGGGTTTGCATTTTATTCAGTGAGTTATAATCTGTTACTGTCCTTATGGATTCCGGTGCTCTAGTGCTCTTGTCCCAGATTTGGCTACTGAGAGCTCCTTCAGGCTGATTCCATCATCTTTTTCACGCCTCATCGTTTTTTGAGCACTTCCTTACTTTCAAGCACAAAAAGATGTTCTAGACGTTATCTTTCCTTGTCCCAATCCTGGACTCAGCCATTTCTTCAAGGAGCTCTGGCTTTTTTTTTTTCCTTCAAAGAGATGGCATCTTGCCCTCTGGCCCAGGCTGGAGTGCAATGGTACAATTATACCTCACAGCAGCCTCGAGCTCCTGGGCTCAAGTGATTCACTCACTTCAGCCTCCCAAATAGCTGGGACTACAGGTATGTGCCAACATGCCCAGCTTATTTTTAAATATTTTTTTGAGAGATGGGGTCTCGCTCTGTTGCCGGGGATGGTCTTGAACTTCTGGCTTCAAGCAATCCTCCTGCCTTGGCCTCCCCAAAATGCTGGGATTACAGGTGTGAGTGACTGCACCTAGCCTAGCAGCTCTGGCTCATAGTGGGGAGTAGTTTTTTTTTTTTTTTTTTTTTTTTTTGAGACGGAGTCTCACTCTGTCGCCCAGCAGGCTGGAGTGCAGTGGTGCGATCTTGGCTCACTGCAAGCTCTGCCTCCCGGGTTCACGCCATTCTCCTGCCTCAGCCTCCCAAGTAGCTGGGACTACAGGTGCCTGCCACCACGCCCAGCTCATCTTTTTGTATTTTTAGTCGAGACAGGGTTTCACCGTGTTAGCCAGGATGGTCTCGATCTCCTGACCTCGTGATTCGCCCACCTCAGCCTCCCAAAGTGCTGGAATTACAGGCATGAGCCACTGTGCCCGGCCAGTGGGGATTAGTATTTAGAAACAAAGGTTTGGATGTGCTCATTGCTACTGGGGTACATTGCTTCTAGGCCCTCTCACTGAGCACAGCTAGGTTATATACACTCATACATATCTATAACTATTTCTACACACATATATTAAAAATCATGCATTAATCCTAATACCCCCAATTCCATTTCAGCACCACTGGCTCTTCCCAGCCTTCTTAGTTCCTTCTTTAGCACTGAGAAACCTGGCTCCCAACATCATTGTTCATGGGTTTATTCATTTCTCAATCCTGCAAGGTGCCCTCTTAAAGTTCCTGTGTCTATCTTCGGGCAGGATGCTCTCTGCTTCCACCCAGTAATATTTCCCGAGGTCTTTTTTTCTCCCCAGGCTTCATGGTTTGAAATAGTGCCTTCTTTGGTTCTGCTTTGAACTTTCTGCCCTCCTTGTTCTTCTTACCACCTTCTGAGCCTTGTTTTTCTCAGGTGATGCTGAACACAGAGCGGCTGATCAAGCATGCGGTGCAGGAGAGGCTGGCAGTCACTGTGTGCATCAACAAGATTGACCGGCTGATCCTGGAGCTGAAGCTGCCTCCAACTGATGCTTATTACAAGCTGCGCCACATTGTGGATGAGGTCAATGGATTAATAAGGTAGAAAACCCCTGGGAGTGGATTTCCTGTCCTCGGAGGCTCTGGGTTTTAACCCTGAATACCTCTGGGAACAACTGTGATTTATTTCTAAGCGTGTGTTGATGAGTTTGTTGGGCAAAACTAGAGGCACATCCTGGGACTCTGCAGGGGTTGACTTCATACTTTAACACATCTTCATTTTACTATTATGATCAGTACTTGGGCTGTATTAATTTCTTCTCTTTTTAGAGATAGGATCTCTGTTACCCAAGCTAGAGTGCAGTGTCACAATCACAGCTCACTGCAGCCTCGAACTTCTGGGCTCAAGCAATCCTCCCACCTCAGTCTCCTGATAGCTGGGACCACAGGCATGTGCCACCATACCTGGCTATATATTTTTTAAATTAATTAATTTATTTTTTTTTGAGACGGAGTCTCGCTCTGTCGCCCAGGCTGGAGTGCAGTGGCATGATCTCGGCTCACTGCAAGCTCCGCCTCCCGGGTTCATGCCATTCTCCTGCCTCAGCCTCTCAAGTAGCCGGGACTACAGGCACCCGTCACCACGCCCGGCTAATTTTTTGTATTTTTAGTAGAGACAGGGTTTCACTGTGTTAGCCAGGTTGGTCTTGACCTTCTGAGCTCGTGATCCGCCCACCTCGGCCTCCCAAAGTGCTGGGATTACAGGCGTGAACCACCACCCCCGGCCAATTTTTTTTAATTTTAATTTTTATTTTTTATTTATTTATATTTTTTTTGTAGAGATGGAGTCTTGCTATGTTGCCCAGGCTGGTCTTAAACTGGCCTCAAGCAATTCTTCCACCTTGGCCTTCCAAAGTGCTAGCATTACAGATTTGAGCCGCTGCACCCAGCCTGGGCTCTAGAATCAGCCTCCTCTTCACCACATACCAACCATGTAAAGTTGGGCAGATTACTTAAGTTCAGTTTCTGCTTCAGTAAAAAAGGAATAATATTTGCCTAACAGCAATAGTAGCAAATATTATTAGGCATTTATAGTATAAGTTAACATAACTTACAAGGGATGTTATAAGAAATTAAATAGATATTTGATGGAACACAGCACAGTGCTTGCAATGTAGCAGCTGATGTGCTGAATAATGTTAGCTGCTATTATCTTATAATTAACACAGTCTAAATAAATTAAGAACTGTTTGCTGTGTTTCTGTGGATATACCTGCTTCTCAACAAGATGGATTTAGGGCTTGCATTGATACATATGAGTGATGGTTATGATACCTTAGAATATAATATCAAAGGGCCTTTGAAACAGAGGTTAAATATATCTTAAAGACAGTCTTACTACAGGCTGAAAGATGTGCTAGATGACTTCCTGCAGCCCCTCAAATGGGCCTGTGAGGAGGCCGTCCTACTGAAAGAATGCCTCTCCAACTGAAAGAATGCCTCTCCATTTAAGGATTGGGGATGGAACCTGTGTGGCTAGAGACAGATACCTTCAGGAGCCTTCCCAGTGTGTAGCACTACTTTTCAAAAGGAATATCTTCACCCCATCTCTGCAAGGACTGAGAATGACTAGAGCCCAGTGTGACATCATGAGTCCAAAGGATGAAATGACAAATATATTTTAATAAGAAGGCCAAGCGTGATAGCTTATGCCTGTAATCCCAGCACTTTGAGAGGTCAAGGCAGGAGGATCCCTTGGGGCTAGGAGTTCAAGGCCAGCCTGGGCAACATAGCTAGACTCTGTGTCTACAAAAAATAATTTTGAAATTAGCTTGGCGTGCTGGCATGTGTTTGTAGTCTTAGCTACTCGGGAGGCAGAGGCAAGAGGATCACTTGAGCCAAGGAGTTCAGGGTTATAGTGAGCTATGATTGTGCTGTTGTACTCCAATGTGGGTGACAGAGTGAGATCCTGTCTCTTAAAAAAAAAAAAAAAAAAAAAAGAGGCCGGGCACGGTGGCTCACGCCTGTAATCTCAGCACTTTGGGAGGCCGAGGCGGGCGGATCATGAGGTCAGGAGATCGAGACCATCCTGGCTAACACGGTGAAACCCCATCTCTACTAAAAAATACAAAAAAAATTAGCCGGGCTTGGTGGCGGGCGCCTGTAATCCCAGCTACTGAGGAGGCTGAGGCAGGAGAATGGCGTGAACCCGGGAGACGGAGCTTGCAGTGAGCTGAGATTGCACCACGGCACTCCAGCCTGGGCAACAGAGCAAGACTCCATCTCAAAAAAAAAAAAAAAAAGTAGGAAGTGGGATAGAGCTGAACTTAACCTGATTTACTAAAATAGGAAGTCAAGAGGTCATGTTTCAAACCTCTAAACAAGAGGCCAGGCACAGTGGCTTATACCTAGAATCCCAGCACTTTGGGAGGCCAAGCAGGATATTGCTTGAGCCCAAGAGTTCAAGGTTCAAGCCTGGGCAACATGGCTTTTGTATCTCATCTCTACAAAAATTAGCCAGGCTTGGTGGTTCATGCCTGCAGTCCCAGCTACTTGGGATGCTGAGGAGGGAGGATTGCGTGAGCTTGAGAGATCGAGGCTACAGTGAATGGTGATTGTACCACTGTGCTCCAGCCTGGGCAACAAGGCAAGACCCTGTCTCAAAAGCAAAAGAACCTCTAAGCAAGAAAAAGTAACATAAACATATTACTTAGAAACCTGAAGGTAAATACTCTAAAAGCAGCTTTAAAAGTGTTGAAAGCAGTTGCCTCTAGGGAGCATAACTTGGGGGTAGAGTGCAATGGGGTAGAGGGCTGTTCTTTATAAGCCATACCTTTATTTCTATATTGGGACATTCCATAAGATAATGTGCCAGTAAGGCTAGGGTTGTGGATTTGATCCCCTTGTACAACTCGTTTTCTTATAAATGTTAGTGAACTCAGATGCTCGTGGTTTCTGCATGGCTTTTAAGATTGAAAGTTTTAACACTGTAAAAGCCAAACACAAAAGAATAAAGAGTATGGCAGTGAGGGTAAAGAGCAGAGTTGCTTTTCTTCATTTCCTTTCTTTTCTCTTTTTTAAATGATGTTTATGTCTGCTTGTATTTGTGAAATTGAGGTTTTTCGTCAAATGTATTTCTGTCTTATCACATTAGATTCATTTCCTGTGTTCTAAGGTTTTTGTCTCTGTCCTGTAGGTTTCCCCTTGTCTGTCTGGTGCAGTTAACTTTTCCAAGATTGTGCAGAATGTTCCCAGCTCTGGGAAATCAACTTGTTATTGGGAATTAGGGGAACAGCTCCATCATGTCACTTTCTTGGACCAGGCTGTTGGCAAAACTGAGTGTCTTGCACAAGTCCCTTCCGAGGGCTGGAGAGTGGCTGTGATACCGAGTTCCTGCCCTTCCCCTTGGCAGTGCGTCCGGGCTGCTGCAGCCTGGCACTGTGTTCACCACTGTCTCTGTTTCAGCATGTATTCCACTGATGAGAACCTGATCCTTTCCCCACTCCTGGGTAACGTCTGCTTCTCCAGCTCCCAGTACAGCATCTGCTTCACGCTGGGCTCCTTTGCCAAGATCTATGCCGACACCTTTGGTAAGCGCTGGCTGGCAGTCTGTCTCACCAGCTTCCCCTGAGTCCTGTGTGCCTTTCCTGCTGAATGACTCAGAAATTGGCTTCGTATCAGCACCCTGCTGGGGGAACATTTTATCACCTGTTATTATCACATTTGGGGGTCTTTGTGGCCTTGAGACCCTTTCTTCAGGCTAAGTGGTTTCTAAATAATAGAAAAATAAAAGTGAATAGGAGGACATGGGAGAAGAAGGAGGTCATTTTAGGAATAAAAGTCTCTCCTAGAGTGAGACAGGTTTTGTAAAACAGGAATCATCCATGCCCACAGGCACTTTCAGACCTTCTCACAGGTGGCATCTCCCTCACTGTTAGTGCTTCTAGCCAGCCGTATGGAGGCAGACATCAATTTCATGGGTCTAATTGAGAACTCATGGTGACCTTGCAGCCAGCATCTACAGGCCTCTGCTAACATGCCCAGCCGCATGATATCATGGGTTCCTGGAGCCTCAACACCAGATCCTTGAGACCAGATTCCCACTGTGAGAGACTCCCTGGCTCTTCATCTTTGCACTTCCCCAGTTACCTCAGATTCCAATAGGAATCGTGCACTGAGAGTCTTTTCTGTGTTCAATGTTGCAGTTCCTTAGAGGGAAGTCACTGTTACCCCGTTCTTAGAGTCGAGCAGACAGGCTCCGTGAGATGTCTCATGACCAGTAGGCGGTGGAGCATCAGCGTTTCTATTCTTGCCAGTCAGTTGTCCTGCCGCACTCTTAGCATGGAGCCCTTTGCTCTTGTGAAAAAAAAATGAGGGATTAAAGTTCAGTCTTTTTTGGCCAGGCGCGGTGGCTCACGCCTGTAATCCCAGCACTCTGGGAGGCTGAGGCAGGCAGATCACGAGGTCGGGAGATCAAGACCATCCTGGCTAACACGGTGAAATCCCGTCTCTACTAAAAATGCAAAAAAATTAGCCAGGCGTGGTGGCGGGCACGTGTAGTCCCAGCTACTGGGAGTCTGAGGCAGGAAAATGGCGTGAACCCAGGAGGCAGAGCTTGCAGTGAGCTGAGATCACGCCACTGCACTCCAGCCTGGGCGACAGAGCAAGACTCCATCTCAAAAAAAAAAAAAATTGAAGTTCAGTCTTTTTTGACCAGGTGCAGTGGCTCACGCCTGTAATCCCAGGACTTTGGGAAGCTGAGGCAGGCGGATCACTTGAGCCCAGTAGTTTGAGACCAGCCTGGGCAACATGGCGAAACCCCATCTCTACAAAAAAATACAAAAAATTAGGTGGGCATGATGGCACTGGCCTGTAGTCTGAGCTCGGGAGGATCACTTGAGCCCGGGAGGTTGAGGCTACAGTGAGCCGTGATTGCACCATTGCACTCCAGCCCGGGCAACAGAGCAAGACCCTGTCTCAAAAAACAAGAAAAATTTGGTTCTTTTTCTTTTTTTTTTGAGACATAATCTCACTCTGTTGCCTAGGCTGGAGTGTAATGGCACGATCTCGGCTCACTGCAACCTCCACCTCCTGGGTTTAAGTGATTCTCCTGCCTCAGCCTCCTGAGTAGCTGGGATTACAGGTACATGCCACCATGCCCAGCTAATTTTTGTATTTTTAGTAGAGATGGGGTTTCACCATGTTGGTCAGGCTGGTCTCGAACTCCTGACCTCGTGATCCGCCCACCTCGGCCTCTCAAAGTGCTGGGATTACAGGCATGAGCCACTGTGCCTGGCCTGTGTACTATGTTCTCATAATAAAGTAAGCTGGAGAAAAGAAGATGTTACAAAGAAAATCATGAGAAAAAACACATTTACTGTTCATTAAGTGGAAGTGGATCATCATAAAGGTCTTCATCTTCGTCATCTTCACATTGAGCAGGCTAAGGAAGAGAAAGCATTGGTCTTGGTGTCTCAGGTGGCAGAGGCAGGAGAAAAATCCATGTATAATTGGAACCGAGACATTCAAACCATGTTATTCAAGGGTCAACTGTATACATATGTAATCTGTGTTTTTCACACAGCATTGGGCCATTGACCATTTTCTTGTTATTAGATGTATATATCAGTTATTTCCAGATGGCTCTTTTTTAAAAATGGGTAGCTAAACAATAAATGAAATTAAACTGAACAGGGTTCCAGTAGAAGTTTGTGTTTCTAAATGTCCATTGTATGAGCATGTGAAGCAAAATCCAAAACCCTTTTGTAATTATAATGCAGAGATGATTCCAATTTTGATTGAAAATGATCCTCAGCCTTGGGCGAGATTGTTGTTCATCCTTTGAACCCACTGTTAGTTTATGCCAGAGCTAGCTATGGGCTGGGCTGCAGCAGCGTTATCATGGAAAGCCATGTGTAGACTTCTGTAAAGTCAGCACTGAAGGGAATATTGAAGAGATCATTGAGTCGTCCTCTTCATTTTACATGAGGGGAAACTATGCCCATGGTCACAGAAATTACTAATAGAGTAGGAACTAGAATCCATTTACACCTTACTACCAAAACTGATACCATGTGCTCTCGCTAGGAATATAATACAATAAGGCATCATGAACAACTTCGGACTTCTATAAACTTCATCCAGTGGACGAACAGAATCCCACAGAGTGATGAATGGCAATGTGAGGTGATAGTGTGAGCTGAGTGCTGTAGGCAGATACAGCTGAGAGAATTTAGGGGTGGGGTAGGGCTCAGCCTCAATGGCTTGGAGTCAGGTAAAGCCGAGGGAAAGAGATGGGGCTTGGGCAAATAAAGAGTAGAAAGCCAAGAATTCCAGACTTGCAGGGCTGGAGAAAGAGGCATAGAGGCAGGTGGTGTTAGTCATGGCCTGTTCAGGTAACAGTGGAATGTTTAACCAAGGAGAAGAGTTCAAGTTCAGGCTAGGTCCAGTGGCTCATGCCTGTAATCCGAGCACTTGGGGAGGCCAAAGTAGAGGATCACTTGAGGCCAGGAGTTCAAAACCAGCCTAGGCAACATGGCAAGACCTCGTCTCTACAAAAAATTTTAAAAATTAGCTGGCCGTGATGGCGCACACCTGTAGTCCCAGCTACTCGGGAGGCAGAGGTGGGGGGATTGCATGAGCCAGGAAGGTCGAGGCTGCAGGGAGCCAAGGTTATGCCACTGCACTCCAGTGTGGATGACAAAGCAAGACCCCATCTCAAAGAAAAAAAGTTCAGTGATTATACTGCATGGTAAGTGCATTAACAGAGGGCATAAACATTCAGTGGTTCAGAGGAAGGAAAGTTTCAGTAACTAACAATGTGGGAAAGAAGGGGAGAATTTGGTAATTAACAGAGTAGGGAAGAAAAAGATTTTGAGTTTAGCTGAAAATTTGGTGGTAACCTTACTGATGGAGACAGAGAAGTCTGAAGGGGAATGTGACTTTCGGGAAAAGCCAGTGCATTCCCTTTATCCCATACAAGGTGAGGGGACAGTCTGACATCTGGGTAGAAATATCCAGGAGGTGGTTGGTGCTATCAGTTATCTAATTGGATGTCACCCAACGTCTTGACTTTTAAAAGCTATGGTTGTTTGGTACAGTCTGACCAGGATTAGCAGTTATAGTCAAACTAAAAATATTAATTGGTGAAAGATGAGCCAAAGGTTGGCTTTGGTGTTTTCTCTCGAGAGGGCTGAGTAATTGCTTACCTGAGGCCTAGGGCTAGCCAGAACCTTATGGTGACACTGCAGTTGGAAGGTGGCCCACACTGGCAGCAGAGTCGAGCTTGTCTACATCAGGAAAGGGTGAAAGAACCATTAAATTCCCCTTCCAGAAGGGACAGGGTTTAGATGCAGATAGAGGATGCCACACAGTAGGTGACCCTGTTCCATCGAAGGAAAACATGTAACCCATGCTCTTGTCCATAGTTCAATCCTAGTGCTTGGTGGAGATGGAGAGGCTTGGGTTCTCATTTTGGCTCCAGCACAGCCTTGTCAACTTTGGACCAGTCTTGTCCTTCTTTGTGCCTCAGTGTCCTCGTTTTCCTCTCTGGTTAGAAGGAACTGCCTGGACCCTGGAAAGGAAAGTGCTAGAAGTTCTCAGCTATGAACCACCTGTGGCACCTGAAACAGAATTTTGAACGACACTTTGCTAGGTAGATTATAATTGTGTGGCTTCTCCCATAGGTGACATTAATTACCAAGAATTTGCTAAAAGACTCTGGGGTGACATCTACTTCAACCCTAAGACGTAAGTAGAGTATGGGACGTGACTTTCCAGAGGGGTGATCATTTACCCAGTAAGTGAGGACAGTGAAATTCTCTGAGTTCAAAGATTAAATACCTACTTTTTTTTTTTTTTTTAATGTAAACTACCGTCTTTCCTCCCCTAAATGGGTTGGCTTCCTAAGCTCTGATCTGGTGAGAAGCTGTTTCTCCTGAAGTCTTTACAGCCCAGCTCAGGCATCCAGGAGGGTCATAACCATGTATCCTTCCAGGAATCTGTCTCTGGAAACTTTACAGTCACACACACATTCCTCCCCTGGGCTGTTGTTCAGATTCAGCACTTAGACAATGCCTCTTGGGATCAGTGATAGTGCCTTTTCCCCTGGGTCACTCAGAACTTATTTTTCCTTTTAGGCGAAAGTTCACCAAAAAGGCCCCAACTAGCAGCTCCCAGAGAAGTTTCGTGGAGTTTATCTTGGAGCCTCTTTATAAGATCCTCGCCCAGGTGAGTGTGTCAGGTCACACTGGGCAGATCTGCTCTTATAAGCACAGTGTGGAAGAGCTGGTGAACTCACACTTCCCTCTGTCCCTAAACCTGCTCAGTTTTATGTCAAGTATAAGGGTGGTTGTTGGTCACTAATTGTTCCAGAAGTAATCTTCTGGATCCAGAACACTACATTACTCTAAGTGTTATTAAAATCAAAGGAAAGGGGCCCGGGCATGGTGGCTCATGCCTGTAATCCTAGCACTTTGGGAGGCCGAGGTGGGCAGATTGCCTGAGCTCAGGAGCTTGAGACCAGCCTAGGCAACACGATGAAACCCCGTCTCCACCAAAATACAAAAAATTAGCTGGGCATGGTGGCGGGCGCCTGTAGTCCCAGCTACTCGGGAGGCTAAGGCAAGAGAATTGCTTGAACTCAGGAGGCAGAGGTTGCAGTGAGCCGAGATTGCACCACTGCACTCCAGCCTGGGCGACAGAGCGAGACTCTGTCACCAAAAAAAAAAAAAAAAAAATCAAAGGAAAGGGAAAAGGTATGAAAGAAAAGACTTCTCCTAGAGCAGGTTTATGAACAGATCTTGACTATTGAGAAGAATGTGACACTTAGAACTAATCATTTCAGTTACGGAAATTTAACTTACAGATATAATTGTGAAAGTCCTCCTGCTTATTCATATAAGTCAAAGTGTTTATTATAGCATTTTTAGAGATAGGGTCCCACTCTGTCGCCCAGGTGGGAGTGCAATAGCACGATCATAGCTCACTGCAGCTTCAAACTCCTAGGTTTGAGCAATCCTCCCACCTCAGCCTCCTGAGAAGCTGGGACTGCAGGTGCAAGCTACCATGCCTGGCTAACTTTTAAAAAATTTTGTGTAGAGACAGGGTCTTGCCATTATCCCCAAGCTGGTCTCAAACTTGTAGCCTCAAGTGATCCTCCTGCCTTGGCCTCCCAAAGTGCTGGGCTTACAGGCAGGAGTCCACCACCTCAGCTTATAGCATTGTTTGTAACATCAGGAAAAGGGAAAAAACTGGAAATAAGTTAAATGTTTGTCAGTTATGCTCATTAATCTGATTAAATGAGTGATGGTACATCCCATAAAATGAACCGCTTTGCAACCACTTAAAGTATGTCTGAGCTGGGCACAGTGGCTCAGGCCTGTAATCCAGACGCTTTGGGAGGCCAAGGCGGGAGGATCACTTGAGTCCAGGAGTTCAAGACCAGCCTGGGCAACATGGCAAGACCCCATTTCTACTAAAAATACAAAAATTAGCCAGGCGTGGTGGCTCATGCTTGTAATCCCAGCTACTCTTGAGGCAGAGGCTGCAGTGAGCTGAGATTGTGCCACTGCACTCCAGCCTGGGTGACAGAGCAAGACTCCGTCTCAAAAAAAATAAAATAAATCAACTGGGACTGGTGGTGTGCACTTGTGGTCCCAGCTACTCAGGAGGCTGAGGCCAGAGGATTGCTTGAACCCTGGTGGTCAAAGCTGCAGTGATCCATGATCACACACCACTGCATTCCAGCCTGAGTGATGGAGTGAGACCCTGTCTCAGAAAAAAACAAAACAAAGCATGTTCGTATGAACTTTGCTTTCTTAACTGTTTGCACAATATGTGATGCTTGTCAGATTGAAATCATTTGTCAGGAGATGGTAAGGATTTAATTAAGCATGTGGAATGCTGAGAAGCAAAGAATATAACGTGGCCGGATGTGGTTGCTCACGCCTGTAATTCCAGCACTTTGGGAGGTCCCAGTGGGCAGATCGCTTGAGATCAGGAGTTCAAGACCAGCTTGGACAACATGGCTAAACCCTTTATCTCCGCACAAAATAGAATTAGCTGTTGTAGTGGTGTGTGCCTGTGGTCCCAACTACTTGGGGGGCTGAGGCAGGAGGATCACTTGAGCCCAGGAGGTGGAGGTTGCAGTGAGCCGTGATCACACCACTGCACTCCAGGCTGGGTGACAGAGTGAGACCCTGTCTCTAAAAAAGGGAATATAGCATGACGTTTATATGAATTTGTACTCCCTAAAAGATGGGACTAAAAGGGTAAAAATTATAGGAATTTTCATACAGACCTTTCTCCCAAGGCAGTAATAAAATATGCAGGTATTTAATAAGCACAGTGGACACACACATACACAAAATGTGTGTGGCCATTCCGGTGGACAAAACAGCAAAACCTAGCAACAAGATAAAATAGCAATTAAAATTTATTAGTGCTGAAAAATACTTAGTATCTTATGTCAGACTGGAATGGATTAATAAAAAAAATTTATAGAGCCTGCCTCAGTAGAGACCTTGAGTCTACTGAGGGTGATTTAGCTTGGCCCTGCCCTGACAGGATCCACAGCAAGGTGACCTTTTTTGGTTCCTTCCAGTGCACAATGATCCTCTAAATCTGAGAAGTCTGTAAATAGACTTCTGTTTAATAGGTGAGGGAGTTTCTGAGTGGGAGGAGATGCTGCTTTTCAGACACCAGGGGGCAGCACTGGGAGTAATCAATCTGAGTGCTTGGTTTATTGGCTGGGATGGGGATGTAACCAAGTTGGCTTTGCCTGTGGTTTGAAGGGTAGGTAGCAGAGATGCCGCTGAAACCAAACTTTTGTCCTTGCCAAGAGCTTTGTCTCCATAGAAGAGAGCCTTGTGAAGGAGTTCTTCAGATATTTCTTTGGACTTCCCTTGTCTCCCTCTAGCACCATGCTCAGGCTCTCACTACAGCTGACATGGTGTCTTACACCCTCACAGGTTGTAGGTGACGTGGACACCAGCCTCCCACGGACCCTAGACGAGCTTGGCATCCACCTGACGAAGGAGGAGCTGAAGCTGAACATCCGCCCCTTGCTCAGGCTGGTCTGCAAAAAGTTCTTTGGCGAGTTCACAGGTAATAATGTGCTCGTGGCCCCTTAACTCTGTCATCCTCGTGCCCTGCCACAGGTATCACAGCAATTTTTTCTCACCCAGCGATGGAGGTCAGAAATCTGAGGATCTTTTCAACAAACCACAGATTCAGATGCAGAACACTGGTGTTTTTCCTAGCTGCTTTCCTTAGTGGATGATGGCACACATTCTATCTTGGGAACCAAAAGGAATTACATTTTCCTGCCAGGAGGAGTGTTCAAGTAAATGAGATGGGGAGGCAGGCTCTGTGGTTCTGGTATATTTTCCAGGGGGCAGCCGGGAAGGTGGATGCTTGGGTAGTGTGAAATAGTGCAAAAAGCACTAGGCTAGGACTTGGGAGACTTGGTTAGTTACACAGAAGGCACGTGATACAGCAGAAAGACACTGGACTGGTTGAAAAAACCACCTGAGTCTGTCTCGATCCTGCCCTGGCCATTCCATGAGATGACCCTGGGCCAGCCACCTAATTCTTCATGACTCTGATTTGTTATCTGTAAAATCAGGGAAGTGGAAAGGGTGATGGCTGAGGGTCTTCTCAGCAGTCTCTGATTCTAAGTCCGGTGGGAATTAGGTGTCTGGGCCCCCAAGGTGCGTAGTTTTAATAGCTTATTTTGGTCTGCCCATCAATCTGACACACCAGATACCATTGAAGGCACACAGGCCTATCCCAGTGTGCTCATGGGGGTTCCCTCTTATGTGGTTTATTAATGTGTTCAGAAAACGGGGTAACTTATTGAATAGAGATGCATGCAGTGTTTCTCAAGGGGAGTCAGGTTGGGAATTGTTTTAAGTAGATGTTAGATGGGGTGCTTATTTTGTTCCACGTAAATGCGTATAGCCAATAAAAGTTCATAGATCGATGTACTTTAAACTTTTTGTCAGCTGAGTTCCAAGGAACCATGTACCACTGATACCTGCTGCTTGCTCTTTTCTGGCATCAGGGTGACTCCAAATCTTCTAGCAGCACATTCCCAGGAAGCAGGCTATCACTATCTATAGTGCCAGAGCTTTTAGAGCTAACAATCAGTCCCCGCACTTTGAGCTTTTTGACCATTGTGAATGGCTCAGTAACTCCTGCTCGTGCTCCCTGGGAAGGCATGTATTAATGGCTTTCTCTTCTCCATCCACAGGCTTTGTGGACATGTGTGTGCAGCATATCCCTTCTCCAAAGGTGGGCGCCAAGCCCAAGATTGAGCACACCTACACCGGTGGTGTGGACTCCGACCTCGGCGAGGCTATGAGTGACTGTGACCCTGATGTAAGGGCATGTGGCTCCCCGGTTCTCTGGTCTTTTTTTCCCCTTCCTGTGTGGGGATACTGATTTCTGGTCACAGGAGTAATGCCCACTTTCCCACCCTTGCCTCCCCATCCCCATGAGCACAGTCAGGCCTGAATGCAAAGCCTGATGTTGCCACCGCTAGTGCTATGACCTTGGGAACATTACTCACATTTCCTGAGCCTCAAGGCCTTGGTCTATAACACGAGCATAATAAAATGTGAGCGGTTGTTATGAGATTTAAATAAGATTAAGGAAGTGTTACGGTTGTGTTCAGCATGTTGCCTGGCAGATACTAAAGATTCAACAAATGGTAGCTAATCTTGTCAGTCCTGGCTTTTAAAAACATCTTTCCCAGCCATTTCTTAGGCTGTCTAGTTTCTTATCATAAATACACAGCCAGTTGAGAATTGAGTTACATCTTAAGAGGAAATTTGGGACAGTAAGTAATCTTGCCAATAGTGCCTCTCTGCTATCTTAAATCTGTGTCTCTTCCTCAATGCCCTTATCCTCCCAAAAAAAAAAAAAGAGGAGAATATTTTTGCTCTGCCATGTCTCCTATTCATCCTTCTCAGAGGGATGGGGTAGAACATGGTTTGGAGATGAGACTACCTCATCTTTCTCTAGCTCCTCATAGAGCTCATGTCCTTGCTGTCAAGGAAGATGGCGGGGAGTAGTACTTCCCCGGAGCATAGATGTGGTTGAAGCTGCACCCTGTCCCCTCTTCCAGGGCCCCCTGATGTGCCACACTACTAAGATGTACAGCACAGATGATGGAGTCCAGTTTCACGCCTTTGGCCGGGTGCTGAGTGGCACCATTCATGCTGGGCAGCCTGTGAAGGTACTGGGGGAGAACTACACCCTGGAGGATGAGGAAGACTCCCAGATATGCACCGTGGGCCGCCTTTGGATCTCTGTGGCCAGGTACTGCCAACCAGAGCCCCAGGAGTATGCCTTGGTGTCTATCCAGGGGCTGCCCCCAAGGAGCTGGAAGGAGTGATCCTCCTTGGAAGTAGTTGCAAGGCTCTGTGCAAGAGGGGATAAAGTGGCTCTCCCTCCGCAGGGCTATTGACTTCAAGTTCTTCCTGTCCCAGGTTTGCTGGGGCCAAAGGCAGCTACTGTTGGAACAGTGCCAGAAGCTTCGCCTTTGCACTTTGGGTGGCTCGTGTGAACTTTTTTTTTTAGCCCTATTTGTTTGTTTTGAGACAGGGTCTCACTCTGTCTCCTAGGCCAGAGTGCAGTGGCACAATCTCAGCTCACTGCGACCTCCGCCTCCTGGGCTCAAGCAGTCCTTCCACCTCAGCCTCCTGAGTAGCTGGAACTACAAGCACACACCACTATGTCTGGCTAATTTTTAAATTTTTTGTAGAGACAATGTCTCACTATATTGCCCAGGCTGGTCTCCAACTCCTGGGCTCAAGTGATCCTCCCACCTCAGCCTCTCAAAAGTGTTGGATTACAGGTGTGAGCCACCACACACCATCTTAAAGCCCTTTTGAAAGCATGAAGCTTGTATGAACTTTTGTAGGAGGATTTCCATTGTTACTCATCTTAATCCTCTTTTCATTTCCTCTCCTGTGTTCCTTAAGTCATAATCTTTGTGTTTCTTCCCAAAAGAAATTGTTCCCCAACTCCACTGTCTACTCTTTGACCAAGAGAGAAGGCTTCGCTGGATCCCTTGTAGCATCCCAATCTGCAGTCAAACTTAGCTTGGGCCTCTGGGCTACTTGTCAGTTTATGAATTTGGTTTCCCAGTTGACAAGTTAAACCAAAGCATTCGTGTTCCCTAAGGTGGCTACCCTGCCTCAATGGTGGTCCCTTTTGTTAAATCCACCCTAAATGCCAAAAGGTGGAATATTGAAGAGCTGGGAAAGTGGAAGTTTTCTGTGATGCTTTTTTTTTTGAGATGGAGTCTCACTCTGTCGCCCAACCTGGAGTGCAGTGCCTGTGATCTCGGCTTACTGCAAGCTCCACCTCCTGGGTTCATGCCATTCTGCTGCCTCAGCCTCCCAAGTAGCTGGGACTACAGGCGCCCGCCACCATGCCCAGCTAATTTTTTTGTATTTTTAGTAGAGACAGGTTTCACCGTATTAGCCAGAATGGTCTCGATCTCCTGACCTCATGATCCACCTGCCTCAGCCTCCCAAAGTGCTGGGATTATAGGTGTGAGCCACCGCTCCCAGCCTTTTTTTTTTTTTTTTTTTCTCTCTGTCAGCCAGGCTGGAGTGCAATGGCGTGATTGCGGCTCACTGCAACCTCTGCCTCCCGGGTTCAAGCGATTCTCCTGCCTCAGCCTCCCAAGTAGCCAGGGTTATAGGTGTGCACCACCATGTCTGGCTAATTTTTTGTATTTTTAGTAGAGATAGTTTTCACCATGTTGGCCAGGCTGGTCTCAAACTCCTGACCTCAGGTGATCCAGCCACCCACCTCAGCCTCCCAAAGCACTGGGATTATAAGCGTGAGCCGCCACACCCGGCCTTCTTTGATGCTTTTGCTAGCCCCTTACAGTCGACACCTTGGGCAGCTTTTTACCATGAGCCTGCAATTGGAATAAGATTTTCCTCTTATGTCCTCACAGAAATACCTTGTACTTTTCTTTCATAATGCCCATCAGTTTGTAACCACATACATGTGTGGATAATGATTGTTTACTGTATCTCTCCCCTGCTAGAATGTATCTGTTTTGCTCACCCCTGCTCTTGGCACGCAGCAAGTACTCAGTAAATTTTTGTGGAATAGGCTGGATGTGGTGGCTCACACCTGTAATCCTAGCACTTTGGAAGGCTGAGGCAGGAGGATTGCTTGAGCTCAGGAGTTCAAGACCAGCCTAGACAACATGAAAAAACCCCGTCTCTACAAAAATACAAAAATTAGTTGGGCATGTTAGTGTGTGCCTGTAGTCCCAGCTACTTGGGGGGCTGACGCAGAAGGATCACTGGAACCTTGGAAGTTCGAGGCTGCAGTGAGCCAAGATTGTGCCACTGCACTCCAGCCTGGTAACAAAGTGAGATCCTGTCTCAAAAAAAAAAAAAAAAAAAAAATTAGGGAATGCTCTGCCTAAGTTTCACTGCTGCTTATTGGACATTGCTTCAGGTACCACATCGAGGTGAACCGTGTTCCTGCTGGCAACTGGGTTCTGATTGAAGGTGTTGATCAACCAATTGTGAAGACAGCAACCATAACCGAACCCCGAGGCAATGAGGAGGTAGAGTTTCTGAAGAGACCAACTGGGTTGGCTTAAGCTAGATGGTCCCAGGGACACACATGAGCACAAACGGGACTAATCCACAGTCATTGCCATGTCCTGGTTTCAGGCTTAGCCTTCTAGATATGACCCTGCTGGATTCTCCCTGTACTCAGTTCAGATGCGAGGAATTAGGACGGGTGCCTTTTATTATTTTCCTCCTCTCTTTGTTCTGCCAGAATACCTGGGAAGAAATGGCCCTTCAGGTTACCCCCACTCAGCACCAGGCTCCTGGTTGGGGAATACATAGTCTGATCCTAAGCAAGTCCTCTTCTCTTCTCATACCTCTGCACTTTCTGTGCCTGCTCATGCCAGTTGCCCTCAGTCCTTTGTGCTTTGGATCTCAGGCTCAGATTTTCCGACCCTTGAAGTTCAATACCACATCTGTTATCAAGATTGCTGTGGAGCCAGTCAACCCCTCAGAGCTGCCCAAGATGCTTGATGGCCTGCGCAAGGTCAACAAGAGCTATCCATCCCTCACCACCAAGGTATGCCCATGGCCTGCAGCAGCCGCCAAGCCCCACTATCCCCAGCTGAATGGGCAGAGCTGCACACCGCTTCCCATCCATCAGGTGTTCATGATCTGCTGCTTACAGGAAGCTGTGTCAGGAGCAAGCCCAGCCTATGGCTGTCATGTCAAGGCAGGACAAGACACGTGTGTGTGTGTATGTGTGTGTGTTAAAACAAGACCTGTGTAGGAGGGGGCAGTGATGGGGGGTATAGGACAAGGTTGTGTGTGTGTGTGTGTGTGCGTATTTGTGTTCCGCAGATGTCTTTATCTAGACAAAAATACATTTCTTAATGAGTATACTTTGAATTGATTTTCTCGAGAAGAGAAGGAAAAGTGAGTTGTTACTCTGATCCTTGTACACTATGAGCCTGCCAGTGTACCTTTCCAGGTAGCAGGCCAGGAGGGCTAAAGGGCTAGCTTATGTCCATGGGTATAGGGTAGAGTTTGACCTAAATCATTAAGATGGGAATTAAATCATTGACTTCACACCTAGTATCACCATGCTGAGTGGTCCTGGTGTCTTGAGGACCCACTCATAGGCAGATGCTCCTCACTGAACCTTCTTGAAGAGGCTGGAACAGATGCTAAGTAGTAGCTGTTTCTGATAGGCAACTTCTTGTCTGCTCTGGCCTTGATTTTGTTTGTGTGTGCCTTTGCTGGCATAAGAGAATCCAGGCTGTGACTGCCTGTTGTGTTTCAGGTGGAGGAGTCTGGCGAGCATGTGATCCTGGGCACTGGGGAGCTCTACCTGGACTGTGTGATGCATGATTTGCGGAAGATGTACTCAGAGATAGACATCAAGGTACAGCAGTATCTGCCGGGAGCTGGGTTCACGGTCCAGACTTTTCACAAGTGACCAAATCCTTGAATTCCTGGGAAGCTCCAAGGGAAGAGAGAGTACATGTGTTTGTGAAAACCATGATCTGTTGCTCCTTATATGGGAAGGTTTTTGAGAACTGGTTTGCCCCCTTCTGCTGTGTCATACGTTTAAAATCAAGGCTCAGCCGTGCTTGGTGGCTCACTCCCAGCACTTTGGGAGGCCGAGGTGGGAGGATTGCTTGTAGCCAGGAATTCAAGACCAACCTGAGCAACAAAGTGAGACACTGCCTCTACAAAAATTAAAATAAAAAAAATAGCCAGGCCGGGCATGGTGGTCCGTTGCTGTAATTGCAGCACTTTGGGAGACTGAGGTGAGAGGATTGCTTGAGCCCAGTTTGAGACCAATCTGGGCAACATAGTGAAACCTCGTCTCTACAAACCAGCCCAGTGCAGTGGCATGTACCTGTAGTCCAGCTACTGGGGGGCTTAGGTGGGAGGATCACCTGAACCTAGACTGTCAAGGCTGCAATGAACTGTGATTGTGCCATTGCTCTCCAACCTGAGCCTAGGAGGTCATGGCTGCAATGAGCAATCATTGTGCCATTGCTCTCCTTTTTGAGATGGAGTCATACCCTGTCTCAAAAAACTAAAAAATAAAAATTAGTCAGGTGTGGTGGCTTGCACCTATAGTCCCAGCTACTCCGCAGGCTGAAGCAGGAGGATTGCTTGAGCCCAGCAGTTCGAGGCTGCAGTGAGCTACGATCATGCCACTGCACCCTAGCATGGGTGACAGAGCAAGACCCTGTCTCAAAAAATAAATGCATTGAAAAATAATAAAACAGGCCGAGCACGGTGGCTCACGCCTGTAACCCCAACACTTTGAAAGTCCAAGGCGGTTGGATTGCTTGAGGTCAGGAGTTCAAGACCAGCCTGACCAACATGGTGAAACTCTGTCTCTACTAAAAATACAAAAATTAGCCAGACATGGTGGCGGGCACCTGTAATCCCAGCTACTCAGGAGGCTGAGACAGGATAATTGTTTGAAACCGGGTGGCAGAGGTTGCAGTGAGCCAAGATCGCACCATTGCACTCCAGCCTGGGTGATAGGGCGAGACTCTGTCTCAAAAAAAAAAAAAAAAAAAGGAAAAAGAAAATAAAGGCTCCCAAGCCAAAGTTATTCTTGGTCCTTTGTTAGGGAAATAATTGCACAATTAAACAATTAACCCATGGGTGGTGATTAGGTCTCAGAGTGGGTGGTTTCAAGGAGAGGGTGGGGACTGTCTCTCCCAGATTCTTTGTCAAGCCTTGATGTAGCCCCTCAAACCATGTGTTGCTTGGCCTCCTTGTCCTAGTTGAGTCGTATTTTCTCCAAGGCCCTGTGGAGGACCCTCAATACCCCTCTTAGACTCCTCTACTGATGTATCTAGGAAGGAGGAAGGATTGGTGTCATAGAAAACACTGGGTTTCCTGGGCAGCAGACCATGTTGGGGCTTCAGGGCAGAGCTTCACTCAGATGCTGTGGGTTGAGAATGACATGGGTGCACGCCAGTGGGTCTCAGCACCAGCTCTGTCAGACCCATGGGGGTTGTTCAGTGAATGGTGGTAGATGGCTGAATGGATGCTGAGAGCTACCTTTGAAGACTAGAATTAAGGCCCTAGTTTGATACCCCACTTACTCTTGGCTCAGGAATCTAATTTCTTTACTACAGTAAGTTTTCTTGGGCTTTTTGGTGATGATTTGGACAGCTCTTTTAACCTGCTGTTGTACTTATCACTTGTGCTGATTAAGGCAGTTGGGGTTTTCACAGAGGTAGTGTCAAGGGAGCTTCTGAATTCCCTTAGGTAAATGGTTGCCCTTCCAACAAAATTAGACCTCGCTTCAGTAATTTATTTTCTGTTTCCCAGGTGGCTGACCCAGTTGTCACGTTTTGTGAGACGGTGGTGGAAACATCCTCCCTCAAGTGCTTTGCTGAAACGCCTAATAAGAAGTAAGCTGGGAGCACAGTGTCCCTGGGACTGCAGCCTCCTGGACACTCTCTCTCCTTTATCTTCCACCTCTACCCCCACCATGAGCACTATGCACATAGAGACCTCTACAGCTCAGAATAGGGGGTGCTTACAATACTTGAGTTTCACTCCAGCCCTCTCAGCCCTTCTGCCTTTGAACACAATGACATGGGATTATTCGCCTTGGGTATTCCCAAGAGGAGTTTCATAACTGCCACTTTGTCTCTATAAAATGACTATCTTAAAAGTTTACTCCAAATCTTACTCACTTTTTGTTTTTTTGTTTTTTTTTTTTTTGACACAGGCTGGAGTGCAGCCTCAACTTTCTGGGCTTAAGCAATCCTCCCAAGCAGCTAGGACTATGGGCACACACCAGGCCATCTGTTAATTTTTTTATTTTTTGTTGTCCAGACTGGTCTTGGACTTTTGGGCTCAAGTGTTCCTCCCATCTTGGCCTCCCAAATTGTTGGGATTACAGGTGTGAGCCACCATGCCCAGCTTAAACCTTACTTTTTTTTTCTTTTTTTTAAGACAGTCTCGCTCTGTCGCCCAGGCTGGAGTACAGTGGCACGATCTCGCCTCACTGTAGCCCCTGCCTCCCAGGTTCAAGCAATTCTTGTGCCTCAGCTTCCCCAGTAGCAGGGATTACATGCACGCACCACCACACCTGGCTAATTTTTTGTATTTTTAGTAGAGGTGGGGTTTCGCCATGTTGCCCAGGCTGGTCTCGAACCCCTGACCTCAGGCAGTCCGCCCGCCTCGGCCTCCCAAAATGCTGGGATTACAGGCATGAGCCACCACGCCCAGCTTAAACCTTACTTTCATAAAGACCAGTAGATTGAAATGAAAGAAAGATGAGCCCTTTGCCCTTTTTGCTCCACCTTGCCCCTGATACTGTGGCTTTTTTTTTTTTTTTTTTTTTTTTGAGACAGGGTCTCACTTCGTCACCCAGGCTGGAGTACAGTGGTGCCACCATGGGTCACTGCAGCCTCAACCTTCCGAGCTCAAGCGATCCTCCTACCTTAGTTAGCCTCCCAAGTAGCTGGGACTACAGGTGTGCTAACCACACCTGGGTTTGTTTTTCTTTTTTTTTTTTTCTTTTGAGACATAGAGTCTCACTCTGTAGCCCAGGCTGGAGTGCAGTGGCTCGATCTCAGCTCACTGGAACCTCTGCCTCCCGGGTCCAAGCAATTCCCCTGCCTCAGCCTCCCGAGTAGCTAGGACTACAGGGAGTGAGTGTCACCACACCCAGCTAATTTTTGTATTTTTAGTAGAGATGGGGTTTCACTGTGTTGGCCAGGCTGGTCTCGAACTCCTGATCTCATGATCTGCCTGCCTCAGCCTCCCAAAGTGTTGGGATTACAGGCATGAGCCATCGCACCCGGCTGGCTAATTTTTTATAGAGATGGGGTCTCTTGCTTTGTTGCCCAGGTTCTGTTTGTTTGTTTGTTTGTTTGTCTGGGGTTTTTTTTTGTTCTGTTTTGTTTTTGAGACAGAGTCTTGCACGGTCGCCAGGCTGGAGTGCAGTGGCACAATCTCGGCTCACTGCAACCTCCGCCTTCTGGGTTCAAGTGATTCCCCTGCCTCAACCTGAGTAGTTGTGATTACAGGCATGTGCCAGCGCACGCCACCACGCCCAGCTAATTTTTTGTATTTTAGTAGAGATGGGGTTTCACCATGTTGGCCAGGGTAGGCTCGATCTTCTGACCTTGTGATCCGCCCACCTCGGCCTCCCAAAATGCCGGGATTACAGGGGTGAGCCACCGCGCCTGGCTGTTTGTTTTTAAGAGGCAGTATGTTGCTGTATCACCCAGACTGGAGTGCAGTGGTGTGAGCCATAGCTCACTGCAGCCTCAAATTCCTGGGTTTCAGTGATCCTCCTGCCTTGGCCTCTCAAAGTGCTGGGATTACAGGTCTGAACCACCACGCTTGGCCCCTGTGGCTTTCACTGATGTCACTTCCTCAGCTGTCCGTCTTGTTACCCTTTTCTTAGTAATGCCTCTTCTGCTGTTCTGTTAGCCGTCCTTACCACCCATTTCCATTCTGACCAGGAACAAGATCACCATGATTGCTGAGCCTCTTGAGAAGGGCCTGGCAGAGGACATAGAGAATGAGGTGGTCCAGATTACGTGGAACAGGTGAGAACAGGGCTCTGACGCCAGGGTCGAAAGGAGGCAGGGATGCCACAGTTTAACTGCCGGGTCTCTAAGAGCACACATCTTTCTGGGGAGCATTTATGTCTTTGCCTTTGCTCTTGTTCTGGGCACAGTGGGTAGGATGAAGTGACTGTCTTCCAGGAAGGGAGGGTCTGTGGCTCCAGGACCAGCAATCACAGAGCTGGCTGACAGCTCCATTGTCTCCTCCCTTCCCCAGGAAGAAGCTGGGAGAGTTCTTCCAGACCAAGTACGATTGGGATCTGCTGGCTGCCCGTTCCATCTGGGCTTTTGGCCCTGATGCGACTGGCCCCAACATTCTGGTGGATGATACTCTGCCCTCTGAGGTACAGCAGAACTGATGGGAACTGGGTGGCGGTCTCTTACCTCTGGAGTGGAAGAAACTACAAAGTGTTCTTTTCCCAAAAGTATCTTGTGTCCTCTGGTGAAGGACAGTATCCCCTTACAGGCACATCTGTCTTCTCCCTCTAAATGCTTCAGCCGTTGCCAGGGCGACTGCTAAGGAGGCCTCATGTTTCTCTATAGGTGGACAAGGCTCTTCTTGGTTCAGTGAAGGACAGCATCGTTCAAGGTTTCCAGTGGGGAACCAGGGAGGGCCCCCTCTGTGATGAATGTAAGTCCACCAGCACTCCCCCACCCCAGTCCTCGAGGGTCCTTGCAGCCAGGCATATGAGTGGGATGGGCTCACCATCTTTAGGATTCGGCAGGAGAAGCAGCTTGGGGTACACAGGACCATCCCAAGTCCTGGGCCAGCTTCTTCCCTTTTCCTTCCTTATCCTGGTGGTGTAGCCTGGAAATGGAAATTTAAGTCATTTCTAAACTGTCATTTGCTCCTCATTTCTGAGAAGGGTTTGGCGTTGGACGTATTTGAGAAGAGATATCAAGAGGATGATGAGATTGGAATGGTTTATAGACCCTGATTGGGCTTCATGGACCAAATGTACAATTCTGGAATTTATTCTACATCCACAAAAATGTAAATATGTGCAGAAGAAGGAAATAAACTTCTAGGAAAGCTCTAAGTCTGAGCATGGCCTGAAGCAAACACTAAGAACATATGCTTAACTTCTGACCTCTGCCATGGGCCTTGCTTATTCAGTTAGAACGCCCACCTCCCATTTGATTTCTGTACCATGTCTTTCATGACTGCAAGACAGCTGCAGTGTTGCAGGAGACTGCTACTCTGCCATGGCCCCATGACAGGCCCAGAACCTCTCCCCAGTCACTCCCTCCACCTCCTTTACAGTGATTCGGAATGTCAAGTTTAAGATCCTGGATGCGGTGGTTGCCCAGGAGCCCCTGCACCGGGGCGGGGGCCAGATCATCCCCACAGCCAGGAGAGTCGTCTACTCTGCCTTCCTCATGGTAAGAGAATGGGGCGGTAGGGGACCATCTGCTTCACTGGACAGGGGACTAAGTGAAGGAGCAAGTGGGACTATAGGCCCCCAGCCTTCCCCAAGCTGAGGGGCCTTTCTTCTTGCTCTGCTGCAGGCTACTCCTCGTCTGATGGAGCCTTACTACTTTGTAGAGGTCCAGGCCCCTGCAGATTGCGTCTCTGCAGTTTATACCGTCCTGGCCAGGCGCAGGTGAGCGGCCCCAGGCGTATTAGGGAGAGTGCTGAGAGCAAGAGCAGAACAAGAGTCACCTCGGCTCCTACAGGGAAGAGAGGTTGGCCTTCTCTACCCTCCTCTCTCTGGAAACCCCGAGAGCTGATTTTCCAGAAAGAAGTAGGAGCGGAGGGAGGCAAGCCCCCGCTTTTCTGCAGATTAAAATTTGACATTTCTCCATCCTGGCTAACACAGTGAAACCCCGTCTCTACTAAAAATACAAAAAATTAGCTGGGCGTGGTGGCGGGTGCCTGTAGTCCCAGCTACTTGGGAGGCTGAGTCAGGAGAATGGCGTGAACCCAGGAGGCGGAGCTTGCAGTGAGCCGAGATGGCGCCACTGCATTCCAGCCTGGGCGACAGAGCAAGGCTCTGTCTCAAAAAAAAAAAATTGACATTTCTTTTGGGATCCCCTCCTCACAGAGCTGTTGGAGGCAGTGCTGAGGCAAGTCAGTGATGGGAATGTCTTTGGGCCCTTGTCCCTTCACCATCCCACTCCTGTCCTCTGCCCAGAGGTTGCTGCCACTTTGACTTCCACAGGGAATTATACTGAGAGCCCTGAGCCTTTTCTGCTTTTTGTAGAACATTCTTGGTTACTCTTTCTTTGATGGTAACTCTGGGCTGGAATGCATTTGGGGGACAGCAAATGCTGGATTGCTTCTTGGCTTTTGGCCTATGTTTGACTAGAGGCTCAGCCTTTGTTTTTCTGTCTCAGGGGGCACGTGACTCAGGATGCACCCATCCCAGGCTCCCCTCTGTACACCATCAAAGCTTTTATCCCGGCCATCGACTCTTTTGGCTTTGAGACTGATCTCCGGACTCACACCCAGGGACAAGCCTTTTCTCTGTCTGTCTTCCACCACTGGCAGGTGAGAAAGCAATGCAGGCTGGCGGACTTGGCTTCCCACCTCTGCAAGCCTCATCCCCTTCTGTCCTGATCCCTCTCCAAGCCCTAAGTGAGGTGTACAGCATCCTGGAGAAGAGTCCTCCTCTGGGGAGCATATATTCAGGGCAACTTGAATCTGTGTCTCTCAGTTTAAAAAAAAAAAAAGAAATAATAGGGCCGGCTATGGTGGTTCACACCTGTAATCCCAGCACTTTGGGAGGCTGAGGCGGGCAGGTCACCTGAGGTCAGGAGTTCGAGACCAGCTTGACCAACATGCAGAAACCCCATCTGTACTAAAAATATAAAATTAGCTAGGCGTGGTGGTGCATGCCTGTAATCCCAGCTACTTGGGAGGCTGAGGTAGGAGAATCGCTTGAACCCGGGAGGCGGAGGTTGCATTGAGCCGAGATCATGCCATTGTACTCCAGCCTGGGAGACAAGAGCGAAACTCCATCTCAAAAAAATAATAATAAGTAATAAATTTAGGAATAAAATAAATAAGAAGAGTCCTGCTTCTGGGCCTGAATCTTCTGGGAATTCTGCCTGGGCCATCTGAAATTCCTTTGCCTTTTAGATTGTGCCTGGTGATCCCCTGGACAAGAGCATTGTCATCCGCCCCTTGGAGCCACAGCCAGCTCCTCACCTGGCCCGGGAATTCATGATCAAAACCCGCCGTAGGAAGGTATGTCTCCCTTGGGCCTGTTGCCATCCCTCAACCCCCCAGGACTCTCAGAAGCAGGATCTCTCTCTCTTTCTTTTGGCCCCTTTTCCTAAGGGACACTTTTCCAATGTAGAGATATGATCTGTATACTCCTTAGGCAACCAAACCTGGGCCCCAGTCTCGTTGGGAAAGGAGAGCCTTATCCTCCCATGTGATAGTACCCTAAAGGCAGGGCTCCTGAAACACCACCACCTACATTCCAGCCACCACTAGCCTCCCCACTGAACACAGGTCTTGGATAGTCTCCTTGCTTAGTCTGCGACCACCTCGGGCTTTCTTATATTTGCCCCATTCCCTGCAGGGCCTCAGTGAAGATGTGAGCATCAGCAAATTCTTCGATGATCCTATGTTGCTGGAACTTGCCAAACAGGATGTTGTGCTCAATTACCCCATGTGAGTGCGTGGACTCCTGGGAGCTCCTGCTCCCTACAGTGGGCTGCAACTCCTGTACTTGAAGCTGAGACCTCATATGACGTGGCCTTCGTGTTGTCAGAGAGTGTCTGGAAGCTGCTGTTGCCATCTTGAACAACTCACCAACCTCCAACCCAGAGCCCCAGTGAGAGAGGAGCATTTGGCCTCCTGCTTCCTTCTGTGGCCTCTGCCGGGCTCCATTCCCAAGGAAAAGAGAGGAGCTTGGGCTCACAGAAAGAGAAGGGGATGAAACCCCAAGGGGCCCTATCTTTGGGATTTACATGGAATTTTATTTTCTACAAGTTTGACCTTAGCCATGGTTTGCAAGTGAACAGAACATTCTGACCTCTGTCTTGCTCTGCTCCTTTCATCCTCGTCTCCCCTGCCCCGTCTGGTGCTTACATTCTGAATATATGTCATCTCCCAAGAGGCTTCACTGCCTCTGCTTCCAGCTGCAGCCTCCTTCCTGCCTGGGTCCCCAGGGAAGCCGCCTGCCTTTTAATTCAGTGTTCCCATGAGCGCCAAGGCCCCATTATTGCCCCCTTGCTCCCACTCCATGCTGCTTCTGGGTGGAACCTAAGATGGCTTGGGAGTTGTTGGGTTCCTGCGATCAGAAGTCTACCCCACCACCTCCTCAGGAAACTGCTGCCTCCCCTAAGAATCTTCCTTGCCCTGGAGTAGGGGGCCAGAGCACTTTGATTTCCAGCCATTTACTCCAAGTCCTCTCCCCAGCTACCACCAGTCCCTTACTCTGTTCTCCCCCAGTGAAAAAGAGTCTGTTGATTTTCCTCAAAACTGCTTTATTAGGAATGTACCAGGGATTGAGTTAGGGGAGTTGGACAGCCCCGGCTCCTATAGGAGTCCTACTTCTCTCCAGCATCCTGTGCCATCCTCTTGACGTAATCGCTGTACATTGTGTACACAGCACCTGTGTGAGAGAAAAGAAATAATGCCCCTTGGCATCAAACCCTTCACCCGTCCTCTGGCTCTCAGGCGTCCTAGGGGTTCACCTCTAGCTGCTCCCTTGAGAGTCCAGCTTCCCGCTCATCTTTCTGCCCCAGGTCCCAACAGCTGCTTCAAGCATCTGACCACACAACCTGGGGAAACCACTTATCTGACAGTTCACGAAACACTTTCACATGTATTGTGTATCTGAGAAACCTCACAGCAGCCTGCAAGGTAGGCAGGCCAGGGGTGGTTATTGTCATGTTACACATCAGGAAACTGAGGCTCAGTGAGAAAGATTTGTCCACTGTCACACAGTTAGCAAGTGGCTGTCTGCTTTTTAATCTCAAGAGGAAGAGAAATTCAACATCTGTTCTGTTGCATGATTTTTCTCACCCCTAGGGCAAACTGTCATGAGACACTGTCCCCACAGGCCTGGGACAGGAGCCTAAACAGGGAAGATGGCTCAGTATAGGGGCTTCACCAAGCATGTGATGTGGAGCCCAGAACAGGAGAACTTAATTCACAGTCCTTTTTTTTTTTTTTTTTTTTTTTTGAGACAGAGTCTCACTCTGTCACCCGGGCTGGAGTGCAGTGGCGGATCTCAGCCCACTGTAGCCTCCGCCTCCCAGGTTCAAGCAATTCTCCTGCCGAAGCCTCCAGAGTAGCTGGGACTAAAGGCACCTGCCGCCACGCCCAGCTAATTTTTGTATTTTTAGTAGATATGGGGTTTCACCATGTTGGCCAGGATGGTCTCTCTCTCCAGACCTCATGATCTGCCCGCCTTGGCCTCCCAAAGTGTTGAGATTACAGGCGTGAACCACCGCGCCCAGCCAAGCACAGTCCTTTTAATTGTTGGGACTTAAAGACCTACAAACTGCATAATCGGTTTTGCCCTCATTCTGCGACCCCACAAAGCTACTCACCTAGCATGATTGCACCCACTGCACAGGCCTGCGCTGCCACTCGGGTGTGAATCAGGTGTATGGACATCTTGGTGGAACCACGAGACCTCAGCCGGTAAATCCTGTATGCTGCTACCACCAAGCAGCCTCCTAAGCCTGTGGGCAGAGAACACAGCCCCTGGGCCACAGCCACAATGCACAGCACTCCCCTGATGAGAGATACCTTACCAGGCAGGCTGGGCATCTGGATAAACAGCTGGTTTTATGCAGCATCTGGTGGCGGGGGGTGGGCGTTGCGGGGGACCTAGGGGGATCATTAGAATATTGAGTTGTTGCCGGGGCATGGTGGCTCACGCCTGTAATCCCAGCACTTTTGGGAGACTGAGGCAGGTGGATCACCTGAAGTTGGGAGTTTGAGACCAGCCTGACCAAAATGGAGAAACCCAGTCTCTACTAAAAGTACAAAATTAGCCGGGCGTGGTGGTGCATGCCTATAATCCCAACTACTCAGGAGGCTGATGCAGGAGAACCACTTGAACCCAGGAGGCAGGGGTTGTGGTGAACCGAGACTGTGCCATTGCACTCCAGCCTGGGCAACGAGTGAAACTCCATCTCAAAAATATATATATATATATTGAGTTGTTGCCCTTCAATGGCATTTTCAAAGTGGCTGCCTCCCTCCCGTGACACCCCTCCCCCATATACAAATAGCTGATCACCACCAGTGATGCCCCTCCCCCAGATACAAATAGCTGATCACCACGACACAGCCCCTCCCCACCAATTTGCTCCGCCCTGGGCCCTTGAGCCACACTGCTGGCTCCCACCTCCTGGTACAGCTGTTTTCCTACTCTACCAGGGCCATAAGGAAGGAAGCCCTGGGGGACCCCAAGGTGTTCTTCTGACCCTTCCCACTTTGGTGTTGGTGCTCCAGGTTCCTCATATCCCATGTACTCAGTTGGCTGCCACCTCCACCCATCCAGACGTCCTGATTTCATTGTAAGGGTTTGCCCCTTGGCACCTTTGCTGTTGTTTCCCTTGTTCCGTGAGTAGGACCACTTGAGTTTTCTGACCTCTGCTTCATTCTCTTTGGAGGGTACCAGGAGACATGACAGAGAAGGCCTCCTACTCGGCACCCCATTCCTTTCTTCACTTACCTATAGGCACCAGTGGAGATTCCCGAGTCTTCCTCAGGAGCTTCTCAGACACACAGTCTTCGTCGTCAGGTGGTACCCACCAGCGTCTGTTAGCAGACATAATCCTGGACCTGGATGTAAGCAGCTGAGACTCCTATGCTGCAGCCCCGTCCTAGAGAGAGGCACTCCACAATCAGAACTCTGATTCCTCAGTCTGGAGAGGAAAGGAAGGTTACCTGCTAAGACCCTCTCTCACCATGCCCCAACACAGCCTCTACTTGAAAAGATGTCCCTCCCAGGTATCCCATCTCAGGTGGCTGGGCCATTAGTGCCATTTCTCCGTCTCCATTTCCTACCATCTGCCTCTTCCCCAGCTCATTCTGTCTTCACTGCTTTCTCAGCTTCCCCTTCCCCCATCTGCATCCCTATGGGTGTGATCCTTGGGCCAAGAAAAACAGCTGGAAAAGTCCACAGATGGTGGTGGGAGAAACAGTCCTTGAGTGCTGGGGCCCCCGCTGGCCTTTGGTCTGTGATGGTTTCTCCTGTGGGAGCTACAGAGCAGGATCTGGCCCCAGGGAGCCAGAAATGTCCTAGACCAGATAGTGTAACAGCATTAGTTACCAAATTGCCAGAGATTATAATGATTGGACATTGATTTGCATGTAATTTAGCATATATTTTGCACATGAGTACTAAGGAACACATTCTGGTTCCTGAGCTGCTCCTGTTTTTCCAGGTCCATCTCTTTCCAGGCAGGTTCTTCACAATTACCAACTGGCTACCTTCATCCCTGGGCTGGAAACAAGGGTTCTGCCAATGGGATGCCTTCTTTTTGAGACGGAGTCTCGCTCTGTCGCCCAGGCCGGACTGCGGACTGCAGTGGCGCAATCTCGGCTCACTGCAAGCTCCGCTTCCCGGGTTCACGCCATTCTCCTGCCTCAGCCTCCCGAGTAGCTGGGACTACAGGCGCCCGCCACCGCGCCCGGCTAATTTTTTGTATTTTTAGTAGAGACGGGGTTTCACCTTGTTAGCCAGGATGGTCTCGATCTCCTGACCTCATGATCCACCTGCCTCGGCCTCCCAAAGTGCTGGGATTACAGGCGTGAGCCACCGCGCCCGGCCCTTTTTTGTTTTTTTGAGACGGAGTTTCGCTCTGTAGCCCAGGCTGGAGTGCAGTGGTGCCATCTCGGCTCACTGCAACCTCCGCCTCCCAGGTCCTGGTTGAAGCAATTCTGCCTCAGCCTCCCAAGTAGCTGGGATTACAGGTGTGTACCATGCCCAGCTAATTTTTTGTATTTTTTTAGTAGAGACGGGGTCTTACCCTGATAGCCAGGCTGGTCTTGAACTCCTGACCTCTTGATCCGCCCACCTCGGCTTCCCAAAGTGCAGGGATTACAGGTATGAGCCACCGTGCCCTGTCCAATGGGATACCTTCTAAGCCTAACCATACGGCAAACTCTCTTTTCTTTTTCTTCTTTTTTTTTTTTTTTAGGCAGGGTCTCACTTTGTCACTCAGGCTGGAGTGCAGTGTCAATCCCTGCAAGCTTGACCCTCCAGACTCAAGCAGTCCTTCCACCTCAGCCTCTCAAGTAGCTGGGACTACAGGTGCATGCTACCACGCTCAGCTAATTTTTGTATTTTTTGTAGAGACAGTTTTGCCATGTCGCCCAGCCAATCTTGAACTCCTGGTCTCAGGCGATCTGCCCACCTCAGCCTCCCAAAGTTCTGGGATTACAGGCATGAACCACTGTGCCTGCCCTTGAGTCAGCTTCTATCCTAGTTAGCCCTCCTCTCCTGGAGGAGCAAGGACTGGTGGCCCCCCAGGTCGTTGGCATGCTGGTGCTTACCCTAAGAGATGGCTAGAACGAGGAGAACGGGCGGCCAGGCCAGGGCTCAGCGTCTGCTGTTTTGAACCGACCAAAAGCTGAGATGGAGCTGCCACTATGGGGTCAGGGAAGCAGTGACTTGGGCTTTATGAAAACTTTGAAGTCAGGGATGGAGAGGGGAGGGGAAAGGACAGGGGATCGGTCTTAACCCCCAGTCTGCTGAGTCCCAAGCCAAAGCTCCAGGCACTGGAAAGTAAGGAAAGACCAAATGGAGGGGAGCCCCTAACTAGATTCAGTCTTTTAATTCCCATGGAATTAAGTGGCTGGATCAGAGACAGGCTTGATGAGGAGAACGGAGATGGAGATACAGGAACAAGGATGAGTAGAAAGCCTGGGTCCCCCAAGTTACACTCCCTCGGATACTCTTATGAACAATGTGGGATGTAAATAAAATACCCTAGTTGTGAGAGACAGACTCTCTAGGCTGTCTTTTGGTTTGGGATTTTTTTTTTTTTCCGAGATGGAGTCTTGCTCTGTCACCTAGGCTGGAGTGCAGTGGCACGATCTCGGCTCACTGTAACCTCCGCTCCCAGGTTCAAGTGATTCTCCTGCCTCAGCCTCCCGAGTAGCTGGGATTACAGGCATGTGCCACCATACCCAGCTAATTTTTTTATTTTTAGTAGAGGCGGGGTTTCACCATGTTGGCCGGGCTGGTCTCGAAATCCTGACCTTGTGATCCACCCGGCTCAGCCTCCCAAAGTGCTGGGATTACAAGCATGAGCCACCACACCCAGCTAGTTTTTGGGGTTTTTTGTTTTGTTTTGTTTTTGAGATGGGGTCTCCCTCTGTCACCCAGGCTGTGTGATCTTGGCTCACTGCAGCCTCATACTCCCAGGCTCAAGCAACCCTCCCATCTCAGCCTCCTAAATAGCTGGGACCACGGGCACATACCACCACACTTGGCTCATTTTTGTATTTTTGGTAGAGACAGTTTTACCATGTTACCCTGGCTGGTCTCAGAACTGGCCTCCCAAAGTACTGGGATTAAAGGTGGAAGCTACAGGGCCCAGCTTCCAGAACTCTTTATACTACCTATGGGGTGATGCTCACTCAGGTTGCAGGGATGACAGTGATCAGGATTAGGGCTCTTCTGTACTCAGTATATTTCTTTCTTTTTTTTTTTTTTTTTGAGACGGAGTTTCACTCTTGTTGCCCAGGCTGGAGTGCAATGGCATGATCTCAGCTCACTGCAATCTCTGCCTCCCGGGTTCAAGTGATTGTCCTGCTTCAGCCTCCCGAGTAGCTGGGATTACAGGCGCCTGCCACCATGCCCAGCTAATTTTTGTGTTTTTAGTAGAGATGGGGTTTCATCATGTTGGCCAGGCTGGTCTCCAACTCCTGACCTCAGGTGATCCGCCCACCTCGGCCTCCCAAAGTGCTGGGATTACAGGCATAAGCCACTGTGCCCAGCCCTGTACTCAGCATATTTCAAAACTCTCAGCTATTCTATATGGTAAGTAGCAGTTTGTTCACAAAGGAATGGAGCTTCAGAGAGGCTTAATGACTTACCTGAGGATACACAGCTAGTACATGGCAGTTTTGTCATCTGAACCCAGGTCAGGCTGGCTCAAGTGTTTGCACTCCTAACTGCAATACTAACCTCCAGGGGGCTGGTTAAACGGAAGCCCTTTCCAGATGAATACTGAAGCTTAGGAATGCTAGTATATCCTGGCACCCTTGTTTAGGAGAAGAAAAAGTATGTGCTAAGCAAATGGAAAAAGATAGGGTGTGCTAGGGAGATCCCACTCTATCCCAGGCCTTTGTTTCTTCCCTAGATTACTCAGCCCTGTGTGTTTATCCTAAAGGGGCTCTGCAGCACTGGAAATTTGTTTGGCAGATGATGTCCTTTTTTCTCCCCAGCATTCACTGCTCTAGGCAGAGACCCAGGGTCACAGCAACTCCCCAGGGCCTTCACATGTCCCCAGTGTCCATGGGAACTCTCCTCCCAGCCTTTCACACACACCCTCCTTTGCTGCCTCTCCAGGTTCCAGCAGTGGCCTGAATTCTCAGGAGATGGATGGTATATTCCCTTACTGGTCTAGGCCAGAAAAAGGGGGATGAAAATGTCTGGATAAGACAGGGCAGGAAACAGGATCAACTCCAAGTCCTTTGAAGAACAGGAGCCAAACCACGGATAGTGAAGTTCAGCTTCTCCCTACTGAAATGATGGTGATGTTCCCACAGCATCTCAGCTGTGGGAATAATAATAATTCCCACAGCTGAGAAATAATAATAATTGCTGTGATTTACTGAGCACCTTCTATGGGCCAAGCAGTGTGCTAATTGCTTTGTTTTTGTTTTGTTTTGTTTTGAGACAGAGTCTCACTCTGTCACCCAGGCTGGAGTGTGGTGGTAATCAAAGCACACTGCAGCCTTGAACTCTTGGGCTCAAGGGATCCTCCAGCCTCAGCTTCCTGAGTAGCTGGGATTACAGGCACATGCCACCACGCCTGGCTAATTTTTGTATTTTTAGTAAAGATGGGGTTTCACCCTGTTGGCTAGGCTGGTGTCGAACTCCTGGCCTCAAAGTGATCCACCCACCTCGGCCTCCCAAAGTGCTGGGAATATAGGCGTGAGCCACCATGCCCGGCCTCCTTTGTGTAGATTAATTCTCACGATAGCAATGAGGTAGGTGCTATTATTATCCGCACTTCACAGGCAAAAAACTGGGGCTCCATTAAGCGTTTTGCCCAACAGTAAGTGACAGAAAAAAGACCAGACTTCTAACTCACTACTCAGGACTAACTTGAGAGAATGTAAAGTGGAGGGCAAATCTTGAAATAGAAGAAGTAAAATTGCTTTGTATTTCAAAAACTTCTGAGAACATACAGTAACTAAAAAAAACTTCAAGGAACAGATTTTTGTAGAGTCCTGCTTTAGTAAACAGATAAGATAAAATTATGATAGCATCATTTTTGTGAACATGCCGAGTCTTTAATGTTTTCCATTTATGCATTGCTACATTAGTAATTTGTTTAGGAGACCTCTTTTTCTTCCAAATCAGGTCACATCAATAGAAATTCTGATTTAGAGGGGCCTAAATCAATGATGCGGACAGACTTAGCATAGGCAAAAGTCAGACGTGGGATCAGTTAGCCCACAGACCAACCACTCTAAATATTGGGTTATGCCATTTAATCTCTTAGAGTCTTTGGCTTCATTGGTAAAATCAAGATAGCACCTGCCCATAGGATGATCGCAAGGGTTAAAAGAGAATTGTTAGAATTCTGCTAACTCCTGCTGCTCCTCTTCCTCCAGGAGCAAGTGGCAGGGAATGGGTAGCAGGCTGGGGGAAAAGCGGAGAGTCCCTGACAACAGATGGCAAAGTTACCATATTCTGTGTGGTTCCGAATTCAGCACAGCTTTTCTCATTCCCTTCCCCCGGACCCCCTCCTTCTTGGGCTTGCCCACCCTAACTGGAAGCTTTAGGCTTGTTCTCCCTGTTGTGTTAAAGGGGAAGGGATGGGGGGAAGGGGGACTAAGTCTTAAAGCTCTCAACACGATCTAAGGCACAGCTATGCTATTTATAGCCCAAGGGAGCGAGTGACTGGGAGGGGAGGGACAAGCAGCTTTTGCCTTGAGCTAATGGGAGCTGTAAGTGAGGGCATGATGGAGAATAGACTAGGGGACAGAGGATGCTCCTAGTTGGGGTTGGAATGGGAAGAAATGGGGTTGAAAGGCTGGGAGAATCAGAGGGGAGAAAACATTAGGGGATATAGTTGTGTCTGGGGCACTTGAAGGGTAAGGAGTGGAGTAACAGGAACAGGCAGTGGAAGTTTCTAGATAATATGGCTAGGCTGAGGCCGCTTCCTGGTGGAGGCTGTCTGTAACACCCCCACCCCCCACCCCCCACCCTTTTATAAACAGGCATTGAGTTCCAAGGACCTCCTAGCATTTGTCCAAGGACAGCCCCAAGGGCCACAGGCCTGAAGCCAGAAAGTACCTTTGGTATCCAATAATCTTTCTGAGAAGACTTCACATATTTTTTAATTTAATTTTTTTTTTTTTCTGAGACAGAGTCTCACTCTGTCGCCCAGGCTGGAGTGCAGTGGTGCTCACTGCAACCTCCACCTCCCGGCTTCAAGCAATTCTCCTGCCTCAGCCTCCCGAGTAGCTGGGACTACCCAGCTAGTTTTTGTCTTTTTGGGTAGAGACGGTCACCATGTTGGCCAGTGTGGTCTTGAACTCCTGATCTCAGGTGATCCACCCGGCTTGGCCTCCCAAAGTGCTGGGATTACAGGCATGAGCCACCACACCTGGCCAAAAGAACTTTTTTGACAACAAAAAAATCTGGTTCAGTCAACATCCCTGTGGGCAGGGGCAGGGAGAAGCAGTATAATGTGTCCCACAGGTTAACTGAAACTGCTGGGATTAGTGGAGAGGGAGGGTGGTGTTTCCCACTAATACCTCTCTCCCATTAGCAGGAGTAATCAATAACTTCTCTCTCTTTTTTTTTTTTTTTTTTTTTTGAGATAGAGTCTCACACTGTCACCCAGGCGGGAGTGCAGTGGCGTGATCTCAGCTCACTGCAACCTCCGCCTCCTGGGTTCACGTGATTCTCCTGCTTCAGCCTTCCAAGTAGCTGGGATTACAGGTGCATACCACCACACCCAGCTAATTTTTTTCAATTTTTAGCAGAGATGGGGTTTCACTATATTGGACAGACTGGTCTCGAACTCCTGACCTCGTGATCCACCAACCTCCGCCTCCCAGAGTGCTGGGATTACAGGCATGAGGCACCGCGCCTGGCAAGACTAATCAATAACTTCTTTAACAGTTCTTACTATCCAGCCAGTCTGGGGCAGGCAGGACTCCCCTGTTCCCAACAAGCAGCATTCTCAAAACTTTTTCTGGGCCGGGCTCAGTGGCTCATGAGCGCCTGTTATCCTAGCACTTTGGGAAGCTGAGGCGGGTGGATTGCCTGAGCTCAGGAGTTCGAGACCAGCCTGGAGAACAGTGAAACCCCATCTCTACTAAAAATACAAAAAATTAGCCAAGCGTGGCAGTGTGCGCCTGTAATCCCAGCTACTCAGGAGTCTGAGGCAGGAGAATCGCTTGAACCCAGGAGGCAGAGGTTGCAGTGAGCCGAGATCCACCATTGCACTCCAGACTGGGTGACACAGTGAGACTCCATCTCAAAAAAAAAAAAAAATTTACCTCTCTGGGCCTCTTTCCATCTTTCAAGACAGAAGAATCTGCTCTGAGTTTACCAGCCAAGTGGGGACCCTGGAAAGTGTGTAATGGAAATAGTGACACATTGCAGCCTTCAGATTGACCCTACTGTTCCCAAACCACAGAGCCCCAGGGCGACTCTCAAGTTCTCAAATTGGGTTTTGATCCTTTCCTGCCTGAGCCCCATGTGGATTAAAAGTGATGTGGTTCTCATAGCACCCAGCTGTACCACTCTCTGCCAAAGGCTGGAAATGAGATCCATTTCCCTGTTTGAAACTTACAGCTTTTTTCCCCTTCCCTCCAGCAGTGGTCTTTCTTCTTCTAGGGATGGTGAGCCTTCATTCACTTATTCACTCAGCATATACTTCCTAAGTACCTACAATTTGCTGGCCTCTGTTCCAGGAGCTGGGACACAGTGCCCCTGCCTTCGGGGAGCTCACGTTGTAGCAGACACCCTGGTTTGCTCCATATCCTGGCGAATGCCTGGGCCCAAGAGCCTCTACCCTGGAATTCTGACCTCAGTTTCCCCACCAGTAATGGGATTAAAGGAAATCACTAGCTGCCAAGGTGGTAGAGGAGAGAAAGAAGTCTTGACTAGAAGACAAGAGCCTTAGGTTATATTTTAGGTTTTGGGGTTTTTTGGGGGTTTTTTGTTTGTTTGTTTGTTTGTTTTTGAGACAGGGCCTTGCTCTGCTCTGTTGCCTAGGCTAGAGTACAGCCCCAGGCTAGAGTGCAGCCTCAACTTCCTGTGCTCAAACGATCCTCCCAAGTAGTTGGGACTACAGGTGCAGGCCACAAAACCTGTTCATTTTTACATTTTTTGTAGAGACAGGGTTTCACTAAGTTGCCCAGGCTGGTCTCAAACTCCTGGGCTTAAGCAATCCTCCCACTTTGGCCTCCCGAAGTGCTGAGATTATAAGCGTGAGCCACCGTGGCCAGCCTACTTGTTTTTTAAAGTATCTACAAGTGGCCGGACATGGTGGCTCACGCCTGTAATCCCAACACTTTGGGAGGCTGAGGCGGGTGGATCACCTGAGGTCAGGAGTTCGAAACCAGCCTGGCCAACATGGCGAAATCCTGTCTCTACTAAAAATACAAAATTAGTGGGCGTGGTGGCTCGTGCCTGTAATCCCAGATGTTAGGGAGGCTGAGGCAGGAGAATCGCTTAAACCCAGAAGGTGGAGGTTGCAGTGAGCTGCGATCACGCTATTGCACTCCAGCCTGGGCAACAAGAGCAAAACTCCGTCTCAAAACAAAAAAAGAAACGTTGCTCTATCAGAAGGGAGACAGAGCTGCAGGCTTGGTGGCTTGGTAATAAGGTAACAAATTAGAAAGTAGATGTATTGCCCGGTGCGGTGGCTCACGCCTGTAATCCCAGCAATTTGGGAGGCCAAGGTGGGCGGATCATGAGGTCAGGAGATCGAGACCATCCTGGCTAACACGGTGAAACCCCATCTCTACTAAAAATACAAAAAATTAGCCAGGCATGGTGGCGGGCACCTGTAGTCCCAGCTACTCCCGAGGCTGAGGCAGGAGAATGGCATGAACCCGGGAGACGGAGCTTGCAATGAGCCGAGATCGCGCCACTGCACTCCAGCCTGGGCAAGAGAGTGAGACTCCGTCTCAAAAAAAAAAAAAAAAGGAAAGTAAATGAATGTATTGTTCCCAATCTCTAGGAAGAAAGAATACGCAATGCATTTTGGGAGGGGGAGGCAGGAGGATTGACTGAGCTCAGGAGTTCGAGACCAGCCTGGGCAACATAGGGATACCTTGTCTCTACTAAAAATAAAAAAAATTAGCCCGGCATGGTGGCGCATGCCTGTAGTTCCAGCTACTCGGAAGGCTGAGGTGGGAGGATCATTTGAGCCTAGGCAGTTGAGGCTGTGGTGAGCTGTGATCACGCTGCTGCAACCAGCCTGGGCAACAGAGTGAGACCCTGTCTCAAAGAAAACAAAAAGTAAAAGAAAAAAAAAATAGGCAACAATAAAAGATGGGGAGTTTTCCCTTCCAGATTCATTCATGAATCTATGGGAAAATAATACCTAATGAACATTTGTATATATAAAAATACATTTATATATTTATAGTTTTATATATATATATATACACACACACACACACACACATATATATATATAATCAAATGTTTTAATACCATTTTAAAGGTTTTTTTTGAGACAGTCTCCCTCTCTTGCCAGGCTAGAGTGCAGTGGTGTGATCTCGGCTCGCTGCAACCAACCTCTGCCTCCTGGGTTCAAGCCATTTTCCTGCCTCAGCCTCCCAAGTAGCTGAGACTACAGGCATGCACCACCATGCCTGACTAACTTTTTTGTATTTTTAGTAGACAGGGTTTTGCTGTGTTGGCCAGGCTGGTCTTGAACTCCTGAGCTCATGTGATACACCCGCCTTGGCCTCCCAAAGTGCTGGGATTATAGGCATGAGCCACTGTGCCTGACCTTAAAGGTTTTTTTTTTATTGAGACGGAGTCTCGCTCTGCCACCCAGGCTGGCTCACTGCAAGCTCCACCTCCCGGGTTCACGCCATTCTCTTGCCTCAGCCTCCCCAGTAGCTGGGACTACAGGCGTCCGCCACCACACTCGGCTAATTTTTTTTGTATTTTTAGTAGAGACAGGGTTTCACCGTGTTAGCCAGGATGGTCTCAATCTCCTGACCTTGTGATCTGCCTACCTCGGCCTCCCAAAGTGCTGGGATTACAGTCATGAGCCACCACGTCCGGCCTAAAGGTTTTCATTTGTCTTAATATGCCACAGAAAAGCACACCATCAAAAGTATGCAGCTCAGCCAGGCGTGGTGGCTCATGCGTGTGATCCCAGCACTTTGGGAGGGGGGGCAGCGGTGGGGCAGGGGGAAGATCACTTCTGGCCAACATGGTGAAACCCTGTATTTACTAAAAATACAAAAATTAGCCGGGTGTGGTGGCACACACCTGTAATCAAGCTACTCAGGAGGCTAAGACAGGAGAATCAGTTGAACCCGGGAGATGGAGGTTGCAGTGATCCGAGATGGTGCCACTGCACTCCAGCCTGGGTGACAGAGTGAGACTCTGTCTCAAGAAAACAAACAGGCCAGGCTCGGTGGCTCATGCCTGTAATCCCATCACTCTGAGAGGCTGAGGCAGGTGGATCACCTGAGGTCAGGAGTTTGAGACCATCCTGGCCAACATGGTGAAACCTCGTCTACTAACAATACAAAAATTAGTCAGGTGTGGTGGTGCGCACCTGTAGCCCCCAGCTACTCAGGAGCCCGAAGCAGGATAATAGCTTGAACCTGGGAGGCGGAGGTTGCAGTGAGCTGAGATTGCGCCATTGCACTCCAACCTGGGCGATAGAATGAGAATCCATCTCAAAAAAAAAAAAAAAAAAAAGAAGAAGAAAAAGAAAACAAATCAACCAAGTATGCAGGTCAGTGTACTAACTGAACACACCTGTGTATTCAGCGCCCAGCTCAAGAACAGTGAACTGCCTGAAGAGTTCATCTTGCCCGCTACCCAGAAAAGCTGATGCACTGCAAACAGCAGGTTTTCCCAATAGAGAAAGAGTTTAATGAATGTAGAGGTGGCTACATGAGAGACTAGAGTTTATTACTCAAATCAGTCTCCCCCAAAATTCAGAGACTAGGGTTTTTTAAGGATAATTTGGCGGGCAGGGGGCTAGGGAGTGGGGAATGCTGATGGTTGGGTTGGGGATGAAATCATAGGGGGTTGAAGCTGTCTTCCATTCCTGGGTGGCATCCAGAACTAGTTGAGCCAGTTTACTGATCTGGGTGGCACCAGCTGGTGCCTCAGAATGCAGGATCTGAAAAAATATCTCATACCAATCTCAGGATTTTTTTTTTTTTGAGACAGGCTGTCACTCTATCACCCAGGCTGGAGTACAGTGTGTGATCATGGCTCACTGCAGCCTCAGCCTCCCTGGGCTTAGGAGATCCTCCCTGCTCTGCCTCCCAAGTATCTGGGACTACAGATGTGTGCCACCACGCCCAGCTACATCTTTTTTTTTTTTTTTTTTAGTAAAAACAGGGTTTCACCATATTGCCCAAGCTGGTCTCGAACTCCTGGGCCCATGTGCTCCACTCACCCTACCCTCTCAAAGCGTTGGGATTACAGTCGTGAGCCACCATGCTGGCCAATATCGGGTTTTATAATAGTAATGTCATCCATAGGAGCAAAGGAGCAATTGGAGAGGTTAGGAATCTTTTTTTTTTTTTTTTTGAGACAGAGTCTCACTCTGTCACCCAGGCTGGAGTGCAGTGGCGCCATCTTGGCTCACTGCAAGCTCCACCTCCCGGGTTCACGCCATTCTCCTGCCTCAGCCTCCCGAGTAGCTGGGACCACAAGCGCCCGCCACCACGCCCGGCTAATTTTTTGTATTTTTAGTAGAGACGGGGTTTCACCTTGTTAGTCAGGATGGTCTCGATCTCCTGACCTCGTGATCCACCCACCTCGGCCTCCCAAAGTTCTGGGATTACAGGCGTGAGCCACCGTGCCCGGCTGAGGTTAGGAATCTCATGGCCTCTGGCTGCATGACTCCTGAGCCCTAATTTCTAATTTTTTTTTTTTGTTTTGAGATGGAGTTTCACTCTTGTTGCCCAGGCTGGAGTGCAACGGTGCGGTCTCGGCTCACCGCAACCTCTGCCTCCCGGGTTCAATCGATTCTCCTGCCTCAGCCTCCCGGGTAGCTGGGATTATAGGCATGCGCCACCACGCCCAGCTAATTTTTTTGTATTTTCAGTAGAGGCAGGGTTTCTCCATGTTGGTCAGGCTGGTCTTGAACTCCTGACCTCAGGTGATCCGCCTGCCTCGGCCTCCCAAAGTGCTCCGATTACAGGTGTGAGCCACCGGCCTGGCCCCTAATTTCTAATCTTATAGCTGATTTGCTAGTTCTACAAAGGCAGTCTGGTCCCCAGGCAGAAGGGATTTATTTTGGGAAGGGACTCTTATCGTCTTTGTTTCCAAATTAAATTATAAAGTCAATTCCTCCCATGGAGAACTCAGCCTATTCCCAGGAATGAACAAGGGCAGCTTGGAGGTTAAAAGTAAGATGGAGTCGGTTAGGTCAGATCTCTTTCACTGTTGTAATTTTCCTGTGTCAGATTTTTCTTTTTGTTGTTGTTTTTTGAGACAGTCTCTCTCTGTTGCCCAGGCTAGAGTGCAGTGGCGAGATCTTTGCTTACTGCAACCTCCGCCTCCTGGGTTCAAGCAATTCTCGTGCCAAGTAGCTGGGATTGCAGGCATGTGCAACCACTCCCGGCTACTTCTTTTGTATTTTATTTTATTTTATTTTATTTATGTATTTATTTATTTAAGACAGAGTCTTGCTCTGTCACCCAGGCTGGAGTGCAATGGCGCAATCTTGGCTCACTGCAACCTCCACCTCCTGGGTTCAAGCAGTTCTCCTGCCTCAGCCTCCCGAGTAGCTGAGATTACAGGCATCCACCACCACGCCCGGCTAATTTTTTGTATTTTTAGTAGAGATGGGGTTTCACCATGTTGTCCAGGCTGGTCTCGAACTCCTGACCTTAGGTGATCCACCACCTCAGCCTCCCAAAATGCTTGGGATTACAGGCATGAGCCACCGTCCCCAGCCTGTGTCAGATTTTTCTCACTGTCATGATTTTTGCAAAGGCAGTTTCAACAGAACAAGGCCAGCCCCCCAAAAACCCCTCATGCTCCTTTCCAGTAACTATCCTGCCTGCCAAGTAACCACTATCCTTCCTTACTTCTCTCTTTCTTTTTTTTTTTTTTTTGAGACAGAGTCTTACTCTGTCACCCAGGCTGGAGTACAGTGGCGGGAGCTTGGCTCACTGCAACCTCTGCCTCCTGGGTTCAAGCAGTTCTCACAGACGCATGCCACCACACCCAGCTAATTTTTGTATTTTTAGTAGAGACAGAGTTTCACCATATTGGTCAGGCTGGTCTCGAACTCCTGACCTCAGGTGATCCACCTGCCTCATCCTCCCAAAATGCTGGGATTACAGGTGTGAGGCACTGTGCCCAGCCCACTATCCTTCTAATTTTTTTTTTGAGACCAAGTCTTGCTCTGTCCCCAGGCTGGAGTGCAGTGGCGCAATCTCGGCTCACTGCAACCTCCAACTCAGCCTCCCAAGTAGCAGGGATTACAGGCTCACACCACCACGCCCAGCTAATTTTTTGTATTTTTAGTAGAAATGGGGTTTCACCATGTTAGCCAGGCTGGTCTCAAACTTCTGACCTCAGGTGATCCACCTGCCTCACCCTCCCAAAGTGCTGGGATCATAGGCGTGAGCCACTGTGCCCAGCCCACTGGCCTTACTTCTTCTTTTTTTGAGACGGAGCCTTGCTCTATACCCAGGCTGGAGTGCAGTGGCACAATCTCCACTCACTGTAACCTCCAACTCCCTGGTTCAAGCAATTCTCGTCTCAGCCTCCGGAGTAGCTGGGATTACAGGCATGCGCCACCACGCCCAGCTAATTTTTGTATTTTTAGTAGAGACGGGGTTTAGTGCTGGGATTACAGGCGTGAGCCACTGCACCTTACTACTTCTTTTTTTTTTTTTTTTGAGTTTTGCTCTTGTTGCCCCAAGCTGCAGTGCAATGGCATGATCTCAGCTCACTGCAACCTCTGCCTCCCAGGTTCAAGCAATTCTCCTGCCTCAGCCTCCTGAGTAGCTGGGATTACAGGCATGCGCCACCACACCCATCTAATTTTTTGTATTTTTAGTAGAAATGGGTTTTCACCATGTTAGCCAGGCTGGTCTTGAACTCCTGACCTTAGGTGATCTGCTCCCCTCGGCCTCCCAGAGTGCTGGGATTACAGGCGTGAGCCACCGCGCCTGGCCAACTGTCCCTACTTCTAACGGCATGGATTAGTTTTGCTTGTTTTTTTTTTTTGTTGTTGTTGTTTTGTTTTTTTTTAAACGCGGTCTTGCTCTGTAACCCAGGCTGGAGTGCAGTGGTGCAGTGGTTCAGTGGCACAATCACAGCTCACTGCAGCCTCAACTTCCCCAGCTCAAGTGATCTTCCCACCTCACCACCTCAGCCTCTGGAGTAGCTGAGACTCCAGGCACATGCAACCATGCCTGGCTAATTTTTGTATTTTTTGTAGAGGTAAGGTTTTGCCATGTTGCTAAGGCTGGTCTTGAACTACTGAGCTCAAGTGATCCGCCCACCTTGGCCTCCCTAAGCGCTGGGATAACAGGCATGAGCCACAGCACCTGGCCAGTTTTGTCTGTTTTTGAAGTTTTTGTAAATGAAAACTTTTGTGAGATCCATCTTATGTGTAAATGTAGATTGTTCATTTTCATTGCAGCATAATGTACGTAACACAATTTAGCCATTCTACGGTTGACAGGCATTTTGGGTAGTTTCTAGTTTTTTGACTTATTATAAATAGTGCTGCTATGAATACTCTAGTACAAGTATTTTGGTGAACATTTGTACACATTTTCGTGGAATTGCCATGGAATTCCAAAGGCATAGTGTATTCATAGGTTCAGCTTTAGTAGTGTAGTGGCGGAAAGGTGTGACACCTTTCCTCATCCATCATAAGGATCACAGCTGACACTCCTATAACAAAACCCAGATTAACAAGAGAAGGGCATAACCAAGTTATTTAACCAAAGTTTTATGTAACACAAGAGACTTCGGAAATTAAGACCTCAAAGGGCCGAGTGCGGTGGCTCACACCTGTAATCCCAGCACTTTGGGAGGCCTAGGCGGGTGGATCACGAGGTCAGGAGTTCAAGACCAGCCTCACCAACATAGTGAAAACCAGTCTCTACTAAAAATACAAAAAAAATTAGCCGGGCGTGGTGGTGTGCGCCTGTAGTCCCAGCTGCTTGGGAGGCTGAGGCATGAGAATCAGTTGAACCTGGGAGGCGGAGGTTGCAGTGAGCCGAGATCATGCCACTGCACTCCAGCCTGGGTGATGGAGAGAGACCCGGTCTCTCTCTCTCTCTCTCTCACACACACACACACACACACACACACACACCCTCAATACCCTAGAACAATTGTTTTTATGCTTAGGTTCAATGCAGAATGGACAAGCAGAATGTGATCAGACAAAAGGGGTATGATCTAATTTAACAGACTGAGCGGGGAACCCAACAAGGCTTGTCGGTTCAAATTCTTCTTGGCTTCCCAGTGTAACATTCCTTCCTCCAGGGTATTCCTTCCTGGTTCCTCTGGAATGAGGGTCTTCAAGGGGGAGGAGAGAAGGGGGAGAGTGACCTTTCTGGTTTTATGGCTTGCTTTGGGGGAGAGGGGTTCTAGTTTCTATGACCCGCCTTGGGGAAGAGGAATTTTTATTTCTATGACTCGCTTCAGGGGAGAAAGGGGCGGGAGACAGGAGGGCAGGAGAAGGTCAGAGAGAGACTTTGCTTCTGAGGCCTTCCAATCTCCTTTAGTTCAAAGCACTCAGCACGCCAAAGCTCCATACTTTGGGATATTGTTTTCTTTCTTTCTTTTTTAAAGAGATGGGGTCTCGCTCTGTCTTCCAGGCTGGAGTGTAGTGGCATAATCATAGCCCACTGCAGTTTCCTGAGTAGCTGGGACTACAGCCACCACGCCCTGGGAAATCATTTTCTGAGCCTCAACAGTAGATATTGCCAGTTTTGCAAAGTCCGCTGGGCACGGTGGCTCATGTCTGTAATCCCAGCTCTTTGGGAGGCCAAGGCGGGCAGATCACTTGAGGTCAGGATTTGAGACCAGCCTGGCCAACATGGTGAAACCCCCTTTCTACTAAAAATACAAAAATTAGCCAGGCATGATGGCGGGCACCTGTATTCCCAGCTACTCCGGAGGCTGAGGTAGTAGAATCTTTTGAACCTGGGAGGCGGACATCGCAGTGAGCCGAGATCACCCCACTGCACTCCAGCGTGGGCGACAGAGTGAGACTCTGTTGCAAAAACAACAACAAAGTGATTTAGGCCAGGCACGGTGGCTCATGCCTGTAATCCCAGCACTTTGGGAGGCCGAGGCAGGCGGATCACAAGGTCAGGAGATCGAGACCATCCTGGCCAACATGGTGAAACCCTGTCTCTACTAAAAATACAAAAATTAGTTGGGCGTGGTTGCGTGCGCCTGTAGTCCCAGCTACTCGGGAGGCTGAGGCAGGAGAATTGCTTGAACCGGGGAGGTGGAGCTTGCAGTGAGCCTAGATGGCGCCCACTGCACTCCAGCCTGGCGACAGAGTGAGACTCTCCCTCAAAACAAAACAAAACAAAAAAGTTATTTGTACTAGTTTACAGTTGCAGGCTGTGAGAATTTTAATATTTTATTCAACAGGTACAATGATGTTGTTTCCTGTGTTATTTTAGTTACATGCTATTTATTATTTCCAGGTATTTTCAGAGTTTTCACCCTGGTCATTTTATTTTTTTCACTTATTTTTTTGAGACAGGGTCTCACTCTGTCGCTCAGGCTGGAGTGCAGTGGCGCTATCTCAGCTTACTGCAGCCTTGACCTCCCGGGCTCAAGCGATCCTCCCACCTCATGCTTGGAGTAGCTAGGATCACAGGTGCGCGTCACCACACCCGGCTAATTTTTGTATTTTTTGTAGAGATGGGGGTTTTGCCATATTGTCCAGGCTGGTCTGGAACCCCAGGGCTCAAGCAATCCGCCTGCCTAGGCCTCCCAAAGTGCTGGAATTACAGGCGTGAGCCACCGCGCCCATCCCACACTTGTCATTTTAAATACATCTGTAGAGAGGCAATGTGATAAGGCGTGGGGACAGACTACAGCAATCACAGGGAGAAGTACTTAAATGCTCCGAGGCCAAGCAGGTCATGAAATGATTTAAGCAGCTGAGTGGGGACATTGCCTACCCGGACAAGGTGACTCAAGAGGAGCTGCCATGTGAAAAGAGAAGCTCAAAGTAAGCAGCTTTTGACTTTTTAGGGAGGCCAGAAATCTGGATTTTAATATTTTGGTAACTAATTCATATTTTTGGAAAACATACTGGCCACACAAAACTGGTCAGTGCATTAGATGCCTAGCCTTCAAGATTTCCACTCTGGGGCTACCCCTTAGGGCTTGGCTTTGGGTGGGGGAGTTTGACTTGCAGCAAGTAACCTCACTTGTTAGCGCTTAATTTCCCCTCTGGTCAAAAGGGCAAAATAATAAAAGCCTGTCCATCGGCATTCTGATGCTCAGATGAGATCATTCCAGAGGTCGCCCATCTCTTTACTGAGCCTTCCTTTATTACCCAAAGTCTTACTCTACTTAAAGCATTTGGAGAATTTTCGGTTTCCTACTGGGCATTTTAAAACTGGGGATTCCTATGCATGAAAATTTTTCCCAAGTCCTCTGAATGGGATCCTGCTGGGATGCAAAGAGTTAAGAGGAAATAGCCTATTAGGGTCTTGCTAATCCGAGAAGTTCAGGACCTGAAAAGTATCTAGAGCACTGCTAAGAGCCCCGACTCTAGCTAGATCCACGCAGGGCCCGCCAGATCCTCGAGGAATTGTAGAGCAGAACCTGGGAGGAGACATTAGCATCCCGTGCTACAATGGACCAAGGCCTCGGCGGAGCGCGCAGAAGACAACTCTGGGCCCGCTAAACCAACCCAGGATACCCAGGTAAGGCGAGAACCCACGGCGCCGTTAGCGGCCCGCTCAAACTGAGGCGCGGCTGGCGGGGGACTCTCGCCCGAAAATCAGCTTGGAAGAATGAACTGTCCGGAGCGAAGTCTGCGCCCACCCGGGGTCCAGACTCCACGCGGGTGACTCCCACGCGCGCCGCGCCTCCGCCGCGTCCCGGACTATCCGAGAGAGCGGCGAGGACTCGACCGCGGAAAGTTGGCGCTCGCGTCGCTTCCCGCGCGTTCTGGGGCGCCCCCCTCCCACTCGAGCGCCACGTGCCGCGCGCCCCCCGCTCCCGGGCCGCGGCGGGACGCCCCCGCCCCCACCGCAGCGCGCAGTGCGCAGGCGCCTTCCCGCGGGTCGCGGCGGCGGGAGCGGGAGGCGGCGGCGGCGGCGGCAGCGGCGGGAGCGGCTTCTGCCTCGGCTGGAGACTGAGGCGAAGGCGGCAGCGGCGGAGGAGGTGGAGGAGAGGCGAGGGTGAAGGCGATGGCGACGCGGGGCACATGAGGCCGCGACCGGCGGGACGGGCCGAGGCCCGGCGGAGGAGGCGGCTCCGGGGGAACCCGCCGCCGGGTGAGGGGCGGCCGCAGGGCCGGCTGAGGAGAAGCGGGCCAGGGGCGGGGTCCCAGGGGGAGGCGGGAGAACTCTTGGGGAGCCCGGGGAGGGGCCGAGGAGAACCTCCGGAGGTCCGGGGAGGAGCGCGGCCAGAGCGGGAGAAGGAGGGGGGCGCCGCCGAGGGGTTCCCGCCGAGTCCGGAGGGGCGTCGCCGGCCCGCGTCCTGCCACTGTCCCCGGCGCACCCTCCCTCTTTGTCCCCAGGCGCGCGGCTCCCAAATCGGGAGGGAAACGGCTCGGGGGTGTCCTGGGCCGCGGAGGTGTCGGGCGACGGTCGGGGAGCCCGGACAGAAGCGGCGCGCACTCGGCGGCGCCCCGGCGGTGCCGACAACTACCCGGGCGGTTAGGGGCGCAGGGCGGAGCCGGGCCGCCCCTCGCCGCCCGGGCTCTTCGCGGGCTGCTCTTTGTCTCCCCGACCTCGATCCCTGCGTCTCCGGCGGCGTGCGGGCTCGTCTGAGGCTTCCCGCATCTCCCCGCTGGAACTCCTGCCTCCCGGGGGTTAGAGGAGGGTTCGTTCGAGGGCTGGAAGCGGGAAAGCGGGGCGGAAGGACTGGGCTCATCGCCTCCTGATTAACTCGTTGTCTTTACTTAAAATGACTTTTCCCCCACTTTGTCAAACTTGAGAACTGTTTTGTGTGTGTGTGTGTTTCCTTAAGTCTCTAGCTTCAAAATTAAGAGTAGGCGCTACCGCTGTGATTGTGGGCAGTTGTGTGGTTGGCGGCTGCGTTTGGAGCTCTGAGTTGAAAAGATGTACGTGAATGTATGGTTTAGATTTTGTTCTTTTTTTTGCGATTGTCTGATTGGGAGTACTTTTCCTTTGCGAAATGGGCGAATTTGGTTTTCTTTTTGTTCATTGAGAACTGGCAGTGATACCGATTTCATTATGCTCATGCTTAATTTTGTTAGCATCAAGACGATGTGAAATCGAGTAAGTTAAGTTTGAATAAGTTCAGGCTGAGGGTCATCTTGTATGCCTGATAAGTCTAAATTTGTTATATGTTTGTGTCGTGTATACGTTCAAGTGAATATATGTGAAAGCGCTATAAAAAATCAAACTACATAAATGAAAGGGATTTTAATTTCCTGATAAGCAGGAAACAGCATATCTCCAGTACTTTAATATCTGTAGAAAAATGCGTTAATAATGTCATTTAGGAATAAAATATTTCTCTCCCTAGAGAGGGTTTAGGTATTATTCAGAGTAAAAGAGCAAAAAAATTTCAACCTCAGAGGGTATGGAAAAAAACAGAAAAATACCCTTACTTCCAGAGCTCCTGATTAAAATATTGTGAGTTGTGGGTTAAGTTTACTGATTTAAAAAAAACTTAGCATAGAGTTGTATCACTGCAGTTGCTTTGAATGTCTTAAGTACTGTGTAATGTCAGAATTAAACACGAACTAACTTTTCTGGGTAGAAGGTAAAAAGCTCCAATAAACAGATCTTAGTTTTCCCCAGATTTTTGTGCCCAGAGTGCTGTAGGCAAAGGGCATATTGAAGAGATACATAGAAGTTGTATGGAAGGTCTGTTAATATTTGTCCTGATTTGTAATGGCTTAATATTATTTACTACTTAAACTGTTGTGCATTTTTCCAAAGCATTTCAAACAACCTCTTCAAAAGCCAGCACTTTTAACTTTTGAGGTTGTGTGACTTAAGAATTGTTTTCTACCAGAAACAGTTCTCTTAAAAAGTTCTACCACAGTTCTCTTAAAAAGGAGCAAAGGACCTGGTAATTTTCTCTGTAATCAATTCATGCAGGTAAAATTGAGTTTTAGCCTTTAATCCAGAGGACTTAATTAACATATCTCCAGCATAACAATCTTACTTATAAATGCTGTTATCCTTTGTCAATTAAATTTTATTCTTATATTTGTATAAGTCAGCCAAAGGGAAGGAATGCAGGGTTGTGTTTCTGATTAGTCCACTTCCCCCCAGGTCCAGGCTTGCCTATCAATTGAGTAATGAGGATCTTAGAATACAGGATATATAATTTAAATCCAGAGCATCGTTCTCTTAACAAATGCTTAGTGTTTGTTCCATGCCTAATTCAATGCAAAGTGATGAGTTCCAAAAAATATTGCTTTATTTGTTGTATGTTCACATTTCAAAATTGGTGAGGTGTGTTCTTTTTTCTTTTTCCTTTTCCTTTTTTTTTTGAGATGGAGTCTTGCTCTGTCGCCCAGGCTAGAGTGCAGTGGCTGGGACTACAGGTACCCGCCACCACGCCTGGCTAATTTTTTTTTGTAGTTTTAGCAGAGATGGGGTTTCACCATGTTAGCCATGATGGTCCCGATCTCCTGACCTTGTGATCCTCCCGCCTCGGCCTCCCAGAGTGCTGGGATTACAGGCGTGAGCCACCGTGCCCGGCCATCCTTTTTTTTTTCAAAGACATTGCTATGATGCCCAGGCTGTCATAGTACACTGCAGCCTCAAATTCCTGGGCTCAAGCCATCCTCCTGCCTCAGCCTCCTGAGTATACCCAGCTAATTTCTTTTTTCTCCTCCTTTCCTGTCCTGTCCTGTCCTTCCTTCCTATAGTTAAGTTTGACTAGGGGGTATGATTACTTATTTCTGAACTTATGCTTTTCTTGTAGTGTAGAAATACATGTGGCTTCTGTTCAAAATATTTGATAAAAATTTAGGCAAAGAAAAAGCAGGAATTTTTTTTTTTTGTTTGTTTGTTTTTGAGACGGAGTTTAGCTCTTATTGCCCAGGCTGGAGTGCAATGGTGCTATCTTGTCTCACTGCAACGGTGCTATCTTGTCTCACTGCAACCTCCGCCTCCCGAGTTCAAGTGATTCTCATGCCTCAGCCTCCCAAGTAGCTGGGATTACAGGAATGCCCCACCATGCCCAGCTAATTTTGTATTTTTTAGTAGAGACGGGGTTTCACCATGTTGGTCAGGCTGGTCTCCAACTCTTGACATTAGGTGATCCGCCTGCCTCTGCCTTCCAGAGTGCTGGGATTACAGGTGTGAGCCACCGCACTCGACCAGATTATTAGTTTTGTAAGACCGTTCCTTTGAGAATAGGTATGAGAAGATAGATTTTGGCTGATATCGTTAACCTGAAATTTAGACATAGAAAACAGTTCTGAGCTGTTAATATCAGCTGAATGGCAACAGTTGTTTTTCAACATACTGCTACAGCTGATGAGTTCAGTTTGTGTTGAAATAAGAACCTAGTAAAATGTATTTTTAAAAATATTTTTTAAGATTTAAATACAAATAATTTTAAATACAAAAAACTAGCTGGGCGTTTGAGCATTGCTATTTACTGCAACTCTAAAGAGTGAATGACCTGTTAGTCAGTACTGGCTGGCATACAGTTATACATTCTTGAATTTTACAAGTACTGTAGTTGGCTGAGAGCAGTCCTTGGCAATAAAGGTTTATCTTTCAGACCTGTGGAATATATTGCCCAAAGAGTTTTCCTAAAACAAGGATATGATGATCTCTTTGCAGATAGCATTTTACTTTTTTTTTTTTTTTTTAGACGGAGTCTCGCTCCATTGCCCAGGCTGGAGTGCAGTGGCGTGATCTCTGCTCACCACAAGCTCCACCTCCCGAGTTCATGCCATTCTCCTGCCTCAGCCTCCTGTGTAGCTGGGACTACAGGCGTCCACCACCATGCCCGGCTAATTTTTTGTATTTTTAGTAGAGACTGTTTCATCGTGTTAACCAGGATGGTCTCGATCTCCTGATCTCATGATCCGGCCACCTCGGCCTCCCAAAATGCTGGGGTTACAGTCGTGAGCCACCGTGCCCGGCCAGCATTTTACTTCTAAAGAAATGAAATGGGGCCAGGAGTGGTGGCTGATGCTTATAATCCCAGCACTTTGGGAGGCCAAGGCGGGTGGATCACCTGAGGTCAGGAGTTCAAGACCAGCCTAGCCAACATGGTGAAATCCCATTTCTACTAAAAGTACAAAAAATTACCTGGGCGTGGTGGCAGTCATCTGTAATCCCAGCTACTCGGGAGGCTGAGGCAGGCAAATGGCTTGAACCTGGGAGGTGGAGGTTGCAGTTAGCCGAGATCGCATCACTGCTCTCCAGCCTGGGCGACAGAGCGAGACTCTGTCTCAAAATAAAAAGAAAGAAATGAAGTATTCTGGTAAATGAATTCTTCTCCAGCTCTCAGTTGAAGCTTTGTTCTTTGAGGCTATAATGCTTGTAATACAAGCACAATTTGGACAAAAGCATTCTGGTGCCCATTAAGTCATTCAACTTTTTTTTTTTTTTTCTTTTGAGACTGAGTCTCACTCTTTCACCCAGGGTGGAGTGCAGTGGCACGATCTTGGCTCACTGCAACCTCCGTCTCCCAGGTTCAAGGAATTCTCTTGCCTCAGCCTTGCGAGAAGCTGGGATTATAGGTGTCCACCACCACGCCCAGCTAATTTTTGTATTTTTAGTAGAGAAAGGGTTTCACCATGTTGGCTAGGCTGGTCTCGAACTCCTGACCTCAGGTTGCCTCAGCCTCTCAAAGTGCTGGGATTACAGACGCGAACCACTGTGTCTGGCCCTTTTTATTTTTTTGAGACGGAGTTTTGCTCTTGTTGCCTAGGCTGGAGTGCAGTCGCGCAATCTCGGCTCACCGCAACCTCTGCCCCCTGGGCAAGATTCTCTTGCCTCAGCCTCCCAAGTAGCTGGGATTACAGGCATGCACCACCATGCCCAGCTAATTTTGTATTGGTAGAGACAGGGTTTCTCCATGTTGGTCAGGCTGGTCTCCTGACCTCAGGTGATCCACCTGCCTCGGTCTCCCAAAGTGCTGGGATTACAGGCATGAGCCACTGCGCCCAGCCTTTTTTTTTTTTTTTTTTTTTTTTTTTTTGTAATTGAGACAGAGTCTTGTTCTGTAGCCCAGGCTAAAGTGTAGTGGTGCTCTCAAGCGATCCTTCCACCACAGCATCCCTAGTAGCTGGGACCACAGGCCCACACCGCCACCACGCCCAGTTAATTTTAAAATTTTTTTTGGAAGAGACAGGGTCTTGTTTTGTTGCCCAGGCTGGTCTTGAACTCCTGGGCTCAAGCAGTCCTCTTGGCCTCTCAAATATGGGGATTACAGGCCAAGGCACCTGGATCCCAACGTTTTTTTTTTTTTTTTCTTCCCCAAAACATATAAGCACTTGATTAAAAAAAAAAAATAGTTGGACTCTTTCTTTCCCCCCCTTCTCACTATTGCACTTGACTAATTTTTTTTTTTTTTTTTTTAAGACAGTCTTGTTCTGTCATCCAGGCTGGAGTTGCAGTGGTGCGATCTCGGCTCGCTGCAACCTCTGCCTCCCAGGTTCAAGCAATTCTCCTGCCTCAGCCTCCCAAGTAATTGGGACTACTGGCGCATGCTGCCACGCCTGGCTAATTTGACTGATTTTATTTTATTTATTTTATTTTTGAGACAGAGCCTCACTGTGTCACCCAGTCTGGAGTGCAGTGGCACACATGTACTCCCAGCACTTTCGGAGGCTGAGGCTAGAGGATACCTTGAGCCCAGGAGTTTGAGACCACCCTGGGCAACATAGTGAGGGCCCTGTCTCTGCAAAAAGTAATTTGAAAATTAGCTGGATGTGGTGGCATACACCTGTGGTTTCAGCTACTCAGGAGGATGAGGCAGGAGGATTTTTTGAGCCCAGAAGTTGAAGGCTACAGTGAGTTGTGATCACACCATGCACTCCACCCTGGTCAACAGAGTGGGACAGTCTCTATTTGAAAAAAGAGGCCGGGTGCGGTGGCTCACACCTGTAATCCCAGCACTTTGGTAGGCCGAGGCAGGCAGGTCACAAGGTCAGGAGTTCGAGACCATCCTGGCCAACATGGTGAAACCCTATCTCTACTAAAATACAAAAAATTAGCCGGGCATGGTGGCGCGCGCCTGTAATCCCAACTACTCTGGAGGCTGAGGCAGGGGAATCGCTTGAACCCGGGAGGTGGAGGTTGCAGTGAGCTGAGATTGTGCCGCTGCACTCCAGCCTGGCAACAGAGCAAGACTCCATCTCAAAAAACGAAAAGAGGGCCAGGCACAGTGACTCACGCCTTGTAATCCCATCACTTTGGGAGGCCGAGGTGGGCAGGTCATGAGATCAGGAGATCGAGACCATCCTGGCTAACACCGTGAAACCCCGTCTCTACTAAAAATACAAAAAATTAGCCAGGTGTGGTGGCACACGCCAGTAGTCCCAGCTACTTAGGAGGCTGCGGCAGGAGAATCGCTTGAACCTGGGAGGCAGAGGTTGCAGTGAGCTAAGATTGTGCCACTGCACTCCAGGCTAGGCGACAGAACAAGACTCCATCTCAAAAAAAAAAAAAGGAAAGGAAAGAAAGGCCAGGCATGGTGCCTCACACCAGTAATCACAGCTCTTCTGGAGGTCATGGCAGGAGGATTGCTTGAGTCCAGGAGTTCAAGACCAACCTGGGCAATATGATGAGACCCTGTCTCTACAAAAATAAGAAATTTTAAAAAAAAGGAGGAAAGAGGCTAGGTACGGTGGCTCACGCCTGTAATCTCAGCACTTTGGGAGGCCGAGGCGGGGGGATCATGAGGTCAAGAGATCAAGACCATCCTGGCCAACATGGTGAAACCCCGTCTCTACTAAAAATACAAAAATTAGCTGGGCCTGGTGGCACACACCTGTAGTCCCAGCTACTTGCGAGACTGAGACAGGAGAATCACTTGAACCCGGGAGGCGGAGTTTGCAGTGAGCTGAGATCACACCACTGCACTGAAGCCTGGTGACAGAGCAACACTCCGTCTTAAAAAAAAAAAAAAAAAAAAAACAGGAAAGAAATGCATAGGGTTTCAGAGTAAGTTTTGATGTTTTTCCTCTATATAAATCGGATAAACTTCACACACCCCTATTCTTATCCTCTAATCTCTAAACTATATTCAACTCCCAATAGTTATAGAGATTATTTTCATTCACATGTTTGTAGTATTTATCAGTTTTGGCTTAATTTATTATTACTTAACTAATGAGTTATAACATTCCTTTTGGGAACGTTCAAATTAGAGCTGGACTCTATTTTAGGAATTCCCCTTGAGTCATTCTTGGACTTGGAATTCCTAATTGCCCATCCAGAGTAGATGTTTATTTGGATTCAAAATTTTCCTTCCTGAAATTATCCATTCTGTGGCTTCGGTTACCATATATATTTTGAATACTGCCACATTTTTATCTGTAGCCAGACCTCTTTTTTTATCCTGGCTGCCTGTTCAACATCTCCACAGAGATACTCAGAGGAGGTAATTTGAATTGTGTTGTCCAAAGTGAGCTCTTCATCTTGGCCCCACACCTAGACTTTCTTCAGTGTACTCTATTTTATTAAGTGGCTCTATCACACAATTTACTGAGGCTGGACTCTTTTTTTTTTTTTTTTTTTTTGAGATGGAGTTTCGCTCTTGTTGCTCAGGCGGGAGTGCAATGGCATGATCTTGGTTCACTGCAACCTCTGCCTCCCGGTTTCAGGCGATTCTCCTGCCTCAGCCTCCCGAGTAGCTGAGATTACAGGCGCCTGCCACCACGCCCAGCTAATTTTTTATATTTTTAGTAGAGATAGGGTTTCACCATGTTGGCCAGGTTGGTCTCGAACTCCTGACCTCAGGTGATCCACCCGCCTCGGCCTCCCAAAGTGCTGGGATTATAGGCATGAGCCAACACACCCTAATTTTAGAATATTTTAGATTGTTTTTATTCCGTCAAAAAGAAACCTGATACCCGTTAGCAGTTACTCCCTCCTTATTCCCCCCATAATGGTTGTACAATATTCCATTATGGAGGTTATACCATAAATTATATATGTTTCTTTTTTTTTTTTTTTTTTTTTTTTTTGAGACGGAGTCTCGATCTGTCTCCCAGGCTGGAGTGCAGTGGCACGATCTTGGCTCACTGCAAGCTCCGCCTCCCAGGTTCACACCATTCTCCTGCCTCAGCCTCCCAAGTAGCTGGGACTACAGGCGCCCGCCACCATGCCCGGCTAATTTTTTGTATTTTTAGCAGAGACAGGATTTCACAGTGTTAGCCAGGATGGTCTTGATCTCCTGACCTTGTGATCCACCTGCCTCGGCCTCCCAAAGTGCTAGGATTACAGGTGTTAGCCACCGCACCCAACCTAATTATATGTGTTTCTTATAATAAATGCCCTGTATTTGTTTAGGGTAAATTACTAAATGTGGAATTATTGATCAAAGGATATAAGCACTTTAAAGTTCTTGATAACTGTTGCCAAGATGCCTTCCAGAAAAGTTGTACCAGATGACACCATTGGTGTATGATGGTATGGGTGTTGGTGTTTTTTTGTTGTTTTTTTTTTTTTTTTTTTTTTTTTTTTGAGACGGAGTTTCCCTCTTGTTGCCCAGGCTGGAGTGCAATGGCGCGATCTTGGCTCACTGCAGCCTCCACCTCCCAAGTTCAAGTGATTCTCCTGCATCAGCCTCCCAAGTAGCTGAGATTACAGGCGTGTGCCACCACGCCCGCTAATTTTGTATTTTTAGTAGAGACAGGATTTCGCCAATATTGGTCAGGCTGGTCTCGAACTCCTGACCTCAGGTGATCCGCCTGCCTCAGCCTCCCAAAGTGCTGGGATTACAGGCATGAGCCACCGCACCCAGCCGATGGTATGGGTTGGGTTTTTTTAAAGAAATTTTGTATCATAAACGTAGTCATATTGGAAAATCATACATTTATTTTTGTCTTAGACATGTTCGTTTTTCTAGACTGAGCATTGTTCAGAACAGTTGGTTTGACCTAATCTTAGGCTGTTTTGGACAAATGTTCCAATATTGTCCTGTTTGCATGAAGACAGTTCCACTTAGGATATGTTGTGAATGAATATATTATCCCTATCCCAGGTTCCTCATACTTCTCCAGCTGGTTCCTGAAGGTTCTTACATTCAAATAGAATGGCTTTTTGCCAGCGAAAATTGGCACTTCAACCCACAATGGTGCTTTTTGTTTCCTCATTGGTTGATACAGCCAAGATCTCAAACTACTCACTCTCCATGAGATTTTATAATTTGATTCGCCACAAATTATATTTTAGGTTTTTCAAATATTCATAGCCAAGAGCTCTTTTGAAAACAAGTTGTTTTCATGTTTGTAGCACATAGATTACTATGTGCTACTTAGCTGCTGTAATGCTTTTGCTTAGAAATTGTCACGAGCTAGTTATTAAACATCTATTATCACTCATGTGGAATTAACTTCCACTTAAAACGTTCCAGTTAAACAACACTTCATTGTAAACCCTTTAATTGATTCCTGGTCTCTGCACATAAAGCAGTCGCGTTCAGGGGTATGAGTCACTAGCACGATTCTTAGTGGATTGCTCAGCTCATGAGCTGGGATGCCTAGATTGTTAATACCTACTTTGGAATTACAGTGAGTCAATATTGAAATTTTTAAATTTAGTCCAACCGCAAATTTTCTGAAATGATCGTTTGGGAAGTGCCTTTTTAAAATTTTGACATCTTGTTATATTGTTTAATTTTACTGCTATTACTTTACTTTTCTCCTATCCCTAGACTTTTGAGTTCCACATAATTTGTCAGTTTGGTGAATTTTACTCTGAGATAGTTTTCATCAAATGTTAAATGGAAGAGATTTTAGAAATCATCTAACTTGATATTCTTCATTTATTTCAGAAATTAGGATATGGAAAGAACTTATTCCTGAAGTGCATGGATTATATTCTGGGATTAGAATCTCTTGCCTTCTAGTCCATTGCTTGCTTAGTTTCACAAAATTCAAGGTTAAGAATCACTTTTCGCCCAGGAGCCGTGGCTCACGCCTGTAATCCCAGCACTTTGGGAGGCTGAGGCAGACGGATAACCTGAGGTCAGGAGTTTGAGACCAGCCTGGCCAACAAAGTGAAACCCTGTTTCTACTAAAAATGTAAAAAAATTAGCCACTGTGGAAAACAAGATAATGTTCCTCAACCAATTAAAAATTACCATATGATAGAGCAATTCCACTTCTGGATATTAAAACAAAAGAACTGAATGATTAGCCAGGTGTGGTGGCACACGCCTGTAATCCTGGCTACTTGGGAGGCTGAGGCAGGAGAATCACTTGAACCTGGGAGGCAGAGGTTGCATTGAGCCGAGATCATGCCACTGCACTACAGCCTGGGTGACGAGGCAAGATTCTGCCTCAAAAAAAAGAATTGAATGATTTGTACACCCACGTTCATAACAGCATTATTCACAGTGGCCAAAGTTGTAGACAACCCAGGTGTCTGTCAACAGATGAATGGATAAAAAAAACGTGGTATGTACATACTATGGAATATATTATTCAGCCTTAAAAAGGAAGGAAATTCTTTTTATTTATTTATTTATTTATTTATTTATTTATTTATTTATTTATTTTTGAGACGGAGTCTCGCTCTGTCGCCCAGGCTGGAGTGCAGTGGCGTGATCTCGGCTCACTGCAAGCTCTGCCTCCTGGGTTCACGCTGTTCTCCTGCCTCAGCCTCCTGAGTAGCTGGGACTACAGGCGCCTGCCACCACACCCGACTAATTTTTTGTATTTTTAGTAGAGAGGGGGTTTCACAGTGTTAGCCAGGATGGTCTCGATCTCCTGACCTCATGATCTACCCGCCTCGGCCTCCCAAAGTGCTGGGATTACAGGCGTGAGCCACCGCGCCTGGCCAAAGGAAGGAAATTCTGACACATGGTATAACGTGGATAAACCTTGAACACATTATGCTGAGTGAAATAAGCCAGACACAAAAAGACAAATATATAATTCCATTTATATGAGATAATTAGGTAGTCACAACCATAGAGAAAGTAGAATGGTGATTGCCAGGGGCTGGGAGAAGGGGAAATGGGGAGTTACTGTTTCTGGGTCTAGAGTTTCAGTTTTACAAGATGAAAAAAATTCTGGAGGTAGTGGTGATGGTTGATAATGCTATGAATGTGTTTAATACTTGAACTGTACACTTAAGATAGTACATTTTATGTCTATTCTACCACAGTAAAATAATAAAAATAATTTAACAGGACACAAGTTAATGAGGGGGGTTTTTAGTGCTTGATTTGAAAAACTTGAGAGGTTTTGTTTTTTGTTTTCTTTTTTTAAATAGAGACGGGGTCTCGCCATGTTGTCTAGGATGGTCTTGAACTCCTGAGCTGAAGTGTTCTGCCCATCTCAGCCTCCCAAAGTGCTGGTATTACAGGAGTCAGCCACCACGCCCAGCCAGCTTCTTCCCGCCCCACACCCCCAGATGGAGTTTTGCTCTTTTGCTCTCTTGCCCAGGCTGGAGTGCAGTGGTACAATCTCGGCTCACTGCAACCTCTGCCTTCCGGGTTGAAGCAATTCTCCTGCCTCAGCCTCCTGAGTAGCTGGGATTACAGTAGCCCAGGCCTGGCTAATTTTTGTATTTTTAGTAGAGACTGGGTTTCACCATGTTGGCCAGGCTGGTCTTGAACTGACCTTGGGATCCGCCCGCCTCAGCCTCCCAAAGTGCTAGGATTACAGATGTGAGCCACCATGCCTGGCCTTTTTTTTTTTTTTTAACATGAGACTATTAGAGACTTTTCCAAAGATATATGTGGAAGTGATTTCTTGGGTTAATAGTTGTTTTGTGGTCTCCCTATTCTCAATGCCCAAATAAATTGTCCTCCTTAAATAAATAAATCATTTTTGTCAAAGATACCGTTTATTCCTTCCTCCCCAGCTACCAAGAAAGCTTGTTCTGTTTTATTTTACTTTTAAACTTTCATTCCATTTTACATTTTAAGATCTTAAACTCTGAAATGTATTTTCTTTCTGGTGTTTGTGCATTTTTTTGTTTGTTTGTTTGTTTTTTTGAGACAGAGTTTCGCTCTTGTCGCCCAGGCTGGAGTGCAATGGCGCAATCTCAGCTCACTGCAACCTCTGCCTCCTGGGTTCAAGTGATTCTCCAGTCTCAGCCTCCCGAGTAGCTGGGATTACAGGTGCCCACCACCACGCCTGGCTAATTTTTCTATTTTTAGTAGAGATGGGGTTTCACCATGGTGGCCAGGCTGGTCTCAAACTCCTGATTTTAGCTGATCCGCCCACCTCGGCCTCCCAAAGTGCTGGGATTACAGGCATGAGCCACCGCGCCTGGCCTTGTGCTTTTTCTTTTGTTGTTCTGATCCTGAAGATTGGGATTAGGGTCACATAGAACCTGTACATAATTCCATTGGTAATGTAATTCTTTACTAGCGAGTGGTCAAGAAAGAGCCCAAACTCCAGTGCAAGACTGCCTGACTTCAAATTCTGGCTTTGCTACTTAATAAGTAGATGATTTTAGGCAAATAATAAAGTTTTTTGGTTTTTGGGTTTTTTTGAGATGGAGTTTCACTCTTGTTGCCCAGGCTGGAGTGCAATGGCACAATCTCAGCTCACCACAACCTCCCCCTCCTGAGTTCAAGCGATTCTCCTGCCTCAGCCTCCTGAGTAACTAGGATTACAGGCATGCACCATCACGCCTGGCTAATATTGTATTTTTAGTAGAGACAGGGTTTCTCCATCTTGGTCAGGCTGGTCTCGAACTCCTGACTTCAGGTGATCCGCCCGCCTCAGCCTCCCAAAGTGCTGGGATTACAGGCATGAGCCACCGTGCCTGGCCTTGTGCTTTTCTTTTGCAGTTCTGATCCTAAAGACTGGGATTAGGGTCACATAGAACCTGTACATAATTCCATCTGTAATGTAATTCTTTACTAGCGAGTGGTCAAGAAAGAGTCCAAACTCTAGTGCAAGACTGCCTGACTTCAAATTCTGGCTTCACTACTTAATAAGTAGATGATTTTAGGCAAATAATAAAGTTATTTGTTTTTTGTGGGTTTTTTTTGAGACAGACTTTTGCTCTTGTTGCCCAGGCTGGAGTGCAATGGCACGATCTCAGCTCACTGCAACCACCGCCTCCTGGGTTCAAGCAATTCTGTCTCAGCCTCCTGAGTAGCTGGGATTACAGGCATGCACCACCACGCCTGGCTAATTTTGTATTTTTAGTAGAGGCAGGTTTCTCCATCTTGGTCAGGCTGGTCTCGAACTCCTGACTTCAGGTGATCCGCCCGCCTTGGCCTCCCAAAGTGCTGGGATTACAGACGTGAACCACTGCGCCTGGCAGGCAAATTATAAATTTTTAAACCTGATTTCCTCATCTTTAAAATGAGTTTAATATTAGAATCTACCTGCTGAAATAATTCAAATAATGTTCATTACATTTGATCTTCAAAAATCCTATTAATTCGGCTGGGCGCGGTAGCTCACACCTGTAATCCCAGCACGTTGGGAGGCCGAGGCAGAGGGATCAGTTAAGTCAGGAGTTCGAGACCAGCCTGGATAACAAGGTGAAACCTCATCTCTACTAAAAATAGAAAAATTAGCCAGGCCTGGTGGCGAGTGCCTGTAATCCCAGCTACTCGAGAAGCTGACTGAGGCAGGAGAATTGCTTGAACCCCGGAGGCAGAGGTTGCAGTGAGCTGAGACTTCGCCATTGCACTCCAGCCTGGGCGACAGAGCGACACTCTGTCTCAGAAAACCAAAAACAAAACAAAACAAACTGAATTATGTTTTACAGAAAAACAGTGTTAATTTGAGTCTGTTTGGATATAACCTATAGAAAACTCTTGAGATAAGAATTTGAGAGAGAATTACATAATTTATTACCATGTTGATGCCAGCTAATTTTTTTAAATTCTGTTTTCTAGTGTAAGACAAGGTAGATTTGTGTCTAAGTTATTTGGAAAATAGACTAAAAATAGCACATTTGGTTTCTGTCTAATAAATGTTATATAAGCAAACTTGATTTTCTTCAGTATTTGGGTTTTCTTTGTGTGAGTGAATCCTTTTGAATTATGGGCTACCATGAATTGCAGTATCTTTTAAAATAGAAGCCGTTCTAGAAAAAAGCAACTTTTTTTTTTTTTTTTTTTTTTTTTTGAGACGGAGTGTCGCTCTGTCACCCAGGCTGGAGTGCAGTGGCACGATCTCGGCTCACTGCAAGCTCCGCCTCCCGGGTTCACACCATTCTCCTGCCTCAGCCTCCCGAGTAGCTGGGATTACAGGCACCCGCCACCACGTCTGGCTAATTTTTTGTATTTTTAGTAGAGATGGGGTTTCACCTTGTTAGCCAGGATGGTCTCGATCTCCTGACCTCATGATCCGCCCACCTCGGCCTCCCAAAATGCTGGGATTACAGTCGTGAGCCACCGCGCCCCAAGTTTTTCAACCTTTTAATTTTTTAAAGAATTGATACGATTCTATAAAAATAATAAAATTTGAAGGAAGTCAGTAAAATAAACTGAGATGTTTATATTAAATGTCAATTAATCAATGTCTATACTATATCAAGATTACCTTTTATAGACAAATAGGTAAAAGGATGGAAATAACCCACAAAGGGGTTGGATATATGAGGGGGAACGTATCCTACTGTCTTAGAAACATGAAAATTGACATGATTTTGAAATGCCATTTTGCATCTAGTAAAGGAGCATAATGACAGTGCTGAAGAGGTGGAGGTGAAGTTGTTTTAAGTATACATTCATTGCCAGGCACTGTAAATTACTAGTGCCTTTTTTGAAAACCAAATGACAGTACAAAGCAAAAACCATGCAGATTTACATTGCCTGTGATCTAATAATACCACCTCCTAGAATTTATAGATATAAACTCAAGGCATTTAGGATATATTCACGAAGATATTAAGTATAAAAGTACATATAAATCAGTTGGACCCCAGCTATTCAGGAGGCTGAGGTGGGAGAATCACTTGAACCCAAGAGATGGAGGTTGCAGTGAGCTGAGATCATGCCACTGCACTCCAGCCTGGGTGACAGCAAGACCCAGCCTCAAAAAAATAATAAAAAATTGGTGCTTTACTAATTAGCAAAAGACATTGAGGTATTTGGCCTCCACCCATCTCCACCACTTGACATGTGCTTCCATGTCATTTTCTATTTGTAGATGGAGTATAGACATGATTTTTTATTCATGAGAGCCATTCACAGCTGAATCTCAGACTTTCAGCCCCTACACTATAACCAAGTTTGTTTTCAGAAGCAGGGAAGCCAGAGAAGACTTATGTCCTGAAATTTTTTTTTTTTTTCCTAAGACTGAGTCTTGCTCTTTCACCCATGCTTGAGTGAAGTGGTGCCTTCTCGTCTCACTGCAACCTCCGCCCCCCGGGTTCAAGTGGTTCTCCTGCCTCAGCCTCCAAGTAGCTGGGATTACAGGCGCATGCCACCACGCCCAGCTAATTTTTGTATTTTTAGTAGAGATGGGGTTTCGCCATGTTGGCCAGGCTGGTCTTGAACTCCTGACCTTAGGTGATCCACCTGCCTTGGCCTCCCAAAGTGCTAGGATTACAGGCGTGAGCCATCGCTCCGGCCCTATGTCCTGAATTTTAGGCACCTTTTCAGGTCCCTTATGTAGACCATTTCCTCACATGTGCACTGATCAGTTCTGAAGACTGAGGGGCCCCTCTGCAGATCTCCAGGGTTTTTTGTGTGTGAGTGAGTGAATCCTTTTGAATTATGTGCTTCCGTGAATTGCAGCATTCTTTAAAAAAAAATTTAAGAAGCCATTCAAGAAAAAATAGATAAAATGTTCAGGGCTGGGTGTGGTGGCTCACGCCTGTAATCCCAGCACTTTGGGAGGCTGAGGTGGGTGGATCACGAGGTCAGGAGATCAAGACCATCCTGGCTAACATGGTGAAACCCCATCTCTACTAAAAATGAAAAAAATTAGCCGGGCGTGGTGGCGGGCACCTGTAGTCCCAGCTTCTCGGGAGGCTGAGGCGGGAGAATGGCATGAACCTGGGAGGTGGAGCTTGTAGTGAGCCAAGATCAGGCCACTGCACTCCAGCCTGGGCGACGGAGCAAGACTCTGTCTCAAAAAATAATAATAATGGTTCAGGGGAAAGGAAACTTCAGTGGAGCAAGAACCCACTTTTCTCCACAGTGAGACCACAATTGGCAGTGACATATTCTGCTTAGAAATGTTAATTCCAGAACCTGCCTTCTACTCATTCTACTTCTTGAAATGATCTTAATTTCTCTGGAGGAGTATTGTACTCTGTAACATTGTAAGCCAATCCTTAATGCTTTGTTAATACATAGCTGCCAGGGAGGGGGCTTGCCTAGAGAATGAGTGACCCATTACAGAAATGAGGACTAATGTTTTCAAAATGTTCCCCAGACTGCACTCATCTCCCAGGAATTATTTGACATTTCACTGAGAGTAAGAATGGGTAACTTGTGGCCGGGCGTGGTGACTCACGCCTGTAATCTTAGCACTTTGGGAGGCCGAGGTGAGCAGATCACCTGAGGTCAGGTGTTGGAGACCAGCCTGGCCAACATGGTGAAACGCTGTCTCTCCTAAAAATACAAAAATTAGTTGGGCGTGGTGGTGTGTGCCTGTAGTCCCAGCTACTCAGGATGCTAAGGCAGGAGAATTGCTTGAACCCGGGAGATGGAGGCTGCAGTAAGTTGAGATCGTGGTACTGCACTCCAGCCTGGGCGACAGAGAGAGACTCTTGTCTCAAAAAAAAAAAAAAAAAAAAAAAAAGTAACTTGGAAGGAGAGGAAAGGGAAGAGTATCCAAGAAAAACTTACTGACTCAATAGGTAAAAACATTGGTGATACTGCCATTCATTTTAGGAAACTCATGGTTCTTTATTTTAGAAAGAAGATTGCAGCTGGGTGCGGTGGCTCACACCTGTAATCCCAGCATTTGGGAAGCCGAAGGGTGAATCTCCTGAGGTCAGGAGTTCGAGACCAGACTGGCCAACGGGGCGAAACCCCATCTCTACTAAAAATTAGTTGGACGTGGTGGTGTGCGCCTGTAGTCCAGCTACTCGGGAGGCTAAGGCAGGAGAATTGCTTGGACCCAGGAGACGGAGGCTACAGTCAGCTGAGATTGCGGTACTGTGCTCCAGCCTGGGTGACAGAGACTCTTGTCTCAAAGAAAAAAAAGAGAAAGGGAGGAAAGGAGAAGGAAGGAAGGTTAGTTGCTCGTCACCCATTTTGTGAGATGTTGGAGTTAAGTTGATAAACACATTTACACAAAAAGAAATGCAAATAGTAAACAAGTATAAGAGAAGTTTGGCCGGGCGTGGTGGCTCACGTCTGTAATCCCAGCACTTTGGGAGGCCGAGGTGGGCAGAACATGAGGTCAGGAGATGGAGACCATCCCGGTTAATGTGGTGAAACCCTGTCTCTACTAAAAATACAAAAAATTAGCCGGGCATGGTGGCACGGGCCTGTAGTCCCAGCTATTCGGGAGGCTGAGGCAGGAGAATCGCTTGAACCCGGGAGGTGGAGGTTGCAGAGAGCCGAGATTGTGCCACTGCACTCCAGCCTGGGCGACAGTGAGACTCTGTCTCAATTAAAAAAAAAAAAGTTCATTTTTACTACTAGATCCCTTAGTAAATTAGTGTTATTTGGAAAGAGTATTCATTTAGATAAAGACTAGAAGGACATAAGGAAAACCAAAACATTTGTAAGTAGCTGTGATTATGGGTTTTTTTGTGTGTGTTTGTTTGTTTTAACCCATTTATGCCTGAGATTGCAATTTTTTGAATTTGAAAAAATCAGACCTTGGCAATGATCTTGAACAGTAGGATATAAATAACTCCCACATGCGTAGCGTTCCAGTAATGGAACAATAGGCATAAATGGGTTTTAATGTTATGGGTTTTTTGTTTTGTTTTGTTTTGATTTGATTTTTGAGACAGAGTCTTGCTCTGTTGCCAGGCTGGAGTACAGTGGCGCAATCTCGACTCACTGCAGCCTCTGCCTCCCTGGTTCAAGCCATTCTCCTGCCTCAGCCTCAGCTTGTAGTCCTGAGTAGCTGGGACTACAAGCGTGTACCACCACACCCGGCTAATTTTTTTGTGTTTTTAGTAGGGGCGGGTTTCATCATGTTGGCCAGGATGGTCTCAATCTCCTGACCTCGTGATCCATCCGCCTTGGGCTCCCAAAGTGCTGGCATTACAGGCATGAGCCACTGCTCCCAGCTGGGTTTTTTTGTTTTTTGTTTTTTGTTTTTTTTTTTTAGAGTTTTGTTCTTGCCCAGGCCGGAGTGCAATGGGACGATCTCGGCTCACTGCAACCTCTGCCTCCCAGATTTAAGCCATTCTCCTGCCTCAGCCTCCCAAGTAGCTGGGATTATGGGCACGTGCCACCATGCCCGGCTAATTTTGTATTTTTAGTAGAGACGGGGTTTCACCATGTTAGCTAGGCCAGTCTCGAACTCCCGACCTCAGGTGATCCACTTGTCTCAGCCTCCCAAAGTGCTGGGATTACAGGCGTGAGCCACCGCGCCGGCCTATTTTTTTTCCCACAGAATTATATTAAGAGAAAGAGGCCAGGCATAGTGGCTCATGCTTGTAATCCTAGTACTTTGGAAGGCCGAGGCAGGCAGATCACTTGAGCCCAGGAGTTCAGGACCAGCCTGGGCAACATGGCAAAACCTCTTCTCTGCAAAAAATACAAAAATTAGCCAGGCATGGTGGCGTGCAACTGTAGTCTCAGGTATTTGGGAGGCTGAGGTGAGAGGATCACCTGAACCTGGGGAGGCTGAGGCTACAGTGAGCCCAGGTGCCGCTGCACTCCAGCCTGGATAACAAAGAGAGACTTTGTCTCAAAAAAAAAAAAAAAAAAGAAAAAAGGCCAGGTGCAGTGGCTCACGCCTGTAATCCCAGCACTTTGGGAGGCCGAGGTGGGTGGATCACCTGAGGGTCAGGAGTTGGAGACCAGCCTGACCAACATGGTGAAACCCTGTCTCTACTAAAAATACAAAATTAGCTGGGTGTGGTGGCACATGTCTGTAATCCCAGCTACTTGGGGGGCTGAGGCAGGAGAATCGCTTGAACCCAGGAGGCGGAGGTTGCAGTGAGCTGAGATCGTGCCATTGCACTCCCTCCAGCTTGGGCAACAAAAGCGAAACTCCATCTCAAAAAAAAAAAGAAAGAAATTATATTGGCTGCGTGTGGTGGCTCACACCTGTAATCCCAACACTTTGGGAGGCTGAGGTGGGCAGATCACTTGAGCTCTGGGGTACAAGACCAGCCTGGGCAATATGACGAAACCTCATCTATACAGAAATTAGCCAGGCATGGTAGTGTTCCTTCACCTGTAGTCCCAGCTACTGCAGGGGGCTAAGGTGGGAAGATTGCTTGACACAAGAGGTTGAGGCTGCAGTGACTTAGGTCTGCACCACTGCACTCCAGTGTGGGCAACAGAGCGAGACCCTGTTTAAAAAAAAAAAATGAATTAATTGATGTCCATCCAGTATAGAGAGGATCAGGTATCCAGATCCCCGCTCCTCCCCACACATGCACTGATCAGAGCTGAAGACCTGGGGTATGGAGGGGAGTCCGTCTGCAGATCTCCAGCGAGTTTTGTGGAGAAAACCCCTGGTTGTTGTGGATCTTCTCAACATTTTGTGGTCAAGAGCATAGACCGTAGCGATACTCATTCCGAAGACTTCAGAGTGTGGGTATAGAGTACCCATACTCTGTGGCTCTTAGGATTGTCTATGGAAAACCAGACTGTAAGGGTTCAGCATTTTCCACGTCTGCAGCTTAATCAGTACACAATACTTACTAATGGATGTGTTAAAATGGCTGCTTTAGAACTTACATAAGCTCTGAAGGATTTATCACCAATTCTTCCCCCCAAGAAAATTTTATTGAAAAGCTCAACTGTTGAGAAATTCTTTCATAACAATAATTACTTAAAAGATACACATTTGGCCGGGCGCGATGGCTCATGCCTGTAATCCCAGCACTTTGGGAGGCTGAGGCAGGCGGATTACCTGAGGTCAGGAGTTCAAGACCAGCCTGGCCAACATGGTGATAACCTCGTCTCTACTAAAAATACAAAATTAGCTGGGCGTGGTGGCTCACGCTTGTAATCCCAGGATTTTGGGAGGCCGAGGCGGGTGGATCACGAGGTCAGGAGATCGAGACCATCTTGGCTAACATGGTGAAACCCAGTCTCTACAAAAAAATACAAAAAAAAAATAGCCAAGCGTGGTGGCAGGTGCCTGTTGTCCCAGCTGCTCGGGAGGCTGAGGCAGGAGAATGGTGTGAACCTGGGAGGCGGAGCTTGCAGTGAGCCGAGATCATGCCACTGCACTCCAGCTTGGCCAAAAAAGCGAGACTGTCTGGAAAAAAAAAAAGGCTGGGCGTGGTGGCTCACGCCTGTAATCCCAGCACTTCGGGAGGCCGAGGCAGGCGGATCACCTGAGGTCAGGAGTTCAAGACCAGCCTCAACATGGAGAAACCCCGTCTCTACTAAAAATACAAAATTACCCAGGCGTGGTGGTGCATACCTGTAATCCCAGCTACTCGGGAGGCTGAGGCAGGAGAATTGCTTGAACCTGGGAGGTGGAGGTTGTGGCGAGCCAAGATCGCGCCATTGCACTCCAGCCTGGACAACAAGAGTGAAACTCCGTCTCAAAAAAAAAAAAAAAAGATACACATTTATCTTTGTGGATGGAGATATAACAGATGAGTTAGTTCTAACTAATTGTATTTTCATAATTTTGGCTTATTGGAACAAATAGAAATTTCAGGCTTTGGGGAAAATCTGAGCCTGCAGAGAATTTGTGGATGAGAATCATGGAGTTCTATGTTGGAAACCTGGCTTACATCACCATTTAAAGATTTTATATTATTTACTTCTTGTTTTGAGGTTTTATAACTTGTATATTCAATGAGAAAAGAGGTGGTGAGCTCAGTTGGAAAACAGGGCTAGAAATGGGAGCTGTACTGGAAATTTTATTGTGTTAGAGTCTCCCTCTCTCGCCCAGGCAGGAGTGCAGTGGTATGATCATAGCTCATTGCAGTCTCAAGCTCCCAAGTTCAAGTGATCCTCCTCCTTCAGCCTTCCAAAGTGCTGAGATTACAGGTGTGAGCCACCATGCCCAGCTGGATTCTTTTGTTTGTTTGTTTTGTTTTGTTTTGAGATGGAGTTTTGCTCTTGTTGCCCAGGCTAGAGTGCAATGGCACAATCTCAGCTCACCGCAACCTCCACCTCCCCCTCCCAGGTTCAAGCAATTCTCCTGCCTCAGCCTCCCAAATAGCTGGGATTACAGGCATGCACCACCACACCTGGCTAATTTTGTATTTTTAGTTAGTTGGTCAGTCCATGTTGGTCTGGCTGGTCTCAAACTCCCGACTGCTGGTGATCCACCCACCTCGGCTTCCCAAAGTGCTGGAATTACAGGCATGAGCCACCGTGCTTGGCCGGGATTCTTCATATGTAAATCTTTTTGCTTCTTTATTTTTTGAGGTTTCGCTGTCACCTAGGCTGGAGTGCAGTGGCACGATCACAACTCACTGCAACCTCTACCTCCCGGGCTCAAGTGATTCTTTCACCTGAGCCTCCCAAGTAGCTGGGACCACAGGTGTGCGTCACCATGCTAATTTTGGGGGTGTGTGTTGTTGTTGTTGTTTGGTGAAGACTAGGTTTCACATGTTGCCCAGGCTGGTCTCAAACTCCTGAACTCATGTGATCCCCCCACCTTGGCCTCCCGAAGTGCTGGGATTACAGGCGTGAGCCAGAGCCACTGTGCTGGGCCGTGTGTGTGTGTGTGTGTGTGTGTGTGTGTGTGTAAGAGACAGGGTGTTGTTCTATCTACCAGGTTGGACTGCAGTGGCCACCACTGCCACCACACCTGGCTAATTTTTTTAAAATTTGGAAAGATAGGGTCTCACTATATTGCCCAGGCTTATGTGCAAATCTTTATGCGGCTTCATGCCTTCACTTTTTTTTTTTCCATTGTTCCTTTGGAAATTGTTCCAGTTTTTTTTTTCCTGTATCTTTAAACAACAACACAAAGCACCCTTTTAATTAAGTTACTATAAACACATAACATTCAGGAATTGTTTTAAATTTATTTGCTAAATGTGGGCGCCTTATGGATGACATTTGGCCAGAGCTATGCAGAGTTGCCAGAGCTTAATAATGAGCAATAATTCATCTTGGAAACTTTTCTGTTTTGCTGTTTAATCCAGTACAGATGCAGGTGTTTTCTTTCTGTGACTTTTTGTGAGTAGTTGTATCTGTAAATCACCTCCCATGGAGACGGGTGTTCCTGTGACTGAGAGCCAGCTGTTGGGTGTTTTAGCTAAACAGCTTGCTCCTAGTTAGCTGCTCAAATCCCCCTGAGAGGTGTATCGGCTGCTTCAGGGAATAGAGCAGATGGGGTGAAGGTTTTTGCAAGGCCTTTAGTGACCTGCTTTCAATTTGCTGCAATTCTTCTGCTTTGGCTTTTTCCTATAGGTGCCAGAGTTCATCTGCTTCATATTTTTACTACTGACGCATCTTCCTGTCGTATATTCTTAGACTGTGGTGACTTAAGAATCTTTGGGTCACCTGTTACATGGTTTCTCCTGCCACCTGTATGGGGAGGAGAAGACTGGTATTCAAACTCAAGCCTGTTTCTATCTTATTCTCATTGATTTTTATGATACATAGAAAACTTTGTTTCTTTCTGAAAATGGCATTTTAGTGATTCATTGTTTTCTGTGGGAGAAAGCTTATGACCTGCTCTTTTCTTTTTCCCTTCCAGAGGGAATCTGGAAAAATTGCAATCAAAACATCATTTCTCTAAGAAAATTTTGGGTAACCGAAGTTCTGGACAACAGGTAAAGTGTGTTTAAACTTTGGTGGTGCTGACAAATCATCTGTAATCTGCAGAAGTAAACTGGGAGAGGGAGGAGGACAAGTTAAAAATTAAGTCTACTTTGTGTCGGGGCTTTATTGGGGATTTCCCATATATTACCTCATTTAGGTGGTTTTTACCTGGATCCTGGATGTAGATCTGGGAATCTCAGAAAGAATCTGTCCTTTAAAATGCTGTTTTAAATGGATTTGCTGTTGATTGGATTTAATGTCCTCACAGTTCAGTTTAGCAATCATTTTTTAATGTCTACCATAAATAAGGTACAGAAGTATAATTTGTAGATTCTGTTATATAGTAAAGGGGTACAATATTTATTGCAAGACCATTTACTGGGCTTCTAAGTAAAACCAAAATCTGGTATGCGATGCAGCCTAGCTAGGGAAGATCTTCCTAGTTCCCTTCTGTCTTTTGTTTTAGTTCTTAATGATTGCCAGCAGTTTGTAGCTGTACCATCTTCTTAATCCCTTTTAGCACTTGTCTAAAATTTAAGTTTCCTAATAAATCACCCCTTCACAGTGGAGTCCAACCGAGGTGTCCCCTTTATGTTCTCAGTGGTGGTTTTTCTGTGATTGGACCGAATAACTATACCTGTGTGTTTTTTAAATTTCTATCTCACAAAATTCTGAAGGTCTCATGAAATAATAGTATGTGTAAAGAACCTAGGTCTGGCCAGGCATGGTGGTTCACGCCTGTAATCCCAGCACTTTGAGAGGCCAAGGCAGGCGGATCACCTGAGGTCAGGAGTTCGAGACCAGCCTGGCCAACATGGTGAAACCCCATCTCTACTAAAAATACAAAAATGATGGTGCATGACTGTAATCCCAGATACTCGGGAGGCTGAGGCACAAGAATCACTTGAACCTGGGAGGCGGAGGTTGCAGTGAGCCAAGATCACGCCACTGCACTGCAGCCTGAGCGAAAGAGGGAAACTGTCTCAAAAAAAAAAAAAAAAAACAAACAGAAGAACCAAGGTCTGAGAAATATCTCAGTAAATAGTAGCTACAAGTTTACCTTTTAAACCAGAGGAGATATGAAAGCAATCCATACTTTCTGGGACCTTGTGGGGCCAACAGGTGTTGACTGAGGTGAATTGACCTTCTTGAAGATAGTAGAGAGTGAGATGCTGTTTATTCTTTTTTTTTGAGATGGAGTCTTGCTCTGTTCAAGCAATTCTCCTGTCTCAGCCTCCTGAGCTGCTGGGATTACAGGTGCACACCACCGTGCCCGGGTAATTTTTGTATTTTTGTAGAGACGGAGTTTCACCATGTTGACCAGGCTGGTCTTTAACTCCTGACCTCAACTAATCTGCCCGCCTTGGCCTCCCAAAGTGCTGGGATTACAGGCGTGAGCCACCCTACCCAACTGAGATGCTGTTTATTCTAACATTTGTTCCACTGTGAACCTTGAGGTTAGATTTCAAGTATTCAAAGCAGTAGTTCCTAGAGATATCATAATTAGTAATTAAATTAAGATTTAATATTTGTTGATTTTATTTTGGTATTTTTCCACTTTTATCAGGGCATACCAATTCAATCACCATGAGTTGGAGCTTCCTGACTCGCCTGCTAGAGGAGATTCACAACCATTCCACATTTGTGGGGAAGATCTGGCTCACTGTTCTGATTGTCTTCCGGATCGTCCTTACAGCTGTAGGAGGAGAATCCATCTATTACGATGAGCAAAGCAAATTTGTGTGCAACACAGAACAGCCGGGCTGTGAGAATGTCTGTTATGATGCGTTTGCACCTCTCTCCCATGTACGCTTCTGGGTGTTCCAGATCATCCTGGTGGCAACTCCCTCTGTGATGTACCTGGGCTATGCTATCCACAAGATTGCCAAAATGGAGCACGGTGAAGCAGACAAGAAGGCAGCTCGGAGCAAGCCCTATGCAATGCGCTGGAAACAACACCGGGCTCTGGAAGAAACGGAGGAGGACAACGAAGAGGATCCTATGATGTATCCAGAGATGGAGTTAGAAAGTGATAAGGAAAATAAAGAGCAGAGCCAACCCAAACCTAAGCATGATGGCCGACGACGGATTCGGGAAGATGGGCTCATGAAAATCTATGTGCTGCAGTTGCTGGCAAGGACCGTGTTTGAGGTGGGTTTTCTGATAGGGCAGTATTTTCTGTATGGCTTCCAAGTCCACCCGTTTTATGTGTGCAGCAGACTTCCTTGTCCTCATAAGATAGACTGCTTTATTTCTAGACCCACTGAAAAGACCATCTTCCTTCTGATAATGTATGGTGTTACAGGCCTTTGCCTCTTGCTTAACATTTGGGAGATGCTTCATTTAGGGTTTGGGACCATTCGAGACTCACTAAACAGTAAAAGGAGGGAACTTGAGGATCCGGGTGCTTATAATTATCCTTTCACTTGGAATACACCATCTGCTCCCCCTGGCTATAACATTGCTGTCAAACCAGATCAAATCCAGTACACCGAACTGTCCAATGCTAAGATCGCCTACAAGCAAAACAAGGCCAACACAGCCCAGGAACAGCAGTATGGCAGCCATGAGGAGAACCTCCCAGCTGACCTGGAGGCTCTGCAGCGGGAGATCAGGATGGCTCAGGAACGCTTGGATCTGGCAGTTCAGGCCTACAGTCACCAAAACAACCCTCATGGTCCCCGGGAGAAGAAGGCCAAAGTGGGGTCCAAAGCTGGGTCCAACAAAAGCACTGCCAGTAGCAAATCAGGGGATGGGAAGACCTCCGTCTGGATTTAATCCTGGCGGGCTTAAAACCTGTGCTTTTCATAGTTTATGGTAAGCAGCAGCTCACTGAATAATGACTTCCATTGAGTAAACATTTGGCTCTGGTTATCTTCAGGGATGCTGTTGGCTCATGATCCAAGCTCAGGGGACTCTGGAGGCGGGGCTGGGCTGAGGGAGAGAAAGGGAAACACAGTGTTCCCAGGCACATGTTCTTAGCAATAATACAGTTGCAGAACTTTACATTTGTGTCTTCCAGATCTGGAGAAGAACAGACATATTTAAATCATTCTTGTTGAACAGTTTTTGTATGTACAGTATTATGGTACTTTTTTTTTTTTAGTATGAGAACTTTTTTTGTATTTGTACATTGAACTGCTGTAGTTATACTTTTATATTAAAGGGGAAAAAGTCCTTATAAATAATGCCTATTAGGCTAGTGCTATTACTTTGTTCAGCAAATTCTACCCTGGCTTTAGAGTTTTTAATAGATGCTACACCTAATAAAAGTGCCTCTCATATTGCAGGAACGATTTCAGATGTGTAAGGAGACTGAAGAGGAGATACCAGTTTTTAGTCTTGGAAAGCAAGTTCACAGTAGAAGGAGGTTGAGATCTTTCTTTTATGTGAGAAATCTTTGAATCTCATTCATGCGATCAGAGTTGTAGCCAATTTTTGAAAACCTTATTTTCAAAGGAAATAAATGATTCACTGTAGGATTCCTTTAAATATCAAGCATCACCAGTATATGCTTTGATGGTATATGTATATAACTTAAAGTTCTTTCAAAAGCCTGATACAGAAACGTGTCCCCAGTTTGGTAGCAATGTGGAAAACCTGGCTAGAGATGATATGGAGCTGTCCCTCAGAAAGCAAAGCCATGCCTGGAATCCCTAATAGGCTGCTTAGTTGTGAACCTGTTTGATTTGCCTTAAGCCTCTATCCAGAAACCTGCCCGCTTCCGTCTGGTTAAGAAGCCAGTGGTGGATATTTTCTTTGTTAACATTAGAAATGCAAACATTCCCTTGTCAACCAAGAATACTCAAAGCTACTTGTATTGGAAATGGCAGAAGGCCTAAATCCAAATTTCTTATTTTTTATAATTTACCATAGAAGTTTTGTGATTAAATTCTTACTTCTGCCAGTGGAGGTTTATGCCTGAAAGGTCATGGGGTCCTGTCTGTAAATAGACCTAAAGAGAAGTGCAGTATTTATTCTTTGTAGGCATAATGTGTTTGTCACTGACAAGCATTCATGTTCATCCCACTAGTCTTTTATTGCAGTCTTTTATTGTCATTTTCAGCCTTATGTTGGAGAGCTTTGCTTTCTCATCATGTTCACATTGTCTTAAGTTTTGTGAGCTTCTGAGAAAGAGCTTGGTAAAGGTTTAAAGGGGACTTTGTTCCACCAGGGAGCATTTTATTTGGGCGTCTCACCCTTTTCTAATGAAAGCTGTTGTAAGCCACCTCTGACTTGGAAATTCTGAAAGTATGAATATTTTTTATATCTTAATTGTAAAATGCCAGTTCTCCATTATTTAGATGAATAGTAGAACACTGCACCCTTTGTGCAGTGTTTTTGTTTCTCTACTGCATTCCTACCCCCACCAAAAAAAAGAAACTTAAGGAAATTTTTTTTTGAGACAGGGTCTCCCTCTTTCACCCAGGCTGGAGTGCAGCAGCATGATCTCAGCTCACTGCAGCCTCTGCCTCCCAGGCTCAAGCAATCATTCCACCTCAGCCTCTTGATTAGCTGGGACTACAGGCATGTGCCACCATACTCGGCTAATTCTGTTTTAAAAATTTTTTTTGTAGAGATGAGGTCTCACTATGTTACCCAGGCTGGTCTCGAACTTTTGGGTTCAAGTGATCCTCCCGCCTCAGCCTCTCAAAGTGTTAGTATTATAGGTGTGAGCCACCATGCCCAGCCTAGAAAATTTAACCTTATCTTTTAGCCATTCATTTACTTTTATTTGCTTTTTTAAAAAAAAATCTTTAAATTTTAGCCTAGAGAAGCACCTCAGGAACTCTAAACATCTTAGGCAAAAATTAAACTCAGGTGAGACTGAAGGAGAAATTTCAGAAATACACATGTACCTCATGGGTAATTAATAGACATGCACAGTTTCCTTCAAATCAAATGTTTAATAAGGAAATTCATATAATTCCAAGAAAACAGGCAAAATTTGGAATACATAAGCCTAGCTAAGATAAAGAACTACCAGTTAATTCTTAACATCACTGGAGCTTCCAGCAGGTTTTTTAATTGAAGGACAAAAAGTGTCCATACATTTGTGTTATCTCTTCAGAGCCTGAGGGAGAAGAGAGTGGCTTTGCCCAGTGGAAAGGCTGGGGATTTGAGAATGATACAGGGGGAAGGAGTCAAGCAGAAATGCCAGGAAGAACCAGGCAAAGACATTTGGCGCCAGAAGCATCCACTTAATTTCTGTGAAGAGTGCCCCTGGTGTTTCATCTTGGCCTGTTTTGATGAGAATGTTATCTTTTGTGTCTGGATAACGCGTCAGCTTCTTAAAGTACATATAAAGATATTCTGTCACCTCCCCACATGCACACACTTTTAAAATCTATTTTTATTCTCTTGCTAAAGTTGTAATTATGTCAAGAATTTTCCAGCTCTAACTGCCTTCTTAGTACATGTCTTTCTGCCTTTGAAGCATATGAGTTTGCCAAAGTCATTCTCCCCTAATGACATATTGTGGACTTACATTAAGAAAATGGGCCAGGCGCGGTGGCTCACACCTGTAATCCCAGCACTTTAGGAGGCCCAGGCGGGTGGATTACCTGAGGTCAGGAGTTCAAGACCAGACTGGTCAACATGGTGAAACTCCATCTCTACTAAAAATACAGAAATTAGCCAGGAGTGCTGGGTGGACGCCTGCAATCCCAGCTACTTGGGAGGTTGAGGCAGGAGAATTGCTTGAACCCAGGAGGCAGAGGTTGCAGTGAGCTGAGATCATACCATTGCACTCCAGCCTGCAAGACAGAGTGAAACTCTTGTCTCAAAAAAAAAAAAAGAAAAAAAGAAAGTGAGCCTGTTGATGTCTAGCTAACCCATTGGTGGAGTCTGCATTGAATCTGTAAGAATATTGTTCTGGATCATGCAGGTGGGATTTGTATAAAAAGCCTGTCCAACATTTAGTTCTCACTCGCATCAGAATCATACTGTTTTGAATTGCCATATAAGACATGCTCCATCATGACACTTGCTTCTCCTCCAAATACAAGTTGAGTGCTTAGTCCTTCACCTGCTAGAATCAGGATACAATCAACATGATTATGTTCCTTAACACACTTGGATTTATGCAGATGTGGTGTGTCCTTTGCTCTTTTTTTTCTTAAGACAGAGTCTTGCTCTTGTCGCTCAGGCTGGAGTGCAGTGGTGTGATTTCGGCTCACTGCAACCTCCGCCTCCTGGGTTCAAGCGATTCTCCTGCCTCAGCCTCCCGAGTAGCTGGGATTACAGGCACCACCACCATACCAGGCTGATTTTTTTTGTATTTTTAATATAGACAGGGCTTCATCATGTTGGCCAGGCTGGCAGGCTGGTCTCGAACTCCTCACCTCGTGATCCGCCCACCTCAGCTTCCCAAAGTGCTGTGATTACAGGCGTGAGCCACCGCGCCTGGCCTGCTCTTAAAACCCGTTATTCAGAAGATTTGTAAAAGAAATAGGCTTTTTTTTTTTTTTTGGTTAATTCAAACGAGGGGAAAATTAGATAGCATTTTCCCCTAAAGAAATGTTAATGTTCATTTTGTGGCTTTGTTTTCAAGTTTCAGGAGCCATGTACATCTCAGAAGTGTTACGAAGTGATTAGAAAAGGCCTCTGGTAAAAGACCTTCAAGGACCAACCATTATTATTGGTCACTTGTTTGAACTTGGCGCTTAAAAAAAAAGTTGGACTGTGATGCTTTGGTGCTCTTTATCACAGACATCAGTGATGGTCTGAAACACTCTCTAGCAGTTTATACGAAGAATGGACTTACATGTTATCAGTTACACTCATGATTTACTCGTTCAGCTTCTACAAGTCCATACTTTATGCTGTCTCATTTAAGAGACAGTCCACTTCTGAAAATAAAATCGATAGTTGATGATACATTTTTGGCTAGCCAGCTTTCTGTAAAAGGCAAGTATGTTAGACATGCACAGTTTCCTTCAAATCAAATGTTTAATAAGGTACTTCAAGAAACGCCTTTTTAAAAATCAAAGGTTTTGGCCAGGCATGGTGGCTCACGCCTGTAATCCCAGCACTTTGGGAGGCCAAGGTGGGCGAATCACAAGGTCAGGAGTTTGAGACCAGCCTGGCCAACATGGTGAAACCCCGTCTCTACTAAAAATACCAAAAATTAGCCGGGCGTGGTGGTGGGTACCTGTAATCCCAGCTACTCAGGAGGCTGAGATGAGAATCACTTGATCCCAGGAGGTAGAGGTTGCAGTGAGCCGAGATTGCGCCATTGCACTTCAGCCTGGGCAACGAGTGAAACTCTCAAAAAAAAATTCATAGTAATAATAAAGTCCCTGCATGCAGTTTGGAAATAAAATTTAAACTCATTTATGTGTAATAAATATGTAATAATTCACAGTCACCATCAAATGTTGGAATCATTGAATTGCATACTTGTACTCATTCCGGCCACATCATGAAGTGTTTAAAGATTTGTATTTGCTGTTGTCCCTATGTAGTTCTATTGATGTTTGGTTTTGTTTTTTGGGGTTTGTTTTGAGCCCAGGCTAGAGTGCAATGGCACAATCTCAACTCACTACAGCCTGGACCTCCTTGGCTCAAGCAGTCCTCCCACTTCAGCCTCCCAAGTAGCTGGTCTGCAAGTGCTCACCACCACACCTGGCTAATTTTTGTATTTTTTGTAGAGACAGAGCTCTCACTATGTTGCCTAGACTGGTCTCAAACTCCTGGGCCCAAGCAATCCTCCCATCACAGCCTCCGAAGGTGCTGGGATTACAGGCATAAGCCACTGTGCCCAGCCTGTTTTTAATAATGATATTAAGTGGGTTTGGTTCATGTGTTATTAATCAGTGTTAATAATCGTACTTTTTTTTTTTTTTAAAAGAAACCATGGTATTCTAAAATCAGGAGTCCAAATAAAAGAAAGTTCTCGGCTGTGCATGGTGGCTAACACCTGTAATCCCAGCACTTTGGGAGGCTGAGGTGGGTGGATCACTAGAGGTCAGGAGTTTGAAACAAGCCTGGCCAACATGGTAAAACCCCCTCTCTACTAAAAATACAAAAATTAGCCGGGCATGGTGGTGCACACCTGTAATCCCAGCTACTCGGGATGTTGAGGCATGAGATTTCCTTGAACCTGGAAGGCAGAGGTTGCTGTGAGCCGAGATCGCGCCACTGCACTCCAGCCTGGGTGACAGAGTAAGACTGTCGCCAAAAAAGAGGAAAAAAGTTATCCAGTGCAGTTTCTACAGAGATAAAAGAAGTAATAGTTCTGGCTGGGTGTGGTGGCTTATGCCTGTAATCCCAACACTTTGGGAGGCCAAGGCAGGTGGATCACATGAGGTCAGGAGTTCGAGACCAGCCTGGCCAACATGGCAAAACTGTCTCTACTAAAAATATAAAAATTAGGTATGGTGGCACGTGCCTGTACTTACAGCTACTTGGGAGGCTGAGGCATGAGATGACAATCTCTTGAACCCAGGAGGCGGAGGTTGCAGTGAGCTGAGATTGCACCACTGCACTCCAGCTTGGGTGATGGAGTGAGACTCAAATAAAAAAGGTACTAGTTCTGCATTTCAGAGTTGGCTTGTTGAACCAGGCTATATGCTTCCAAGATTTAAATGTTTTTCTGTATTATACTCTCAATTGTGTTTTAAAAAAATCTCTTACAGAAATCTCTACCTCAGGCACTAAGTGTTATGACATGGGTAGCATATTGATATTGAAAACTTAGCTAGGACTTCCAGCCTTTTAAGATAATTTAAATGTAAAATTAAATGGTTAACCAGCAATCTAATGTCATGTGGTGTGCAGTTTGGATATTGCATGAACAGCTAAGGAATCACCTGTTCTAGTGCCAAAGATCACTCATTGCTAATTTTGTTCTGTACAGCTTATGTAATATTTTCATGGTGGAGACGGACTCTGTGTGCTCAGGGCCTTGTCTCTAGGAAGATTTTGTCAATTCCAAATACAGTTTTGAAGATTCATTTGTGGTTTGTGTTTCCTTTCTCAGAATTCGAAACCAACTGAAAATCAGCTGCCAGGTAATGTCATATTGAGGATTTTACCCTATTTATATAAGATAATACCCAAGAGCTTAGTGATATACACAGAAAAGCTAATACGAAAATCTCTTCCTCATACATTTCACCTGTAAGTTGATCTTGGTGGGAATACTTGAGCAGAGAAATTTCCAACTAAAGGTTTGGGCTTAAAAGATGCCTTTTTTCATAGCTGATTTGAAGCTCTTCTGGGACTACTGTGGCTAAATAGGTCAGCATATTCGTGGCGTCGCAATCTGGGGAATATAGGTAGCCTGGCGGGGGAGGCTGGGGTCTAAGCTCAAAAGCTGGGAATGCACCCTTGACTTCCCTCGGTTCTGGAGGCCTTTCCTGGAGTGCCTTCTGCAAGGGACCCTTTGCGGCAGCAGAGTCAGCAGTGTCGTTGAAAAGCCTAATCCACCTCCTGAGAAGGGAGCAGCAATGCCCTCTTGTTCCCTCAGACACGGGATAGCCGACTGGTAGGTCACGAACAGCTCACCCTCAGCAGCACAGATTGTAAACTGGTCAGCCAACCATATTTGGTAATGAATTTGTGAGCTATTTGAACGCTATTGGAGCAGTTAAATCACTCTGGATCTGTTAGTTTTGAAAGTAGATTCTTTGGCAGATTTGCCATCAGAACGGAGACTAATACCTGTGGCATCAAATCTGTTTTCTTTGCTACACAGAGTTTGAAAACTGTTTTTAAGGTTTTAAGGGCTTATATGATACTTTTAGGGTTTGTTTCCTTTAGATATCTCCCATTGGAAGCAGGTTGCACAACGGCATGAAGAATATGGAAGCAGAGGCAAATTTGGGAACAGAATCCAGGTCTGTACAATCCAGTATCCTTTGTTCTTGCAAGAGGAGGGTCCAGAAGCAGCTGTTAGCGGGTGCTCACAAGGGTTTAGGGGCATCTTTGCTGGGTGGACCTTGCATCTGTCTATTATAATACTTTTTCAAAATGTAACCATTGGACCATTGGACTACTTGTTAGAAGTAACAGGAATGCTATTAACATACAGATTCCTAGGCCAAGGCGGGCGGATCACGAAGTCAGGAGATTGAGTCCATTCTGGCTAACATGGTGAAACCCCATCTCTACTAAAAATACAAAAAAATTAGCCGGCCATGGTGGCGGGCACCTGTAGTCCCAGCTACTCAGGAGGCTGAGGCAGGAGAATGGCGTGAACCCGGGAGGCGAAGCTTGCAGTGAGCCAAGATTGTGCCACTGCACTCCAGCCTGGGCAACAGAGCTAGGCTCTGTCTCAAAAAAAATAATAATTAAAAAATATATATAACAGAGAGAGATAGCGATATATAGATTCCTAGTCTGGGCAACATAGTGAGACCCTGTCTCTACAAAAAATAAGCAAAAAATTAGCTAGGCATGGTAGTACTCACCTGTAGTCCGAGCTCCTTGGGAGGCTGAGGCAGGAAGATCGGTTGACCGCCAAGGTGGAGGCTACAGTGAGCCGTGGTTGCGCCACTGCACGCCACCCTGGATGACAGAGCAAGAGCGAGACCCTGTCTGTCTGTCTCTCTATATATATACGTGTGTGTGTGTGTATGTGTGTGTGTGTGTGTGTATTTTAGATCCATTGCAGACCTACATAATCAGAACTAACAAGTTCTCTGGGGGATTCATTTTTTTAAATCTTTTATTAAGATATAATTTACATGGAGTAAAACTGTTGCATAGTTAGAAATGCATACAGTTAAGTAACCACACTAGAAAGATGCATAATAGTTGCATTACCCCCAAATTACCTGGTGATTCTTATGTACATTATAGTTTGAAAACCACTCATTTTTAAAAAATTGTTTGAAGTAGCCAAAATAAAAGGGGAAAGAGAATTGTTTTGAATTACCTCCTCTGTTCAAGAAGGTTTAGACCTGGCATAGCACATGAGTTTCATCTCATCAGTCAGCTCAGAATGACTGCTGGCTCCCTGGAGGGGAGACCTACATAGAGGATCCAGGGACTCCTCTGGGTTCAGCCAAATAATCTATCAGTGATTTTGAGGTTGGGGCAGGGTTGATGGAAGAGTGTGCCATCCTTGACTAGATGTTAAGCATGTTTCAAAATATCATTGATATGGGAGTGCTGGGAAGGGAAGAGGTGGTCCCTTTAAATGATATGGAAGGGGGGAAGGGAAGTGCTGCATAGAGGATGGCATGGTTCCTGGCTAGGGCTCCACCCCCACGGACCTAGGTGAGGACTGGCATTTCCTGCCCAAATGCTTCGCCCCCATTCCCTAGACCCTAGTAGGCAGATGCAGGTGGCTGGATGTCCGGAGGAACACTGACAGGCACCGGTGCGCTGGCAGGCCACCGACCTGCAGAAGCAGAATGACATGGAGTTTGGCCTGGGCAGTCAGAGGAGAGCCCGGGCCGCCAAGCGGCCGGACTCCAGGGGAAAAGCATCTCCCTTCTGGCTCCCCCATCTGCTGAGAGCTACTTCCACTCAATAAAACCTTGCACTCATTCTCCAAGCCCACGTGCGATCCGATTCTTCCAGTACATTAAGGCAAGAACCTCGGGATACAGAAAGCCCTCTGTCCTTGCAATGAGGCAGAGGTCTAATTGAACTAACACAAGCCGCCTATAGACGGCTAAACTAAAAGAGCAAAACTAAAAGCACACACTGTAACATACGCCCACTGGGGCTTCAGCTGTAAACATTCACCCCTGGACACTGTCTTGGGGTCAGAGCCCCACAGCCTGCCCATCTGTATGCTCACCTAGAAGTTTGAGGTTTGAGCAGCAGGGCACTGAAGAAGTGAGCCACTCTCCCATTGCACACCCTGCAAGGGGACAAGGGAACTTTTCCTGTTTCATCATGAAATAATGGATTTAGTGGCCGGGAGGGGTGGCTCGCGCCAGTAATCCCAGCACTTTAGGAGGCTGAGTCGGGTGGATCACGAGGTCAGGAGTTCCAAGACCAGCCTGGCCAAGATGGTGAAACCCCGTCTCTACTAAAAATACAAAAATTAGCTGGGCGCAGTGGAAGGCGCCTGTAATCCCAGCTACTCGGGAGGCTGAGGCAAGAGAATTGTTTGAATCTGGGGCAGGAGGGCAGAGGTTGCAGTGAGTCAAGATCGCACCACTGCACTCCAGCCTGGGTAACAGAGTGAGACTCCATCTCAAAATAAATAAATAAAATACGCATTTAGCACTTCGGGATCATGACTATGACTAGGCCCATGTGAAAAGAATCATCTCACCTTGTATGTAAGCAAGAGTTGGTGTCATTACTTAGATATTTCTCCTTCCTACAGTTAATGACATCTTGGAGGAACTTAGAAACAGGAAGTGACTCAGGATTGGGAAGCACCAGAAAAAGAGCTGCTGACATGACATGGTGACAAGCATTCTTTGTCAATTGACTTTTTCTCCCGCCCCCTGGATCCTAAGGAAACGGCACAGCATTTCCTTGCCCTGCCCTTGACGTGCTATGCCTACTCTAAGCTAGATAGGGGCTTCTGAAAGAAAAACCTAAGGAAGCCCCCTGCTCATGCCTGGAGGAAAGAACTGCCGACTTTGTCTTTGCCCTCAGCCAAACCGCCACAAGTATCTTTGTCTGCCTGGCTCTCCTGGGGCCATCACAGAGGGCTGGGGATGCTGACAGCCGTAAACTCCAGGCGAGGCAGAACCAAGCAGCTGTTCATAAGCGATTTCAGTGCATGTCCAGTGACCCGAATGGGACCCGACCATGGGGAAAATGATACAGAACTAGATCGCTTTCTTTAAATTTTATTTTTAGTTTGTGTACTCCTATGGAAGTGTAATTTTATCTTTGTGCTGGGAACACTGAAAAGCACTGACGGGGAGCTCCTTTGGCCTGGCCCATTTTTCTGAAAGCACGTTGCAGCTGTGGCTTCTGCCCAGCAGGCAGAGACTGATGTTAGATCCTGTACCCAGCTGCTGCTGGGAGAAGGGACAGACTCAGCTTCTGACTGCAGGGGCATCTGCAGGAAGATCGGGGAAACTGAAGACACTTTTAACTGCAAAAGCCCTAGAAACAGTAAGTGCAAATTGTTCCGTGGATTGTTGACTTCACATTCAAACCATCGGGAAGTGATCGAGACTGGAAGCGTCGACAAGGATCCGCAGGGTCTGGGACCAGAGACCAGCTTGTGATCCTGCTGTGGAGTGCTAGGGGTCTGCTCTGGGGAGGGGGCTTTGGCCTAGAAGAGACATGGTACAGGGTGGGAACTGTTACAGTCATGCAACACTTAACATCAGGTGATTCTGTCATTGTACAAATATAGAAAGAACTCACACTAACCCATACAGCGTAGCCTACTACACACGCAGGCTCTATAGCCTATTGCTCCTAGGCTACAAACACATCCAGTGTGTGTCTATACTGAATGCTGTAGACAATGGCAACACAATGGTATTTATATATCTAGACATATCTAAACAAAAGGTACAGTGAAAGATAAAATATATACAGTATAAAAGATTTTTTTAAAAAGCTGGGTGTGGTGGCACACTCCTGTAATCCCAGCACTTTGGGAGTCCTGAGGTGGGAGGATCACTTCATCCCAGGAGTTCGAGACGAGCCTGGGCAACATGGCGAAAACCCATCTTGACAAAAAATACAAAAATTAGCCGGGTGTGGTGGTGGGCGCCTGTAATCCCAGCTATTCAGGAGACTGAGGCGTGAGAATCGCTTGAACCCGGGGGGCGGAGGTTGCAGTGAGCCAAGATCATGCCACTGCACTCTAGCCTGAGTGACAGAGTGAGACATTCTGTCTTTTTTTTTTTTTTTTTGAGACGGAGTTTCGCTCTTGTTGCCCAGGCTGGAGTGCAATGACGCGATCTCAGCTCACCTCAACCTCCGCCTCCCGGGTTCAAGCAATTCTCCTGCCTCAGCTTCCCGAGTAGCTGAGATTACAGGCACGCGCCACCACACCCAGCTAATTTTGTATTTTTAGTAGAGACGGGATTTCTCCATGTTGGTCAGGCTGGTCTCGAACTCCCGACCACAGTTGATCCGCCTGCCTGGGCCTCTCAAAATCCTGGAATTACAGGCTTGAGCCACTGTACCCGGCAACATTCTGTCTTAAAAAAAAAAAACACGGGCCGGGCTCAGTGGCTCACGCCTGTCATCCCAGCACTTTGGGAGGCCGAGGCAGGCGAATCACGAGACAGATCACCTGGGCAAGAGAGGGAGACTCCATCTCAAAAAAAGAAAAAAAGAAAATTAAGTCCCCCCCATGCTCCCGAGTCTTCTTACTCCTCATAGGTGACCACTGTTCAGTCTACCGTTTCTTCCCAGAAATATGTGCACATACAAGCATATACATATGTCTACTCTTTGCTTAGCAAACCATTTATTCAGCCAAATTACAATTGTTGTCTTTGATAAAGCAGGCTACAGACCTCCAGATCCTAAATTGGTGGCACCAAAATTAGAGAACTTACTTTGTCTTGAAGAGAACACTTGCAAATTGACCAGGAACCCCTACTGCCAGTGTACATGAATTAGACTTCCATAAAGATTATAACTTAGGTGCCAGAATACACATTTTGAAATGAATGTAGGCCATCTAAAGGCATTTTTAGCTTCTAAACATTAACTTTATGGGGGCATAATTTACAGACAATAAATATACCTGCTTACAGTACATAGAGTTCAATTAGTTTTTGTTTTGTTTTGTTTTGTTTTGTTTTGTTTTGTTTTGAGAAAGGGTCTTGCTCTGTTACTCAGGCAGAAGTGCAGTAGCATGATCATAGCTCACTGCAGCCTGGATCTCCTGGGCTCAAGTGATCCTCCCACCTCAGCCTCCCAAGCAGCTAGGACTACAGGCACATGCCACTACATCCGGCTAATTTTTAAATTTTTCTGTGGATATGGGGTTCTCACTGTGTTGCCCAGGCTGGTCTTGAATTCCTGGGTTCAAGTGATTCTCTTGTCTCAGCATCCCAAAGTGTTGAGATTACAAGTGTGAGTCACTGCACCCAGCTGACTTTTTTTTTTCCCACTGTAAATACCATTGCCTTCTTTTGAGGGGGTTATTCTGAGTTTTAATTACTTATTGTTTTCTGGTTATGAAGATACTACAAGTTCCTTATTTTAAAATAGAGACAATTCAGAAAATAAAGAGAAACCAAAAGACATCAATAATTGCTCCATCCCTCAAAAAAAAAAAAATTTGGCATTATTAGCATTGTCTTTTTAAAAGCATATATGTGGCCGGGCATGGCGGCTCATGCTTATAATCCTAACATTTTGGGAGGCCAAGGCAGGAGGATAGTTTAAGGCCGGGAGTTCAAGACCAGCCTGGGCAACACAGCAATTCTCCCATTTCCACACACACACACAGTTTAGGCCGGGCCGGGCGTGGTGGCTCATGCCTGTAATCCCAGCACTTTGGGAGGCCAAGACGGGCGGGTCACGGGGTCAGGAGATTGAGACCATCCTGGCTAACACGGTGAGACCCCGTCTCTACTAAAAATACAAAAAAAAAAAAAAAATTAACCAGGTGTGGTGGTGGGTGCTTGTAGTCCCAGCTGCTCGGGAGGCTGAGGCAGGAGAATGGCGTGCACCCGGGAGGCAGAGCTTGCCGTGAGCCAAGATCGCGCCACTGCACTCCAGCCTGGGTGACAGAGCAAGACTTCACCTCCAAAAAAAAAAAAAAAATTTAGGCCGGGCATGGTGGCTCATGCCTATAATCTCAGCACTTTGGGAGGCTGAGGCGGGTGAATCACCTAAGTTCAGGAATTCAAGACCAGCCTGGCCAACATGGCGAAACCCCATCTCTACTAAAAATACAAAAATTGGCTGGGCGTGGTGGCACACACCTGTGATCCCGGCTACTCGGGAGGCTGAGACAGCAGAATTGCTTGAACCCAGGAAACAGGTTGCAGTGAGCCAAGACTACGCCACTGCACTCCAGCCTGGGCAATAAAGCAAGACCTTGTCACATACACACAAAAAATTGGCCAGGTGCGGTGGCTCATGCCTGTAATCCCAGCACTTTGGGGGGCTGAGGCAGGCGGATCACGAGGTCAGGAGATCAAGACCATCCTGGCTAACATGGTGAAACCCCATCTCTACCAAAAATACAAAAAAATTAGCTGGGCGTGGTGGCGGGCGCCTGTAGTCCCAGCTACTCGGGAGGCTGAGGCAGGAGAATGGCGTGAACCCGGGAGGCGGAGCTGGCAGTGAGCCGAGATCGCACCACTGCACTCCAGCCTGGGCGACAGAGCAAGACTCCATCTCAAAAAAAAAAAAAAAAAAATTGGCTGGATGCGGTGGCTCATGCCTGTAATCCCAGCACTTTGGGAGGCTGAGGCGGGTGGATCACCTGAGTTCGAGAGTTCACGACCAGCCTGACCAATGTGGAGAAATCCCCATCTCTACTGAAAATACAAAAAATTAGCCGAGTGTGGTGGCACATTCCTGTAATCCCAGCTACTCGGGAGGCTGAAGCAGGAGGACTGCTTGAGCCCAGGAGGTCAGGCTGCAGTGAGCTATGATCACGCCAACGCACTTCAGCCTCGGCAACAGAGTGGGATCTTGTGTCTAAAAAATAAAAACGAAAAATAAATGCACACATGCACTTACTCATCTGTAAACACGGATAGTAATTTCAAGTGTCCTTATATAGTAATTCTCTGAACAAGGATTGGTATGTGGTTTTTAATTTCAGAAAAACTGAAAGCCATATTAAATTTAGTTACCCAGGCTGGAGTGCAGTGGTGTGAGCTCAGCTCACTGCAGGCTCGACCTCCTGGGCTCAAGTGATCCTCCCACTTCAGCTTCCCAAGTAACTGGGACCACAAGTGCGCACCACCACAGCCAGTTAATTTTTTATATTTTATGTGGAGATGAGGTCTTGCCATGTTACCCATACTCATCTCAAACTCTGTGCTCAAGCAATCTTCCCACCTTGGCCTCCCAAAGTGCTGGGATTACAGGCGTGAGCCACCGCGTCTGGCTCCAGCCTCTTTTCAACAACACTGGTCATTAGGCTTGGTTTTCTTTTTCTTTTTTTTTTTTTTTTTTGAGACGAGTCTTGCTCTGTTGCCCAGGCTAGTATAGTGGTGCAATCTCAGCTCACTGCAACCTGAGCCTCTGGGGTTCAATCAATTCTCCTGCCTCAGCCTCTCAAGTAGCTGGGATTACAAGCCTATGCCACCACGCCTGGCTAATTTTTGTACTTTTAGTAGAGACGGGGTTTTACCATTTTGGCCAGGCTGCTTTCAAACTCCTGACCTCGTGATCCACCCATCTCAGCCTCCCAGAATGCTGGGATTACAGGCATGAGCCACTGCGCCCGGCCAGAAAAGACATTTCTACATTGTGCATGTGCCATGGGGTATGTCTCAAATGAAACTGTCTTGCCTCCACATCCCAAAGATAACTGAAATTTCAGTTTAAACTCCAGTTAAGCAGAATAGTTGTCAGCCAAGCACGGTGGCTCATACTTGTAATCCCAGCATTTTGGTAGGCCAAGGAGGGAGGATTGCTTAAGCCCAGGAGTTCAAGACCAGCCTGGGCAAATATTGAGACCCTGTCTCCACAAAAATTAAAATTAAAATTAACTGGGGCTGGGCATGGTGGCTCACGCCTGTAATCCCAGCACTTTGGGAGGCCAAGGCATGCGGATTGCCTGAGGTCGGGAGTTCGAGAAACCCCATCTCTACTAAAAATATAAAAATTAGGTGGGTGTGGTGGCACACACCTGTAATCCCAGCTATTCAAGAGGCTGAGGCAGGAGAATTGCTTAAACCCGGGAGATGGAGGTTGCAGTGAGCCAAGATTGCCCCACTGCACTCCAGCCTGGGCGACAGAATGAGACTCTGTCTCAAAAAAAATAAAAATAGGCCTTGTGCAGTGGCTTACGCTTGTAATCCCAGCACTTTGGGAGGCCGAGGCAGGCGAATCACAAGGTCAGAAGTTCGAGACCAGCCTGGCCAACATGGAGAAACCCCATCTCTACTAAAAATACAAAATTAGCCGGACGTTGTGGTGCATGCCTGTAATCCTGGCTACTCAGGAGGCTGAGGCAGGAGAATCGCTTGAACCCGGGAGTCAGAGGTTGCGGTGAGCCAAGATTGTGCCATTGCACTCCAGCCTGGGCAATAAGAGCGAAATTCCGTCTCAAAAAAATAATAAAATAAAATAAAATAGGGGCTAGGAGCAGTGGCTTGCGCCTGTAATCCCAGCACATTGGGAGGCCGAGGCAGGTGGATCACCTGAGTCAGGAGTTCAAGACCATCCAGGCCAACATGGTGAAACCCTGCTGTCTCTACTAAAAATACAAAAATTACCTGGGCGTGGTGACTCACACCTGTAGTCCCAGCTACTCGGGAGGCTGAGGCAGGAGAATTGCTTGAACCCAAGAGGTGGAGGTTGCAGTGAGCTGAGATCACACCACTGCACTCCAGCCTGGTGATAGAGCGAGACTCCGTCTTTAAATAAATAAAATAAAATAAAATAAAATAAAATAAAATAAAATAAAATAAAATAGATAAACAAATAACTAAAATTAACTGGGTATGGTGGCACGCCTATAGTCGTAGCTACTCAGGAAGCTGAGGTGGAAGGATCACTTGAGCCTGGGAGGTCGAGGCTGCAGTGAGCCATGATGGAGCCACTGCATGGCCAACAGAGCAAGACCCTATCTCAAAAATAAATGAATAAATAAATAAATAAAAATAAAAGAACCAATAAAAGTAAAAACAGTTGTGAGCCAGTCTGGATTTTCTGGTCCCATTTTACATTTGCCCATTTGTTCTAGTCTCGTGTAGCACTGAGCAGTTCACTCCACAAGCATTTATTAAGCACCACTCATGTTGCAGGCACCAGATTCCATCCTGGAACTATGACACTGTAACAGGCAGACCCCGTCCCACTCTTCAAGGGGCCGACGCTGCTGAGGGGGATGGACAGGCTGTCAGGGCTCAGGGTGCTGCGTGCTTGGACCCAGGGAACTGATCAGAAAGTGCGCCAGGAGCACAGGGCAGAGGCATCTCACCCAGGCTGGCTTTCTGGAGCAGTGATGGATAAATTGCCACCTAACAGATGAGTAGGAGTTAGTCATATAAAGTGGGCTGGAGGCCAGAAGTGGTGGTTCACCCCTGTAATCCAGCACTTTGGGAGGCTGAATTGCTTGAATGTAGGAGTTCAAGACCAGCCTGGGCAACATGGCAAAACCCCATCTCTACAAAAAATACAAAAATTAGCCAGGTGTGGTGGCACACGCCTGTAGTCTCAATTACTCGGGGGACATGAGGCGGGAGAATCACTTGAGCCTGGGGGGGTGAAGGCTGCAGTGAGACGAGATTGTGCCAAAGCACTACAGCCTAGGTGACAGAGTGAGACTCCATCTCAAAAATAAATAAAAATAAATGAAATGGGAGGAAATCATAAATGCGGGGGAAGGTCCAAGGGTGACAGCTTTCAAGGAACAGGAACAGAAAGAAATTCCCAAGGCAGGAGCCTAGCGGGGAAGATGGGCTGAAACGGGCTGGAGAGGCGAGCAGGGAAGGGGCAGGTGAGCCAGAGCTCTGGCCACAGCCACGCTGGGAGGAGGGTCTGTGGTGCTCAGCCTGTAAGACTGGAGCAGGTGGTGGCATGAGCAGGAGGCCGGTTTGGAGTTGGCAGCCCGCATTGTTTGCCCCAAGGACCGGACAGCAGTGGGAACTGTGGCAGTGGGAGCGGCGGCAGTGGGAGCGGCAGTGCCAGGGTGCAGTGGGGCTGCGGAGGCGCTGGGGCTGGGGGTGGTTGGGGTGGTGGTTTGTGTTTAAGGGTGAAAAGGGCTGGGTTATGGGAAGGAGCAGGAAACATGGGGGAGAGGATTGGTAAATGGCAGAACCATGGCCTGAAGTGGTACGAGGGGCAGGGGCTCGAAGCAAAGTGGGAGGGATTAGCCCTTGGGGAAGAGCCTGAAGGTGCTGGGAAGAAGCAAGCTGGGAGCTTGGGAGCTGGCCTTTCTCCTAGGAGCATGAGGGAAGAGGCCATCAGGGAGAAAAGGGGTGGGACAGGGTGAGTTCTGAAGAGAGCAGAGGAGGAGAAATTAAATGGCAGGAAGAGGGGAGGGAACCCCGGGCACTGTGGGTGTGAAGGCCACACAGTGCCCCACTGAGGCTGGAGATGCTGGTTTTGCAGAGACACCTGTCTGAGCCATCCTGGAACCCCCATACCCCTTAGAGCAGCCCTACGCCTCTACCCCACTCCTGCACTTATATCCTCCACCCAGAAATGATGGGAGAAGTGACAGGTGCCCCACAATAAAATGGAGTTTTCTGCAGCAAAGTCCCTACAATGGAGTCGTAGAACGTGTTCCTCGCAGGGGCCGCTGAGATGACGGCGACATGGTGCTTTCGGGGGCGGCTGGGATCCAGCTCCACATGGAAGAAGTGCCTGGGATTCTGCTGGAGGAAAGGCAGATAGCGAGTTTATTTTTAAACCCAAGTGGGCACCGCGGCTGCCAGAGAGAAGCAGACGGCTCTTGGGGAGAGTGGAGATTGGCAGCCGGTCAGACACTTGTCAGGAAGCCTGAGGCTGCCAAGCGGGCAGGGGTTCAGGTGGCGGAGGGCCAGGGCTGAACAGAGGGGTCTGTGGGGGTGAGGGCAGCAGCAATTAACCCTTCGGGGTCCAACACCAGCGTGGCCTAAGGAGGTAGCCAGGCCTGGAGGACTGAGTGTAGCGAGTGGAGACCTCAGGCTGGGCTGCCCCTGGGGCCACATGGAGCCAGTGTAAGTGATAACTGTCCTAGCCCCTGCACCCAGTGGTGGCCCAGGCTTGGTCTCCTCCTGTAGTCAGATGGGCCACGTGAATAGCCTTGTGCAAAGCAAAGGTGTCTCTTGGGGACCCCTTGCTGCTCTCCACGCTCTGAAGGCCCCTGGGCCTCTTGCATTGGGGTGTTCTTTTTTTTGAGACAGAGCCTCCCTCTGTCACCCAGGCTGGAGTGCAGCGGCATGATCTTGGCTCACTGCAACCTCCCCTTCCCAGGTTTAAGCAATCCCCTTGTCTCAGCCTCCCGAGTAGCTGGGATTACAGGCACCAGCCACCACGCACAGCTAAATTTTGTATTTTTAGTAGAGACGGGGTTTTACCATGTTGGCCAGGCTGTTCTCTAGCTCCTGAGCTCAAGTGAGCCACCTGCCTCCGCCTCCCAAAGTGCTGGAATTACAGGTGTGAGCCACTGTGCCTGGCCACACTGTCAGCATTCTGAGGAGCCAAGTGGCACTTAGTCCTGATAGCTGACTTGGAATGCCGCCTGTGACTGAGGTGGAGGGCATGGCTTCATGGCCTCATCAACCTCATGGGGACTTGGCGAAGTCTCGGTGGTGAACAGGCCTCCTAAGGACTCCTGCGCATGGCAAGGGCTGTCAGGGCACATTTCAGGAGCTGTCGCCAGGGGTGGTCTCCAGGTTGTAACGGCTTTGGCCTCTTAGAGGACATGATCCACTGACTGGTGTTTATTTCCCACCTTTGCTTTCAACACCAAAGGCCTGAAGAGCCTAGGCCGCAGGCACTGGGTTTCTGGGCTCAGCTGAAAGTCTTCAAGAATCTTCCTCAGCATGAAGCCTTGGGCTGGAGCTGCTTCTCTCTCCTGCTGATCTTCTGGAAAGATTGACAGAAATCTTCTTTTGCCTAAAGCAAGTTCCTGGGAGCCAGAGCCCCTTTCAGGGCAGGATAAATCTAGGTCTCTCACTCTAGATTAAGTTAAAATTCCTTGATCCTGCCAACATCAGCCTGACTTGTCTCTTGCCTTCTTCTTCTTCTTCTTTTTTTTTTTTGGAGATGGAGTCTTGCTCTGTCACCCAGGCTGGAGTACAATGGACCATCTCGGCTCACTGCAACCCCTGCCTCCTGGGTTCAAGCGATTCTTCTGCCTCAGCCGCCAGAGTAGCTGGGATTACAGGTGCGCACCGCCACGCCTGGCTAATTTTTTTGTATTTTTAGTAGAGACGGGGTTTCGCCATGTTGGCCATGCTGGTTTCCATCTCCTGACCTCGTGATCTGCCCACCTCAGCCTCCCAAAGTGCTGGGATTACAGGCATGAGCCACTGCGCCCGGCCATCTCTTGCCTTCTAGAAAGGACTATACACAAAGGTTCCCTCTGACCTTTAAGGAGGCAGTGTCTGCTGCTCCTGACCTAAGTCTTTCACACATAGTTGTCTGTTTTCTCTTCTGTCCTTTCCTTCTTTCAAAGCTTCCTGGATGTAAATGTTGCTTCTTAACAGTATCTGTAATAGCCACATGTAGCTGCTGAGTTTGAAATTGGGCACAATGCATCCCTGATTTCAAAGGCTTTGTACAAAAAAAAAAAGGATGTACCATCTCAATAATTATTTTATGTTGATTATATGTTGGTATGAGAATATTTTGGATGTATTAGATTTATTTATTTAGTTAGTTTTAGTTTTTTGAGATGGAGTCTCGCTCTGTAGCCCAGGCTGGAGTGCACTGGCACAATCTCGGCTCACTGCAACCTCCGCCTCCCAGGTTCAAGCAATCCTCCTGCCTGGGATTACAGCTGGGATTACGGATTACAGGCACCCGCCACCACATCGCTAATTTTTGTATTTTTAGTAGAGATGGGGTTTCACCATGTTGGCCAGGCTGGTCTCGAACTCCTGACCTCATGATCCACCCTCCCCAGCCTCCCAAAGTGCTGGGATTATAGGCTGAGCCACTGCACCCAGCCCCTGTGCAAAAAAAATTGGCCAGGCATTAGCCAGGCGTGGTGGCACGCACCTGTAATCCCAGCTACGTGGGAGGCTGAGGTGAAAAGATCCCTGGAACCCTGGAGGTGGAGGTTGCAGTGAGCCAAGATGGCACCACTCCACTAGGGTGACAGAGCAAGCTCAGTCTAAAAAAAAAAAAAAAAGAAAAAAAAGAAGAAAATTAACCAGGCATGATGGCCAGCACCTGTGGTCCCAACTACTTAGGAGGCTGATGTGGGAAGATTATTTGAGCCCCAGTGTTCAATGCTGCAGTGAGCTATGATGCATTACTACACTCCAGACTGGGCGACAGACAAAAAAGAAAAAAAAAAGTGAGGGGTGAGGGGGATGATTCGGAGGCAACCTGGAATGGTGATTTTATCCAAAGATTTTCTTTTTCCTTCCTTTTTTTTTTTTTTTTGAGACAGAGTCTTGCTCTGTGTTAGCCTCCCATGTAGCTGGGACTACAGGCCCACACCACCATGCTTAGCGAATTTTTTTTTTTTTTTTGAGACAGAGTCTCGCTCTGTCACCCAGGCTGGAGTGCAGTGGCACCATCTCGGCTCACTGCAACCACCACCTCCCAGTTCAAGCAATTCTCCTGCCTCAGCCTCCCGAGTAGCTGGGACTACAGGCATGCACCACCACGCCCAGCTAATTTTTGTATTTTTAGTAGAGATTTGATTTCACCATATTGGCCAGGCTGGTCTCAAACTCCTGACCTCGTGATCCCACCCGCCTCGGCCTCCCAAAGTGTTGGAATTACAGGTGTGAGCCACTGCGCCCGGCCGGTTAATTTTTAAAAAGTTTTTTGTAGAGACAAGGTCTCACTATATTGCTCAGGCAGGTCTTGAACTCCTGGGCTCACTCAAGTGATCCTCCCACCTCAGCCTCCCAAAGTAATAAAATTATAGGCATAAGCCACTGCTCCTGGCCAAAGGAATTTCTACTTTTGAAAAATAAGGGTTCCTGGGAATTCCTTGCAATAGGTGGCCTTCACTGCAAATTTCAAATTCCTGGTTCCACCCATGTTGTTTAGGAATCACTCCATCAGAGCTGCCGATAACCAGTTCTGAAACCAAAGTCAGTCTTTTCAGATGTTCTGTTTGGGCCAGATCTGATTCTCCACTCCAACCTGTGGAGCTTTATTTCCTCCTGGCCAGTTGGGAAAAGGTGAACTGGCATCCCTAGGCAGGCAAGACAAAGGCAGAGAGTTCGGTGCCTCTCTGACATCCGCTTGCCTACCCACGCAGGGGACACTTAGGGCTCCAGGGTTTGGTCCGAGGCTGAGAGGCATCTGGTGACTCTGCACTGACCATTTTTTTTTTTTCTTGAGACAGAGCCTTGCTCTGTCGCCAAGGCTGGAGTGCAGTGGTGTGACCTCAGCTCACTGCAACCTCTGCCTCCCGGGTTCAAGCAATTCTCTCTCTCAGCCTCCCAAGTAGTTGGGACTGCAGGCAAGCGCCACCACACCTGGCTAATTTTTGTATCTTTAGTAGAGACAGGGTTTCACCATGTTGGCCAGGCTGGTCTCGAACTCCTGACTTCAAGTGATCCACCTGCCTTGGCCTCCCAAGTGTTGGGATTACAGGCGTGAGCCACCACGCTCGGCCTACACTGACCTTTGAGAGTCACAAAGGCTGAGCCTCACCTGTGCCCTCTCTGCCTTCCTGCCATTCATCTGCCAGAAGCCACCCTTTCCCTATCTGGAGGGTCAGCTGAACCACACATCAGACCCGGATAGACTGGGAACTGGGAACTGAGAAAGGGTTAAGCATGGGCATGGAGGAGTTGAGAGGCAGAAGCAAAAAGAAAGTTAAAAATAATGTTATTCAGCCTAGAGCAAGGAAGACAAGGGCACAGCTAGACTTCAGTTTGTGACTGATCGGTTTGAGAATGATTCTTGCTTTTTTCCCCCTGCACTCTGAATAGGAAGAAGCTGACCTTCTGCTGCAGGAGAGACTGGAGTTAGATGTTACCCAGTGTCCTGCGGCGACCAGATGCCAGAGTAGGAATCTAAGCTGAACGTGGCCCTGGGTCCTACTCTTTCGGCATGTGATCCGAGGTGGCCTTGGGAACCCTACCTGTTCAGGAATGGGGGGCTATGATCCCAAAGCTTCTAGCTGCCAATTCTTCCCAGGCCCCTGCTTGGTGCTGCTATTTCTTTCTCCATCTTTTTCTAGCCTTTCATTTGTTTCCCTGCCCCCAACTGCTTCTTTTATCTTTTCCCTTAACAAGCGGGACTTCCAGAGCCCGATGGATCCTCCCCCAGTTCTTCCTCCCGGCCCCCCAAGTCTGCGAATACCTCCAGGCCCAAGCACTCTGCAGGGGAAGACAGGAATAATCATTACAGGCTCCTGGCTCAGACGCAGCCCCAGCCAGGGGAGGGACTCCCAGCACTAGCCTTGCTCAGTCCCCTCCTGCCCCAGGCTCGGCCAGAGAGCACAGGGGTGGGAAAAGAGCCCAGGAACACGGTGCCCTGGGACCAGACAGGCTAATGGTTTTGTCCAGCGTTCTGGAATCTTTTGGGAGGTGAGGAGAGGCTTCTTTGGCTTCAGCCATAAAAGGGAAGTTGGGTCTCCAGACTTTTGGGAAAATGCTTTCCTACTCGCCTGGCCTCCTGCTTTGCTGGAGCCAGAGGAGGGGCACAACTGTCTTTGTTGGAAGAGCCGAGGAAGCGAGGAAGCGGAAGCGGGAGGGCCAGGCCTCCACCCTGTTTCCTCACCATGAATGGAGCTGGTCCTGGGCGCTCCCTTCCCGCCTCCAGCACCCCAGTTATCATGCTCCCTCCTGAGCCAGAGGGGACAAGTCACAGCATGGCCATTCACAGACAGGAGAGAAACGCAAGGTTGGTGTGAGCTCCCTGGAAGCCCCAGGATGTGATCTTTAATCGATGCTCCTGGCCCTGCCTCCCCACCCCCAGCCCAGGTGGCGTATGTACAGGATGCTGTGTGGAGGCCCAGGCAGAGGCAGCCTCCACTCCTCCCTGGGTTCTGCCAGGGTAGGCACTCGCCAGGGCGGGGCAGGAGGATACAGACAGCTGGGAGCCAGGGTGGACTGGTCACAGGAAGTCTCATGTTCCCCACCCCATATACACGAGCACACACAGATACGCCCATATGTGCAGAGGTATTCACACTTGTGCAGAGGTGTGGATCCAAAAGCTGTGCCCAGATGCACTGTACCTGTGTGCACGGGTGCACCACCAGAGGACAGATGCCTTAAGGCAGCGCAGCAATAGTGCAACACCCAGCCCTTCCCCCGCCCTGCATCAGCTTGCAGGGCTGGTGGAGCAGAGCTGGCCGGAGGGGCCCCTCCACTCAGCCCTTGAGTGGGCAGTGCCAGCTGGAGCTCAGTGTGTGGACCCCACTGCTGTCGGGTGCATCCAGCTACCCAAAATGGTGTCAGCGGGTCCCAGGCCTGTTTGCCCCTGAGGGTGTTGTGAATAAACAGGGGGCGATGCCCTCCACAACGCCTCCTCGAAGGTGCCCCAGAAACAGGGGCTCAAGCAGGTAGCTCACGGGCCCTGGGGTGTCAGAACTCCCTGCCGAGTGAGGGCAGGGCAACCCTGGTGACAAGAACTGTATTCACTTGTGGCTTTCATCCATTAGGTAGCTGGCCCCCATCTTGCCCCTGCCAGCTACCTTTTAGGGTCAAGGAGCCAGTGCTCCACCCTCCCAAGCAAGGGTCATGAGGGAAGGCCACCGGCAGGACTGTGTGAGAAGACTGAGGAGCTGTGCCTGGCTCTACCTGGCTCTCAGGCTCGCTGCAGCAGGGATGGGTGGGGGTACGTAATGGGGGAAACATCTGTAAACTTACTACTCGGCTCTGGAATGGGGGTAGGGAGTGGAATGGACTAGATGGGGCCTTAAGGACTTCTAGCAGCCTAGGATCATCCATGAGACCTCCCTTTCCTACTTCCTCTTGCATATCCCAGGCAGAGACCCTAACCCTCCAGGCACTGGGCCACCTCTGGCCTTCCCTACCTGGGAGAGTCCTCCCCAGAAAGATGGCCCAGGTGGGGACATCTAGGCCACACCAGGGGGCACCTAAACCCTGAGTCGGCCCCAGAATCACCCTTCTTGAAAGGGGGAAGGTGCCATTTTATTATAGGAACTATATTTTCTAGAACCCCCCCCGCCCTGCCAAAATCCATGTGTCCTGACAGGGACAGCAGGACGGTTGTTTTCGAATTGGAGACGATCTGGGACATGTGGTTGCCGTACCCATAACCTAGGCCTTGGGCATGGCACAGGCAGCTTTGGTTTGAATCAGCACTCATACTTCCTCCAAGCTCAGCGGGGCTAAGCGGGGGCAAGCTGGGATGCCCAGCCCCTGACTGTGCTCAGTGACAGGACTTCGGGTGTGGTCATCCTTGGGGAGGGTCTAGGGCATGGCCATACCTCAGTTTCTCCGGGCCCTCCTGTAAATGTCAAAACATCCCCACATCTGCCCTGGCCCCAGCACCCCCGAGTTTACATTCATCGATTAAGATTCAGTTTTAAAAAATGTAGATGTCAGCCCCGTCCCCCTAGGTCCCAGAGAGGTAAGACCCTGGTCTCAGCTGCCTGGTTGCAAGGAGGGGCCATCCAGGCTAGGTCCACTGGTGGCTGCCTGGGGGCATCCCTCCAGGCGCCCCCGAGTTGAGCTGTGGCAATCCATGAGGTGGAAGCTACATTCACACGGGGCAGTGGGTGTGCAAGGCTGAGCCGCAGGAGGTGGGTGGGGGACTGTGGAGGAAGTGCCCTCCAGGCCTGGTCCACCCTGGTGGTGCCAAGGGCAGGGCCACAGCCCCCACCCAAACCCCTGCGGAGCCAGGAGTTGAAGGGTTTGGACCTGGAAGACATTTGCATGGTGCCTCCCTCCGTGGCTGGATGGGGGCAGCCTCGTGGTTCAGGGCCGAGACGGTGGGTGCCAGGCTTGGAGGGAGGAGGGTGGCACTTAGGCCCCTCCGGACCTGGAACGGAGAGGGGGCATCAGGGGAGGACGTGAGCAGGGGCCACGGGGAGAGCCCCCCAGCAGGGCCCCGGAGCTCAGTGCTGGGCCCTGGAGGCAGGCGGCAAGTCACAGGCTGGCCAGGGAAGGGATCTGCGGGAGGTCAGACAGTGGTGATATGGAAGACAAAACAGATGGGACGCACAGGGAGGGCCCTCCCGGGGATGGGGACTGCCAGGGGCGCAGCTCCAGTTCCACCTGGTGGCAGGGGAGGGCCTGGCCGCAGCAGGGCAGTCGAGAAGGACGTGGCCTGAGCGGGCGAGGGCGAGGGCAGCTGGGACCTTCTTCCCTGAGCGAGGCTCTCCCACCCCTGCCGGGACAGCCTGGCAGCAGGGGTGGGGGAATCAGCCCCCGCTCCCCATCAACAGAACGCGGGGTGACGAATGAGATGGAGGAGACAAGGACAGCGGGAGGGATGACGTGGCCGGCATCACACTGCCCCCTGCTGGGTCGGGTCGTACCTTCCTCGGCGAATGTTTCTGCAGGGGGAGGATGGTGGAAGGGGAGAGGAAAAGGAGACATCTGACCTTTTGCTTCTCTCAGGGAGGGGCCTTTGGCTGCCATGCGACCCCTTGCCCCAGAGCGGGGCCGGGGTCCCCGGGGCCTGGACACTAATGTAAGGGCCAGGGAGAATTACCCAGGGCACCCACAAAAATGCGTCCCGGTTCCAGCTCTGACTCTGCTACTAACTCAATCATGTGACCTTGGGCCATGGGTTCCTCCTCTGCACATTAAGGGGGTTAGACCAGCACAAGGACCCCAAACTTAGACACGCACAAAGCATTATAGGCTGGGTGGGGACTGGAGACTGGAGGACACATGCCTGGCTTGGGTGGCCCCTGCCCAGCTCCACTCTGTGGCTATTTGGGGATGCTTAGAGGCACGCTGGGGCTCAACCTTTTCATGTTTCCAGAGCTGGAAATCCGAATTGCTAGTGTAAAATCTCCTGATTTCTTTTCTCTTTTCTTTTCTTTCTCTCTTTCTTTCTTTTTTTTTTTTTTTTTTTTTTTTTGACGCAGTCTTGCTCTGTCACCCAGGCTGGAGTGCAATGGTGCGATCTCAGCTCACTGCAACCTCCACCTCCCCGGTTCAAGCAATTCTCTGCCTCAGCCTCGCAAGTAGCTGGGATTACAGGTGCGCACCACCATGGCTGGCTAATTTTTGTATTTTTAATAGAGACGGGGTTTCACCATGTTGGCCAGACTGGTCTTGAATTCCTGACCTCAGGTGATCCGCCTGCCTTGGCCTCCCAAAGTGCTGGGATTACAGGCGTGAGCCACCTCATCTAGCCTAAAATCTCCTAGTTTCTAAATGTTAAGCCCTGCAGGCTACTTGGACCTATGACGTGTGAGCTCTGGTTCAGTTGGGCTTTCAGGGAGGGCCCCCTCAGCTCCACCAGTAGGGATTCTGATCCCCCCTCAAGGATGCCAGGGGGCACAGGGTGTGTGTGTCTCTTACTTAAATCCCCAGCCCGTGCCGCCCAGGACGATGGCTGCAACCAGGACAGCCCCAGCAATGGAGCCAATGATGATGTTGGTGCCGCTGGGACCTGGGGAGGATGGCAGGGCTTAGCTGGCAAGGACAGGCATAGAGAGCAGGACAGACAGACCCCCCTCGGCCAGCTCCAGCCTCACCTTTATATCTCTCCGTCTCCCCCGTGGGTGGGGACGTGGGCAGGGGGTTATGGATACTGCAGTCTTTGCCTGTCCAGTCTGGCTGACAGATGCACTTCCCTTCATTGCTGCAGACCTAGAGGCAGGGCAGGGCCAGGAGAGGTGAGCAGGGGCCTGTCCCCTCTTGTAAGCTTCTCCCGCCATCCCAGGCTCCAGGCAGTCACCCCGTGGTGGGAGCAAATCCGGCGCTCCCCACTGCCGGGGCAGGTGCTGAAGTTGAAGGCAGAAGCTGGCAGGCAGCGATGGTCCAGGCACAACATGTTAGGCCCGCAGGCTGTGCCATCCTCCACATAGCTCAGGTCAGAGCCGTCCGCCAGCTGCACGTGGCCTCCCCTGGGGAAGTGACACAGCCAGCCTCAGCCCCCTGTCTCCTAACCCCCAGCACAGCTGCAACCTCCCCTCCCTAGTCTTGGTCCTGGCCAGCACCTGCAGTCCAGCTCCTTGCCCTGGTGGTAGAAGGTGACACTACTGATGTCTCCCACCAGGTCCCCTAGCCGAGGAGCTCCAGAGATGTTGACACAGAGGAGGAAGCCACACAGCACGTCCCTGTTGGGGCATATAGAGACAGTGAGCCCCAAGTTTGACCTCAGACTCAACTACTGAACTCTAATCTGCCCTCACCCTGCACCCTGCCACCTCATTTGCCACGTGCCCGCCCATTGGGACTGACAGGCTCCTCCTGGGAGAACCTGCTGCCCCATCTCTGAAAAGTCTCACACCTGCCCTGGAGCTGAGAGGCCCTCTGGGAGCCTCAGTACTCACTGCTTACTGCACTGGACCCAGCCAGATCCCTTGCGCCCACAGCTCCCACGCTCCGTCCCCTCCACATTCAGCTTCTCGTAGCAGAAGCGATCAGCAGCCGCTGTGGGGAGAGGATGCCAAGTGACCCCACGCGCCCCAGGACCCACCCCAAGACCTCAGGCCTGCATCTCCCACACTCTGCCTGGGTCCCTGAGATCCTGGGGAGCTACACACTTGGGGGCCTGTTCAGCTGGAACCCACTCTCCCCAGCTTCTCAGCTCTGGGTCCTCCGGAGTCCCCACTCCCAGCCCTAGCCAGACTCACCATGGCCCCAAAGAACCTGGCACTGCCGGTCCCGGGTTTTGCAGCGACCTCCGTAGCAGCGGCCCTGAGAGTCCAAGAATTAAGAGGCAAGGGATGGAGATGCTGAGTGGTCAGAGTGGAGACAAGAGACTGCCCTGAATCCCAGGCTCAGGGGGCAGCCATCATACCTGCTCATGGTCACAGTAGTAACCGTCCAGCTTGTGCAGGTTAGGCGGGCACTGTGGAGAGAGGGGTGGGGTTGAGCGGAGCAGTCCCAGGACTGGAGCTGAGGGCTGCCCCAGGGAGGAATGCTGGGGTACCAAGTGCCCCCCATTGGGGGCTCATGCCACAGGGCTCTTCCACGCCTAGGACAAGCGATCTGTCTGGTTCTGGACCCAGACCACACGGATTTGCAAGCCCCAGAGCCGCTCCAGCCTCCCTCCCTCGTAGGGCTGGGAGATAAATGCCTGGCATGTAATTAGGTTGTAATAGATGTTAACTAATATTATCGTCTACTCTGATCCCTAACCTACACCAGGCACCGGGCCAGGCGCTGGGAATACCAGCCAGACGATACATTCTGGTTTAATGATTGAAGGAACAAGGCCAGGAGCATGAAGAACCCCTTTCTCAGATAAGAAAACAGTCTGATCAGTGGAGGTCGATGCCAGCTGTGGAGAGGAGGGGAGTGCTGAGCACTCGTCCGGGAAAACCAAATCGACAAGGGTAGGGGTTGCCTCGCCCAGGGCTCCACAAGACGGCGGGGCCGGGCGGACCTGGCTAGAGTCCCCGGTGCAGGTCTCCGCGATGTCGCACTCGTTCACGGCCTCTCGGCAGGACACACCCCGTGGTTCGTACTAGGGAAGAGACGCGCTCCTCGAGTCAGGCAGGATGGATGCCTCGGCCCTGCCCTCCCCAGGCCCCTCGCTCTCTGGACCCCCACATCCCCGGGCCCTCCAGCTCCCCAGGGCCCCGTTTCAGGCCTGTTCTTATTTCCCTGCTCCCACCACCTCTTGAACGCTCCCCACCTCGCTCCCAGCGCACTCAGCACCGCCCCCAAGCCCGCCCACCTTCCCGCCCCTCCTTGATTCTGGGCAGCCTTCCCTTCCCGCTCCTCGTAGCCCCGCCTTCAACATCCTTCAGCCCCGCCCCTTGCTCCCCATTGGCGCTGTCTTCGCATCAAGCCCTGCCCCAGAGGCCTTCGTCCCCGAAGGCTCCGCTTCCCTCCCTAGCTCCCACCCCTTATATGAAGGCCTCCAATCGCTCCTCCTGCGTCCTGGCCCCGCCTCCCGGCCGGTCCTGCTTACCTTGCAGCGGCGACAGCAGAGCCCGTCGCTGCACATGGCGTCGTGAGTCAGGGTGCATTTCTTGCAGCAGTTGCCACCTGCGCGGCTGCACTCCTGAGGGACGCGGGAGGAGGGGAAGGAGGCGGGCGAGCCCTAATCCTCCCACTCAGACGCTCCCTCGTGCCCACCCCCGCATCCCGGTTCCCCACCTGGCGCCCGCACCACCGCTCACCTGCACCGAGCCGCAGTCGCACTCCTCCCCTGCCTCCACGAAGCCGTTCCCGCACTCTGGGGGGTCCAGGAGCTGGACCGGGAGGACAGGTCGGGAGTCTGGCCCGGACCCCGCCCAGGGCCCGCTCCCATGCTCCCCGCCGCGGGGCTGGTACCTTGAGGGGCTTGTTGAAGAGGCAGCTGCCACCACCCTCCTGCAGAAACTGGTTGTACTCGTCGATGCTACAGCGCGAGAACTTGCGGGGCAGGTAGAACCTGGATAGGGCGAGGGGAGGTGCTGCTGGCTGCTCCCCTCCAACCCACCCTCACCCCTCTCAAGGCTGGGGAGGGGGTACACTGGGGGACTTCGTCACCATCGCGAGGAGGCGGAGGATCTGCCCCGGGATTGCACCAGAATCCTCCCGCCTGTCCCTGTCGCTCCCATCCCCTCCGCTGAACCTGGGGACTCGCAGCCGCGCTGGAGGGAAGGTGTCTCCATGCGAGGCTTGGGCGGCGCCCAGTGGCCACGATGCGCACTGCAGCCTGGCCGGTTTTGGTGTCCCAGCAGGGAAATCTGGGTCTCCCGGGGCAGTGTTTGCGGAAAACTGGGCTTCTTGGGATCCTGAGTGGTTCTGTGAGCTGGGCCTCTTGAGCCCCCTGGTCCAGACTGCCAAACAATGCTCGCTCTAAGACTCCCCTCGCCCAAGACCTTCCCCCGGTTTGTCCCCAAGAACTCACCCAGTGTCCTCCATGATGCAGCCCAGCCAGATGTCTGGACACTTGCAGTCCCCTGAGGGGTGAGCCAGGCGGATATGAGGGAGGCCAAGGACCACCCCTCCCACTGTCACCCTCCCGTTCCAGAGCTGCTGGGCGTGGGCCACACGGGGGCCTCTGGGGGAGGATACCTGCCGAGCTCCGGTGTTTGTTCCACATCATGCCCAGGTTCTGTCCCAGCGTCTGGGCAAGGGTCACGGCCATCGCCCCCATGTTGCCGTACTGGGGGTGGGGAAGATGGGGCACAGATGTCTACATCTTCCAACAGGCACGTCGTGCCCCTGAAGCCCCTTTCCCTCAGCCGCCACCCCAGCCATGTCCCCCCACTGCTCACCTCGTTCACACCCCCGCCGTGGGACAGGGAGCATATGCCCCCCACGTAGGCTGCCCCGCTGCTCGTGCTCTGGAAGGTCCTGCCCCTGGAAGGGAGTGCGCTGTCAGGATGGCCTCCTGCCCTCCCCTGTGGCTCCCCGGGTGGTGGTGGGGCCTTGGGGAGCCCCTCACACTAGAGTCCTTCCTCAGGAGGTGAGCCTGGCCCTTTACATCAGCCTTGGTGACCCCAGGCAAGACCCTTCCCCCCCTCCTTGGGTTCTTTTTTTTCTTTCTTTTTCTTTTTTCTTTTGAGACAGAGTTTCACTCTTGTGGTCCAGGTTGGAGTGCAGTGGCACCATCTCAGCTCACTGCAATCTCCACCTCCTGGGTTCAAACGATTCTCCTGCCTCAGCCTCCCGAGTAGCTGGGACTACAGGTGCACACCACCACGCCTGGCTAATTTTTGTATTTTGAGATGGGGTTTCACCATGTTGGCCAGGCTGGTCTTAAACTCGTAACCTGAAATGATCTACCCGCCTTGGCCTCCCAAAGTGCTGAGATTACAGGCATGAGCCACCACGCCTGGCCCCTCCTTGGGTTCTTTTGCCCATAAGGCAAAGGAGAGGCTCCCAGTAGACCATCTCTAGTTGCAAGGCCCTTTTATTAGATTTTTTTCCCTACTAGGGCACTGGGTCCCTGAGGAAGGGATGCTGGGACAGTTTGAAAGGGGAAAGACAGAACTAAGGGGAGGTGAGAGGCAGAAGAGGACCACCAGGGCTAAGACAAGGGCATCAACCTCAGATTCAGGGGATGATGCCCAGCTGTTGCATGTGGCTGGGGGTAGGTGGCAGGTGCAAGGTGAGCCCAGTCCCCAGACTCTGAGAGGAGCAGCCAGCACAGGGCAGGTGTTAAGTAATCCCAAGCACTGTAGCAACTAGCAGAGGCTGGCAGGAGGTGCAGGGTGGGGGACTCACGAGAAGAGGTGGGTGGCATCACTGGGCTCAGGCAGACCCTCCCGTCGGTAGACCATGAGCCGGGCCAGGGTCTCCAGGAGGTCATCCTGCACCTGGATCTTGTCCCCATCTGCCCATGTTTCCATGGCAACCAGGACGATGCGAGTGTTGAGCTGCTCCTTGTATATCTGGGGAGAAGATGAGGGGGCTGGAGGGTGGGAGTGGGTGTTGGGGCCAGGGCTGGAGGAGGGCCTGTCTGTTCTCTCCAGGAAGTGGGAGCCAGGGGCTGACAGTGCCCCCTAATGTGTGTGGTGGGGTGGGGGGCATGAGGAGGAGGGAAGGGAGGGAGGGAGAGCTGCTTACCACATCGGCCAGGTTCACCACGGACTTGGCAAAGTTGCTGGTGAGGACCACCGACTGTCGCATCTGCTCGAACTGGGAGAGAGAAGAATGGGAGGAGGGCCAGGCTCCTCAGGGGCCTCCCAGTGTCACGCCCTGTCCCTGCCCTGGCACTCACCAGCTGGTGGTCGTTGATCACAATTAGCTCCACATACTTGGTTTCACTGTGCACTGTAGGGTGGCCCCGGCGGACCTGGGGGGTGGGTGGGCACTTGGAATCAGTCCCTTCCATGTCTGACTGATCTCATGGCCAAGCCAGGAACAGACTCGGTGGGGATGGGGGGGTCTGGACTCCAGCCAGGGACAGTGCCAGCTCCCCACTGGCAGAGGGTCCTGTCCTTCCTCAGCTTTGGAATGAGGGCAGGCAGCCTCGGTTTGCCCAGGATGGGGCCTCTGTAGATGCCAGCATTAGGGAAGGGGTGGGGGCTTCTCCCAGACACGGTCCCTGGCCCCCAGCCACATCCATCTGAGCCTTCCTTCGCCCCAGCCATAGATGAGGGTGCCCTCCTGCTCTGGGCCACGGCCTGAGGTCTCTCTGCAGCCCGAGGTCTCTGCAGCCCGAGGTCTGTGCGGGCCCCCGTACCTGCCTTTTCCTTCTCAGCCTCGGCCGGTTTGGAGGAGCCGACTGGGCAGGCACAGCAAACAGGCAGCCTGTGGGGAGGGGCAGGTGAGGGGGGCACAGCCGGCCCCTCCCCACCCCCCCTTCCCTCCCTTACCTGGTTCCCTGCATCCGAGGGGATCTGGGAGGAGAGGGGTCCGGTAAATGAGGTGGGGAAGGGGTCCCTGCAATGAGGGGAAATTAGTTCTTGGGGTGCCAACTGGGCCTGCTCCAGGCCCACTTGGCGGGGGCCAGATCCAGCCCTCGCCTCCACCCCACCCTGGGGTGACCCAGAACTGGCCACAGCTCCCATGTCGGATCTGATCTCCCAGATGCTCAGATTCCGGGGTCAAGACCTGGGGGCACCCTGAGAGACAGGGGCAAAGGACATTGGAGCCCAATGGGAGGTCACTTATGGGACAGATGGGACATTGGAGCTGGGGGCACAGGGGGAGCTGGGGCACAGGAGGGAGGGAACCAGAGCTGGGGTCACTGAAGAGGGCAGTGAGGCTGGGGTTACTGAGGGAGGAGCCGGAGGAGGAAGAGGTGGCAGCAACAGCTGTTGGGACAAGCTTGGCAGGGCCACCAGAGAGGATGGCAAGGGGTTGTGTGGGGCTTACCTGAGGGGCTCCCCAAGGTCCAGCCACCTCTTGGGGCTCCACGATGTAAGTCAAGTTCCCATCAGAGAAGACCCCACTGTGGAGAGAGAGGCGCAGCTCCCCTCCGTCCCCAGGCCTGGGCCAGAGGCTTCTCCCAGCTGCCCGGCCCCTCCCCATACTCACTGCAGCCCCTGGCAGGTGGAGAGGGCGGCGAAGGAGTGCGGGTTCCCCCGGAGCTTCCCCTGGTAGTAGCAGTGGTCTCCAGCCCCCTGAAGGAGCAGAACAGTGAGCAGAACGCTGGCATGAGGCCGGGGGCAGCCAATGGGCCTCAAGGCTTTTTGGGGGACACTGAAGCTGCCCTGTGTGCAGGTGGCCACAATCCCTGGGTATGCCTGGGGCTCTGGAGCCTGTTTCTAGATGGCTGGTGCTCCTAATTTGCCGTGCCACCCTGGGCAAGTTCCTAGCCCTCTGGGGTTAGGAACCTCTGGGCCTCCTTCACGTCATCTATAAAATGAGGAAGCTGGACTGTAGCAATGGTTTTTTTTTTTTTTTTTTGAGACAGGGTCTTGCTGTCGCTCAAGCTGGAGTGCAGTGGTGTGATCTTGGCTCACTGCACCCTCTGCCTCCTGGGTTCAAGCCATTCTCATGCCTTAGCCTCAGCCTCCCGAGTAGCTGGGATTACAGGCATGTGCCACCACACATAGCTAATTTTTGTATTTATTTATTTATTTATTTTTTGAGACGGAGTTTCGCTCTTGTTGCCCAGGCTGGAGAGCAATGGCATGATCTCAGCTCACTGCAACCTCCGCCTCCCGGGTTCAAACAATTCTTCTGCCTCAGCCTCCCAAGTAGCTGGGATTACAGGCATGCACCACCATGCCTGGTTAATTTTGTATTTTTAGTAGAGATGGTGTTTCACCATGTTGGCCAGGCTGATCTCAAACTCCTGACCTCACGTGATCCGCCCACCTCAGCCTCCCAGTGATGGGATTATAGGAGCCCAGCGTACAGCAAGGGTTCTTAGCCATTTGCTGGGGCTGGGGAAGGGATCAGACTCCTTTGAGAATAACAGGCAACATTTATTTAGCACCTACCATGTACCCAGCACTGCTCTGGCACTAACCATATATTACCTCATTTAATCATGTACTCGCCCCTAACATCACACACAACCTCATGCACTGCCTCCCAGGACACCCCTGGGCCTGTGGTTGGCTGAGGAGTGATGGGCAGCATGTGTCCTCCTGGCCAGACTCATGGGTTGGGGCTGGGGGGACCAGTGGCACCCTCCCGCTCCAGCTCTGCCTCCTGCAGAATTACTTGTGCTCCAGTTACTGAACAGGCAGTGGGGGCGGGGGGGGGGGAGACAGGCTATTTATAGACACTCATTCATTTTCAGGCTCTAGAGCCTTCAGGGCTGGGACCCTAGTGTCCCAGGCAGCTGGGATTTTCGGGGCCTTGATATTGAGTAAGAAGGGCCTTTCCTCAGCTGTCCCTCTCAGAAGAGTCTGGAGAGGGGGATTCCTGGCAGCCTGCTCGGAACGAGTGTCCCTGTAGGCCCCACGTGGGCTGGCTGGGGGTCAGAGCTCTGGGGCCAAGTGAGGGGACTTCAGGGCCCTATGCACTCAAGCTGCCCACTGTCCACCCTCAGAGCCTCCTGGGTCGGGAGAGAGGGAAGGTGCTGAGGGGCCAGGCCCAGGACCCCATCTCCAGTGGCCACCTGTCCCTACACCTGTGACCACAGAACCACAGAAACAGCACCTCCCTTCCATCCCCGGCCCCGGTCCCCTGCAGTGGCACTCACGGTGCTGTGCTGGGTTGTCCCCTCCCGGCTGAAGTGGCGCTCCACGTATTGCGAGGAGAGGAGGTGGCTGAGACAGAGGGGGCAGCAGGAAGGGGGGTCACGGGCGAGGTGAGGTCGGGCTTGAGGCTCGCCTCAGGTCAGGACCCAGGTCCCCTCTGCCCAGGCCCAACCCCCAGACCCCCAGCAGCCAGGCCCTAGCCATGTCTCCCCCGCCCCACCACTGCCCTTCCTCTTGGGCTCAAGGCCACACTCACTGGTTCAGCTCCAGGTCCAGGGTGAAGTTTGAGTTGAAGGCTGGGATGACGAAACTCACCTGGGCCAGATGGACAGGCTGGGTGGGGGGAGGGCAGAGGGGGAGTCAACCCAGGGAGGCCTGAAGGTGGGAGTCGGGGGGATCCCGGGAGCAACAGTAGCCCTGGGGAAGGGGTGGCCAGCCCTAGCAGCTGAGGGGACCATTGATTTGGGGGCAAGATGCTTTGTCCAAGCTCCTCTTCCTCCACGACCCTGCTCCTTTACTAGTGGGCAGAGGCAGGAGTGCTCAGCCCTGGGCACAGCCCCCTTTCTGCCCTCTGGGCCCGGGCACCTGTGCATCCTCTCTGGGGCTGGGCTGCAGGTGCAGCTGGGATGGAGAGGGGCAGCCCGGCCAGCCCTCTGCCTCATTATGCCCTCCTGGCTGGTGAGGGGCACCCCACCATCAGGCAGAGTAACGGGAGGGCCCCAGGAGTATCATGGGAAAGGGACAAACAGGAAATGGGAGGCAGGACCCTCGCTGCCTGTCCCCCTACCCCGGCCCCAGCCTCCATCTACATAGGAGGCCTCGGACAGGGGCGAATGGGTGGGAATGGATGGCTAGGCCCCTGGAAACTGGGCGACGGGCAGGTGCCATCCTGTTGGGAGTAAGGACTTGGCTCCTCTACCCCCAAATCCATTGCCCTCTGCCTCACCCAAAGCAGCTCATCTTTAATATTTCAATCCCATGGTTAATTTTTAAACATGGAAGTTTTCCTGATAAATTTTTCAGAGTGCAGTGGGGCTGGAGGCTCCAGGTTGCCACAGCAACACACCACGCCAGAGCAAGATGGCGGCCCCCCAGGCCTGGGCGCTTGAGGACGCCTGGATCACAGCAACCGCAGGGCCCAGGAAGGGCTGAGAGGACTCAGGGCTGGGGCCTTCTCCACACCCCTTGTTCATTCCAGAAGACTGACTCCAGACCCCAACATGAGGGTCACCCACTCTGCCCTGCAAATGGGAGGCTTTTGTTCGCTGCCTGGCCTTTGTGGTGGGGACGGCAGGTTGCAGGAAGGAAGAGAGCCCCAAGGTTGTGGTCATGAAATCCATAGCCTGTGCCTTGTCGGCTTCCTCCTCAACCACCTCATCACTGCTAATCTTTACCGAGCACTTCTTGTGTGCCGGGCCCTGGTCTAAACACTAAGAGTATTGCCCTGTTTGATCTTCGCAGCAACCCTATGGGATAGATTACTGCCATTCCCATCTGAAAGGAGACAGGCACAGTGGGGCTGACTAACTTGCCCAAGGTCACACAGCTAAAAAGTGGTGAAGCTAGGGAGTCTGCTTCTAGGGCTGTCTCACCCCAAAGGTGGAGTAAAATGGAAGAGGGCCCAGTGTCCATGAGAGGTCCTGGGAGAGGAGCAAGGGGGGCACCAACGGCCAGGGCCTGGGTGGGCTGACCTTTGCGCCCCAAGGACACCGACTCACCCTATTCCAGGCTGACCAAGGCTCCCAATTCCATCCTGAGCCCCTAGAGCATTGATCAGCCCGAAATAGAAAGTCAAGGACAAGGAGTCGCCACATCCTCTTCCCGGCCCATGGCCTGAACCATCCTGGCCTTCCCCTGCCCCTGGGACTGTTCCTGCTTGTTCTATCTGCCTCCCACCAACAAGCCCCTATGCCAGCCCCCTCCACAGCTGCCTAGAGGAGCAGCCTGCCAGACCCCTTGCCCCAATGCTGCTCTCTGACCGTGCAGCCCCAGGGATGACCCAGCAACCTCTCTGTGCCTCAGATTTTCCCACTGAAAATGGTCAGATGAGCCCAGATGCGAGGCCAGGAGGTTGGCTACGTATTGGTACCATCCTGGGCCTGGAGATTCCAGCAGAGTCTGCCCTGGCACCAACAGAATCTCCCTCACTCAGGAGGTCTGCGAGCCACCCCATCAAGCCTGCTTCCTCTCTGCAGAGGCCAAGCCAGTCCCCACTCTGGGGAAAGCCCCAGCTGATGGGGGATGAAGGCCAGATACCTTAAGAGCCTCCTTGTCCACCACCTCCTGCCACCTGCTGAGCTCTCACCACTTCCCCATCTGGTGCAGCTGAGCCCAGCAGGACACAGGGCTCAGACCAGATAAGCCCCTGGGGCAGTGCCGGGGCAGCTGGGGCTGGGGGCTGGGCCTGGCTGGAGGTGGCCCAGGAGGGGGCTGGGAGAGCCCCCAAAGGCGGTAGGAGAAAGAAAGAGACCACATACCAAGGGGTGTTTGCCTGGCCTGGCCCCATGCGGGGACACAACCCTGTCCCTGGTCTGAGGGAAGAGATGGGTCACACAAACCTATCTCAGTCCCCAGAATCTCTGTGGCCCTGGCACCTGGGGAGTGGGGAGGGGACTCCTGCTGGCACAGAGTCCCAAGACCGCCCCAAGCCCGCCCAGCATTAGGCCAATGTTCTTTTTTTTTTTTTTTTTTTTTTTGAGATGGAGTCTCACTCTATCACCCAGGCTGTAGTGCAGTGGTGCAATCTCAGCTCACTGCAACCTCTGCCTCCTGAGTTCAAGCAATTCTCTGCCTCAGCCTCCCGAGGAGCTGGGATTGTAGGTGCCTACCACCACGCCCGGCTAATTTTTTTGTATTTTTAGTAGAGACAGGGTTTCACCATCTTGGCCAGGCTTGTCTTGAACTCCTGACCTTGTGATCCACCCTTGGCATCCCAAAGTGCTGGGATTGCAAATGTGAGCCACCATGCCCAGCGAATGTTCTTTTTTTAAAATTAATTAATTAATTTTTTAAGAGATGGGATCTCACTGTGTTGCCCAGGCTGATCTTGAACTCCTGGGCTCAGACCATCCTCCCGCCTCAGCCTCCCAAAGTGCTAGGATTACAGACTTGAGCCTCCATGTCCAGCCTAAGCCAGTGCTCTATCAAAGCCAAACTGTGCTCCCTGCCTGGCCCTGCTTTCTGCCCCTGCCCTGCCTCTGACCTCATCCCATTGTCCCTCCATCCCTGGTGGGAGGGGCCTTTGGTCTTGAGGTCATGCCAGCCCTCAGCTGACCCTGTGCCCTGCACTTGTCTCTTGCTCCCCCGGCTGCCCAGGCTCTCACATGCTCCAGCTCATTTGATCTCAACGTGCCCAGGCTGTCTGGTCCTCATTTTACAAATGCCAGGATGAGGCTCAGGGAGACACCTGGAGGTGACTGGCCCAGGGTCATGGCTGGGTGGCTGGGGAGGTGTGGGGCTGGATCTCACCCTGGGGCTGGAGTTCGTGTCGCCACAGCAGCTGTGACTGCCTGGCAGGGGTGACCACCCCTTCCACCCGAGGCTCCTCTCTGGCTGGCCCACCCACTCTCCTAGACATCTGCTTCAGAGCGACTGTGCCTTGTCCTCTCTGTACCAGATGCGGGGTGCAGACAGAAAAAGGCAAAGATTCTGCCAAAGACCCAGAAGCACAAATACAGGTGCCTGGGCTCTGCCCCAGACCTACAGACACACAGTCTTAGGAAGGGAGAGACTAAGGAGCCTTAGGATTCTCAAATTCTCCAGGAAATTCGAGAAGGGAGACCATTGCTCCCCACCACTTCCAGACACGGCCCTTCACACGCTGACCCGGAACTCCTGCCCGGACCTCCCTCTCCTCCCCACCCTCATCTGCACAGCCTGCACCTGCCAACCCATGCAGGGCTCTGGCGCCCTCCACCTCTGGGCCTTTAAGCACACAGTAGACATACACTTCTTTGATCACTGATTTGGCTTTTCAGGTGGGCGACCTTTAGTTCCCTGGAGCAAGGGCGATGCCTGCTTTTTTTCCCTGCCCACGAGCTCAACACTCACGTTGAATGGAAATGTATCGCAAGGCCTGAGATAAGCTGCTTCATGCCCCCGGCCTCAGTTTTCCCCTCGGTAAAACAGAATTGTTGGGCCAGGAGCAGTGGCTTACGCCTGTAATCCTAGGAGGCCAAGGTGGGCGGATTGCCTGAGCTCAGGAGTTTGAGACCAGCCTGGGTAACATGGTGAAACCCTGTCTCTACTCAAACAAAAAAGAAATTAGCCGGGTGTGGTGGCATGTGCCTGTAATCCCAGTTACTCGAGAGGCTGAGGCAGGGGAATTGCTTGAACCCGGGAGGCGGAGGTTGCAGTGAGCCAAGATCGTGCCACTGCACTCCAGCCTGGGCAACACAGCAAAACACTCTGTCTCTACAAAAAAAAAAAAAAAAAAAAAAAGAGAAAAGAAAAGAAAAACCAGGATTGCTGTGAGGATTAAATAAAAGCCCTTTTAAATGTGGTATCATAAGGGTCAATAATAATAATAACGAGAAGGAAGTGTAAATGTTCCAGCTGAACAGGGCTTTGAGGAACTGCATAAACGACTCCTTTGGATCACCTACTGTGACAGGGACATGCCAGAATGGTAGCCTTATGCTCCAGATCTGGGTGGATGGTGTGATTTACCTGTCAGGTGTCTCACCTGAGGACATCTTTCTGGAATCCCCTCCCGCAAGGAGACACCACCACCTTGTGGGCCAGGTGGCTGCAGAGTGGGGAGGAGCCAGAGAGGCAGGAGCTCCACCTGGGAGTATGTCCCAGCTGGGAGAAACCCCCCACCCACCCACCCACCTGCCAGCTCCCCCCACCCACCCCCGGCAATGTGTTGGGTGCTCCATTTATCAAGAGGGCAGCGGGATTCCCAGGCAATGAGAACAGCCAGACAAATTTCCAATGATGGGATTTGACCTACATTTTTGAGAACAGAGCCACCTCCTTTTACAGGGTCATCAGTCCCTCTGGGGACAGACTCTGGACAGCTGGGTTCCTCTAGGCAGCCAGGAGGTTGCTTGGGTGAGGCCAAGCCCACAGGCCAGAGTCCTGCTCATGTGGTTTCTCCCCTGGACCCCACCCCGAGCCTGACAAGTAACCCCTAAATATCCTGGCTCCTGTTTCTGACACCCAGCCCTCATGCCAGCACCAGGGCCCAGCACCCTGTCCGGACACTCAGAGATGTTGACCATCGGCTCTTCTGCCAGATCTTGGGCTGGACACCTGACATTCATCATCTCAAGTCCTCGCAGCAGCCTGAGAGGTGGAGACTATGAGCATCCCCATTTTATGAATGAGGAAGGTGGTGTTCAGGGGGCTGCATGACTGGCTCAGGTCACACAGTCAGAAGCAGGGGAGCAGGACCTGCACTAAGGCTGTGCCACCTCAAAGCCACAGCGTGCAGCCTCTCACACCAAAACTAAGCCTGCTGAACTCTCTGGCATGGCAGAGCTCAGTTCATGCCCCCACCTCACCCCTGGGAACAAGCTGGGCCCAGCAAAATCCTAGCCCTGGCTTCTAGCCATCTGCCCCAACCCAGGAGAGAGCCGCAACTTCAGCCACACAGACTATAGCATGGCCTTGGCTCTAGTGGGGTACCAGGGCCCCAGGCACAGACCCTGGCCCCCCTGTGGCACCATGTCCATGACTCCCATCTTCAAGAGCTGGGGGTGAGCCTTACTCAACTGCCCTCCGCCTTTCTGCAGGACGAAAACACAAACACTGTTGCAGCACACACCCACCGTGGAGGGCTTCTGGGGTGGTGCTTCCAGTAAATGCTGGCCTGGGCATCTCTCACAAGAGCTTAGCCCAGAGACTGAGGCACCCCTCCCCTAGCTGGCTCAGATGAGCTTCTATGTACCAGGTCTGCGACCTCCTCACCCCTGACCCTAGTCACCTCCCCATGTCCTGCCCTCTCCTTGTTCCCAAGGAGTCTGGGTCTCCCCAGGGGCAGGCATAACCCATACAGCAGCTTGGTGCAAATTAGAAAAAGGGGTCCCAAGACCGGGTGAGGTGGCTCACACCTGTAATTCCAGCACTTTGGGAGGCCAAGGCGGGTGGATCACTTGAGATCAGGAGTTCGAGACCAGTTTGGCCAGCATGGTGAAACCCCATCTCTACTAAAAATACAAAAATTAGCTGGAAGTGGTGGTGCACGCCTGTAATCCCAGCTACTCGGGAGGCTGAGGCACAAGAATCACTTGAACCCGGGAGGCAGAGGCTGCAGTGAGCCGAGATCATGCTGCTGCACTCCAGCCTGGGTGACAGAGTGAGACTCTGTCTTAAAAAAAAAAAAAGAAAGAAAACAAGATCCCCCTGCAAGTCAGAACGCATGTGGCCCCATAAGCCCACAGATTGCATTCAGCTCACTTACTGCTTGCCCAGTCACCCTAGTGGAGTGAACAACCAGCCCAACTGGACACGGTAGTCTTGCCTGACCTGCACCACCCCTCGGCTGCAGGCTCCCTGGAACCACAGGTTTCTGCACTCCCAGAAGCTCCCTCACTTCTCTGGGCCTCAGGCCTAGCCTGCTTCCAGGCTGGACAGAAGTGAGGGGGTTGAGTGCAGTAGCAAAGAGAGGGCAAGGGTGCATCTGTGTCTCTTTTCCCTTCAGCCCTGAGCAAGAGGTGGCAGCGTGCTGGGTGAGAGCCCTGCTTTGAGGATCAGTCTTGACTCTGTGCTCAAGTGCTGTGTCACTTGGGGCAGTTACGTTGCCTCTCTGTGCCTGTTTCTCCATCTGCGAGATGGGAATAACAGCCCCACCTCTGGGAGCTGTGATGAAGATTAAATAATTCCACGTAAAGGAGTGCCTGCCCCAAAAAGGCCTAGTAAATAATTGTAATTTCTCTACCTTGTTCTTTTGTTGTTGTTGTTGTATTGTGTGAGACAGGATCTCACTCTGTAGCCTAGGTTGGAGTGCAGTGGTGCAACCATAGCTCACTGCAGCCTTGAACTCTTGGACTCAAGCGATCCTGCAGCCTCAGCCTCCCAAGTAGCTGGGACTACAGGTGCGCAGCACCATGCTTGGGTAATTTTTTTTTTTTTTTTTGGTAGAGACGGGAGTCTCACTATGGTGCCCAGGCTAGTCTCAAACTCCTGGTCTCAAGCAATCCCCTGACCTTGGCCACTGTGAGCCAATGCACCCAGTCTAATTTCTCCAGCTTCTAATTCCTTCTTGGCCGCTATATCTCTTCCCCTGTCCCAGTCGCACCCCCACCCTTGCCCCTGTCAAGCCAGGAATCCTCAGCACGTAAAGCTCTTTCCCATCACCACCTCCTGGTAGTAGGTGGGACTGAGATATGTTACCATCCTGATTTTAGGGAACAGGAAACTGGGGCTCAGAAAAGTCAAACGACCTGCCCAAAGCCACAGCAGCTCAGCGCCCCAGGCCCTGCCAGCCAGCATGTGCCCCTGGACTCGACACATGACCAGAGATCTTGCTGCCAGCTCCACACCGGCTAGGCTTGAAGTTCCAAACCAGGGCAGTAAGTTAAGGCAAAAACCAAGCAATGCCCAGCTGGGGTACTTCTGGCTAGGACACACACGGGCTCAAGTCCACACTGGATCCACCATCAGACCCCATGGCTCTGAGGCCAAAAGCGCTCTAACCCCAGGGAGAAATGCCAGGCAGGAGATTGAGGGTTTGCCATATCTCCTTACCGTTGGGGAAAATATTCTGGATGTGTCTTTTTGTCTCCTTGCTCTGGGCAGAGTTGGGAGACTGCCTCCTGGACCCAAATCCAGAGAGCCCTGGAGGCAGAACTGGGAAGTGCCCTGGTGTGGAGAAAACTCCCACCTCCACTGCTTAAGATCTGATTGACTTTGGGCAATTTACGTCATCCCTCTGAGCCTCAGTTTGCTCATCTGTAAAATGGGGCTGACAAAAGTTACAAGCTGCCAGGCGCAGTGGCTCACGCTTGTAATCCCAGCACTTTGGGAGGCCGAGGTGGGCAGATCACCTGAGGTCGGAAGTTCGAGACCAGCCTGAGCAACATGGAGAAACCCCATCTCTACTAAAAATACAAAAAATTAGCCAGGCATGGTGGCGCACGTCTGTAATCCCAGCTACTCGGGAGGCTGAGGCAGTAGAATTGCTTGAACCCGGGAGGTGGAGGTTAGGGTGAGCAGAGATCACGCCATTGCACTCCAGCCTGGGCAACAAGAGCAAAACTCCATCACACACACACATAAACACACAAAAGTTACAAGCCTTACAGAGTTGTGAGAAATAAGTGATGTAGAGTGCATACAAAGCTTGGCAGAGTGGCCCATAGAAGTCCACAGCTTTGGTACCTCAGGGGAAACTGAGGCACAGATAAGAGAGGGCCCCAAACAAGTCCCTTGAGGAGGTCGCCATGAGGGCCCTAGGAAGTCTCAGTCTCAGAGAGACCCCAAAATTGGAGATAATCACTGCCCGGCAGATCCATGGAACTCCATTCCCTCCCCGCAGGCTCTCAGACACCCCTCAGAAGTATCTGGAATCGGTGGATCACATACACACCTCACATGCACTCACTCACCTGCAGAACAACACAGAGACCCCCAACCCAAGCAGTTCAACTGCACCCATCCTGACCTTCCCACGCAGCTGCAGACACCACCACAGCCCAGAACCTCCTACCCTTTGCCACCTCTGTCTCTGTTCGGAAAGGGTCAGGCTGAAGGAGCAACCTGCCCAGTTGGAATACCTGACTTTTCATCCCTACCTGACTCCAGGCTTTTCCTCAACTCTGTCCCCTTTCCCTGCGGTGACATCCCTCCATGACTCAATCTGCACATCCCTTAAAGCATAAGCCAGAGTCCCAGCAGTCGGGCAGACCATCAGTTCCCCCACAGTGTAACCACGGGGTGCACAGTTCACAGGTAGGGAGTGACACCAGGCAAGACAGCCAGACTCAGCGGCCAGGACACCCCATCCCCGGCCCTAGGACTGCACACCTCCCAGGGAGCCTGGGCAGTTGCTGAAGGCAGCTTCCACCCCCCACCCCACCCCCAGTGACTGCGGGCCTTGGACCATTAGCCCCCTCCCCCTGCCCCTCTGCACGGCCCTGAGTGATGGTCCATCTATTATGCATGCTCCCTTCCTGCTCCATCCATTTCATCAGTATTCTCCACCCCTGCACCACCCCGCATCCCCCTCTGCTCCCCTCCCTTAAGGGCTTTTAACCAAGTACATTAGGCAGGGCCAGATGCCAGTCTGACAGATGTCCGTAATGTTAGCCTCCGTTTCCCTCCTTCCTCCCTCTGCCCAGCCCAATTTACCTCCCACCACTCCCCGCTGCCAAAACTTCCCAGGCCTCAGTTGTACCCCTCTTCTGGGTCTCCCCCCTATACCTCCTGTTTGTGCCGGGCCTTTGCCAGCCAACCTGCCCTCTGCTGCCCTGTTGGCCTGGCTCACTTTCAGCTCCAGCTCTTGGAGCGCTGGGGTGTGCTGAATGAATATTCCATCTGGGTGATTATTATTCACATGATATTAATTAATTATTAATTGCAATTAATCTCCTTCATGCCTAACCTTCCTCTGGGAGGCAGGAGGGGCCTGGCAGCTGAAAGGGACAGTGGGCAGGCAGGTAGAGCTGGCTTGGGGCCTCAAGTTATTTTCCAAGGCCCCACCTTCAGCCAGGACAGGAAGAACAACAAGCCTATCTGGGCACTGTGTGGAAACTGAGGCAGGAGCAAGCACTAAGTTGTTCCAAGAAAGCCCACTAAGGTGGCTGTGGTGAGAACCTGAGAGCCCTAATCCCTGACTGGAATCTGGGCTGCCTCTCCCTGCCCCCAACTTGCCCCATCCAAGCCCTGTTTTGAACAGAACAACTAGCTTTGGCCAGAGCAGAGCAGGGGGCCATTGGAAGGCTGACCCAAAGCAGACCTGAGACCTAGGCATTAGTGGTCCCTGTACACTGAGGGCAGGGGACCCTACAATAATGGAAGGGGGCCCTGGGGCTGGGCAGGCCTGGTGCTCCCCACCAGTGGGCTCCAGCACCCACCGGATAGCCCACTGTACAGAAGGGGACCCTGCGGGGCAGCTGCTGAGGGGGACTCCAACCCTGGTTACCCCGTGGGCTTCCTGGGGCTCTGAGGCCTGCTTCAGCCCCTGGCCTCACCACCCAGCCCCACTCACCGGGCCCCCTGGTGGCTCCTGGCGGACCCTTGTGTCCAGCTGCTGCTTTCGGACCTCTCCCCCGGAGCTCTCCCTAACCAGACGGCTGGGTTCCGTGACCTCAGGGGCTCCTGGGCCTCCCAGCTGGGGTAAGCCCCCCCATCGCAGAGCTCCAGCAGGACCTTGGGTCCCAAGACCTGGGGAAACAAGGCCATGGCTGCAGGCAGCTGCCCACCCTGGGGCAGAAGACTTGGGAATGGGGTGGGCATGCCTCATCCCCCACTCTGGTGTGGCCCCTGGAGCCCTAGGGCGATCCGGGTGGGAGGATCTGGCTGCCCTGCAGAGGCAAGAGCCCGCGGGGAGGGGGCCAGGAGCTTCACTCCCGCCCAACCGTCACGACTGCCCCCCCATCCGCCCAAACCCGCAGAGACCTGCAGAGCTGGCCGGTCGGCGGCAGGGGCAGGGACGCGGTGGGCCCGGCCAGCTGGGGACAGGTGGGTGGACGCACCTTCCCTCCTCTCCCGCTCCCCTACCCTCCCGCGCTCCGGACCGGCTGTCACCCCGAGCACTGCAGGAAAAGGTGGCTGCAGCAGCAAGCGCCGCACATCCCGGGGCGGGGGCAGGGAGGGGGCGCCGGGGCCGGGCGGGGGTCACTCACCGGGCGTGGGGAGCAGCGACAGCAGCAGAGCCGCGAACGCCCAGCGCCGCAGCAGCCTCATGGCTCGCTCATTCCTCCCGGTCCGGGGGCTGCGGCTGCCAGCGGCGCGGGGAGGGCGGGAGCAGGGACGGGGGTGGGGAGGCGCCAGCTGCGGAGCCGGGGCGGGGGCGCGGGGCCGGGCGGGGGTCGCGGAGAGGTGGGGGCGGCAGGGACGGCGCCGGGGCTCAGCGCGCTCCGGCCGCGGCCATCCCGGCGGGGCGGCGGGGCCGGGTTAAGAGCTGAGCAGCGAGCACGTGAGCCCAGGGCCCGCCCTCCGCTCTCCCGCCGCCCCCCGGCCCCCCCAGCCCCGCAGGGCCCGGGCCGCCGCCGCGGCAGGACAAAAGAGGCGCCGCCCCGGGGTCCCTCCTCGCACCTCGAAGTCTCCTCGGCAGGTGCGGGGCGGTGGCGCTCCGCGTACTTATCCCGCGGCCTCTCCTCGGCCACCTCTGCCTGAGCATCTCCGAGGACTCGTAGATTTGTAGGGGAGGGAAGCAGGGGACGGGGTACCCCCGGGGTCGACCCGGCGACTGCCTGTCTGGGGCCCGGGGGCAGGGGCGTGGCTGCGGCGCCCACGTTCGCCCCTCTGTCGTGGTACCCCAGAGAGGCTGCCCCAGCCCCAGCTTGGAGCGCCCCGCTTGACCCCAGGCTGTGGAAGCTGGGGTTGGGGTGGGCAAAGGCTCTTGGCGAACGCCGGGCTCTACGCCTCTGGGATTTCTTGCACCTTCGCTACGGGTCGTGTCACTGCGGAGTCCTCTCACGCCCGCGGTACAGACCCCTTCCCATCGGCTCCTTCTCCCCGCCAAAGATGCCCCGGCCTCCAGGAGGGCTTCAGGGATCGCTGTCACTCCAACCATCAGGAAGGGCTGGCATGTCCGTCTGGGTTCCTGAGTCTCTCACAGGCGTCCTGTCCTTCCTCCTAGATAAAATATAAACTAGCCAGGTCACTTATATGCTGCTAGCATGCCCCATGGCTCCCCCTCCCTTGCTAGTCCCAATCCTTAGGAGCAGAAGACACCTCTGGAGCCCCCCAGCATTCCCTCTCTGGTCAGACTAGGCTGCCCTGTCTGCAAAATACTTGACCTCCCAACCTACATTCCCAGCTGTGCCCTCCACCCAGCTCCTGGGGATGTTGGGTCCCAATACCAGGGCTGGGACCTCAGACTTCTGCTAGGGGTGCTGAAGGCCAGATACCTGAGATGGTGTGGGGTGTGGTAGGGCATGGTGGGTGGGCCGCTGAGTCCCCACCCTGACCTTTTTGGTACCCATGCTAGGGGACCACAGGTTGCTGAAGAACAAGATTGGAGGCAGGAAACCCCTTCCTGGGTCCTCTGCTTCCGCAAGGACCCAGGGCCTCTGCTGGGGATGAGGGAACTGCCTCTAGCTTGTGACACCCCCACCCCCCGCTCTATTTTAGGCCCAGGAGAGGTGAGAAGGCGATTTCCCAGGAGGCGCTGACATCAATGTAGGGAACCAAGTGACTCCCCCCACCCCCAACCACCTGCCATGCCAGGCCCAGATGCTCAGTAAGGCTGAGCCAATTCTTCCTTCGCTCTGGAGACATCTTGAGAACCTCCTCCAAGATGTAGGCATGAGGAGGCTCCTGGGAATGAGGGCCTACTAGGTGGTATTCCTGGAAACTCATCATGAGCCCAGAGGGAGAGATTGTGCTCCCCATTTTACAGATGGGGAAACTGAGGCTCTGAGAGGTTATGTGAGCTTCTCAAAGTCACACAGCTGGTGAAAGGCACATCCCATACTCCATGGCCCCACTCCTCTTAGCCACCCCTAGTCCTACTTCCATCTCTGCCCTCCATTTGGGACCAGAGGGGACTGGTATATCTGGTCCCATGCACCCTCACCACACACCCCAGACACGAAGGTGGCTGTCCTGCTCCAGCCTGCCCATGTCCCAGGGCCACATCAGCAAGTCCCGATCAGGAGTGCCCCCCAGTAGGCTGGGTGAGGTTTGTCATTTCACAGTGCGAGCCCGGGGCTGGGAGAGTCTGGGTCCTCCAACATGTTCAAGACCACAGAGCAAGCCCAATCTGTGGTCCAGGCCTCTTCACCAGAGGCATGTTCCTACCACATCGGTGGCCCTGGGACCCTAGACTTCCTGTTGGGGAGACCTGATGAGCCCTAAGAGTGACTCTCCCTGGTGGCACCCTGGGCTAGTTCCAGTGGAGACTCGGTCATATGGCTCCCTGGCCCCCATAGCCACTTATATTCCTGGGTTCCCCGGCTCCCAGCAGATCTGGCTAGAACTTACTTTTTTTTTTTTTTTTTTTTTGAGACAGAGTCTGGCTCTGTCGCCCAGGCTGGAGTGCAGTGGCACGATCTCGGCTCACTGCAAGCTCCGCCTCCCGGGTTCACGCCATTCTCCTGCCTCAGCCTCCTGAATAGTTGGGACTACAGGTGCTCGCCACCACGCCCAGCTATTTTTTTTTTTTTTTTGTATTTTTAGTAGCGACGGGGTTTCACATGTTAGCCAGCATGGTCTCGATCTCCTGGCCTCGTGATCCACCCGCCTCGGCCTCCCAAAGTGCTGAGATTACAGGCGTGAGCCACCGCACCCGGCTAGAACTTACTATTTTTTTTTTTTCTTTTGGAGAGTCTCGCTCTGTCACCCAGGCTGGAGTAAAGTGGCAAGATCGCGGCTCACTTCAACCTCCACCTCTGGGGTCAAGTGATTCTCTTGCCTCAGCCTCCCGAGCAGCTAGGACAACAGGCATGTGTCACCATACCTGGCTAATTTTTTGTATTTTTAGTAGAGATGGGATCTCACCATGTTGCCCGGGCTGTTCTCACCCTCCTAAATTCACCATGTTGTCCAGGCTGTCCTCAACCTCCTAAATTCAGGCAATCTGCCTGCCTCCCAAAGTGCTAGGATTACAGGTGTGAGCCACCATGCCTGGCCTAGAACTTTCTTTTTTTTTTTTTTTGAGATTGAGTTTCGCTCTTTTTTTTTTTTTGAGATGGAGTCTCGCTGTGTCACCCAGGCTGGAGTGCAGTGGCGCCATCTCGGCTCACTGCAAGCTCCGCCTCCCGGGTTCATGCCATTCTCCTGCCTCAGTCTCCCGAGTAGCTGGGACTACAGGTGCCCAACACCATGCCCAGCTAATTTTTTTGTGTTTTTAGTAGAGACGGGGTTTCACTGTGTTAGCCAGGATAGTCTCGATCTCCTGACCTCGTGATCCACCCGCCTCGGCCTCCCAGGGTGCTGGTGGGATTACAGGGTGAGCCACCACCCCCAGCTGGAGTTTCGCTCTTGTTGCAATGGCATGATCTCGGCTCACCGCAACCTCCACCTCCCAGGTTCAAGCAATTCTCCTGCCTCAGCCTCCCGAGTAGCTGGGATTACAGACATGTGCCACCATGCCCAGCTAATTTTGTATTTTTAGTAGAGATGTGGTTTCTCCATGTTGGTCAGGCTGGTCTCGAACTCCTGACTTCAGGTGATCCACCCACCTCGGCCTCCTAAAGTGCTGGGATTACAGGCGTGAGCCCACCGCACCCAGCCGATCTTTTTTTTTTTTTTTTTTTTTTTTTTTGAGATGGGAGTCTCACTCTGTTGCTTAGGCTGGAGTGCAGTGGCATGATCTCGGCTCACTGCAATCTCCTTCTCCTGGGTTCAAGTGACTCTCCTGCCTCAGCCTCCCAAGTAGCTGGGATTACAGGTGTGCACCACCACGCCTGGCTAATTTTTGTATTATTAGTAGAGATGGGGTTTCGCCATGTTGGTCAGGCTGTTCTCAAACTCCTGGCCTCAAGCAATCTGCCTGCTTCAGCCTCCCAAAGTGCTGGGATTGCAGGCAATAGACCTTATTTTTTAATTTTTTGAGGGTCTCGCTCTGTTGCCCAGGCTGGAGAACAGTGGCACAATCATAGCTTCCTGTAACCTTGACCTCTTGGGCTCAAGTCATCTCCTGCCTCAGCCTCCTGAGTAGCAGGGACTACAGGTGGCGTCACCAAGCTTGGCTTTTTTTTTTTTTTTTTTTTTCAGACGGAGTCTTGTTCTGTTGCCCAGGCTGGAGTGCAATGGTATGACCTCGGCTCACTGCAACCTCCTCCTCCCACCGGGTTCCAGCAATTCTCCTGCCTCAGCCTCTCAAGTAGCTGGGATTACAGGTGTGCTCCACCATGTCTGGCTAATTTTTGTATTTTTAGTAGAGATGGGGTTTCACCATGTTGGCCAGGCTGGTCTTGAACTCCTGACCTCAAGTGATCTGCCCACCTTGGCCTCCCAAAGTGCTGGGATTACAGGTGTGAGCCACCGTGCCCAGCACTTTTGTATTTTTTGTAGAGATTGGGTTTCATCATGTTGTCCTGGCTGTTCTCAACACCTGGACTCAAGAGCCATTCAAGGCCAGGCGTGGTGGCTCAAGCTTGTAATCCCAGCACTTTGGGATGCTGAGGCGGGTGGATCACGAGGTCAGGAGATCGAGACCATCCTGGCTAACACGGTGAAACCCTGTCTCAACTAAAAATACAAAAAATTAGCCAGGCGTGGTGGTGGGCGCCTGTAGTCCCAGCTACTCGGGAGGCTGAGGCAGGAGAATGGGGTGAACCTGGGAGGCAGAGCAGCCTCCCAAAGTGCTGGGATTACCAGGCATGAGGCCGATGCTTGGCTAACAAAATTTCTTTTTGTAGAGACGGGGGTCTTTTTATGTTGCCCAGGCCAGTCTCGAACTCTTGAACTCAAGTGATCCTCCAGCCTCAGCCTCCCAAAGTGCTGGGATTAGATTACATCTGTGAACCCTGGCACCCGGCCTCGGCTAGACCTCTTGCCTCTCCCTTGATCACAGTCCCCAGTCCCTGAGGTTCCACCTCCCCTGTCTCATGCTTGCCTCAGCTCTCTTAGGAGCTGTGGGATCCCCACACAGAAAGCTTGCTTCACGTTCTTTCACCCACCGTCCCTCCTGAGGTCAGGGCTGTCTGTTTTCTCATTGGTGGCCCTTCATCAGACTGGGACTTCAGAAGAGCAGGGCTTGTCCTCCTCATCAGACCTGACCCTGATAGCAAGGGCTGTTTTCTGCTTAGATCGGGGCAGGCCTGTGTCTCCCCCTCAAACATAGGGTTCCCTGGGGGGCCCCACCTCAACTTCATAGCTATGGCTGGCTCCTTCGGTCCATCCATTGAGGCTGGGGCCACTATTTCTGCTGCCCTGATGCCACTCTTGGGGTTGCTCTTGCTGAGGGAGCTGTGGGGCCCTGAGGGGTGGGTCTCTGGCCTCCCTTAGGAAGCCCCTTCCCTAGGAGGCCGGAGCCTCCTTCCTTCTGCTGCTCTTCTAGCTCTTTAGCCGGTTCTCTCAAATTTTCCTGCATAAGGGCCAAGTTGGGGATGCAGGGCCAAGACCTTGTCTCCGCAACTCCAGGTAAGGGAGAGGTCCTGGTTGCCCCCAGCCCTGGGGTGATACCACCGGCAGTGATTCCTGCCAGTGGAGGCCGTCCAGGCCTGGTGACCAGCCTTAAGTCCTGCAGCACAGACCATGCTAGTCAAGGGGGCAGGATTCAGGTCTCCAGGCTGGGGTCCCAATCCTGCCTCCCCCACAAACTGGCTGTGTGACCTTGAGCAAGCCCGCTGGCCTCTCTGGGCCTTGGTTTCCTCATCCACGACACAGGGGTTAGAAAACCACCCCCCTCACAGTGCTCCTCTCGGGGATGATGGCTGAGCTGCCCATGCTTGGAGCAGCGTCTGGCACATGAAAGGGGCTCAGTCACCCTGGGCTCGCACCGTCCAAGGCGCCGAGGAGCAAACCGGCTCCCTGGCCCTTGCCCAGGACCCCAGGCCTCTCTATGGCTTGGGGTCCTCGGGGTCCTCTCTCTACCCAGCACAGAGAGAACCTGTGCCTGATGTCGTGATGTGGAGGGGTGGCAGCAGGGGAAGTGCCTAGCATTTGGACAGGAAGTTCATCCTGCTTCCTCTTAGATGCCAGCCCAGGGTCCAAGGACCGTTCTTCTCATCTGCATAGCTCTCCCGGGAAACCTCATGCTCCTCCCTCTCAGGCGTCCAAGTGGCCCCTCTTTTAATCTCTGAAGCTCTCAGGCTTCACCAAGGGAGGAGTTGGGGGCACCTGGGGCACCAGGATCCCAGGCACACTCATCCTTTGGGAGGTCTGTGGGGCACAAATACAGTCACACCCATAAGGGCCCAAGTGCCACTTCTTTTCCACAAAAGGGATCCTCCTGGAGCTCAGGAGAGGGCCCTTGGGAGGGGGCCTGGGACAGGGGGTCTCACAGTGCCCCTCAGCAGCTTCATCCACAAATGCTCACCCGAGATGAGGACGCCAGTTACCAAGGGACACTGCCAGGTGGGAATTAGTGAGAATAAGCTTTATGTAAGTTTAGGAGGGAGGCCTCACAGGCATGTGTGCCTGTGGGTAATATGTTATTTGTTGAGACAATGTGCCAAGCTCTGTGCCACATACCTCACAAACACATCTGATTTCACTCTTGTGATTTCCTAGCGAGGTAGCAACTATGATTATCTCCATTTTTCGTATTTATTTATTTATTTATTTATTTTCGAGACAGTCTCGCCCTGTTGCCCAGGCTGGAGTGCAGTGGCACAATCTCGGCTCACTGCAACCTCTGCCTCCCAGGTTCAAGTGATTCTCCTGCCTCAGCCTCCCGAGTAGCTGGGATTACAGGCATGCCAGCATGCCCGGCTAACTTTTGTATTTTTAGTAGAGATGGGGTTTCACTATGTTGGCCAGGCTGGTCTCGAACTCCTGACCTCAAATGATCCGCCCGCCTCAGCCTCCCAAAGTGCAGGGATTACAGGCGTGAGCCACCGTGCCCAGCCTAGATTACCTCCATTTTTTAGATCAAGAAAACAGTTTGAGCTGGGCACAGCTGAAACTCCCCTGGGAAGGGGAGCCAAGATCCAGGATGAGAAGGAGTGCTCGGGTATACAGCACTCCTGCTGGTGGCAGGATAGGGAAAGACATAAAAGATTTGCTGGCAGTCACAGTATTTTATTATTGGAAAGGGTCCTGAAATCATCTCATCCAAGCCCCTTACTTAAAGACGAGGAAACTGAGGCCCGAGTAATAAAGGCATTTTTCTGAGGTCACAGTGAGTTGGAGGCAGCTAGCTCCTGCATTCCACCCAGCAGAAGGGAGTTGGGGTGGAGCTACCAATCGGTCACATCTGCCGAGAAGTGAAAGGCTCAGCGAGAAGAGGCAAGAACAAAGGCCTGGGGACCTAGTCTGAGTAAAGTAGTTAGGGCTGGAGGGCTCTTCAGGTGTCTCGGAGCTGACTCAGGGCAGACGGCAAGGCCTGTGCTGAATGAACGAACGAGGGAATGGGCAATGGTGAGGAAGGGCAGGGGGACAGGAGAACCAGGCCACTGAGGGGCTGCTGCGACCAAGGGAGCCAGGCTTCAAGGAGGAAAGAAAGGAGAAAAGGAACCAACTTTGGTCACCAGTAGCCTGTCCATGACCTTGGAATAGATGATCTTAGTGGAATGCTTCAGGCAGAGCTACCCAGGAAGGAAGTGTGGAAGGGAAGGAGGTGAAGAGGAGGCGGTAGGTATAGACCGCAGGAAGGAGCCAGAGAACAGAAGGTGGGAGCCTTCAAGTATTTGAAGTCGATTTACTGAATCAACTCAAGTGTTTTCCAGGAGAGGAGCATGGCATTTTGGGGCAGAGGGGAAAGGTGGCAAGTCTGAGAAGGAAACCAACAAGAGTGGTTGGCGAGGTGGGCTGGAGGGCCAGGGACAGACAGTGTGACTTGTGGAGGGAGGACACCTCTTCAGAAAGAAACGGCAACATGTTGAAAAGGGACTGACTGCAAGATAAGGCAATGCCCACTGGGTCTGGGTAAAAGTCATCTGGTGCGATGTGGAAAGGGGGCTGGAGTGGAAAGGAGTCTGAGCAGTGCTCACGCCAAGGAGCCACTGCGGGACCTCATTCACATCAAGCAGCACCCATCCATCCTGGGTCAAGTCTCAGGTGTTCTGGGTTCACCTCTAACCTGAGTCTACAGCCAGGAAGCCGCAATGGAGAAATGGCTGAGGAGTGTTCCAGCCTTGGGGTTTGGCCTGGCAGAGATGTCCAAGGTCATGATCATTGAGATAGGAGGGGAAGGCAAGGGTACACGGATGTGAGGTTCGGGGAATGGGTCCTGCAGTTGACAATGAGGGCACCCGAACCCGGCACCACAGGCTTTGTGTGAGCAGCAGGTAAAGGTATCCAAGTCTGAGACAGGGGCAAGGGGAAACTTCCTCATGCAGAGGGGTGGTGTCATGGGGAATGAGGCAACCCCATGTCACAAAAGGAAAGGGACGAACCCAGCAGCGTGCAGACATAAGCCACGGTCTGGCTTCAGGGAAGAGGAGTGGGCCCTTAACAGGAATGTCCGCCGGGGCAAAGGAGTTTTCTTGGGAGGGATGGAGGGGCATGTCCTCTGCAGGCGACCACTCCCCAGGCAGCAGAGCCAAGGAAGTGACCAGATGAGACTGGGTAAAGGAGGCTGGGCAGGGACAGAGGCAGCCCTGCTCCCTGGAGCCCTTGGGCAAGGCCGGCAGGAGGGTTGTGGCACTCACACATGTGTGACTTGCAGGAGGTCCCATCACACCATCTAGTGATTCTGTCCATCGCTGCTGGCCCGCAGCCCTGCCTTGGGTCACTGGAGGGCAGATCAAGGACCGACATATGGCATTCCAGCCCCATCTCTTTGCTATTTGTAATTAACAAATTTATTTACATTTCCTGAACCAAAATTAATTGTAAAATTTAACAGGAAGGGGGTAACATGACCTCTAAGGTGGGCTGTACACATAGTTGCTCTATTTCCAAACTAATAACTTGAGTCCTCACCCATAGCTGGGCCCCCCCTTCTTCCTTTGAAAGGAGACACAGAATAGCATCAGGCTTCCGGAAGCTTCAACATTTAAAGAGACAACTCTTTAAATGCACGGACGCAGAGAAGGGTGAGAAGAATCACGGTACAAATTGTAATGAAAGAAAAAGTGGCCAGAGAATCGATAGCAAACCCATTTCTGTCTCCAGATTAATGGCTTGGCTGCCAGAAATGGGGGGAGGTCCTTGGGGAAGGAGAGGAGGGAGCGAGGGAGGAGGGTGATGTGGAAGTTGGCAGGTGACACACTGGCCCCGGAACAGCCGAACTTCGGGCAGGCAGCTCAAGCTGAGGAGGCAGAGAAGGGGCGAGAGGGGTCCCAGAGGGGGCTCTGGCCACATCCTGGGCTCAGGGGAAAGGTCAGTGCTGGGCCCCAACTAAGTGCCTGGGGGAGGGAGCTCTGTGAGTGGTGCAGCCCAAGCCCCTCCTCTGCTTCATATGTTCCTGAGGATCTGTGTGCGGGAGCGTGGGGGGCTGGGGGAGGGGACAAACACAGTCATTTTGGAAAGCAGGAGCGGCCACATGCTCGTGAGAAAGGAGGCCGGGGTTGGGGGTGGAGCACACCAACAGCTAACCCGCGGCTCTGCAGAGAGGCAAGGGCCTGTGGAGGGCCAGGAAGCCGGGCCAGGACTCCTGCTGCCCCAGCTCCTTTGTGGTCCCTCCCCATGCCAACTTCGCCTCTGCCTCCTGGCGTGGGCGGCCAGCCTCAGCTGGGCAAGCCCACTGTAGACTCTGCCTGGTCAGGAACATGGCAGGAGGCAGGGGTAGGAGAGGGCAGCCCCCAGCCCAGATTCTCTCCCAAAGACCTGGCCAGTGGGAGGGGTGGCTCTGTCAGCTCCATGGAGCTGAGCGTGACAGCTGCTTGCTGGACTTCAAAGGCCAGGCCCGGGCCTCCTTCTAGCTCTTTTGGGGAAGTCCTGGGGTTCTGCCCCTCCTGCGTCCTGGTCAGCCCTGGCCGGGTGTGCAGCACCCAGCAGAGGAGTAAGTTGTATCTGTGGCCCTTCAATCTGGAGCTGCCTGGCCCTGTGAAGAGCCAAGCACCTTGGGGACTCGTAGGAGCAGCTCTCTGCCAGCATGGGGCTGGGGCTGGGGCTGGGGTTGGGACCAGGGCTGGGAGACAGGGAGACAGGGCACCTGGAGAGGCTGGGGGGCCCAGAGGCATCGGGAACAGCTGGCTCCCGCACTGGCTGGCAGGGGCTGCAGGAGGGAGGTAGACCTGCTCTCTACAGGTGCTCCCGAGGGCTGCACACTGGTAGCTGAGTACAGGGGAGCTGATGGCCAGCCTGGAGCTGTGGGGCAGCTGAGGAGCTGGCCAGCCTCCTGGGATACAGGGCCAGTGGCTGTACACTCAGAATCCTCAGGCCCTGGGGGCCACCCTTTCCCCAGCCAGGAGGGCTGTGTGGCCCAGAACTCTGCTGGTCTGTCTGTGGGCTGCCAGGGGAAGGGGTCTGGGAGAGAGAGGCAGGTCTGTGAGTGGCACAAGGGCTGGAGGGAGGCGAGGAGCCTGGACTCATGGCCTGTAAGGGGAAGAGAGGGAAGACGCTTGCCACTAGTTGTCCTGGTGCCGCAGGGGTTGGGGGCTATTGGGACAAAAAATGAAGCCTGTGGCCAGGAGGCCCCCACTCTCTTCTTAGCACTGCCACTGGGGAACTGAACCTTCCGCTTGTGGCCAAAAAGTGCCAGGTCTGGGCCAGAGGAGAGTTCCATAAAACCAGAGCTAGGCAGGAGGCATTGGCAAGCAGGGCTCCTGGACACTGGTATCCCTGGGGGGTCCACAAACACATCAACTGACACCCCCAGGTCCTGGCAGCTTGCTATAGGTCCAGGTACCTCACCAGTCCCTGCACGTTCAGCTGGTGCCTGCGTGCTGTCCACTGTCCCATCCTGCTCTGGGATACCTGATGCCTGGCAGCTGTCTTCTTTCCTTATCCTGGGAGATGCTGCCCTGGGATGGGAGGGCTGATGGGGGTGCAGAGTCTCAGGACAGAGAGGGTCACAATCAGAAGCTGGGGAACCTGACCACCTGTTGGGACAGAAACACTGTGAGCTGCAGGTTTCAACTTCACAGCAGGCCTGGGCCAGGGCTGAGGGCACAGGGAGAGCTGCCACAGCTGGCGGTTCATGTGCCGAGAGAGCTGCCTTCTCTGAGGCCCTGTGTGAAAGTCCTCCTGTTTGGGTCTAACCTGCCGCAGCAACCAGCACTGTGTGCACTTCTCTTGGCTCTGCAGCCTGTGGTTGGGGCCGGCCAGAGGAATAGGTTAGAGGCTATTCCATTTCATGACTTCACAGAGGAGGCTGTGCCCTTTGGCAGCTGAAGAAAGCAGCGCAGTGCCTGGCTGTGCAAGTTGAGCTTGAGGTGGAGATTTGGGGTGAGAGGTGAAGCCACAGCCCCAGGTGGGAGAGGGTCTGCCTTGCTGGCAGCAAGGGGAAGCAGGGCTCAGAGGGCCCTGGAATTCCCACCAAACCCCATGCAGTCCTTCTTTCTGGGGGTGACTTCTACAGAGGGGAAAGACTTTGCTTTTCACCTATCTAGGAGAGGCCCAAGCACTAACCCCCTGCTCCCTGGCCAGAACTGCTTATCAACCACATCAAAGCCTGTGGAGTTGGAAGGGAGCCACAGTGTAGTCTGGGTCTAGTCTTCATCAAGTGAAGCCACAAATGGAGGTCTTTTTATTTTTTTTGGCCAGCCCCAAAACAAACAGGACTGAGGATAAGGGGAAAGGAAGGTGAGAAAAGAGGAAAACATCACAGTCTGGTCCCAGCAGCCACCAACCTGAGGGTCTCTTCCCACCCAGAGGGCAACAGAGGAGAGAGCAGACACAGTTGTGCCTGCCAGCGTGGCACTCACCTGGGGAGGCCAGCCTGGAAAGGGATGTCTGCAAAGCTGTGGCTGAGCTGAGCAATGATCCTGTCCACTTCTGCATATAGATGGGCTTCCAGGGCAAAGCTCCGGTGCTGGGCACTCTGAAGATGCTGCCGGCGGGGGAGAGGAGCACAGGGCATTAGATGAGGCCTGGGGGGAGGGGGACACGGAAGCTGACCTCCCAGCCCATGCTCTGGCCCTGGAGGACAGCCATAGCAGCATAGAGATCGCATAGGAAGGACTCATCCCCAGTGAGCAGGCTCCCTCAGGGCACTCTGGGAGCAGCTGCTTAATGGGGAAGGGGCTCACCACATGGAGCTCCTCGAAGGCCTCCTGACAGCACTCGCAGTAGCCTTTCTTCCTCCTGGGCATGGTGTGGGCAGCTGATCGTGGGCTTGGCTCTCCATCCTTGGATTCTCTGGGGAGGGTACATAGTGCGGCAAAGTGGTTACTGCTGGGGCCCTTGGGGGGAGGAGCCACTACTTAGAGCCTGGAGCCTAGGTCAGGGAGGGGAAGGACCAAGATGGCCAAGGGGCTGTGCAGGCACCGGCAGGCAGGCCTTCCCTGAGCTTGGTACCAATCATCTAAGAATGGCAAGAGGGGAACAAGGAAGAAGACGTCTGGAGACCTCCCTGTGGGCAGCCTGTCTTATCTCTGTCCTCTCTCTCTTTTTTTTTTTTTTTTGAGAGAGTCTAGCTTAGTCACCCAGGCTGGAGTGCAGTGGTGCGATCTTGGCTCACTGCAATCTTCACCTCCTGGGCTCAAGCCATTCTCCTGCCTTAGCCTCCAGAGTAGCTGGGATTACAGGCGCCCGCCACAATGCTCAACTCATTTTTGTATTTTCAGTAGAGACGGGGTTTCACCATGTTGGCCAGGTTGGTCTCAAACTCCTGACCTCAGGTGATCCACCTGCCTTGGCCTCCCAAAGTGCTGGGATTACAGGTGTGAGCCACCGCGCCAGCCATCTCCGTCCTTCTCTTAAACGACAGGTGAAGATGGGATGGTGACGGCAGCAGCAAGAATCCCTTGTAGGAATTCCAACTCTGTGCTCAAACCTACACCCACATTCATGAGACCTGAAAGATGAAAGGGAAAAGGTCTCAACCACAGTGAAGGGACTGCTCTTCTTTTCCACCCTGAATGTCTCCCCAGCTTGGTTCAGTCTGTCCCTTCTCTCATGCTGCCTTGGATCTCTCACAGCTGTCCTCACTGTCCGCTAGGATTTTCAAACCTTCCTCAAACCTGACTTCTTTTTTTTTTTTTTTTTTTGAGATGGAGTATCGCTCTGTCACCCAGGCTGGAGTGCAGCAGCATGATTTCGGCTCACTGCAACCTCCACCTCCTGGGTTCAAGTGATTCTCTTGTCTCAGCCTCCCGAATAGCTGGGATTACAGGAACACACCACCACGCCTGGCTAATTTTCTTTCTTTTTTTTTTTTTTTTTTTTGTATTTTTAGTAGAGACAGGGTTTCACCATGTTGCCCAGGCTGGTCTCAAACTCCCGACCTCAGGTGATCTGCCCACCTCAGCCTCCCAAAATGCTGGGATTACAGGACTGAGTCACCACATCCGGCCAAGCCTGAATTCTTATCTGAATATCAGCCCCATATTTCTAACAACCAAAGGGCATTTCTATCTGGCTGTCCAGCAAACTCGACAAGTCCAAAACACTCCTTTTAAAGACTTCCTAAGTATGACACAAACCCCAGAAGATATACAGAAAAACTCATAAATTCAGCTATATACAACTTTAAAATATGTATGCATGGCAAAGAATCATTAGCAAATGATATGGTTAGGCTTTGTGTCCCCACCCAAATCTCATATTGAATTGTAATCCCTATAATCCCCAAGTGTCAATGGAGAGACCAGGTGGAGATAACTGAATCAGGTGGTTTCCCCCATGCTATTCTCGTGACAGTTCTCATGAGATGTGATGCTTTTGTAAGGGGCTCTTCCCCCTTCACTCAGCACTTATCCCTCCTGCCACCTTGTGGAGAAGGTGCCTTGCTTCCCCTTTGCCTTCCATCATGATTGTAAGTTTCCTGAGGCCTCCCCAGCCATGCTGAACTGTGAGTCTATTAAACCTCTTTCCTTTACAAATTACCCAGTCTCAGACAGGTCTGTATAGCAGTATGAAAATGGACTAATATAGCAGAGTTAAAAGACAAACCACAAACTTGGGGTTTTCTTGTCTTTTAAAAGTATTTACAACTTCTCTGCTCAGGGAGGCTTAGGAAAAAAATATATATATTGATTTATTTACAACTGCCAGGTACAGTGGCTCACACTTATAATCCCTGCACTTTGGGAGGTCAAGGTGGGAGGATCACTTGGGCGCAGGAGTTCGAGACCAGCCTGGGCAACATGGTGAAACCCCACCTCTACAAAAAATATAAAAATTAGCCAGGTGTGGTGGTGCACACCTGTACTCCCAGTTACTTGGGAGGCTGAGATGGGAGGATTGCCTGAGCCTGGGAGGTGGAGGTTGCAGTGACCAGAGAAAAGAAAATATTTACAACTAATAACAAAGAGCTCATTTTTCTAATATGAGAAGGGCTCCTTACAAATCATTAAAGTGATCAATAACCAAATAAAAAATGGGCAAAGTATAAAAAGAAGGTTCACATAAAAAGAGATTCAAACAACCAAACATATGCAAACTTACTTAGCCTCATTCATAGTAAGAAAAAACAAAAATTATAATTATACTGAGATACAGTTTTTAATCTGTTATACTGGAGGTCAGCATATCTGCCAGTCACAGCATGAGGCAAGGGGATGGGAAACAGCCTCTCTCATGCAGTGTAGGTAAACATATAAGTTGGTATCCGCTCCATGAAAAGCCATTTGGCTGAATTTATCAAAATTATAAATGCATATATCTTTTAACCCAATATTTCTACCTTTAGGAATTTATTCCACAAATGAGCAATTGCAAATTTACTCTGAACATGATTTTCATTGGAGCTAATCTAAGCATCCATGAATAACAGACTGGTTAAATAAAATACAGTAAATACATTCCATACAATGGAATAATGGATACCCTGCAGCCATAAAAGGGAATGCAATTTTTTTTTTTTTTTTGAGACAGGGTCTACTCTGTCACCCAGGCTGTTGTGCAGATTCACCACCTTGGCTCACTGCAACCTCTGCTTCCCATGCTTAAGCAATTCCCCAGCCTCAGCCTCCTGAGTAGCTTAGACTACAGGCTTGCACCACCATGCCTGGCTAATTTTTGTATTTTTAATAGAGGTGGGGTTTCACCATGTTGCTCAGGCTGGTCTCAAACTCGTGAGCTCAAGTGATCCACCTGCCTCAGTCTTCCAAAGTGCTAGGATTACAAGTATAAGCCACTGTGTCTGGCCAGATTTTTTAAAAATATAAAAATAGAGATGGGCGGGGGGGGGGGGGGGTGGTCTCATTATGTTGCCCAGGCTGGTCTCGAACTCCTGGCCTCAAAGTGATCCTTCCCCCTTGGCCTCCCAAAGTGCTGGGATTACAGGTGTGGTCTATCTCCAGAGATAGTTCATGGATATATAGGTACATGTGTATCCTTCGTTCCCTCTTCTTACATAAAGAATCATATAGGCTGGGTGTGGTGGCCCACACCTGTAATCCCAGCATTTTGGGAGGCTGAGGTGGGTGGATCACGAGGTCAGGAGTTCAAGACCAGTTGGCCAACATAGTGAAACCCCATCTGTACTAAAAACACAAACAATTAGCCGGGCGAGGTGGTGTGCACTGTAATCCCAACCACTCAGGAGGCTGAGGGAGGAGAATCGCGTGAACCTGGGAGGCGGAGGTTGCAGTGAGCAGAGATCACGCCACTGCACTCCTGCCTAGGCAACAGTGTGGGACTCATTCTCAAAAAAAAAAAAAAAAAAAAAGAATCATACAGTATTGACTATGCTGGATGTTACTTGCTTTTTCTTTTCATGCTGCCCCAGGCTGCACTCTCCATTTGGCAGGGGTGAGGCACCACTCGGATCTCCTCCAGCCTCTACCCCTGGGAGGAAGGTTGCACCAGTGAGGGGATAGAACTGGAGGCTGGGTGTGGAATATAGACTTTTCACATTAAACCATTTGTAACACAAATTTTAAACTTTTTAAATTTAAAAATTTTTAAACTTTAAAATATAATAATGATTTCAAAAATGTAAAAATTTAAACACTTCTTCCTACACATATTTTCCACATACACACGTGCCTGGAACTTTGATGTCCCACCAGGGCCAACTCCCTGCCTAGGCGCCTCACATGCAGATACCAAAGCTTCATTGCTTCATCTTCCCTTTACAGCCTCTTAGCTCCTCTGTGATCCCAAGGCCATCCCAGGCCTAGCATCACTGCCAGCGCCAAGCCTGGGCCACCTTCTGACTGGCTCTCCCTGGTATCCCTTGTATTGGGACTTAACCTCACCTCTTTCTCTCTTTGCTCCCATTTCATCTACTGCCACATTCCCTTAATTTTTTCCCTCCTATTTGTACTATTTTCTTACCCACAGCCTTTGTCAGCTGATGGAAACCACAGAGCCTCCTTGGCCCCAGGAACTCCAGGGCTGAGAGTCTGCTCTGTTCTCTCCTGGTCTATAACCCCACAGCCCAGAGGTTAGAAAGGGTCTGAGAAGGCATCTCACCCATCACCTGAGCTGAATTCCTTCTCTACTTTGGTTAATGAGGGTTCAAATTCTCAAACATCTGCAGAGTAGAAACATTAACAAGCCCACAAGCCATGAGCCACGTAATGCAGCGATCTTCTCCCCCGCCCCGCCCCTTAGTTATTCCTGATGTTTGGCCCAACCAGTTTAAACTTTGATATTCACTGAAATCACATGAGAGCTTGTAAAATGCAGCTTTTGGGGCTCCATCATCAGATATTTTGATTCTATAGATATGGGGTGGAGTTTAGGAACCTGCATCAGGGTTTCACTCTGTCACCCAGGCTGGAGTGCAGTGGCACAATCATAGCTTACTGCAACCTTGAACTCCTGGGCTCAAATGATTGTCCTGCCTTAGCCATCTGAGTAAGTGGGACTACAGGCACTTGTCATCACGCTTGACTAATTTTTTTTTTTTTTTTTTTTTTGAGAAGGAGTCTCGCTCTATCACCCAGGCTGAAGTACAGTGGCGCAATCTCAGCTCACTACAACCTCCGCCTGCCGGGTTCAAGCCATTCTCCTGCCTCAGCCTCCCAAGTAGCTGGGATTACAGGTGTGCACCACAATGCCTGGCTAATTTTTTTTTTGTTGCATTTTTAGTAGAGAAGGGGTTTCACCATATTGGCCAGGCTTGTCTCAAACTCCTGACCTGAAGTGATCCGCCCCCTTAGCCTCCCAAAGTGCTGGAATTACGGGCATGAGCCACTCTGCCTGACTCATAATTTTTTACATTTTTATTTTTATTTTTTGTAGAGGCAGAGTCTTGCTATGTTTGTGTGCCCAAGTTGGTCTCAAACTCCTGGCCTCATGTGATCCTCCCACTTTGGCATCTCAAAGTGCTGAGATTACAGGCATCAGCCACTGTGCCCAGCTAGAACTTGTATTTTTAATTAAAGAGACCCCAGGGGACTCTGATAATGGTGGTCTATAGATATGAGTTTGAGAAAGCGGTCTATTGTCTTCTGTGTATACTCGGTAAACCCTGCCGAGTGAGGTAACTGCTGGGTGCACCATGTCTGGTTGCAATGGTCCATGCTCTGGGGGAAACAGTGCAGGCCAGGGGTTCTGGGCGGACAGGGTAAGAGTGCTGTATCTCAGCAGTGAATTAACAAATAGGTCTTCTTCGACCCTTAAGGAGAAGGGGGTGCCCTTCACAACCCTGGCACCTCCCTTTCTTCTTCAAGTTAAATTCTTCAGTACGGATGAAGAACACAAAATAAAATGGATGAACGCTCCTAGTCTCTCTTCTCTGGGCTACGTTCCCAGAATAGACTTTGCCTAAGGAGCAAACACATGGCCATTCCCAAATCTGACCAGCAGGCCCCCGATGGGGAGGACTTTGGCCTGTAACCAGCCCTTGGTACTCAGGAACCAGAAAGACCCACCTGGTATGGTGCATGCTGCCCAGGGTCGTCGGGGCCTCAAAGGGACTTGCATCTTTGGGTCCAAGAAAAGAAATTTCAGGAAAGGATTTAAACTGATGATGGAAAGGACGAAACTTCCTGCAACAGAGAAAACTTCCACTTTGACTACAATGGGGAAGGTAAAGGCTGAGGAGGGGGCCTCGCCCAATGCCCTAGAATTCCAGCCCTGATAAAGTGGACTCTCACCTCCACATCTTTTAAATTCTATAACAAAACTCATCAGCCTTTCTAGGTTAAATTAATACATATGTTCTCCCTGTCTACTTTTCTTTTTTTTTTTTGAGACAGAGTCTCGCTGTCGCCCAGGCTGGAGTGCAGTGGCGCGATCTCGGCTCACTGCAAGCTCCGCCTCCCAGGTTCACACCATTCTCCTGCCTCAGCCTCCCGAGTAGCTGGGACTACAGGCGTCCGCCACCATGGCCGGCTAATTTTTTGTATTTTTAGTAGAGACGGGGTTTCACTGTGTTAGCCAGGATGGTCTCGATCTCCTGACCTTGTGATCTGCCCACCTCAGCCTCCCAAAGTGCTGGGATTACAGGCGTGAGCCACCACGCCCGGCCCCTCCCTGTCTACTTTTCAAACTCATACCACTGCCTCCCTGGAATCCTATAAGCACCCTCTGGGCTTATCCTATTTTATATCTAAGGAAATGAAGCCCAAGAGGTTCTGTGACTTGCTCAAGGGCTCACAAATAGTTAAGCAGCCAAGGTCAGATCAGAAGCCACATCTCCAGACTCCTGATCTACTTTTCCCCACCTTCCCATTTGTTTCTTGACCCTACAACAATCTTTGAGGACTCTAGCCTGGCAGATTCTAAATGGAAGAATGTTTAAACCAGAACAGTTATTTCCCTGTTCTGTGAAGTGTTCTTGCTGGTCCTTAGAACTATCTGAGGGCTGGGTTCTGAAAGGAGAAGACAGGCACAGTGAAGGTTCTGGATAGTCAGACCTGGACTGAGTGGTTCTGGCAGTGTGCCTCAAGTTGCAAACATTTAAGAGATTTGCAGAGACAGAAGTGATCTGTGTATACTTCGCAAACCCTGCCAAGTGAGGTAACTGCCGGGTGCACCATGTTTGGTTGCAATGGTCCATGTTCTGGGGGAAACAGTGCAAGCCAGGGGTTCTCAGGGAGCAGGGTAAGAGTACTGTAGCTCAGCAGTGAATTAACAAATAAGTCTTCTTGGACCCTTAAGGAGAAGGGGGTACCCCTCACAACCCTGGCATGTTTCTTTCTTCTTCAATGATATTGTTTCTGCTTAGGGGGCTTGAAACTTGAGGATGGGCAGGCTAATAGGCCTAATAGGCTTTGAATGCACCTGCTTCAAAACAGCACATAAAAAAAAAATCACAAGAGGCTGGGCACTGTGGCTCCCACCTGTAATTCCAGCACTTTGGGAGGCCAAGGCAGGTGGATCACCTGAGGCCAGTTTGTGATCAGCCAGGCCAACATGGCCAAACCCCGTCTCTACAAAAAATACAAAAATTAGCTGGGCGTGGTGGTGAACACCTTTAGTCCCAGCTACTCGGGAGGCAGAAGAATCGCTTGAATCTGGGAGGCAGGGGTTGCAGTGAGCCGAGATTGTGCCACCGCACTCCAGCCTAGGTGATGGAGTGAGACTCCGTCTCAAAAAAAAAAAAATTTCACAAGAAATCTCAGCTCCAGTTGGATCTCCTCTCTGGCCTATAATGCCAGGAATATGTGTACCCCTCTCTGGTGACAGTGATATACCTGTGCCTGCCATGTGCAGTGCAGATACTGAGGCTGTAACAGTGCCTTTCAGCCGTTGCATATGTGTCATGATTACCTACATTTAAATAGGTGTGAAGGGGCTGGGGATGAACACGCAATCCATCCCACTGGAACTGGAAGACAGCACCTCTGTACCATCCCATTGTTCTCTCCACTTGCCTTTGGGCCACCAAAGCCAGCGCAGCACTGTCTGCAGGTGCTGAGAAGTGACCCTGGGCTTGTCTGGAGGATGGGCAGGCATGCCAGGCTCCTAGGGCTGGTCTCAGCTGCCCTGCCCTTCCCTGTCTGAGGCACACAGACAATTCTGTCCTCAGTAGTCTCTGCTGGATACACATGGACTTATTTCCTTTAAAAAATTTATTTAGTCTGAAAATGCCTTTTTGGAAAAAATATTAAAAACAAAAATTTAAATTTTGAGATAATTATAGATTCACATACACTTTCGATCTTGTACTTACTGAAGATTCAGTGATAACCAACATGGCTGCTAATAGCTCATTAGGTTAACATTGTCATGGGACCCTCCTGCTCCGAGGGAAGAGGAGATCATAATGGTGGACAGAGAAGACACAAGACAGGGTAGGCAGGACACCTGGATTCTAGCCTTAGGCTGCAATTTATTAGCAAGGTGGCTGTACACAAGTCCCTTCCTTTCTCTGACCTCAGTTTTCCCCATTAGGAAGAGATGGGCTCTCCTCATGCTTTTTTCACCCAGGGCTGTCAGGAGGTAACATGAGCCAGAAAACGATTTTCAAAGTGAAACAGAAAGGCTTTATCAAGTACAGGGTGGCCTGACAAGGGAATCCCCAGTACCACCCCTAGCACCCTAATTTCAGCCAAGATGATGTCTTGGACTATACTAGCACTGTGACTGGGTAATGATTTGACATGAAATGTCAGCATACACCCAAGGGGAAAGGAGTTGCAATAATGAGCCTGCATGGGACACCATGAGCTCATAGAGCAGAGTATTAAATGGAGGTAATTCACACACAGGATCATTAACCTCTGACTCATCTCCAAGAGGACTATTCACTGTATAATGCCACTCTGAGGCTCCTCCTGGTTTGCATGAGACTTCTCCATGACAATGGGAGAAAGTGGCTTCTCAGGAAGATGAAGGTGCAGGGTTAAGGGGCTCCATGTCTTCACATTAGCTTGAGGCCCCTGAGCACCCCTCCCTCCTCCCTCCTCTGTGCAGGCCTAGCTGGGGCAAGCAGAGAAAGGAGGTCCCACTCACCTGCTTTCATCTTCGATTTTGAGGAACGGGGCCTTCAGTCTGGCCACTGAAAGGGGAAGAATGCACACATCAGCTATCTGTCTGCCCCTGTGCAGGGCCTGCACCACACATGCAGGAAATGCTGAGAGGGAAGGCTCTGCCAAAGCCTAAGAGCCTTGCAAGAGCTGGAAATCATGCCACCCCAGGCTGCGCTCTCCATTCACTCAGATCTCCAGCCTCTACCCCTGGGAGAAAGGTTGCACCAGTGGGGGGATAGGCTGCAGTTAACACTGAAGCCCTAGATGGGCCCTTCCTCTGCAGGACGCAGGAGCTCCTGTGTGTGGATTCTGGAGGCTATCGACCAACCAAAGATGCCACCACCATCAGACACCTGGCTGGTTTGGTGGGAGAAACCCAGCCCCTGATGGCTTCTGCTAAAAGCAGGGTGGGGGTGGTCATTCCCACAAAGTCCCAGGTCCTTCCTAGCCCTTTGCTTCTGGAGCCTCAGGATACTGAGGGGCCTAAGATCAACTCCCAGGCAGAATGCTCCAGGAGGACCCTGGGTTTTTTGGAGGGGAAGCAGAGAGGAAGAGGGATAAAGAGTGTTTAGTGGTCTTATTAGCAGGATGGTAGAAAAATATCACAGGTAAAATCTGATTCCTGAAAAAATAGGGCAAAGGAGTGCTGAGAAGATGAATTTGGAGTCAATTAAGAGACTCACCCCTATTAGATAGTTATTCGCATAGCTTACAAAATCCCTTAGGCATCAGGACCCACAGTGACCAGGAGTCCTGTCGAAGGGGCAGCCAAGGCAGCTGAAATCCTGGGCCCATCTGACAGCCATAAATTCCCCAAAGACGCTGGCACCTTACAGCTCCCAACTGTACTTGAGGCCACCAGTAGCACCCAAGCAAAAAGCAGCCTTTTCTCCTTTAGCAGCAGCTCTCATTAATTACTTTTTGGGGACAATTTCTTGTCTTTCTAATTAACTGAGACAGTTATTAAAATCAATTCCCCTACAGACTTCCTTGAATTTTGAGCATGAGAGAGGTGCCAAGTGACTTTTCTTAGCTCCTGCTTGTGCATGAATAAATGCCACTGAAAGAGCATCTTTGGGAGAAACATCCAGGGGGAGCAACTCTCCTGCTGTCCAAGAGGAACCAGGAGACGGAGTCCATCAATCTGCCAGTTTGTCAGTTTCACGGAGTTTGGCAGTTCTGAAAACGGTAGGCAGCTGTCAAACTGCCCACCCCCAAACTGCTACTGAATCAGAAGGAAAAGGATGCTGAACCTCAATCGATGCCCAGGAACAGCCAGAGGACACAGGAGCCAAAGTGTCTGCATGGGGTCTTGGCTCTAAAGGAGAAGCCCCGGCCCAGCAGCTCTGGACTTGCTCTTGGGCATGCCTCTCTCGCTCCAGAAACCTGAGGACCAGGCCCTGGAAACACAAAGGGGCAAGATAACCTGGACTCGCTTGCTGCCACAGAAAAGTGAGCAGATGCTGCCACAGAGGGAGTCGTGGGGAAGTGTTTAGGGAGGGAGGGATTGCAATTAGATGAGGAAAAGCTACCACACTGACCTTTCCGTGTTCTTGACTCTGCTGCTGGACATGTTCCCTAAATGGAAAGGAAAAATAGGTTAAGGATGTGAGGAAGCCACGGGGGTCAAGGAACTGGGCCTGATAAGCCAAGTGGCTGCCAGTCTGTCCCACTTTGCTTCCTGCTGTTGAGAGGCCTGCAGAACCAGACTCTCAGGCCCTGAGCTGGAGCAGACCTGGGCACAACGGCTCCCTCTTCGGCAACACGATGAATAAGGGGGGCACTCGGTGTGTGAATCTTAATGGCAGCTGACTGTGCAGGGAGTGCAGGACAGTACAGAGAGCAAGAACTCTGGAGTCCCAGAGGCCTGGTGGGTACTTCAGCTCTGCCACCTGCAATGTGAAGAGTACCCACCGACCTCATCGCATGTGGCACAGAATAGATGCTCACTAAATGGCAGCTTTATTTTCTAGGTACTGATGCTGTTCCAGGTACCCTATAGGACTAGGATAAAGACGATAGCCATTTGCTTTCCTATGTCCTATCTTGTGTACTCTGATCCTGTGGGTCAAAATCAATGTTTAAGCCAAGGTCAAACAAAGCTGATATTAAAAAGTAAATGGAGGCCGGGCGTGGTGGCTCACGTCTGTAATTTCAACATTTTGGTAGGCCGAGGCAGGTGGATTGCTTGAGCTCACAAGTTTGAGACCAGCCTGGGCAGCATAGTAAGACCCTATCTTTAAAAAAAAAAAAAAAAAATTAGCCAGGCATGGTGGCGCATGCCCGTAGTCCTAGCTACTTGGGAGGCTGAGGTGGGAGGATGGTTTGAGCCCAGGAGGTGGAGGTTGCAGTGAACAGAGATGGCGCCACTGCACTCCAGCCTGGGCGACAGAGCCAGACCTTGTCTCACAAAAAAAGTAAAGTAAAATAAACAAATAAAATAAAAAGAAAAAAGAGTAAATGGATCTTCTGGTATATACCTGAAAAATAAGTAAATAAATGTAAGATAAATGGAATAAAATAAAAAAATCAGCTTTAGCTGGAGGGCCAGGATGATGGTGGATCCATGACCACCTGTGCCTCTGGGCCTTAAGAAGTTCCAGATTCTCCTCTAGGCCACACCTTGGGGGCAAACACAATCCAAAGAAGCCTCTCACATTCCCTTGCGTATCAGCACATTACACCCAAAACTCACTTCACTGCTAGATATCTACAAAACTAATTTTTTTTTCTTTTTTTTGAGACAGAGTCTCACTCTGTTGCCCAGGCTGGAGTGCAGTGGTGTGATCTCAGCTCACTGCAACTTGTCTCCAGGGTTCAAGCGATTCTCCTGCCTCACCCTCCCAAGTAGCTGGGATTACAGGCATGCGCCACCACACATGGCTAATTTTGTATTTTAGTAGAGACAGGGTTTCACCATGTTGGCCAACTGGTCTCAAACTCCCGACCTCAAGCGATTCACCTGCCTCGGTCTCCCAAATTACTGGGATTACAGGCGTGAGCCACTGTGCCCGGCCTACAAAACTGATTAAGTTAAAGTAAAAATGCTGTGTATCTGCATAGAAGGGGGGAATTTTTGACATATTTGCTTCTATGTGCATAGAGTCCTAGAAACTGTTCACACTTTCAGGGAGGAAGGTCAGTGGTTGAGGAGAAGCTGGAGCAGGGCGAGAATTTTTGTTGTATACCCTTTTGAATTTTGAATAACACAAATTTAACAGCAGCAATGTCCCCAACACTCCTAGAGGAGAGGGTGTGGAGAGGGCGTCAGTGTCTGAATGCTCCATCCACTATTTTTTTATGTTTTTTTGAGACAGAATTTTGCTGTCGCCTAGGCTGGAGTGCAGTGGTGCGATCATGACTCATTGCAACATGTCTCCTGGGTTCAAGATTCTCCTGCCTCAGCCTCCTGAGTAGCTGGGATTACAGGCATGTGCCACCACGCCCGGCTAATTTTTGTATTTTTAGCACAGTCGGGGTTTCACCACACTGGCCAGGCTGGTCTTGAACTCCTGACCTCAAGTGATCTGCTGGCCTTGGCCTCCCAAAGTGCTGGAATTACAGGTGTGAGCCACCATGCCCAGCTGCTCCATCCACTTTGGATGTGGCTTGCTAGTTCTGTTAGCTAATTAGCACTGTTAACTAATAGCTATTACTGTTCGTCCTGTGCCTGGATGCCAGGCTGTGGGTAGATCTGTAGATTTAATCCTTCCTCAGATTGAGGCTTGGGTGAAGATACTGTGGCTTTAAACCAGGTTGGGCTCTCTTGATGTAGTACACACAGTTCTAACGCCAGCAAAGAATGGAAAACAAACAAGGATTTAGAAGATGGCAGCTATTTCAATCACTCCTTCTCACCCCTGCAGTATGCAGACTCGTTCCCAGTCTAGAGGCTGTACAGGGAAAGTTCCAGAATAGCAGCCTGGTCAGTGCCATGGGCATTTATGAACTTTATCTGGTCCAGAACTACTGTAGGGAGCCCATGGCCCAGGCAGTCCAGGCCATAGGGATGTCTCAGCAGGGTGTGTGCCATGGGAGGACTGCAAGTGCCACAGAGAAGAGAGAAGAAAGGGTGTTGCAAAGCTATGGGCACTAGGACTGAGGTAAATAAGAGGCTGCATTCCTCTTCCATCTTTCAGAATGGCCAGGAAGAGATGGTTTGGGTGGGCCATGGATTTACCTAAGTTGTCACTGATTTCATTGAAAACCATCCATTTGTCCTTCAGTTCAGCAGGATGACCTACCTCTGGCTTCTTTGGCTGTTGTTTTTTCACACATAAAGACGCAAGAGACAGCTGTTGCACGTGCATCATCATTTCTGTGGAGAAGACAGAGGGTTTGTGCCAAAGGCTTCCAGTCTTCACTTACCTAGCACAGCCCCTTCCTGGGCTGCAGGACTAAACTCGCTGGGCCAGCCCACTGAATCACTCCAGCCTTGCCTGCCACCTTCTGGCTACACATCCCCTCTGCATCTCCTGACAGCGGAGGTTAAGGACTGGGTCCTCTATCCCTGGAACAGCACCTGAGCGGGTGTCATGCTCTTTTGCAGCATTGAATACAACTCATCTTTGAACAGAAGGTGCCTCATGGCTTGCTAAGGACTTTAAGGCACCACTGAAGAGCTGTGGCTGTGAGGGAGGCCATGCTGTGTGAACTACTCAGCTGTACCCTCAGGTGAAAGACCAGCAAGGGCTAAACATGCTAGCACTCCTCTAACAGAGAAAGGCAGGGAAGGAAATCAAGTCAGAAATGGCTGATTTTTCAGTGAGATGAAGCCCTCCACATCCCAGACCAGGAACTTCCCCTGTACAGCCTCTAGACTCCCCTGGAAGATCTTGGTACCAAGGGGTGGGGCAGCGCCCCAGTCAGCACCTATGGGCTGTCCCATCTGGACCAATCCTCTAAAATGGATCACAGAAAACTCCAGACTCAAGAATGGAGCTGGGTATGAAACCACTCACTGCCACCTGGTTCAAGACAACTATTCTAGTGTAAACAGGCTGCAAACAGGTTGTTTACAGTGTGAAAAAAGAAGGAGCACAAAATTTACAGCTGAGTAAAACTGAGAGTGGTGGGCCACACTACACACTCTGGTGAGACCATGGACAATTTGCCTAATCCCTTTGAGGCTCAATTTCCTCATCTGTATAATGGGGACAGGACTGTAGTGAGGATTAAATGAGGTAATTCGTAGCACAGAGTCAATACCTGTTAGGTGGCCATGAATTTTTTTTTTTTTTTTTGAGACGGAGTCTCGCTCTGTCGCCCAGGCTGGAGTGCAGTGGCGCAATCTCGGCTCACTGCAAGCTCCGCCTCCCAGGTTCACGCCATTCTCCTGCCTCAGCCTCCCGAGTAGCTGGGACTACAGGCGCCCGCCACCACGCCCGGCTGATTTTTTGTATTTTTAGTAGAAAAGGGGTTTCACCGTGTTAGCCAGGATGGTCTCGATATCCTGACCTCGTGATCTGCCTGCCTCGGCCTCCCAAAGTGCTGGGATTACAAGCGTGAGCCACCGCACCTGGCCGAATTTTTTTTTTTTTTTGAGACGGAGTCTCGCTCTGTCACCCAGGCTGGAGTGCAGTAGCATGATCTTGGCTGACTGCAACCTCTGCCTCCTGGGTTCAAGTGATTCTCCTGCCTCAGCCTCCTGAGTAGCTGGGATTACAGGCACGCACCACCAGGCTCGGCTAATGCTTCTATTTTTAGTAGAGACGGGGTTTCACCACGTTGGTCAGGCTGGTCTCGAACTCTTGACCTTGTGATCCACCCGCCTTGGCCTCCCAAAGTGCTGGGATTACAGGTGTGAGCCACCTCGCCTGGCCAGTGGTCATGAATATTAAGATCATTTCTGCATTTGTAAAACAGGATCATCATACTAGCTGGGGGAGAGCTGTAGCAGGTGACATGAAACGGCATGTTCTAGGGACCTCCTGCGGGATGCCGAGGCCACAGCCTGCACTCTGCGTCCTCACCGCTTTCCCCCTTCCCCACATCCTCCCACCTTTGTGGATCAACATGGCAGCTGAGTATTTCTGGCTTCCGGTGACCAGAAGCTCACATGACCATGATCCTTCTAAAAGCTGACACTCCTGGTCAAAGTCACCAATTCTCCCTCCACAGGAGCCCAGCACAGAAAGGGTACCATCCACGTGCAGAATCCTCACTCCCCAAGAGCGGGCATTGGTCAGGAGGCTGCTGCTGCCCCCACTGCCTCCTCCACTGATGCTCCCCTGAAATTACAACACAGAGTCAGGTAGGAGCAGAGACTCCCCAAGGCCTGAAAGTGAAGGGGACAGATAGAAATTGCTTCTGGGAGGCCTGAGTCATCCATGGGAGGGACTGCAGGGAGGCAGGTAGGAGAGAGAGTACAGTGCCCAGAGAGTCCATCCCAACCCCCAGGAAGACATCCTGTCCTCCACATGGCCACATTGGGAGAGGAAGGACCACTGGTCTGCCTATACATTGTGCTCTGGCCACCTCGTGACCAGGAAGGAACAGATGCTTCTGAGAGAGCTGTTCGTTGGGAGGGCCTCTGCGAGGAAAGCTCTCAGCACAGTAAGTACACAACAAACACGGTGACCATCATCCTCACTGAGCATGAAACTATGCTAGCTGCAGATCTTCCCCCTCCACTGGCTCAGTCCAGCAGCACCACCTCCCCCATCACAGCCATGTACCCCTCCTGATGTCACCAGCATGACTCTTCTCACAAGATCACCTTAACTCCTCCTCCTGCCACTAAACTTTAACAGCCCTGGATTTTCACACAAGGAATAAAGAGTTACTTGTTTTTTGTTTTTTTTTTGAGACAGAGTCTAGCTCTATCGCCCAGGCTGGAGTGCAGTGGCACAATCTCGGCTCACTGCAACCTCCACCTCTCAGGTTCAAGTGATTCTTCTGCTTCAGCCACCTGCGTAGCGGGGACTACAGGTGCGTGCCACCACACCCTGCTAATTTTTCGGTAGAGATGGGGTTTCGCCATGTTGGCCAAGCTGGTCTTGAACTCCTGGCCTCAAGTGGTCCACCCACCTCAGCCTCCCAAAGTGCTGGGATTATAGGCGTGAGCCACCACACCCAGCCTAGAGTTACTTGTAAAAGAAGTCTGGCTTCTGTACCCAGCAACCCTGTCCCGCCACATCCCACATCCCCACAGTTCTCTTGGTAGGCTCCAGAGTTGGAGGTGGCTCTGGCTTCAACACTTACTCTCTAGGTGAATGGCTAAATAACTTGTCTGAGCCTCCACTACCTGATGTAGAAGAAGGAAATAATGACAATACTACATATCGCAGAGTGTGCATTTTGTGTGGGTGCTTCAGAAGAACCTGGGAAGAAGAGTGAAATCCCTCCCTATGCTGGAGACCACCGGCTCTGTCCCATCTTGCCCCAGCTCACCTGGTTTCTGATAGCCTTCTGCAGCAGCTCCTTCCCTCTGCTTAGAGGCACCTGACAGGGACAGAAGAGCAGTGAGGTCTGCTGTTAGGCCACCTGTGCACTGAAAGATGTTTACACAGGAGCTGGTGAGGGGTTATGTCTTGGGGTTATGTCCCTCGGAAAGCTGGGAGCAGTGACAACTGAGGATTGGTAGAAATGAGAGCCTAGAAAACGTTTAGGAGGTAAAGGTAAAGCCACAGGAAATTTAGGTCACCCTGAGGTGGCAGCCTGAACCTGGTGGAGAGAAGGGCACTCTGAATTCACTGAGATCCAATTGTTACAAATGTCCTGAGACCCTCTTTAAGAGTCTCTGCACCCTCCAGGAGATAATGAAAGCAAATGTTTCACTTTAGAAATTTTTGCTCGTAGGAAGTCCCATCTGTCATCACAATGCCAACAGTGTATGTTCATGGACATTTTAATATTAATATGTTAGACAAAATAAGAATGCAAGCCTAGAGGGGAAAAGCCATATTCCATTTTAAATCAAAGACATAACATGTGTATTGTCCAAACTCTTGGCCCTTCATACATGCAAGCAAGGAAGAAGGGAATGGCTGCCTACTCAGGGTACTCCTGCCCAAGCGCAGACCAATCCCAACACGTCTTCTCTGGTTTATGAAGACTCTCCTCTGGTTTCTAAACCTCTGACTTTCAAGTCCCGTAAAAACTGACATAAGGCATAAAAGGGTAGCATGGGGGATAGTATGTTGCTGAGGTGTTTAGATCCAGAGCTATGATAAAATATTCTCAGTCCCTGAATTCAAATGAGAGATTAAATTAATCCAGATGAAATTAAAACCAGAGACTGCCTTAAAAGGCTCACCAAAGCCTACTTCCTTTGTTTACACAGCATACCTTTCCTACATGAGGTTCTTACCGAGTCAACGGGTTTCCGTGAAGGCCTGGGGTGGCTGCCTTTTGGATCAACCATGGCCGATGTTTCCACTCTGACCTCACTGGGGCTAGGGCTAGGGCAGCCTCTATGGCTTTTCCCACTGCTCTCTGCCTTTACTTCTCTGCGGCTGGACACGATGTAACTTACTTCTTTGCTCAGAAAACCCTCAATTACCTGAAACCAGATCACAGAGGTGGCTGAAAACCAAAAAGCAAATGCAGAATTGTCAATATAAAGAGGCTGGAGAAGGAAATCTTGGCTGCCAGGAGTTCCAGAATCAATGTCTTTAAATAGACTAAATGCAGTTTCATACCAAGTTCCTAAGAAGACATCATCCTGAAATCTAATGGGGTGTGTGTGTGTGTGTGTGTGTGTGTGTGTGTGTGTGTGTGTGTATGTGTATTACAGGTTTTGTCTACAGGACTGCTGCCCCTGACCCAGTGGCAGAAGGCTGCGGGCTTTGAGTTCTATGAGCAGTTTGAGTTTGCATGCAGCAAGAACACACTGAAAGAGCTGGAAAGGATTAAGACTAGATTGTGTAAGCTGTGATTTTTCTGTGTAAGACACACTGGGGACCAGGTGTGGTGGCTGATACCTGTAATCCTAGCACTGTAGGAGGCTGAGGTGGGAGGATCAATTGAGGTCAGGAGTTCAAGACCTGCCTGGGCAACATAGTAAGATCCTGTCTCTAAAATTTTTTTTTTTTTTAATTAGCTGGGTGTTGTTACATGCACCTATAGTCCTAGCTACTTGGGAGTCTGAGGCAGGAGCATCACTTGAGCCCAGTAGTTCAGTGATGCAGTGAGCTATGACTACACTACTACACTCCAGCTTGGGGAGTGAAATCCTGTCTCTAAAAAAAAAAGAAAAAAAAAGGCTAAAATGGCTTATTTTATGTTATATACACTTTACCACTATTAAAAAAATTAGTTATGAATTGAAGGATTACATTTACCTTTTTTTTTCTTTTCTTTTCTTTTTTTGAGACAAGGTCTCACTTTGTCTCCCAGGCTGTAGTGCAGTGGCATGATCTCGGCTCACTCTAATCTCCACCTCCCGGGTTCAAGCAATTCTCCTGCCTCAGCCTCCCAAGTAGCTGGGACAACAGGTGTGTCCCACCACACTGGCTAATTTTTGTATTTTTAGAAGAGATGGGGTTTCACCATGTTGGCCAGGCTGGTCTGGAACTCCTGACCTCAAGTGATCTGCCCACCTTGGCCTCCCAAAGTGTTGGGATTACAGGTGTGAGCCACCGTGTCTGATCACATCTACCTTTTTTTTGTCACCAGGCTGGAGTGCAGTCATGCGATCTCAGCTCACTGCAACCTCCGCCTCCCAGGTTCAAGCAATTCTCCTACATCAGCCTCCCGAATAGCTGAGACTACAGGCGCATGCCACCACGCCCAGCTAATTTTTGTAATTTTAGTAGAGATGGGGTTTCACCATGTTGGCCAGGATGGTCTCGATCTCTTAACCTTGTGATCTGCCCGCCTTGGACTCCCAAAGTGCTGGGATTACAGGTGTGAGCCACCGTGCCTGGCTGCATCTACCTTTTTTAATACAGCAAAAGCAAATGCTAGAGGGTAGGAGTAGGGCAATCAATGATTATCCTATATAAATATAGGAGATTGTTAATGACCATATATTCCTCCTCCCATCCCAGTATACCCACTCCTTTGCAATATGACTTTGCTCTTCCTGCCATTAGGAGGTGGGACCTACTTTTTTATGCCCTTCAATCTGACTCGATTGGACCAATAGAACATGTGGAAATTATGATGTGTGAGTTCTGGAGCCTAGGCCTCAGAGGCCTTAGCTTCCTGCCTCACTTTCTGGGAAGGTGGCCTTGAGACCACCATGTTAAATCAGCTAGTTTAGCTTATTGCATATAGTTATGATAACTGACACAGAGTGCCAGATGTGTGAGTGAGGCCATCTTGGTCTTTCCAGCCCAGGTGACCGTCCAGCTGAATCCAGCCTCAGGAGTGAGCCCTGCTGAAACCACCAGATAAACCACCCAGCCAACCCACAGCATAATGAGAAATAATAAATTGTTGTTTTGGCCAGGTGTGGTGGCTCATGCCTGTAATCCTAGCACTTTGGGAGGCCAAGGCAGGTGGATCACCTGAGGTCAGGAGTTTGAGACCAGCCTGGCCAACATGGTGAAACTTCGTCTTCACTAAAAGTACAAAAAAAAAAAAAAAAAAAAAAAAATTACCCGGGCATGGTGGCAGGCACCTGTAAACCCAGCTACTCTGGAGGCTGAGGAAGGAGAATCGCTTGCACCTGGGAATTGGAGGTTGCAGTGAGCCAAGATCGCACCATTGCACTCCAGCCTGGGCATCAAGAGCAAAACTTTGTCTAAAAATAAATAAATAAATAGAAAATAAATTGTTGCTTTAAGCCCAAGTAGGGTTGGTGTTTTACATAGCAAAGGCTAAATGACAGAAAGGACTAAAAGTTCAAAATGTAATTATGGGCCAGTTTGGTTATATAATCCTCATTCTATCCATCCTCACCACTGAGTTTCTGCAGTCCTGAGTTTCTGGGTTTGACAGCAAAGAGCCTCTCCATTCCAAGCCCTATTCATCCAGTTTCCCCAGTTATTAGTCTCTTTTGGGTCAAGCACTATCATGCTGTTTTCTTTTTTTTTTCTTTTTGAGACAGAGTCTTGCTCTGTTGCCCGGGCTGGAGTGCAATGGCACAATTTTGGCTCACTAGAACCTCTGCCTCCCGGGTCCAAGCGATTGTTGTGCCTCAGCCTCCCGAGTAGCTGGGACTACAAGTGCGTGCTACCATGCCCTGCTAATTTTTTTATATTTTTAGTAGAGACAAGGTTTCATCATGTTGGCCAGGCTGGTGTAGAACTCCTGACCTCAGGTGATCTGCCCACCTCAGCCTCCCAAAGTGGGATTACAGGCACGAGCCACTGAGCCTAGCCTAAATATATATATGGTTTTTTTTTTTTTTTTTTTTTTTTGAGATGGAGTCTTGCTTTGTTGCCCAGGCTGGAGTGCAGAGGCACGATCTTGGCTCACTGCAACCTCCACCTCCCGGTTTCAAGCAATTCTCCTGCCTCAGCCTCCCGAGTAGCTGGGATTACAGGCGCATACCACCACACGCAGCTAATTGTTGTATTTTCAGTACAGATGGTGTTTCACCATGTTGGCCAGGCTGGCCTTGAACTCTTGGCCTTAAGTGATCCGCCCGCCTCGGCCTCCCAAAGTGCTGGGATTACAAGTGTGAGCCACTGTGCCTAGCCCCTAAAAATATTTTAATGGAATCAAATATAGCAAATGCTTTTTACTCAAAGTTGTTCACCTGTGTTATTTCTAAATGCTAAAAATTATTAAGAGTCTAAATGTCCACAGAGCAACAGTTAAGTAAATTAATAATCCACTCAAAAGAATATTATATTCCCACCGCAAATGATGCATATGAAGGGCAATAATGGTAGAAAAGTGCTAACGCTTTAAGGTTATGGGTAAAAAATTGATAATAAAAATGTACTAACGCCAGCTGGATGCTGTGGCTCATGCCTGTAATCCTAACATTTTGGGAGGCTGAGGTGGGGGGATTGCTTGACGCCAAGAGTAAAAGACCAATCTGACCAACACAGCGAGACCCTGTCTCTAAAATTAAAAAAAAAGTACTCATGATCATAGCTAGAAAAAAAATAAGCATTGCCCTGCCCCTCCCAGCCTTGCCCTCAGCTCCCTCTTGCAGGCAACTGGGTAAGGCAAAAATAAATAAATAAATAAATAAATAAATAAATAAATAAATAAAAAAGGGCCGGGTGCGATGGCTCACACCTGTAATCCCAGCACTTTGGGAGGCTGAGGTGGGTGGTTCACCTGAGGTCAGAAGTTCGAGACCAGCCTAACCAACATGGAGAAACCCCGTCTCCACTAAAAATACAAAATTAGCCAGGCATGGAGGTGCATGCCTGTAATTGCAGCTACTTGGGAGGCTGAGGCAGGAGAATTGCTTGAACCCGGGAGGTGGAGGTTGCAGTGAGCTGAGATCGCACCATTGCACTCCAGCCTGGGCAACAAGAGCAAGACTCCGTCTCAAAAAAAAGAAAGAAAAAGGGCCAGTAGCAGTGCCTCAGGCCTGTAATCCCAGTACTTTGGGAGGCTGAGGTGGGAGGATTACTTGAATCCAGGAGGTCGTGACCAGTCTGGGGCAACATGGCGACACTCTGCCTCCACAAAAAATACAAAAATGAGCAGGGCATGGTGGCGAGCACCTGTAGTCCCAGCTACAGGGAGACTGAGGCGGGAGGATCACCTGAGTCTGGGGAGGTTGAAGCTGTAGTGAGCCATGACCGCGCTCCTGCATTCTAGCCTCTGTGACTGAGTGTGGCCCCCTCTTAAAAAAAAAAAAAAAAAAAAGAAGCACAAAAAAACAAAGGCAGGATGGAGGCAGAAGGTAGATGGGCATTACCAAGGGCTAGGAGTATCAAGGATATAGGGAGTTGCCCAAGCATATAGGGAGTGACTGATAATGGGTACAGGGTTTCCTTTTTGGGGTGATGAAAATGTTCTACAATTGACTATGCGATCATACAACTTACACATTTCTGTGAATATACTAAAAACCACTGAGCTGTGTACTTTAAACGGATGAATTTTATGACATGTGAATTATATCTAAATTAAGCCATTATGAGAGGAAGGGAGGAAAGAAAAATACTTAAAAATGCTGGTTGTCACTTGGAGTAGTTCCATGTTCTCTAAAATTTCTAGAGTGAACAGATAATATGTTTGTTTATTTTAACATTATTTTTGAGACATGGTCTTGCTCTGTCATCCAGGCTGGAGTGTAGTGGTGCAATCATAGCTCACTATAGCCTCAAACTCCTGAGCTCAGATAATCCTCCCAGCTTAGCCTCCTGAGTAGCTGGACTACAGGCATGTGCCACTGCCCCCAGCTAATGTTTTTTTTTTTTTTTTTTTTTTTGAGATGGAGTCTTGCTCTTGTTGCCCAGGCTGGAGTGCAATGGCGTGATCTCGACTCACCGCAACCTCTGCCACCTGAGTTTAAGTGATTCTCCTGCCTCAGCCTCCTGCATAGTTGGGATTACAGGCATGTGCCGCCACACCCGGCTAATTTTGTATTTTTAGTAGAGACAGGGTTTCTCCATGTTGGTCAGGCTGGTCTCAAACTCCTGACCTTAGGTGATCTGCCCACCTGGGCCTCCCAAAGTGCCGGGATTACAGGAGTAAGCCACCGTGCCCGGCAGCTATAATTTTATTTTTCGTAGAGATGAGGTCTCACTATGTTGCCCAGGCTGGTCTCAAACTCCTGGACTCCAGCAATCCTCCCACCTCAGCCTCCCAAAGTGTTGAGATCACAGGTATGAGCCACCACAACTGGCCATTAAGTTTCCTTTTTTTTGGCTGGGCATGGTGGCTCACGCCTATAATCCCAGCACTTTGGGAGGCCAAGGCGGGAGGATCACGAGGTCAGGAGATCAAGACCATCCTGGCTAACACGGTGAAACCTCGTCTCTACTAAAAATACAAAAAAAATTAGCCGGGCGTGGTGATAGGCGCCTGTAGTCCCAGCTACTTGGGAGGCTGAGGCAGGAGAATGGCATGAACCCGTGAGGCAGAGCTTTCAGTGAGCTGAGATGGCGCCGCTGCACTCCAGCCTGGGTGACAGAGCGAGACACTGTCTCAGAAAAAAAAAAAAAGTTTCTCTTTTTTTTTGAGACAGGGTCATGCTGTGTCACCCTAGCTGGACTGCCTCCCGGGGCTCAAGCGAGTCTCATGCCTCAGCCTACTGAGTAACGGAGACTACAGGCATGTGCCACTGTACCTGGCTAATTTTTGTATTTTTAGTAGAGACAGGGTTTTGCCATGTTGGCCAGGGTGATCTAAACTCCTGGGCTCAAGAGATCCACCTGGCTCGGCCTCCCAAAGTGCTAGGATTACAGGTGTGAGCCACCGCACCCAGCCTTTTTTTGAGACAAGGTCTCACTCTGTTGCCCAGGCTGGAATGCAGTGGTGCAAGACCTCGACTTCAGCTCACTGTAACCTCCGCCTTTTGGGCTCAAGTGATCCTCCTACCTCAGCCTCCCAACTACAGTCATGCACCACCACACCCGCTTAATTTTTTGTATGTTTTGTAGAGACGGGCTCTCGCCATGTTGCCAGGCTGATCTTGAACTCCTGGACTCAAGTGATCTGTCCTCCTCAGCCTCCCGAAGTGCTGGGAGGACAGTCATGAGCCACTGTGCCCAGCCTAAGTTTCTAATAAGGAAAAAGATTTATCTTTATTTTTTGAAGGTTATTTATTTATCATTTTTTTTTTTTTATACAGAGTCTCACTCTGTCTCCCAGGCTGGAGTGCAGTGGTACAATCTCGGCTTACTGCAAACTCCGCCTCCCAGGTCCAAACAATCCTCCTGCCTTAGCCTCCTGAGCAGCTGGGACTATAGGTGCCCACTATGATGCCTGGCTAATTTTCATTATTTTTAGTAGAGACAGGGTTTTGTCATTTAGGCCAGGGTAGTTAGTCCCTAACTCCTGACGTCAAGTAATCCACCTGCCTTGGCCTCCCAGAGTGCTGGGATTACAGGTGTGAGCCACTGCGCCTGGCCAAAAAAATGGTTTATATTTAAAATTGCTTTCGGAAATGTAGTGAGACCGCTGAAAATACCTGGAAACTGCTGGGTGTGGTGGCTCACGCCTGTAATCCCAGCACTTTGGGAAGCCGAGGTTGGCAGATCATGAGGTCAGGAGTTCAAGACCACCCTGGCCAACAAGGTGAAACCCCATCTCTACTAAAATACAAAAAATTAGCCAGACGTGGTGGTGTGTGCCTGTCATCTCAGCTACCTGGGAGGTTGAGGCAGGAGAATTGCTTGAACCCGGGAGGCAGAGGTTGCAGTGAGCTGAGATCATGCCACTGCACTCCAGCCTGGGTTATAGAGCAAGACTCTGTCTCAAAAAAGAAAATACTTGGAAACCATAGATATAATCCCCATCCAACTCCTGCTCTAAGCCTGCAAAGGCACATGGCATCGCAGGAGAAGAGCAGGTTACCTACCCCACCCAGTTGCTGAATGGCCCCCGTCAAAAACTGGAGATTCTTGCCAGCAGGCAGATCCAAGTAAAAGGACTTTCCGGAAAAGGGATGCTTCCTGGCACCTGGTGAGTTCTTCTGGCATTTTCCTAGACACCTGGAAACTCCTAGAAAACAATAAAGAGGAGCAAAGTAAGAAGTTTGAAAAGAGAGTCCTGAAGCCAGGTGGCCCTCACTGACAGCTCAGTCTGTGTGCTATAATAGCACAGACTAGACCCTGGGCACACACAGACAGCTGTGAAGCCAATGCCCTTACCCTCAGAAGCTCAGATGTGGTGAAATTGGAACCTTCCAAACAAGATAATAAGCAAACAAGGCTTGCTGACTTCTTCACTTCTTCCTTAGAATCTAAATCTAGGGAAGCCATTTAAGTAAAAAGAAATTAGACAGATCCCCAAACCAGACATTGGGGGGCTGCAGTGAATAGTAAACTAGGGAAAAGAGGGCCGAGATTCACACGGGGGTGCCAGGCAGGAGGATGCTTTCTAGCTGTGCTGAGTGAGTCACTGCCTGCCCTGTTGCCAGTGCCCAGCCCCTAACCAGAGTCAGCAGGGTAACATCATGGCAGTGTTGCCGCCTAGCTTAGGGCGAATATGCATGTGTATTCGAGACAGATAAGAGGAAAAGGGGACAGTGAACTTGTTGGCTCCTGAATGGGCCTACTTCCCAACCTCTGCATTTGGTAACTTAGGTAATTATAACTCAAAAAGACAGCTCTTGAAAAACAACAAGACAAAGTGTGTGTGTGTGTTGGAGAGCACAGAATGCTGCTGCAAATGGAGAGTGAATGAGCCCATATTCCAGGGGCTTTGCACCATAGTGGGGTCGTTTCCTTTTTTTTTTTTCCCTTTTGAAACGGAGTTTCGCTCTTGTTGCCCAGGCTGGAGTGCAATGGCGCGATCTCGGCTTATCGCAACCTCCTTCTTCCAGGTTCAAGCGATTCACTTGCCTCAGCCTCCCCAGTAGCTGGGATTACAGGCATGCACCACCATGCCTGGCTAATTTTGTATTTTTAGTAGAGTCAGGGTTTCTCCATGTTGGTCAGGCTGGTCACAAACTCCCGACCTCAGGTGATCTGCTCGCCTCGGCCTCCCAAAGTGCTGGGATTACAGGCGCGAGCCACCATGCCTGGCCAGGGTTGTTTCCTCTTCTATGCAACCTCCAATCCCTAAACTCAGCGGAGGGACACACGAGATAGGGCATAAGCTTTTGATCTTCCTTCGAGCAGCACGTTACCAATCAGAGTGGCTAATGTCCCAAAGGGATATTTGTGTATAAGAAAACATGAGGCAACTGAAGAAAGCAAGTACTACCAAAGAAACTTTATCTGGTATAGATTGTCTATCTGTCATAATAATGAACCAGATAGGAAAAAGAAAAACCATTGAAGTATAATAAATATCCTCAAAAAGGCTAGGGAGGATACAGGAAAACATAAAGCAGGAACAGCAGTTAAAGAAAAGAATTAGGCCGGGCACAGTGGCTCATACCTGTAATCCCAGCACTCTGGGAAGCCGAGGTGGGCACATTACTTGAGGCCAGGAGTTCGAGACCAGCCTGGGCAACATGGCAAAACCCTGCCTCTACTAAAAATAGAAAAATTAGCTGGGCATGGTGGTACACACCTGTAATCCCAGCTACTTGGGTGGCTGAGGCACAAGAATTGCATGATCCTGGGAGACAGATGTTGCAGTGAGCTGAGATCATGCCACTGCACTCCAGTCTGGGTAACAGAGGGAGATTCTGTCGCAAAAAAGGGGAGGGGGGGGGAAGAATTAGTTGGAGATAATGGACATGAAAAACATAGTATTTTTAAAATCTTGGCCAGGTGCTGTGTTTCACACCTGTATCCCAGTACTTTGGGAGGCTGAGGCAGGTGGATCACTTGAGATAAGGACTTCGAGACCAGCCTGGCCAACATGGTGAAACCCCGTCTCCACTAAAAATACAAAAAATAACCGGGCGTGGTGGTTCACGCCTGTAATCCCAGCTACTCGGGAGGCTGAGGCAGGAGAATTGTTTGAACCCAGGAGGTGGAGGTTACAGTGAGTTAAGAGTTAAGATTACACTACTGCATTCAAGCCTGGGAAACCAAGCGAGATTGACTTAAAAAAAAAAAAAAGCCAGATAATAGCAAGTGTTGGTGAGGATATGAGAAACTGGAACCCTCATATACTTCTGGAGGGAATGTGGAATCGTGCAGTCACATTGGAAAACCATGTGTTAGTTTCTCAAAAGGTTAAACACAGAGTTACCGTATGACCCAGCAATTTTACTCCTAGGTATATCCTTGAGAAATGAAAACACAGCCACATGAAAACTTGTAAATGAATGCTTATAGCAATATTAATCATATAGCCAAAAAGTGGAGTCTTTCCCATCTTGCAAGATGATGGGTGAGAAAGCTGAGAAGCCAGATACTAAAGAGAAGAAACCTAAGGCCAAGAAAGCTGATGTTGGTGGCAAGGTGAAAAGGGGCAACCTCAAGGCTAAAACGTCTAAGACAGGGAAGCCCCATTGCAGCTGCAATCCTGTCCTTGTCAGAGGAATTGCAGATATTCCCGATCTGCTATGTATTCCAGAAAGACCACGTCCAGGAAGAAGTACTCAGCTGCTAAATCCAAGGTTGAAAAGAAAAAGAAGTTTCTTGCAACTGTTACAAAACCAGTTGGTGTTGACAAGAACAGTGGTACCCAGGTGGTTAAACTTCACAAAATGCCTAGATATTACCCTACTGAAGATGTGCCTCTAAAGCTGTTGAGCCATGGCAAAAGAAACCCTTCAGTCAGCATGTGAGAAAACTGCGATCCAGCATCACCTCCAGGACGATTCTGATCATCACCACTGGGCGCCACAGAGGCGAGGGTGGTTTTCCTGAAGCAGCTGGTCTTGGGACTGGACCTCTGGTCCTCAATCAAGTTCCTCTACGAAGAACACACCAGAAATTTGTCATTGCTACCTCAACCAAAATTGGTAGCAGCAATGTAAAAATTGCAAAACGTCTTACTGGTGCTTACTTTAAGAAGGTGTGGAAGCCTAAACACCAGGAAGGTGAGACCTTTGACACAGAAAAAGAGAAATAGATTACAGAGCAGCGCAAGACTTATCAGAAAGCTGTGGACTCACATGTTTTAGAAAAAAATCAAAGCTTTCCTCAGCTCCAGGGCTACCTGTGATCTGTGTCTGCCCTAACGAATGGAATTTATCCTCACAAATTGGTGTTCTGAATTTCTTAAGAACCTAATAACATTTTGTTTGTGTCTCTTAAAAAAAAAGTGGAAACTCATATGTCCATTTGATGAATGGATAAACAAAATGTGGTATATCCATATAATGGAACACTACTCAACAATAAAAAGGAATGATGTACTGACACATGGCACCACATGGATAAACTGCAAAAGCATTATGCTAAGTGAAAGAAATCAGTCACAAAAGACTACACATTTTATGACTCTATTTATATGAAATGTCCAGAAGAGGCAAATTTATAGAAACAGAAAGTACATTAGCAGATGACTAGGGCTGGGGAGTCAGGAGAAATTTGTGAGTGGCTGCTAATGGGTATTCTTTTTTGGAGTGAGAAAAGTGCTCTAAATTGATTGTGGTGATGGTTGCCCAATTCTGTGAACATACTAAGTCACTGAATTGTACGCTTTATATGGATGAATTGTGTGGTGTGTGAACTATAACTCAAAAAAGCTGTTAAGAAAAAAAAAATAGGACAGGCGTGGTGGCTCATGCTTGTAATCCTAGCACTTTGGGAGGCCGAGGCGGATGGACAATGAGGTCAGGAGATCAAGAGCATCCTGGCCAACATGGTGAAACCCTGTCTCTACTAAAAATACAAAAATTAGCTGGGCATGGTGGCACGTGCCTGTAATCCCAGCTACTTGGGAGGCTGAGGCAGGAGAATTGCTTAAGCCAGGGAGTTGGAGGTTTCAGTGAGCCAAGATCGCGCCACTGCACTCTAGTCTGGCAACAGAACAAGACTCCGTCTCAAAAAAAAAAAAATTTATTTATTTTGAGACGGAGTCTCACTCTGTCACCCAGGCTGGAGTGCAGTGGCGCGATCTTGGCTCACTACAACCTCTGTCTCCCGGGTTGAAGTGATTCTTCTGCCTGAGCCTCGAGTAGCTGGGATTACAGGCATGCGGCACCAAAGCCAGCTCTAAAAGAAAAACAATTTAAATTTCAGTATTTGCACAGTCTCAAAGTATCTTCCTGTAAGATAGTTATTAATTACAGAAGGTAAAACAGTAACTTTTCAGTGGAAAAACCTAGCAGACACCACTTTTAATCAAGGGATCGAAGTTAATGAGATTTATCTTATCTTCATCATGTGCCTCCTGATAACATACTGGAGAGGGGATAACATCACTTCTGTGCCAAAAATGCTTTAGCTGAATTCAATCATGTGGACGTACCAAACAAACCCAAATTTAGAGGTGACTTCAAAAGTACTGAGGTCATCAAAGACAAAGAAAGAATGAGGACCTCCTCTCAGGAGGAGACTAACGAGATATAATTAAAGGCAATATGTAACCTTTTTTTTTTTTTTTTTGAGATAGAGTCTTGCTCTGTCGTCCAGGCTGGAGTGCAGTGGTGCGATCTCGGCTCACTGCAACCTCTGCCTCCCAGGTTCAAGCGATTCTCCTGCCTCAGCCTCCCAAGTAGCTGGGACTACAGGCGCACACCACCATGCCCAGCTAATTTTTGTATTTTTAGTAGAGACAGCCATGTTGGCCAGGATGGTCTTGATCTCTTGAACTCATGATCCGCCCGCCTCGGCCTCCCAAAGTGCTGGGATTACAGGCATGAGCCATCGTGCCCAGCTGCAACATGTAATCTTAAACCAGGACAAGAACATTGGGGGATAATTGGTAAAATGTGAATGAGATCTATAGATTAGTTAATAATATCAACATTAATTTCCGGATTTTCTTTTCTTTCTTTTTTTTGAGACAGGATCTCACTCTGTCACTCAGGCTAGAGTGCAGTGGTGTGATCATGGCTCACTGCAGCCTTGACCTCCTGGGCTCAAGGGATCCTCCCCCTGAGCCTCCTGAGTAGCTGGGATCACATGCACCACCATGTCACGCACCACCATACCTGGCGAATTTTTTTGATTTTCTGTAGAGACAAGATCTCACTATGTTGCCCATTCTGGTCTTGAACTCCTGGGCTCAAGTGATCTTCTCACCTCAGCCTCCCAAAGTGCTGGGATTACAAGCATGAGCCAACACGCCTAGCCCCCTGGATTTTTTTTTTTTTTTTTTGAGACCAGGTCTTGCTTTGTACCCAGGCTAGAGTGCAGTGGCACGATCTCGGCTCAGTCCAACCTCTGCCTCCCGGATTCAAGTGATTCTCCTGCCTCAGCCTTCCAAGTAGCTGGGATTACAGGTGCCTGCCACTACATCCAGCTAATTTTTTTGTATTTTTAGTAGAGACAGGGTTTCACCATGTTGGCCAGGCTGGTCTCGAAATCCTAGCTTCAAATGATTCCCCTGCCTTGGCCTCCCAAAGTGCTGGGATTACAGGCGTGAGCCACCACGCCCAGCCTGGATTTTTTTAATTGTACTATTATTACATAGATGTTAATATTTGGGGAAGCTGGGTAAAGAGTAGGAACCTTTGACTATTTTTGAAATTTTTTTATAACTGTGAAATTATTTTAAAATTAAAAACGAAAAGATCTATCCACATCAATAGATGAGCTAAATAGAACAGTGTGAGCTGGTAAATTAGGTTGAGTAACTCTTTCAGAAGGTATCACAAAGAGATAAATAAATGGACATCAGAGAATTTAAGAAATGCAGAGGATAGGGATAGAAATGTCAACAACACCAGAAGAGTTGCAAAGGGGGAAAAACAATGGAGAGAAGAAAATATTTGAAGAAATAATGATCCAGGCTTCTGCATAAATGTGGAAGATGAATACAAGAACTTCTGTTCTCTCTCCAAATCTCACTAAAGTGACAGAAAAAGAATAAAAATAGATAAAGAAACTGGCAAGAAGACAACAGGCAAGAGATGCTACAAAATGTTGGACGCTGGAAATTAGATGGGTGAGTGAAAAACAGACAGGAGATAAGAGAAGGCTAAATCCTAAGCCAACAAGAAGCAAGCTGATTAGAGCTGAAAGGCCCAATCAGAGGGACCATACAGAGTAGAATGCTAGAATGAAACAGTAGGCTAAAATACCAATTATTTGAAAGACTTTAAAAGGAATAGACTCTCAGAACCCTCTCCCACCCCAGCAGAAGACTAGAGCCGTGGTTCTTAACTGGGGAGATTTTTCCCCTCAGGGGATACTTGGCAACCTCTGGAAATGTTTTTGGCTGGCACAACTGGGAAGTGGGTGTGCTCCTGGCATCTAGCGGGTGGAGGCCAGGGATGCCACTTAGTATCTTACAAAGCACAGGACAACCTCAGAAAACAAAGAATTACTTGGCTCAAAATGTCAATAGTCTTGGGGCTGAAAAAATCCCTGGACTAGAGGAACATTGGGCACAGGTGAAAGCAAAGATAAAGCCCCAGTGAAAACATAGGGGATCAAAAGAATATCTGTATACTGAACAGTAAGACCTACAGATCTGTTGCCCCAGTGAGCTCCCAGAATGCTGACAAGCTTATACTTACCAGAGAGAGGTTTGGAGGACTCTTCTCTAGCGAACTGACTAGCTCAAGACAAAAACATACAAACTAGTGACAACTGAGGTCCCTCCCCCACAAAATTGCCAGGTCCCAGCTTACAATGAAGTCTATCAAGTTGACAACCCCTTCTCCTCACTCTTAAATATGAATAGGTAAACAAAGATCATCAGACATTTAAAGGAAGTTTCTAACAAGAAATTAGGCTAGACTGGGTGTGGTGGCTCACGTTTGTAATCCCAGCACTTTGGGAGGCCGAGGCGGGTGGATTACCTCAGATCGGGAGTTTAAGACCAGCCTGGCCAACATGGTGAAACCCCGTCTCTACCAAAAATACAAACAATTAGCCAGGTGTGGTGGCATGCACCTGTGGTCCTAGCTACTTGGGAAGCTGAGGCAAGAGAATTGCTTGAACCTGGGAGGGGGAGGTTGCATTGAGCTGAGATCGCGCCATTGCACTCCAGCCTGGGAGACAGAGCAAGACTCTGCCTCAAAAAAAAAAAAAAAAAAAAAAAAAAAAGAAAGAAAGAAAGAAATTAGGCTAACAAACAGAAAAAAGAAGAGGAAATAGACATAATGTAGGAAGCAGAAGAAAACTAAAAAGAAACAAAAACAGTACAATTAACAACCAGGGAGAGGAAAGGGAATACATTATATCCATTAAGCACAACAAGACACTGTAAGAAAAGAAACACACAGAAAAGAAAAAGCTCTTGGAAATTTATAAATGTTATAGAAATTAAAAATTCAACGAAAATTGGAGATTAAGTTGTGGAAATTTTCTAGAGAACAGAATGAAAGACAGATGCAAAATGGGAGAGAAAAACAAGAAAACTGGCCGGGTGTGGTGGCTCACACCTGTAATCCCAGCACTTTGGGAGGCTGAGATGGGTGGATCACCTGAGGTCAGGAGTTTGAGACCAGCCTGGCTAACATGGTGAAACCCCATTTCTACTAAAAATACAAAAAATTAGCCAGGTGGCGGGTGCCTGTAATCCCAGCTACTTAGGAGGCTGAGACTGGAGAATCACTTGAACTTGGGAGTCAGAGGTTGCAGTGAGCTGAGATTGCACCATTGCATTCCAGCCTGGGCAACAAGAGCAAAACTCCGTCTCAAAAACAAACAAACAAAAATCCACAAGAAAATCAAAGGAAGAATCTATGAGATCTAATATCCAAACAATAAAAGTTCCAGAAAGAGAAAAGAGAAAATAGAAGGGAGAAATATTATAGAAATAATGCTAAAAATTTCCCAGAACTAAAGAAAATGATGTTACAGATTGAAAGGTACCTGCTCCATAAATGAAAAAAGTCCCACATCAAGACACACTGTCATGGAATTTCAGAATACTGAAGAGAAAGACAGGATTTGACTTACATTGTAGCCAATATTGGAGACCAGCTAATGTAAAAGCCTTCCTATGGGAGCCTCTCTGAACCTATTCTGGTTTGGGGGCTGCCCATTAAAAAAAATAATAATAATAAGCTGGGCATGGTAGCTCACATCTGTAATCCCAGCACTTTGGGAGATCAAGGTGGGAGGATCACTTGAGCTCAGGACTTCAAGACCAGCCTGGGCAACAAAGTGAGACTCCACTTCTACAAAAAAATCAAAATTTAATAATTTTTGACAATAATAGCAATAGAAATAGCAAATATATATCGCTATGCACAATACATTCTCAACAGGTCTATAAAGAAGATAAAATTATTATACCTGTTTTACAGTTATAATAATTACAGTTACAGGAAACTGAGGCACAGAGAAATCTTGTATGCCCAAGATCATACTGTTAGTAAGGGGTAGAAATGGAATGAAGGATACCTCTTACTTGTTTAGTGAAAGTTAAAAACAAACACAAAAAACATACAGAGACTGTTACCACATCGGCATATAGATGGATAAATGTTGAGATAGTCTTGTCTAAATTTATACAGAATTTCAGGAAAGCCAAATATTGCTGTGGGGCTCCCCAAACTTATACTTCATTTTCAAAAGTATTATTTATTTCAATAGCTTCTGGGGTACAGGTAGTTTTTGGTTACCTGGATGAGTTCTACAGTGAATTATGAGATTTTAGTGCACCTGTCACCCAAGCAATGTACACTGTACCCAATATGTAATCTTTTATCCCTCACCCCTCTCCTAACCTTCCCCCTCATCAAATCCCCAAAGTCCATTATATGACTTTGCATGTCTTTGCATCCTCACAGCTTAGCTCCCACTTACAAGTGAAAACTAAATGGTATTTGGTTTTCCATTCCTGAGTTACTTCACTTACAGTAATGGCCTCCAGCTCCATCCAAGTTGCTGCAGAACTTATTTTGTTCCTTTTTATGGCTAAGTAGTATTCCATGGTGTAAAAAATATAGAATTTAAAATACAGGAGATCCAACACAGGAAAGAGGCAAAAAGAATTCCACAGAATAACGAGGGGAGATCGGAGGATGAAATCAGTGCAATAGGCCTAGTACACAGCCAGGCCAGACTGGAGTACTAAAACGCTATGTCTCCAAGACAAATTGACAGATCCTCTGATGAGCTTGAAAGTATTGAGAGAAGGCCCATACTCTGGTGAAGAGTTTGGACCTGAATTAGTGATCCATACATAAAAAAACAAAGAAAATCTCCTAGCTTATTATATAGCTCAGTGATGAATAATGTTTTGTTTGTTTGTTTTTTTGAGACGGAATCTTTCTCTGTCGCCCAAGCTGGAGTGCAGCGGCATGATCTCGGCTCACTACACCTCTGCCTCCCGGGTTCAAGTGATTCTCCTGCCTCAGTCTCCCAAGTAGCTGGGATTACAAGCGTGCACGACATCCTACTGATTTTTGTATTTTTAGTAGAGACAGGGTTTCACCATGTTGGCCAGGCTGGTCTCAAACTCCTAACCTCAGGTAATCCACCTGCCTCAGCCTCCCAAAGTGCTGGGATTACAGGTATGAGCCACCGCGCCCGGCCGAATAATGTTTACATAATGAAAATAATGTCGGCGGGGCGTGGTGGCTCACACCTGTAATCCCAGCACTTTGGGAGGCGGAGGCAGGTGGATCACGAGGTCAGGAGATGAAGACCATACAGGCTAACACAGTGAAACCCCATCTCTACTAAAAAAAACCAAAAAATTAGCCGGGCCTGGTCGTGGGTGCCTGTAGTCCCAGCGACTCCAGAGGCTGAGGCAGAAGAATGGCATGAACCCGGGAGGCGGAGCTTGTAGTGAGCCCAGATCACGCCACTGCACTCCAGCCTGGGCGACAGAGCAAGACTCTGTCTCAAAAAAAAAAAAAAAAAAAAAAAGTCAATACAAATGACTAAATCAAAATTACTACATATATACTGGGGAGATAAAAGGAAAGGTGGGAAATGCATGTGCGTTTGTGTGTGGTGCAGAGAAGTGGTAGGACAGAAAAAATCTTTATTGTCCATAGAAGACAGTCAATAGATATAATTCAAAATTGACTGGGCATGGTGGCTCACGCCTGTAATTCCATCACTTTGGGAGGCCGAGGTGGGCAGATCACTTGAGCCCAAGAGTTCAAGACCAGCCTGGGCAACACAGTGAGACCCCATCTCTATAAAAAAAAAAGAAGACAGGCCGGGTGTGGTGGCTCACACCTGTAATCCCAGCACTTTGGGAGGCTGAGGAGGGCAGATCGTGAGGTCAGGCAATCGAGACCATCCTGGCTAACATGGTAAAACCCCATCTCTACTAAAAATACAAAAAATTTGGCTGGGCGTGGTGGCTCATGCCTGTAATCCCAGCACTTTGGGAGTCTGAGACGGGTGGATCACGAGACCAGGAGATCAAGACCATCCTAGCTAACACAGTGAAACCCCATCTCTACTAAAAAGACAAAAAATTAGCCAGTCATGGTGGCACGTGCCTGTAGTCCCAGCTACTTGGGAGGCTGAGGCAGGAGAATCGCTTGAACCCAGGAGGCAGAGGTTGCAGTGAGCCGAGATGATTGTGCCACTGCACTCCAGCCTGATGAGAGTGAGACCGTCTCAAAAAAAAAAAAAAAAAAAAAAAGAAGACATAATTCAAAATGGAAAACAATTAAAACAGTATGAGCATATTATTACAGAAATAAGGTGGTAGCTTCTAGAAGAAATAGTTAAAAGCTGTAAATGGCTGTTTCTTAGGAAGTGGGAATCAGACAGCCTGAAAGGGGATTAACTCTCATGCCTCCTGTTTTTTGTGAGAAACTTTGGCTTTTTTTTTTTTTTCTTTTTTGAGATGGAGTTTCATTCTTGTTGCCCAGGCTGGAGTGCAATGGCACAGTCTCGGCTCACTGCAACCTCCACCTCCTGGGTTCAAGCAATTCTCCTGCTTCAGCCTCCCAAGTAGCTGGGATTATAGGAGCCTGCCACCACGCCAGCTAATTTTTTTTTTTTTTGAGACAGAGTCTTGCTCTGTCGCCCAGGCTGGAGTGCAGTGGTGCAATTTTGCTCACTGCAAGCTCCGCCTCCCGGGTTCACGCCATTCTCCTGCCTCAGCCTCCCGAGTAGCTGGGACTACAGGTGCCTGCCACCACGCCCGGCTAATTTTTTGTATTTTTAGTAGAGATGGGGTTTCACCATGGTCTCAATCTCCTGACCTCGTGATCCCCCTGCCTCGGCCTCCCAAAGTGCTGGGATTACAGGTGTCAGCTACCACGCCCGGCTCTGTTTTTTGTATTTTTAGTAGAGACAGGGTTTCACCACGTTGCCCAGGCTGGTCTTGAACTCCTGATCTCAGGTGATCCGCCTGCCTTGGCCTCCCAAAGTGCTGGGATTACAAGTGTGAGCCACCACACATGGCCTGCCTTTTAAGCTATGTCAAGAATCAAACAGGAAGCCAGGTGTGGAGACATGCACCTGAAGACATAGCTACTTGGGAGACTGAGGCAGGAGATTGGGAGACTGAGGCAGGAGAATTGCTTGCACCCAGGGCTTTGAGGCTGCAGTGAGCTATGATTGTGCCACTGTACTCTAGCCTGGGTAACAGAGCAAGTTCTTGTCTCTAAAATAAAATAATAATTTAAAAAAATTTAAAGAATCAATCTGGAGGCCAGGTGTGGTGGCTCACGCCTATAATCCCAGTATTTTGGGAGGCTGAAGCAGGTGGATCATGAGGTCGGGAGTTCAAGACTAGCCTGACCAACATGGTGGAACCCTGTCTCTAGTGAAAATACAAAAATTAGCCGGGCATGGTGGCGTGCTCCTGTAATCCCAGCTACTCAGGAGACTGAGGCAAAAGAATTGCTTGAATTCTGGAGGCAGAGGTTGCAGTGAGCCGAGATGGTGCCACTGCACTCCAGCCTGGGCGACAAAGCGAGACTCTGTCTCAAAAAAAAAAAAAAAAAAAAAAAAAAATCAAACTGGAATAAAAACGAAAATAAAAACCCTCTAAAATCCACACATTATCATCTTATAGTAAATTTTAAGAACAAATATAAAAATGTATAATCTAAAATATTGGGCTGGGTGCAGTGGCTCACTCCTGTAATCCCAACACTTTGGGAAGCTGAGGAGGGTGATCGCTTGAGCCCAGGAGTTGAAGACCGGCCTGGGCAACATGGCAAAACCTCGTCTCTACAAAACAAACAACAAAAAAAAATTAGCTGGGCGTGGTGTTGAGTGCCTGCAGTCCCAGCTACCTGGGAGTCTGAGGTGGGAGGATCACTTGATCCCGGTGAGGCCAAACCTGCAGTGAGCCATGATTGCTCCACTGCACTCCAGCCTGGGTGCAAGACCTCAAAATAAATAAAATAAAACATTTTTTTCTTTCATCAATATAATCCATAGGTTCACATAATCTAAAACATCTAATGAGAAAAGGAGGTCACTTACAAAGCAGCAAGAATAAAAAAGAAATGCTGAAGAAAACAAGGAGAAAATACTGTAATTTTTCAATGTGTTGAAGGAAAAAAAATTGACTTAAATTTTACTACAAGGCTGAAATAAATATATTCTTAGTTTATCACACAAAGCCTCCTTTTGAAAACACTCTTGAAGTTCTCCAGAGAAACAGAAGGGGGAAAAAAAACCAACAAGAGATGGGAAGAATGAATAACTCAGTAAATGAAGTGGATTACTGTTTAAAAGGCAACAAGCCGATGGCATATCTGTTAACAATCCAGAAGTAAAAGTAGACGGTATTTTTTTTTTCTTTTTTTTGAGACGGAGTCTCGCTCGGTCGCCCAGGTTGGAGTGCAGTGGCGCAATCTCGGCTCGCTGCAACCTCCGCCTCCTGGGTTCAATCAATTTTCCTGCCTCAGCCTCCTGAGTAGCTGGGACTACAGGCACGCCTCACCACGCCCGCCTAATTTTTTGTATTTTTAGTAGAGATGGGGTTTCACTGTGTTAGCCAGGATGGTCTCAATCTCCTGACCTCGTGATCCGCCCGCCTTGGCCTCCCAAAGTGCTGGGATTACAGGCGTGAGCAGCCGCGCCCGGCCAACTAGATGATATTAACTAAAGGGGCAGTACGGAGGGAAGTGCCATGTGCTAAAATACTTACCTAATTAGGTAGCAGTGTTTAACTTAAGGATTTTATTGTAAACAACTATGAATGTATTAATTTATATATTTAATAAGTCACTCTATCCTGACTCCACATCTGTCTGTTAATCTTGTTCATAATATGACTCTTACTTGACCTTTATCATGAATCCCAAAACGGTCTATGATGCTGCGTCCATACACACACACACATAAAACCACTAAGTGGGCCTGGTGAAGTGGCTCACACCTGTAATCCCAGCATTTTGGGAGGCCTAGGCAGGAGAACTGCTTGAGGCCAGGAGTTTGAGACCAGCTTGGCCAACACAGCAAGACCCCATCCCAATAAATAAAATGAATAAATAAGTACATAAAAACACTGAGTGATCGAAAACTCCAACAGGGGGAACATTTTTCGGTCTTCTCCAAGAGACCCTGGGGCAATTTTCACCTCACGTCCCTAGTTCTGTCCTGTTACCCACCTAGGTCCGGGGCCCGGAGCCTACTCTCAGCCATGGAACTCTCCAGCTCGAGGCAATCGTCTCCTGAGAAAGGACATAACAGCAACTCAACCATCTTCACCAACCCTTGGAACTTCCATGCCTCCCGCCCACTACTGTCTCCCAAAACGCGCACAGAAACGCGACTCCTGGGAACAGCAAGACTCAACTCCATTCCGACCTACATCCCGCGACTCCCGCCAGGCTCTTGCCCCTCATGCCCTCCGCCTCCTTTCAGACTCCGTTCAGTCAACGGCCGTGACCTCTTGGCCACCTCCTGTCCATCTCAATCTCCATACATCCCTCCAGGCTGTTGTCCCCTACGTTCCTCTGCCACCTTCATTCCTCGGTCCCCTCAACTCCTGTGGCTCCTTCCCGGCCCCTATACCCTCCTCAGCTTCGGCACCTACCCGCTGGTCACTTCCTAAGCCCCCTCCACGACTCCGCACCTCGCCTCAGCTATTAACGACCCCTTCCGCCTTTCTTTCTCCCCTTCCCGGCATCCGTACCCTTTCCCGGTTCGCTCATCAAATGCCGGCTCCTTCTCGGCCTCCGTACTCCTTCCTCAGAGGCCTCCGTATTACATTCGCGAGCTCCATGAGCTCTTCCCGATTCCACAGTCCTGGTTATCTCAGGGCAGCTACAGCATCAATCTCTTGGCGTTTTCGGCCGCGGCTTCAGTTTAAATTTCCTGCCGGCTCCACCCCTAAAAGAACGCCGTAGCTGCGAGATCCGCCCTACGGTGTCCTTGGAAGGACAATATTAGTTTCGCGATTCCTCTTTCCGTTCCCCCACCGCCTACGTCTTCTCAAACCGTCTCTTCATTTCTTGGCTCTTCACTGGCTAGACGGCTTTGCCCCTTAATGGCCCTCAAGTTGAGGACTAGTGGTCGCTTTTTAGTGATTCTTCACACTGAGCTGCATTGAAATTCCTAGAAGTTTGAATACTAAATAACAAAATAAGCCTAACACTTGCAGAGCATTTGCAGTTTACATAAAGATTTCACTTACACATCATTTCATCTTCACATTTTTGTCCCCCTCCCGTTCTTCAATTATTACCTGCCCAACAAAACTTCTCAAAAGACGTATCTTTATCCCTCACTTCCCATCTTTTCTTCAACCCATCTAATTAGACTGCTAATTAGAGATCAAATTTGATCTAATAAGAGATCATTCAGTGGAGAGCTGGGGACCTCCCCACAAAAACTGTACTTATCCAGGTCAACTGTGATTTCCACAGTCTGAAATACTATCCTTATCATATCCAACTTATAGATGGACTATTCCTTCTTTGAAATACTTTCTTCTTTTTGCTTCCATGACTCAGCACTCTACCGTTTTTTTCCCTATCTCAATGGTTCCTCCTCAGTCCCCTTTGCTGGATCCAAAGCCACTGTTCACCTATATATTTTGGAGTATGCCAACGCTTTAGCCCTTATCCCTCTCCCTTATCTCCCTAGGAGATCTCATCCAGCTCCACAGCTTTACAATTCAGCTCTGCCACACCTTCAGATTTTCTGTAGCTCTGACCTGTCTGATCTCCAGACTCACATATTCAAGTGCCTACTGGCTATTTCAATTTGGATGTCTAATAGGCACCTCAGGCTGAACACATTCAAAACAGAACATTTGTTTCGCTGCCCCTGTCAAAAAACCACCTGTTCTCCCCCCAGGTCTTCCCCTCTCAGTAAAATGTTACTGTTTACTCAAATGTCACAATCATTCACCCAGTTGCTCAAACCAAAAACCTAGAAGTTGTCTTTCAGTACTTTCCCTTGTGCCCATCCCCACTCCAAGAAAAAAATCCTACTAACTCTGCCTCCAAAGTACATCTGGAATCAGACCACCACCACCCTAGTTCAAGCTGCTATCATTTCTTGCCTAAAGTACTGCGGTCAATTCTTCACTTCTACTCCCGAGTAGCTTCCTATCTCTCCCCAGTATAATCCATTCTCCATTCAGCAACCAGAGTGATAGTTTTTATATTTATTTATTTTTTTATTGAGAGGGAGTCTCGCTCTGTCGCCCAGGCTGGAGTGCAGTGGCGCAATCTTGGCTCACTGCAACCTTTGCCTCCCGGGTTCAGGCCATTCTCCTGCCTCAGCCTCCCGAGTAGCTGGGATTACAGGTGCCTGCCACCATGCCCGGCTAATTTTTGTATTTTAGTAGAGTCGGGGTTTCACCAGGTTGGCCAGGCTGGTCTCGAACTCCTGACCTCAGGTGATTCATCCGCCTCGGCCTCCCAAAGTGCTGAGATTACAGGTGTGAGCCACCGCGCCTGGCCCAGGGTGATATTTTTTAAACACTGGTAGAGGTATATACAGTACATAAACTTGGTATCTCTTCCAGTGGGACTCCTCCCTGAGGAAGCTTATACATCTCAGCCCTGATGAACGAACGAAGCCTTGGCCATATGACTTGCTTTGGCTCATGAAAAAAGAAAAAAGTGACATCACTTCCAAGCAGAAACTTTAAGAGGCAAGATGGTTCAGCATGTTCTTTTTTCACATGTGTGACAGAATTTGTATAATAAAGGTATCTGCCTCAGCATTGTTTGCAATACCAAAAGATCAAAAGCAACGAAAATATTGATTAACAACGGGCAGTAGGTTAAATAAATTATGGTGTAGTCATACTGTGCAACACTATGCAACTCCAAAAAATGAAAATACTTTAAAATATAAATGTATTTAGGGAATCCTAGCCAGAGCAATCAGCAAGAAAAAGAAACAAAAGGCATCCAAATAGGTAAAGAGAAAATCAAATTATCTCTGCTTACTGATGATATGATTCTATAGCTAGAAAACCATGAGGACTCCACCAAAAGGCTCCTAGACCCAATAAATTACTTTAATAAAATTTTAGGATTAAAAAAAAGTCAACACACAAAAATCAGTAGCATTTCTATACACCAATAACGTTCAAGCTGAGAGCCAAATCAAGAATGTGATCTCATGTACAACAGCCACACACACAGGCTGGGCATGTTGGCTCACACCTGTAATCCCAGCACTTTGGGAGGCTGAGGAGGGTGGATCACTTGAGGCCAGGAGTTCGAGACCAGCCTGGCCAACATGGTGAAACCCCATCTCCACTAAAAATACAAAAATTAGCCTGGAGTGATGGTGTGCAACTGTAATCCCAGCTATTCAGGTGGCTGAGGCACAAGGATCACTTGAGCCCAGGAGGCGAAGATTGCAGTGAGCCAAGCTCACACCACTGCATTCCAGCCTGGGTGACGAGACTCTGTCAAAAAAAAAAAAAAAAAAAGCGCCAGCCGGGCATGGTGGCTCACACCTGTAATCCCAGTACTTTGGGAGGCCGAGGCGGGCAGATCACGAGGTCAGGAGATCGAGACCATCCTGGCTAACATGGTGAAACCCCGTCTCTACTAAAAATACAAAAAATTAGCCAGGTGTGGTGGCTGGTGCCTGTAGTCCCAGTTACTTGGGAGGCTGAGGCAGGAGAATGGCATGAACCCGGGAGGCAGAGCTTGCAGTAAGACGAGATCACCCCACTGCACTCCAGCCTGGGCAACAGAACGAGACTCTGTCTCATTAAAAAAAAAAGAGCCACACACACAAAACAATCCCTAGGAATACATCTCACCAAGGAGGTGAAAGATCTCTACAAGAACTATAAAACACTGCTGCTGAAAGAAATAATAAAAGACACAAACGAATAGAAAAACATTCCATGATCATGGATTGGAAGAGTCAATATCATTAGAATGTCCATACTGCCCAAAACAATCTACAGATTCAGTGCTATTCCTATCAAATTACCAATGTAATTTTTCACAGAATCAGAAAAAAAAACTATTCTAAAATGCATATAGAATGAAAAAAAGAGCCTGAATCGCCAAAGCAATCCTAAGCTAAAAGAACAAAGCCAGAGGCATTACATTACCTGACTTCAAACTAAACAAGGCTACAGTAACCAAAACAGCATGGTAGTGGCATAAAAATAGACACATAGACCAATGGAACAGAATAAAGAACCCAAAAATAAAGCTGTACACCTATGAGTAATGGGGAAAGGACTCCCTGTTCAATAAATGATGCTGGGAAAACTGGTTAACCATATGCAGAAGAATGAAACTGGACCCCTACCTCTTACCATATACAAAAATTAACTCAAGGTGGATGAAAGACTTAAATGTAAGACATCAAACTAAAAATTCTGGAACAAAACCTAGGAAATACTGTCTAGATATCAGCCTGAGTCCTCAAAAGCAATTACGACAAAAAAAAAAAAAATTGACAACTGGCACCTAATTAAACTAAAGAGCTTCCAAAGCACAGCAAAAGAAACTATCAATGAAGTAAACAACCTACAGAATGGGAGAACATATTTGCAAACTATGCATCTGACAAAGGACTAATATCCAGAATCTATAAGGAACTTAAATAAATCAACGACAACAAAAAAACCTAATTAAAAAGTGGGCAAAGGCCAGATGCAGGGGCTCATGCCTGTAATCTCAACACTTTGGGAGGCCAAGGTAGGAGGCTTTACTTGAGCTCAGGAGTTCAAGGTCAGCCTGGGCAAAATAGGGAGGCCCATCTATATAAAAATTTTTTTAAATTAGCTAGGCCTGGTGGCATATGCCTGCAGCCCCAGCTACTTGGGAGGCTGAGGTAGGAGGATCACCTGGGCCAGAAGGTCAAGTCTGCAGTGAGCCAAGATCATGCCACTGCACTCCAGCCTGAACGACAGACCAAGACCTTGTCTCAAAAAAAAAAAAAAAAAAAAAGGCAAAAACATGAGCAGACATATCTTAAAAAAAGACATACAAGTGGCAACAAACATGAAAAAATGCTTAATATCATTGATCATCAGAGAAATGTAAATTAAAACCACAATGAGATACCATCTCATACCAGTCAGAATGGCTACTATTAAAAAGCCAAAAGATAATAAATGTTGGCCAGTCTATGGAGAAAAGGTAATGCTTATATACTGTTGGTGAGAATGTAAATTAGTTCAGCCCCTGTGGAAAGCAGTGTGATTTCTCAAAGAACTAAAAATAGAACTATCATGTGACCCAGCAATCCCATTACTTGGTATATACCCAAAGGAAAATAAACCATTCTACCAAAAGGACACCTGCACTATGTTTATTACCACACTATTCACAGTAGCAAAGACATAGAAACAACCTAGGTACCCCGTGAATGGTGGATTGGATAAAGTAAATGTGGTACATATACACCATGGGATACTATACAGCCATAAAAAATAATGAAATTGCTGGGGGCAGTGGCTCACGCCTGTAATCCCAGTACTTTGGGAGGCCGAAGTGGGCGGATCACTTGAGGTTGGAAGTTCGAGACCAGCCTGACCAACATGGAGAAACCCCATCTCTACTAAAAATACAAAATTAGCCGGGTGTGGTGGCGCATGCCTGTAATCCCATCTACTCGGGAGGGTGAGGCAGGAGAATAGCTTGAACCTGGAAGTCAGAGGTTGCGGTGAGCTGAGATCTTGCCATTGCACTCCAGCCTGGGCAGCAAGAGCAAAACTCAATCTCAAAAAAAAAAAAAACATCATGTCTTTTGTAGCAATGTGAGTGTAGCTGGAGGCCATTCTCCTAAGCAAATTAGCACAGAAACAGAAAACCAAATATTGCATGTTCTCACTTTTAAGTGGGATCTAAACCCTGGATACACATGGACATAAAGATGAGAACAATAGACACTGGGGACTCCAAAAGGAGGGAAGGCTGGAGAGAGGAAGGTGGGTAATATGTTCACTATCTGGGTGATGGGATCACTCGAAGCCCAGGCCAGGTGTGGTGGCTGATGCCTGTAATCCCAACACTTGGGACACCAAGGCCCGAGGATCACTTGAGCCCAGGGGTTTGAGACCAGCCTGGGCAACATAGGGAGAACCTTTCTCTACAATAAATAAAATAAAAAATTAGCTGAGCATTAGGTATGCACCTGTGGTCCCAGCTATTGGAGAGGCTGAGGTGAGAGGGTCGCTTGAGCCCAGGAGGTCAAGGCTGCAGTGAGCTGTGATTGCCCCACTGCAGTCCAGTCTGGGCAACAGAGGGAGACTCTGCCCCAGCCCACCCTGCCCACCCCCCACCGACAAGCCCAAATTGCAGCATTGCACAATATACCCTTGTGACAAACTTGCACATGTACCCCCAAATCTAAAAGTTAAATTTAGGCCAGGAGTGGTAGCTTATGCCTGTAACCCCAGCACTTTGGGAGGCCGAGGCAGGCAGACTGTTTGAGACCAGGAGTTCGAGACCAGCCTGGGCAACACAGCAAGACTCTGTTGCTTAAAAAGAAAAAAAAAAAAAAAGAAAGAAAGAAAAAGAAAATAAGGAAGTAAGAAAGAGAAAATAAGAATAATTGAAAATGAATTAGCTAAGTGTTCAACTTGAGAAGTCAGAAAAATGAACAAAACAGTGAGCCCAAAGGCTGTAGACAGTCAGAAATAGCAAAGGATAGAAATTAATGAAATGGAAAAGAAAAAGTAGATTCTTAAAAATCAATGTGGAAAAGACAAATAACACAAAAGAAAAATACGGGCAATACAAACATGAGACATTTTAAGGGCTGATAAACATAAAGCATGCTACGACTCACTAATAATTAGGAAAATACCAATTTAACAATAATTAAATGCCACTTCATAACTTTTGATCTGCAAAAATTAATGTGTATTAAAACCAAATTCTAGTAAAAATGCAAAGAAAAGGGTGGGGTATAAAACTGGGGCAAACCTTGGGAGAGCAATTTAGTACCCAATAAGGTACCTGCCCTTCAGTCTAACACTCTTCTAGGTTTATCCTGGGCCGGTGGTCTCCAAAGAAAGGTGTGCCTTGGCCAGGCATGGTGGCTCATGCCTGTAATCTCAGCACTTTGGGAGGCCAAGGTGGGCGGATCACTTGGGGTCAGGAGTTCAAGACCAGCCTGGCCAACAGGATGAAACCCCATCTCTACTTAAAAAATATAAAAATTAGCCAGGCATGGTGGTGTGTGCCTGTAATCCCAGGTACTTGGGATACTGAGGCAGCAGAATTGTTTGAACCAAGGAGGCAGAAGTGGCAGTGAGCTGAGATGGCCCCACTGCACTCCAGCCTGGGTGACAGAGCAAGACTCTCCGCCCCCCACCCCCCCGCCCCGGCCAAAAAAGAAAGGTGTGCCTCAGGTACAAGATGATTACAAAGGTCAGGCATGGGGACTCACACCTTTAATCTCAGCACTTTGGGAGGCTGAGGCAGGTGAATCGCTTCAGCCCAGGAGTTTGAGACCAGTCTGAGCAACATAGTGACACTTCATCTCTACTAAAAATTAAAAAAAAAAATTAGCTGGGTGTGGTGGTGCATGCCTGTGGTCCTAGCTACTCAGGAGCCTGAGGTGGGAGGATCAGTTGAGCCCAGGAGGTGGAGGCTGCAATGAGGGATGATTATACCACTGCACTTCAGCGTGGATAAGAAAGTGAGACTCTGTCTCAAAAAAAAAAAAAAAAAAAAAAAAAAAGAGCTGCGTGCAGTGGCTTACGCCTGTAATCCCAGCACTTTGGGAGGTTGAGGTGGGCAGATCACCTGAGGTCAGCAGTTCGAGACCAGCCTGACCAACATGGCGAAACCCTGTCTCAACTGAAAATGCAAAAATTAGCCGGGCATGGTGGTGGGCGCCTGTCATCCCAACTACTCAGGAGGCTGAGGCAGGAGAATCGCTTGAATCCGGGAGGCAGAGGTTGCAGTGAGCCGAGATTGCACCACTGCACTCCAGCCTGGGTGACAGAGCAAGACTCCATCTAAAAAAAAAAAAAAAAAATTGATCATAGAGGTGCTGAAAAAACACATTATAATTTAAGTGTATTATATTATCTAAAAGAAGAAAAACAAGTAAGCTTTATTAATATTTAGTAAGTGGATTGACACTGGGCATCTGTTAGACATCTTGGGTTATGTAAGACAGGTGAGGTAACTGGGTAAGGGGTCAGGAGCTTCGTATTTGGAGGGGTTGTGTGTTTTCTTTCAGTGTCCTGCGCCATGTTTGCTTTTCAGTGTTCTACACAGTTTTTATTATTATCATTATTTTATTTATTTACTAATAGTTTTGCTGTGTTGCCCAGGCTGGTCTTGAACTCCTGGCCTCAATCGATCCTCCTGCCTTGGCCTCCCAGTGTTGGGATCACAGGTGAGAGACCACACCTAGTCTCTATACAGTTTACGTATGTCCAGATAAGTGGATTTACAGATTATGCTATCTAGATATAATTTTTCCTAACTCTCCAAAGTGGACAAGGGGCTTAACCATATTCTTGTGAATGAGCAAGATTACAGTTACAAATAATCCTAGTGCTTCACACACAAATGAGTATTACAGGTACAAACTCTTATGGTTCGGTGAGAATCCAGTGTTGAGAAGGAGTCAGCTGGCCAAGGGGTGAAAAAAATCACCACTAATCAAGAGAAGCTCATGCCATAAAGAGCATATTTTGAAGACACATGTTTGGAAATGTTTTGATCTTTAATGACTTTGTTTCTAATAAAGGTATGTGAACCATCTTTAAAAATAAAACAAAACGGGCCGGGTGCGGCGGCTCATGCCTATAATCCCAGCACTTTGGGGAGCCGAGGTGGGTGGATCACGAGCTCAGGAGATCGAGACCATCCTGGCTAACACGGTGAAACCCTGTCTCTACTAAAAATACAAAAAGTTAGCCGGGCATGGTGGCGGGCGCCTGTAGTCCCAGCTACCCGGGAGGCTGAGGCAGGAGAATGGTGTGCACCTGGGAGGTGGAGCTTGCAATGAGCCGAGATCGTGCCACTGCACTCCAGCCTGGGTGATAGAGTGAGACTCTGTCTAAATAAATAAATAAATAAATAAATAAATAAATAAATAAAACAAAACATCTGATTCTCACATTTAAAAATCTAGGCTGGGCGCGGTGACTCACACCTGTAATCCCAGCACTTCTGGAGGCCAAAGCTGGTGGATCATTTGAGGCCAGGAGTTCAAGACCAGCCTGGCCAACATGGCGAAACCCCATCTCTACTAAAAATACAATAATTAGCTGGGGGCGGTGGTGCTTGCCTGTAATCCCAACTACTCAGAAGGCTGAGGCACAAGAATCACTTGGCAGTAAGCTGAGATTGTGTCACTGTACTCCAGCCTGGGCTACAGAGTGGGTCTCTGTCTCCATAAAAAGAAAAAAAAATCTATAAAACAGAATTTGCTAAACCATTTAAAAATCTTCCAAGCAACTGTCTCAATGGGTTTTGGGCAGGAAAAGGTGGCTCATACCCGCAATCCCAGCACTTTGGGAGGCTGAGGCAGGTGGATCACTTGAGGCCAGCAGTTTGAGACCAGCCTGGGCAACAACACAGTGACACTCTGTCACTATAAAATACTTAAAAAAAAAATGGGCTGAGGTGGGAGGATTGCTTGAGCCCAGGAGGTTGATGCTGCACTGAGCTGAGATTGCCCCACTGCACTCCAGTCTGGGCAGCAGAGTGAGACCCTGTCTCAAAAAAAAAAAAAAAAAAAATTGGCTAGATCCGGTGGTGGGCGCCTGTATTCCTACCTACTTGGGAGGCTAAGATGGGAGGATCCCTTGAGCCCAGGACTTTGGGCTGCTGTGAGCTGTGATTGTGCCACTGCATTCCAGCTTGGGTGAAAGAGTGAGACCCTATCTCTGTATATATATTTTTTAAAAAGGTGGCTGGGTGCGGTGGGTCATGCCTGTAATCCTAGGACTTTGGGAGGCCAAGATGGGCGGATCATGAGGTCAGAAGATCGAGACCATCCTGGCCAACATGGTGAAACGCCATCTCTACTAAAAATACAAAAACTTAGCCGGGTGTGGTGGCACGCGCCTGTAGTCCCAGCTATTCGGGAGGCTGAGGCAGGAGAATCGCTTGAAGCTGGGAGGCAGAGGTTGCAGTGAGCCAAAATTGCACCACTGCACTCCAACCTGGGTGACAGAGCGAGACTCCATCTAAAAAAGAAGAAAAAACAATGCTGGGTGTGGTGGCTCATACCTGTAATCCCAGCATTTTGGGAGTCCAAAGTGGGAGGATCTCCTGAGGCCAGGAGTTCGAGACCAGCCTGGGAAACACAGGGAGATTCTGTCTCTCTTAAAAAAAAAAAAAAAAATCTAAAAAAACTAGCTGGCAGGCTGGGCACAGTGGCTCACGCCCGTAATCCCAGTACTCTGGGAGGCCGAAGTGGGCGGATCACCTGAGGTCAGGAGTTCAAGACCAGCCTGGCCAACATGGTGAAACCCCATCTCTACTAAAAATACAAAATCAGGCCGGGCGTGGTGGCTCACGCCTCTAATCCTAACACTTTGGGAGGCTGAGGTGGGCAGATCATGAGGTCAGGAGTTCCAGACCAGCCTGGCCAACATGGTGAAACCCTGTTTCTACTAAAAACACAAAAATTAGCCCAACGTGGTGGCATGCATCTTTAATCCCAGCTACTTGGGAGGCTGAGGCAGGAGAATTGCTTGAATCCAGGAGGTAGAGGTTGCAATGAGCCAAGATTGTGCCACTGCACTCCAGCCTGGGCAACAAGAGCAAGACTCCATCTCAAAAAAAAAAAAAAAATCAGCTGGGCGTGGTGGTAGGCACCTGTAATCTCAGCTACCTGAGAAGCTGAGGCAGGGAGAATCACTTGAACCTGGGAGGGTGCAGTGAGCCAAGATCACGCCACTGCACTCCAGCCTGGGTGACAGAGTGAGACTCTGTCTCAGGAAAAAAAAGAAAAGAAAACTAGCCGGGCATGGTGGCATGCACATATAGTCCTGGCTACTCAGAAGGCTGAGGTGGGAGGATGTCTTGAGCCCAGGAGTTCAATGCTGCAGTGATCTATGATCCTGCCACTGCACTCCAGCCTGGGTGACAGGGCAAGACCCTTTCTCAAAAGAAAAGAAAACAGGCCAGGCATGATGGCTCCCGCCTGTAATTCCAGCACTTTGGGAGGCCGAGGTGGGCGGATCACCTGAGGTCAGGAGTTTGAGACCAGCCTGACCAACATGGAGAAACCTCGTCTTTATTAAAAATACAAAATTAGCCAGGCGTGGTGGCACATGCCTGTAATCCCAGCTACTTGGGAGGCTGAGGCAGGAGAATCGCTTGAACCCAGGAGGTGGAGGTTACAGTGAGCTGAGATTGTGCCATTGCACTCCAGCCTGGGCAACAAGAGTGAAACTCCATCTCAAAAAAAAAAAAAGAAAAAAATACAATGCCTTCTGATTAGTTTGGAAAAAACAACTGATAAACATCAGGGAAGATTCCGTAGCAAAACATCTCATGTATCCCAGAAATATATATACCTACTTGGTACTCACAAAAATTAAAAAAAAAAAAATCAGGGAAGATAGAAATGAGTCCAATTTCAATAAAAGCCTTGGTAGATGGGATTTTAAAATGACTGGTTTTGTTAAGCACAATGATGCAGATTTTAGAGAAATGGAGCATAAAAAATATTCATGAAAGTAGATAGAGTACTATAATAAACCCCTAAGAGTCCATCATAGGGGTCAAGACTGCAGTCAAGACAGTCATGAAAACCAAGAATTGAAATGAATAGAACTTAAATAGCTGTAATACACATTGTTAAACCAAAAGTTTTAAAGTAATGAATACAGCTGGGTGTGGTGGCTCACGCCTGTCATCCCAGCACTTTGGGAAGCTGAGGCAGTCGGATCACCTGAGATCAGGAGTTCAAGAGCAGCCTGACAAACATGGAGAAACCCCGTCTCTACTAAAAATACAAAATTAGCCTGGCGTAGTGGTGCATGCCTGTAATCCCAGCTACTCAGGAGGCTGAGGCAGGAGAATCGCTTGAACCCGGGAGGCAGAGTTTGCAGTGAGCCAAGGTCACGCTATTGCACTCCAGGATGGGCAACAAGAGCAAAACTCCGTCTCAAAAAAAAGGTAATGAATACTTAACACTACTAAACGGTAAACTTAAAAAGGGTTAAGATGGGGCCGGGTGCAGTCCCTTATGCCTGTAATCCCAGCAGTTTGGGGGTCCGAGGTGGATAAATTGGTATATAGTTGGATGTTAAGATGGGTCCGGGTTGGCTGGGCGCGGTGGCTCACGCCTGTAATCCCAGCACTTTGGGAGGCCGAGGCGGGCGGATCATGAGGTCAGGAGATCGAGACCATCCTGGCTAACACGATGAAACCCCGTCTCTACTAAAAATACAAAAAAAAAAATTAGCCGGGCGCGGTGGCGGGCGCCTGTAGTCCCAGTTACTCCGGAGGCTGAGGCAGGAGAATGGCGTGAACCTGGGAGGCGGAGCTTGCAGTGAGCCGAGATCACGCCACTGCACTCCAGCCTGGGCGACAGAGTAAGACTCCGTCTCAAAAAAAAAAAAAAAAAAAAAAGATGGGTCCGGGTGCAATCTCTTATGCCTGTAATCCCAGCACTTTGGGGGGCTGAGGTGGACGGATTGCTTGAGGCCAGGAGATCGAGATCAGCCTGGTCAACATGGTGAAATCCTGTCTCTACCAAAAAAAAAAAAAAAAAAAAAGATTAAAATGCCAAATTACATATTTTACCACAATTAAAAATAAAAATAAATAAAGAAGTGGGGGTGGTAATGAAACATCTTCAACTACATTATTTTTACTAAGGACTTTTGGTATACTACAAATAATAAATATTTATATTATGTACTTCTTTCTTTTTTTTTTTTTTTCAGACGGAGTCTTGCTCTGTCGCCTAGGCCTGGAGTGCAGTGGTTCAATCTTGGCTCACTGCAACCTCCGCTCCCCGGGTTCAAGCGATTCTTTTGCCTCAGACTCCCGAGTAGCTGGGATTACAGATGCCCACCACCATTGCTCGGCTAATTTTTGTATTTTTAGTACAGACCCGGTTTCACCATGTTGGCCAGGCTGGTCTTGAACCCCTGACCTCAAGTGATCCACCCACCTCGGCCTCTCAAAGTGTTGGGATTACAGGTGTGAGCCATCACGCCCGGCCTACTTCATTTTTTAACGATTTTCTCCTTTTTGTAGTTCTCTTTTTGTATGTTTTATGATGGACATACTAATTTGATATAGCAGTTCACACAAATAATTCATAAATAACTACATATTAGTGCATTAGGTGTACATGCTGAGAATATTTTTACTGCTAAGAGTATGTGGCAAAAATGTCTGATGCTCACTGATCTAGAGGAACTTTCCCATGGTGGGCAAGGGGACCACCTAAGAATGTGAACTGGTGCACTGACTGGAAAACTAGGAACTAACCTCACCATCCATCGGCAGAGGAATGGATCAGCTGGAGCATATTAAAGCAACGGAATACTATGCAGTGATTTAAATGGATGGATAAGAGCTACATATATCAACATGGGTAAAGATATATATAAAATATATATAGATACATATATATTATATATATTTTTTTCTTTTTTTTTTTGAGATGGGGTTTCGCTTTTGTTGCCCAGGCTGGAGTGCAATGGCGCGATCTCGGCTAACCGCAACCTCCGCCTCCCGGGTTCAAGCGATTCTCCTGTCTCAGCCTCCCAAGTAGCTGGGATTACAGGCATGTGCCACCAAACCTGGCTAATTTTGCATTTTTAGTAGAGATGGGGTTTCTCCATGTTGGTCAGGCTTGTCCCGAACCCCTGACCTCAGGTGATCCGCCCGCCTTGGCCTCCCAAAGTGCTGGGATTACAGGCATGAGCCACCGTGCCCGGCCATATACACGTATATATTTTTTGAGACAGGGTCTTGCTCTGTCACCTAGGCTGGAGTGCAGTGGCGCAGTCTTGGCTCACTGCAACCTCCGCCTCCCAGGTTCAAGCTATTCTCCTGCCTCAGCCTCCTAAGTAGCTGGGATTACAGGCGTGCGTGACCACGCCCAGTTAATTTTTGTAGCTTTAGTAGAGATGGGGTTTCACCATGTTGGTGAGGCTTGTCTCAAACTCTTGACCTCAGCTGATCCACCCGCCTAGGCCTCCCAAAGTGCTGGGATTACAGGCATGAGCGACTGCGCCCGGCCCAACATGGGTAAATATTTTAAACAACCTTGAGTGAAAAAGCACATTGCAGAATGAAAAGTACAGCATGCACACCAATGTGATATATTATGGATACATCCATATGTTGTAATATGTATTATATATGTAGCAATGTGTACTATGTTTAAAAACATTCAAGAAGAAAATAAACACCAAATTCAGGAATAGTGGTTACATCTGGGGAGAGAGGGGAGAAAATGAGGTTGGAGAAAGGGCTTCAAATTTGCTTTCTTTTACAAAAAGATACAAAGTAAATAAATATAACAGTTCAAAACCAGTCTCCTTCAGTTCTCCTCCTCAGTGGACAACCATTCTCACATATCCCTGGTGTATCTTTCCAGAGATAGCCTATGCACATACAAGGACACATATGTACATGTATTCCCCTACCCTAACTTCTTTTTAAATAGTGATGGTGGCAAGCATTACATATTGTTGATCTGTACTTTTTAAACAATGTATCTCGAACTTTGATACATGTCAGTGCATAAAGAGCTTCTTTGTTCTTTTTTTTTTTTTTTTTTCGAGACGGAGTCTTGCTCTGTAGCCCAGGCTGGAGAGCAATGGCATGATCTCCTCTCACTGCAACCTCTGCCTCCTGGATTCAAGCGATTCTCCTGCCTCAGCCTCCCGAGTAGCTGGGATTACAGGTGCTTACCACCATGCCCAGCTAATTTTTGTATTTTTAGTTGGCCAGGCTGGTCTCGAACTCTTGACCTCAGGTGATCCACCTGCTTTGGCCTCCCAAAGTGCTGGGACTACAGGCACCAGCCACCGCGCCCGGCCTCTTTGTTCATTTTTTTTTTTTTTTTTACAGCTGTGCAATACTTCTTTGTGTGGCTACCAGAGTTTTTGAACCAGTCTCATATACATAAAATGTAGACTATTCTTTTACTACAAAAAGCTTCACTACAATGAATATCCTTAGAAAAATGTGATTCTACACAAATGCACAGTTTTATTTTTTAAAGACAGAGTTTTGTTCTGTTGTTCAGGCTAGAATGCAGTGGCATCATCATAGCTCATGTAAATTTGAGCTCCTGGGCTCAAGTGATCCTCTTGCCTCAACCTCCTGAGTAGGTAGGACAAAAGACATGCACCACCACTTTTTTTTTTTGTAGAGCTGGGGTCTCATTATGTTGACCAGGTTAGTCTCGAACTCCTGGCCTCAAGCAATCCTCCCTTGTCAGCCTCCCAAAGTACTGGGATTACAGGTGTAAGCCAGTGTGCCTGGCCATTATACAAAATATTAAATCAAAATTTTTTTCTTTTTTTGAGACAGAGTCTCACTCTGTTGCCCAGGCTGGAATGCAGTGGCATTATCTCAACTCACTGCAACCTCCGTGTCCCGAATTCGAGTGAATCTCCTGCCTCAGCTTCTCAAGTGGCCAAGTAGCTGGGACTATAGGCATGCATTACCACACCTGGCTAATTTTTATATTTTTAGTAGAGACAGGGTTTTGCCATGTTGGCTAGACTGGTCTTGAACTCCTGACCTCAGTGATCCACCCACCTTGGCCTCCCTAAGTGCGGGGATTACAGGCGTGAGCCACCGCGCCCAGCCAACCACGCCCAGTTTAAACCACGCCCAGTTTAAACAGGCACCACGCCCAGTTTAAACCAAAAATTTTAAAAATAATTAATACTTAACACTATTAAATCGTATACTTAAAAATAGTTAAGATGGCAAATTGTGTATTTTACCACAAGTAAAGATAAAAATAAATGAATAACTTATGAACAAATTCCCAGAAGCAGAAATGCTGGGTCTTTTCAAACAAACAGTCCTCCAACAAGACCAGATCCATTTACTTTCTGCTCTAACATTTTCCAATGTCTTTTACCCAAGCACAGTTCAATACAGCATATTATCAGACTTTTTTGATCTGAAAAGCGGACGTGGTATTTCACTGCAATCTTAATTTGCGTATTTTATTTTTTGTAAGCTTTCAATTTGTCGCTTATCCATTTATATAATTTTTTCTTTTTTTTTGTTGAGACAGAGTTTTGCCCTTGTTGCCCAGGTTGGAGTACAATGGCGTAATCTCAGCTCACTGTAACCTCCGCCTCCTGGTTTCAAGCAATTCTCCTGCCTCAGCCTCCCAAGTAACTGGGATTACATGCGCCTACCACCATAGCTGGCTAATTTTTTTGTTTTTTTTGTTTTTTTTTGAGATGGAGTCTCACTCTGTTGCCCAGGCTGGAGAGCAGTGGTCAGATCTCGGCTCACTGCAAGCTCTGCCTCCCGGATTCGCGCCATTCTCCTGCTTCAGCCTCCCTAGTAGCTGGGACTATAGGCGCCCGCAACCACACCCAGTTAATTTTTTTTTGTATTTTTAGTAGAGACGGGGTTTCACCTATTATCCAGGATGGTCTCGATCTCCTGACCTCGTGATCTGCCCGCCTCGGCCTCCCAAAGTGCTGGGATTACAGGTGTGAGCCACCGCGCAGGGCCATTTTTTTGTATTTTTTTAGTAGAGATGGGGTTTCACCAGTTGGCCAGGCTGGTCTCGAACTCCCGACCTCAGTTGATCTACCCGCGTTGGCCTTCCAAAGTGCTGGGATTACAGGCGTGAGCCACCGTGCTTGGCCTTATATAATATTTTTTAAAGCATGAGCTATGTTACTTTTGTAGTAAAATAGCCATTGAGGATATTCTTAAAATTTAGGGTCTGGAGAACCTTGATTCAGTTTTTGAGAAGCTTGTTGATGCTTTCAAAAAACCTTATTGCATTATGGCCAGGAGCAGTGTCTCATGCCTGTAATCCCAGCGCTTTGGGATGCCGAAGCAGGTGCATCACCTGAGATCAGCAGTTTGAGACCAGCTTGGCCAACATGGCAAAACCCTATCTCTACTAAAAATAGGAAAAAAATTAGCCGGGTGTGGTGCTGGGTGCCTGTAATCCCAGCTACATGGAAGGGTGAGGCAGGAGAATTGCTTGAACCCAGGAGACGGAGGTTGTAGTGAGCTGAGATCATACCACTGCACTCCAGTCTGGACGACAACCGTGAGACTCCACCTCAAAACAAAAACCAAAAAAACCTTATTGCATAATACCTATATCAATTTCCTGATTTACTATTATACTGTCTTTATGTTTGATGTTACTATTGGGGGAAACTGGGTGAAGGTGTGCAGGACTCTATGTACTATTTTTGAAACTTCTTGTGAGGCTGTATTTCTAAAAAACAAAATTTTGTGATGTTTTTCTGGTTTGGGGGCTCTGCACTGACCAGCTATCATCCTTGAGCCATGATGGCACCCAGGTCTGTGAACTGACAAGCCCTACCTGCAAGACAGCTACTAGATTAGAAAGAATAACTGAGGACTTGAAAAAGAGGCAAGCCTTTGGAGGCTGACTCTGGCCTCTGACTCTGTTAGTGTCACATTCTATCTAACTCAGCGAGCACACAGAAGCCACGCAACTAAAATTCACACTCTGCCATATTTCTTACATTTGTATCTGTGCCATTCATTTAGTGTCCATTCATTTACATAATCCCAATGCCACTAAGGGTAGACCTCTGCAATAAGAGGACCTCTGCAAGGTATACAAACTCCTTTCCTTCTTTTTTTGTTGTTATCCCCTGAATATCTTCTATTTGAATCCTGTAGCTCAAGCCATACATGACTCTCTGGAGGCCCCCTAGCAAGCCTTTGAATTCACAGTTCCCCTGCATCTGGATCTACCCCCTTTTTCCCTCCAGTCCCTTTATGTAAAGAACTCCTACCATTCTTCAAGAAAGTTCAAGCATCATCTCCACTGGGAAGCCTTCCTGGATTTCCTATGAACCTCTCCCCACCTGCTTCCAACTCCACTCCAACAGGTAAAGTTAACTCAATCTTCTAGGCATCCTACTGCAATCTCCGCTAGATAAAGCTCCATTAAAACATTTATATCACTATATTGTCATCATTTGTTTAAACATGTCTGTTCCTAATGGATTAAAAACCCCTGAGGACATATATTTTGTGACATTCATTTTTGTGTTTTCAGTGCCAGCAACAATGCCATACTGAAGGTACTCAGTACATATTTGAGGAAGGAGTTAGCCAGGACCTTGCCAGCTTCCTCTGCACTTCAGCTAAAGCCAACCAAATTCTTGGGTAATTCATTCCAGCCCAGAGCCAGGTGTTTTGACGTCAGCTGAAGCTCTCATAACTCTGCCAAAGAAGAGTTCTTGCCACTGGTTAGGCGCCCTCTAGTTGTGTGACTCTCTCCATATCTGTCTCCTTATCTTTAGTGATTTTGTTTGTTCGTTTGTTTGTTTGTTTTTGAGATGGAGTCTCACTGTCGCTCAGGCTGGAGTGCAGCGGCGCGATCTTGGCTCACTGCAACCTCCGCCTTCCGGGTTCCAGCGATTCTGAGTAGCTGGGATTACAGGCCCGCGCCACCACACCTGGCTTTTGTTGTTGTTGTTGTTTGTTTTGAGACGGAATTTCGCTCTTGTTGCCCAGGCTGGAGTGCAATGGCACGATCTCTGCTCACCGCAACCTCCGCCTCCTGGGTTCAAGCGATTCTCCTGCCTCAGCCTCCCACGTAGCTGGGATTACAGGCATGTCCCACCACGCCCGGCTAATTTTGTATTTTTAGTAGAGACGGGGGTTCTCCATTTTGGTCAGGCTAGTCTCGAACTCCAGACCTCAGGTGAGCTGCCCACTTTGGCCTTCCAAAGTGCTGGGATTACGGGAGTGAGCCACCGTGCCCGGCCTTATTTTTGTATTTTTACTAGAGACGGGGTTTCACCATGTCGGCCAGGCTGGTCTCGAACTCCTGACCTCAGGTGATCCACCCGCCTCGGCTTCCCAAACTGTTGGGATTACAGGCGTGAGACATGGCGCCCGGCCTGTCTCCTTATCTTTAAAATGTGGACAATAAAAGCATCTCCCCACAGGGCTGTAGGGAGGATTACAAGAGATAATGCATGAAAAGCTTTTGGCACAGTGCCTAGCAGAGGGTGGGGTACGCTTCTCAAAGAATAGTCCCGTGCACGCGTTGAATCAATGAGTGGAAGAAATAACTTGAGGTTGCCTGTTTATTTACTGAGTGCCTACCATGGAATCAGGGAAGGTTTTCTGCAACCTTTACTTTGACAGGGAAGGGCTTGTACAGGTGAAGGTGGTAGCCGTCGGTAGCGACGACGAGGGTATTCCAGGCTGTCAGGAGGTTCTTGCCAGACAGCTGTGTGGGAGTGGGCGGCCAGCATCCCCCGAAAGCGCGGGGAAGGCAGCTCGGTCGGGTGGAGGAAGCGATGGCATCCACGCTGAGCTCCAGTCCTGGGTAGTTATTAGCCGCGTGACTTTGGCCAAATTACTGCACCTCTCTCAACTTCCCGAACTGTAGAATGAGTCTGTTAAGAATACTCACATGCCAAGCATCTTGTGAGATCACGCGACCGCACGTATGCGAAGACGCGCTTCATCTAGAAAGCACAAAACTCTCAAGCCGGCCGACACGGCTGCGCTCTTTGCACTTACGGGCCTGGGCTTCCTCTTCAGGCATGCGCGGTGGACCTGCGGCGCGGCCCGTCAGGCACTGCGGTAGGCGCCCTAGGGGCTTGCAGGACCCTGACCCCAAGATGGCGGCGCCCAGCGAAGTGGCCGCGATAGCCCCTGGCGAAGGCGATGGCGGAGGCGGCGGCTTTGGCTCCTGGCTGGACGGACGGTTGGAGGCACTGGGAGTGGACCGAGCCGTTTATGGAGCCTACATCTTGGGTATCCTGCAGGAGGAGGAGGAAGAAGAGAAGCTGGACGCTCTGCAGGGGATCCTCTCTGCTTTCCTGGTGAGTAGCCTGGACACATTCCTTCAGCCTCTGGCCAGCATCTGAGGACCTGTCAGTACTTTGCACCCTCCCTCCCCTACCGGGTATCCCAGAGGCTCAGTGGTCTCACCTGGGAGAGGTATACTCCTCTGATATCTGGGCGGCGGGGGAAGGAGGTTGCTCCCCAACCAGGTGTGGGAAGCCTGAAAGCTGCAGGTACACAGAGAGGAAGGGCTTTCTCGTATTCTTGGGGACAAGGCCCTCTCCGATGCTTGTGAGTGAGCCGAGGAGGGTTCTTCCGAAGGCATTGAAATGTCAGAATGGGAATGTTATCATAAATATCTGACGACCAATTCCATTTCCATCCGTTTACAGTGTTCACTGGGGGTATTAAAATGCTCTTGGGAGGTCTGTGCCTATTACAAGGCAGTTCCCAGGGCTGTCCCATGACAGAAGCCTGCAGGAAGTGCCCTTTTGATTCTTATATGGATGTAGGAGTCCATAAAAGGTAAGCTGGTGGTAGAAGTCTTTTCATGCCCACGCAGAACTGAAGCAAACGTCGTGCTTGATCCATTACAGTATTTACAGTAATCATTGGTGGTGGGAAGGAGGGTATGAGAGAGATCAGAGCTTTAACGAAGAGAGAGAAACTTAGTCCTTAGCCTGTTAGAAGCAAGGTATTCAGAAATGTGTACTTTAAGCTATGTTTACATAGTAAGTCACCCAGATGTCCACTTTTTCAACCTGATCATTTCTGCTGCCTTCATCTTCACTTCCCACACCTCCAACATACACACTTATTAGACTGGTTATTACAGATTAAATTGGTTGTAGGTGCTACCTGTGGCTGTCTAACAAATTGTTTCCTTTTAAATACAAGCTTAAAAATAAAATTTACTTGAATCATCACTAAATGCTGTAGAAGCTAGAGTTGTCTCTGCATTCATGGATTAGAGGAGATCCTGGATACCTGATTGCTACTGTGAGAGCCACCTGTCTGTCCATCAAAGGCTTTATCCTCTGGCATTTATTACAATGGACAGGTTAGAAAAATGGGTTCTTTGTTATTCTCAAAACCAATTTTGAAAGGCTAGTAATAGAATCAAAATGTACCATGAGGTGGGGCACAGTGGCTCATGTTTGTAATCTCACCACTTTGGGAGGCTGAGGTGGGAGGATTGCTTGAGGCCAAGAGTTCCACACCACACTGGGCAACATAGCAAGACCCTGTCTCTACAAAAAAATTTAAAAAATTAGCCAGGTATGGTGGCGCATACCTGTAGTCCCAGCTACTCAGAAGTCTGAAGTGGGAGGATCACTTGAGCCTAGGAGGCTGTGGCTGCAGTGAGCCGTGATTGTGCCACTGCACTCCAGCTTGGGTGACAGAGTGACCCTGTCTCAAAGAAAAAAAAATTAGTATAAATATATATAGATATAAATGTACATATTCATATCTCATTTTTTTAAAAGGGTAGAAGGCAGAAACATTTTCAAATCCAAAAGTGTTTTGTGAAAGCGGAAACAAGTGCTAGGAAAAAATCACTCACATTTGGTGGAAGCAGTTCATAGATTGGGTACATGGTTGAAATATAACACTAGTGCAGCTGTCCCAGATTCTTCTGGCAGTAACCCATTTGAGTTCCAGAGCCTCTTCTGGCAAGATTGGCTTATAAATGGGAAAACTTTAACACAGCCTGTGAGGAAGCTTGGAAGTTCACTGGAAATACAAGACAGTGGAATCAATTCTTTTTTTGGACCACAACATTACAGATTATAGGGAGAAAGAGTAGGAGGCAAGCAATTTAAGGTAGTTTTTATTTACAGCTGGGAAGTTTCTAAACACTCCATGAAGCTGTTGAAATAACTTTGAGACTTCTTGGTACCAGCTTCTTGATCAGTCCATCATTATTTGGAGCTGTTTCTGTTGATAAAGGTAGACATTAGTTTGCCTTTTTTTTTTTTTAAGAGAGTCTCGCTCTGTTATAGTAATGTGATCATAACTCACTGTAGCCTTGAACGACTGGACTCAAGCAATCCCCTCTCATCAGCCTCCCAAGTAGCTAGGACTACAGGCACCTGCCATCACATATCATGCCTGGCTAACTTTTTTTTTTATGTTTTATGTTTTATTTTTTGAGACAAAGTCTCACTCTGTCACCCAGGCTGGAGTGCAGTAGCAAAATCTCGGCTCACTGTAACCTCTGCCTCCTGGGTTCAGGTGATTCTCAGCCTCCCGAGTAGCTGGGATTACAGGCATATGCCACCATGCCTGGCTAATTTTTATATTTTTAGTAGAGATGGGGTTTCACCATGTTGACCAGGCTGGTCTCAAACTCCTGACCTCAAGTGATCCACCCATCTCAGTCTCTCAAAGTGCTGGGGCTATAGGCGTGAGCCACCACACCCAGCCATGCCTGGCTAATTAAAAAAAAAAAATTTTTTTTTGTAGAGACAGGGTTTTGCCATGTTGCTCAGGGTGGTCTTATGCTCCTGGGCTCAAGACATCCTCCTGCCTTGGCCTCCCAAAGTGCTGAGATTACAGATGTGAGCCTCTGTGCCTGACTTGGGCTAGGATTTAATATGAGGAATTTAGAAGTTTGTTAGCAATAATCTGAGGTAAAATTCAAGAACAGTGGCATATAGTTAGGAGCAAATAACAGTAAACAAAAACTTTTATCATCCTTCTCTTCAATAGTACTTGCATTGGTTGATTGATTTATCAAATTTTTATTGATGGATTACCGTATGCCAGGCACTACCCTAAGTGCTTGGGGCACTTCAAAGAATAAAACAGATAGAAATTCCTGCCCTCATGCGGTTACATTCTAGCATGGAAAAGCATCACTAGTAAATTATATAGTATGTTACAAAGTGATAAGTGCCAGGGAAAAAGGAGCATTGTAAGTAGGATAAACTTTCCTCTTAGTGCCTTGAACATAGCAGGCACCTTCTGTATAAATAAATGAAGGAATGGATGATTGAACTACATTGATTTGGATGAGGAGACTGAGGAAATAAACCACTTTGTCCTCTTAAGAGTTCCCGTTCTCTTTTGCCTCTCTGCTGCTCCTTTTCCTGCCATTCTTTTTCTTTTGGTGGGGGATTTTAAAAGAGCTGTACCACTTTCTCATCCTTTTTTCTTTTTCTGTTTCTTTGCTTTTCTTGCTGGTGGGGGTTGGGGGAAACCCATGAACTATTGAAACTCTGGACCAAGGAAGTTCTGTGTGTCTAGCATGTAGCTAAAAGGATGCAAGGTAGAGGAAGAAATCCTTTGCTGGGTACAAAATAAGGATATACATAATAAGTCTGTGTTCTGACTCTCCACTTTTCTTTGGGAGATGGTTAAGAACATGGGCTCGGCTGGGCGCGGTGGCTAACGCCTGTAATCCCAGCACTTTGGGAGGCCAAGGCAGGCGGATCACGAGGTCAGGAGATCGAAACCATCCTGGCTAACATGGTGAAACCCCGTCTCTACTAAAAATACAAAAAATTAGCTGGGCGTGGTGGCGGGCGCCTGTAGTCCCAGCTGCTTGGGAGGCTGAGGCAGGATAATGGCGTGAACCCAGGAGGCAGAGCTTGCATTGAGCCGAGATCGCGCCACTGCACTCCAGCCTGGGCAACAGAGCGAGACTCCGTCTCAAAAAAAAAAGAACATGGGCTCTAAGCCAAACTGCTGGGGTTCAAATTGTGTTTAATCCATTATTACTTGTAAGACCTTGGGCAAAGTAATTAACCTCTGTGCTTTGGTTTCCTCTTCTATAAATTGAGAGTAAAATAGTACTTAATGGCATTATTTTAATAATTGAGAGTTCTCATGTAAGGCTTTTAGAGCAGTGCCTGGCACATGGTAAATGCTTAATAAATGTGAATGCTGACAGCTTGCCCTGAGAGGTAGAACGTGAAGGTGGGGAATGCAGCCGTAATGAAGATGGAGGGAAGTGCTCGTGTTTATTAGATGCTTGTTCTTTGACAAGTAGGGTAGGCATTTATATACATTTTCATTTATCCTCAGTAAAATCCTGGGAGGATGTGAAGATCAGAAAGTTAAGAAACTTCCTCACAGATCTGGGATTTGAACTTAAGTATCTCTAACACTAAAGACAAGATTTTTGTTATATCATGCTGAGGAGGGAGATTGGTTGGTATGCAGAATATGTATGCTTCTCTAAAATGGACAGCGGGATGGTTGGACAAGAGACCATTTTGTCATGTATCTCCTCTTTATTATGTGTCAGCAAGCTAATGGATATGATCTAGCATGAAAGTTGATAACCTTAGGGAAGGTTCTGAATTGTATACGTCAGCCAAGGAATATTTCACAGAGGAGTTTTGACTTAGGGAACAGGTTTTTGCTCCAAAAGAATTGGGGGAGGTGGATGGGAAAAGGGAAGATTGTTGATCAAAGGGTATAAAATTGCAGTTAGACAGAAGGAATATACTTTAGTGATCTGTTGCATAGAATGGTGACTATAATAAGTAATAATCGGCTGGATGTGGTGGCCCAGGCCTGTAATCCCAACACTTTAGGGGGCCAAGATGGGAGGATTGCTTGAGGTCAGGAGCTGGAGACCAGCCTGGGTAAGATAGTGAGACCCCATCTTTTAAAAAAAACAACAAACTCAATTAGCCAGGTGTGGTAGTACATGCTTGCAGTCCTAGCTACTTGAGAGGCTGAGGCAGGAGGATTGCTTGAGCCCAGGAGTTTGAGGTTACAGTGAGCTGTGATTGCACCACTACACTCCAGCCTGGGTAACAGAGTGAGACCCTGTCTCTAAAAAGTAATAATAATAAATAAATAATAATGCATTGTATACTTCAAAATTACTAAAAGAGTACATTTTAAATGTTTTCTTTCTTTCTTTCTTTTTTTTTTTTGAGACAATTTCTCTCCCCTCTCCCAGGCTGGAGTGCAGTGGCGTGATCTCGGCTCACCACAACCTCTGCCTCCTGGGTTCAAGTTATTCTTGTGCCTCAGCCTCCCGAGTACTGTGATTACAGGCATGTGCCACCACACCCGGCTAATTTTTGTATTTTTAGTAGAGATGGGGTTTCAGCACGTTGGCCAGGCTGGTCTTGAACTCCCAGCTTCAAGTGATCCGCCCTCCTCAGCCTCCCAAAGTGCTGGGATTACAGGCGTAAGCCACTGCACCCAGCCTTAAATGTTTTCATCACCAAAAAAATGAGAAATATGTGAGGTGATAGATTTGTTAATTAGCTTGATTTAATTATTCTACAATGTGAACATATATTGAGACATCACAGGGTACCCTACATATATATAATATATACAGTTATTATTTGTCAATTAAAAATAAAATAAATATTTTAAGAGAGAATGAGGAAGGCTGCCCTGAGTTGGTATGAATCTTCCCTTGGAGCTTATCAGGATGGAGTGGCTGTTCTTGATGTAGGAGGTGTGGGTTCTGGGACACACAAGCAGGATCAATTCTGTGTCCAGAGCCTCAGAAAAGAAACATACTCTATTGTGGCTCCCAGACCCTTCCATAATTTCACAGCATGGAGAGCTGTGCTTTCTTCATAGGCTTTTTTGAGGTTACTATTGTTTTTGAGGGCTCCCTCAGGAAATTAATTGGTCTGCTTTTCCAACTAGGAAGAAGATTCCCTCCTTAATATCTGCAAGGAGATTGTGGAACGATGGTCAGAAACTCAGAATGTTGTCACCAAAGTGAAAAAAGAAGGTAGAGTCAGAGTTTCTGTGTTTAACTTCCTGAGCCTTTTCCAGCAGCCTTGACTGTATAGCTGTTAGGAAGAGATCTTTTCATTTTCCCCTTGGATGCTCATTTTCCCGAAGATAGTGTACACTGGCAAACACCCAACAGCCTGTGTTACCTTTACTGAACATTGGCTTCCTTTTCTTTTTTTGCATTTTTCCATTTCGACTGACCACAGTTTTCTTCATTGTGGTTTTTTACTTTTTCTTTTTCATCATCTTTCCACTGCTTCTTGTAGATTTGCATTGCAGGTATGGAGTCAACTATATTTTTACCACTTCCTACTTTTTTCATGTTGTCTTTTTTTTTTGAGACAGAGTCTTGCTGTGTCACCCAGGCTGGAGTGCAGTGGCGTAATCTCAGCTCACTGTAACTGCTGCCTCCCAGATTCAAGTGATTCTTGTGCCTCAGCCTCGTGAATAGCTGGGACTACAGGCTCATGTCACCATGCCTGGCTAATTTTTGTGTTTTTAGTAGAGATGGGGATTTCACCATGTTGACCAGGCTGGTCTCGAACTCCTGACCTCATGTGATCTGCCCACCTCAGCCTCCCAAAGTGCTGGGATTACAGGCATGAGCTACAGCACCCTGCCTCATGTTGTCATTTCATAACACAAATTATGGTTGGTATTTGGCTTTATTCAGCTAAACACTTTACCCTTTAAAATGGAAGAGAAATGGGCGAATATACCCACCACTAGGATGGTAAATTAGGTACAGAAAACTCAAATCATAAAAGCCAAATTTGGAAAGATTCTGAACTCTGTACACTGTTGGTTCTCAGTTTTGGCTGTATATTAGAATCACTTAATGTACCTGGGTTGGGGCCCAGGCATTTGTATTTTTTAAAAGCTCCTGTAGGTGATTCTAATGTGCAACCAAGTGTGAGAACTACTATTTTACACCATTGTTTCCTTTTCTTGAGACTGGAGAACTTACTAGTTGATTTTATTTTATAGCATGGCAAAATATTTTTTTTTTTGAGACGGAGTTTTGCTCTGTCGCCCAGGCTGGAGTGCAGTGGCGTGATCTCGGCTCACTGCAAGCTCCGCCTCCCCGGGTTCACGCCATTCTCCTGCCTCAGCCTCCCGAGTAGCTGGGACTACAGGCGCCCGTCACCACGCCTGGCTAATTTTTGTATTTTTAGTAGAGACGGGGTTTCACTGTGTTAGCCGGGATGGTCTCGATCTCCTGACCTCATGATCCACCTGCCTTGGCCTCCCAAAGTGTTGGGATTACAGGCGTGAGCCACCGCGCCCGGCCAAAATATTCTTAATCTAAGAATTCCACCTGGCATAATCAGAAACATAAACAGGACCAGCTTAAGTTGATTTTAGATTCCTGCTTAGGTTTTTGGGATGCCATGGGGAAGTTGAGTGTTCAGAGGCTTAGTTTTCTGTGGTTCTAATGCAGTGCTTTTCAACCTTTTTTTTTTTTTTTTTTTTTTAAGGCAGCAGAACTTCAGTATATAAAACAAGTAAAATCAGGGCTGCTCTGATTGAAGATGGATACAAAGCTTGGCCTGCATGGCCTTTCCTTTCCTTTCTCAATGGCCCCCGAGCCATGTCCTTTGAACTGCCAGGCTCTAAGGAGGCAGCAGATGCCAATGTCTTCAGTACAAGTGCTGCCTATGTGGACTAGTGGTTCAGTGAGCTTGTTCTCTCTCATACAACCTTGTTCTTCCTTCCACCACCTCCCAGATGAAGTACAGGCCATTGCCACCCTAATTGAGAAGCAGGCACAAATCGTAGTAAAGCCAAGGATGGTGTCAGAAGAGGAGAAGCAGAGAAAAGCTGCCCTCCTGGCCCAGTATGCTGATGTGACAGATGAAGAGGAATATCCTTTCTGGAGTCTCGGCACCATTCCCTAAAGCTCAAGCCAGACATATTTGTGGGTTTACAGTGACCTTTGGCAAGTTGCTAATCCCCCTCTATAGCTTAATTTTCCCCTCTAAAATGGCAGTAATCTATGGCCCTTTGTGGATATGCGGAGTGATATTGGATTAGTTGATACTGGACTTATATTTTTCAACACATAATCATTATATTCCTGAAAACTTTGGTGTAAAACAAATAATGTCTTAATAGTCCATTTATATTATGCTTTCAGAAAATACAATATAGCTGTAATTCTTTATATTTGTATAATACTTTTCTATACAGTGTAGTATAAAGTATAATCCATCTTTATGTTCTTTCCCAGTCAATAAGGAAACTGAGACACCAACAGATGAATGGGTGATCAGAGGCATTCAGAAGATTAGTGGCAAAACCAGGACTAGAACCTGGGTATTTTTGGGTGAAAGATTCTCTAAATTTAGAGCAGCTTGCATCTTTTCTTTCTTATGTGACCAGGTAGTTAAAAGTAAGGCTGAACCTCCAAAGCAATACCAGAATAATTCTGGACAGAGTCTCGCTTCGTCGCTTAGGCTGGAGTGCAGTGGTACAATCTCGGCTCACTGCAACCTCTGCCTCCCGGGTTCAAGCCATTCTCCTGCCTCAGCCTCCCGAGTAGCTGGGACTATAGGCACGTGCCACCACGCCCAGCTAATTTTTCGTATTTTTAGTAGAGACAGTGTTTCACCATGTTAGCCAGGCTGGTCTCGATCTCCTGACCTCATGATCTGCCTGCCTCACCCTCCCAAAGTGCTGGGATTACAAGCGTGAGCCACCGCGCCTGGCCTCTCTTCTAATTTTTTTTTTACGAGTTTTCTTGCCAGGGTTGGCAGAGCTATGGTTCCGGTGACATAATTTCTCATCTTGGGCTAGAAAAGGACTTTTAAAGCAGTGGTTCTCCTGGAGGACTTGTTAAAACACAGATTGCTGGGCTTCACCCACAATTTAGTAGGTTTGGCATAGGTCCCAAGAATGTGTATTTCTAATATATTCCTGGGGGTTTTGTGAACCACACTTTGAGAACCACTGTTTAAAGGTCATCTGGCTTCCAGGTAATGTGGCAATCCACCCAGACCAACTTAAGTTTCTTTTCAGCCTCCAAGAAAAGGATCTTATAGAAGATATATCAATCTTTCCTAAGTTGAGGTTTCCAAAGATGAATCTCCTGGGTTTATCGCCATATCCCTGATAATGTGCTCCCTCCATTCAGTGTGCTTTTCCTACTTACCAGTCTATTGAATGTTTTCTAATGTTAGGTTGGGATGTTGTTTTCCATCTGACTTTCCTTAACATCACTTACTGAAGCAGATGAGAAGGATGATTCAGGTGCTACCACAATGAACATTGGTTCTGACAAACGTATCCTTCTGGGTCCCTCCCTATGTGTTTCTCCATAGAGTCCTCTTGAGATCAGTTTTTATTTTGCTGTCATTGCTGGCGGCTCCCCTTTACCTTCAGGAACTCATGTCATGCTAACATTGGGAGCCCTATTCCTAGGACAGCCCTAGATAGTCAGTTTAGCAAGAACTTTCCCCAGAGAAAACAAGTTAACAAGTACTGTAAAGGGATTAGTTTGGAGGAAGGATTTCTAAGGGAAAAATAAAAATCTATACTCTGAGTTGCCCAGCATTAGGGAGAAAATTAAAATAATATTGAGGTCAGGCGTGATGGCTTACACCTGTAGTCCTGGCACTTTGGGAAGCCGAGACAGGTGGATCGTTTGAGCCCAGGAGTTTGAGACCAGCCTGGGCAACATGGCAAAACCCTGTCTCTACTAAAAAAAATACAAAACACTAGCCAGGTGTAGTGGCATGTGCCTATAGTCATAGTCCCAGATACTCAGGAGGCTGAGGTGGGAGAATCACCTGAGCCCAGGAAGTCAAGGCTGCAGTGAGCCGAGATCTTGCCACTGCACTCTGGCCTGGGATATGAGAGTGAGACTGTGTCTCAAAAAATAATAAAATAATGTTGAAATTTTCTCTTTTTCCTCAAAAACCTTATAATTTGTCAGAGAATACAAACACCAAACACTTTTTTTTTTCTTTTTTTTGGGACAGAGTCTCGCTCTGTTGCCCAGGCTGGAGTGCAGTGGTGCGATCTCGGCTCACTGCAGCCTCCGCCTCCTGGGTTAAAGTGATTCTCCTGCCTTAGCCTCCCGAGTAGCTGGGACTACAGGTGTGTGTGCCACCATGCCCGGCTAATTTTTTGTATTTTTAGTAGAGACGGGGTTTCACCTGTTAGCCAGGATGGTCTCGATCTCCTGACCTCATGATCTACCTGCCTCAGTCTCCCAAGTGCTGGGATTACAGGCATGAGCCACTGCGCCCAGCCTAAACTCATTTTCTATCTCTTATAGATTCAGTGTGTATGGTTATTAGAATGTGGTTTTCACTTCAGCTTTAGTAGTCTAGGAACAAAAGCAAATTGATAAAGTTTAATAAGGTTAAACATCTTATTTAACTCTTTTAAGGCATTTTAACAGAGCCAAGTACATAAACATTTAGTCAGTTACATTACTACTCTGTTCACCAAAACTAGCCTAGATTCTCTAATATTCTGCCATTGAATGATATAAGTACTTATTCTAGAATGAAATTTCATTTTGATGAAATATTTTGTTTTCTTATTTTTTTGTTTCTTTGGTAAAATATTTTAAAATTCAGATTTAGGTAAATCTGAATAAGAGTTTTATTCCAAAGGACATTTTAAAACTTTTGTAATATAGCTTTAGGATTTCTCTGTTAGACCAAGGATAAACATAAGGGTTTTTTTTAAAAAACCAGGAATAGATAAAGACGATTCAGGACTCAGCAGGTGGAGAGAGGATAAGTAGAATGAGGAAAGGCAGCAGTAGGTGTGATCTGTGTGACCTGTACCCTAATCCCTTAACTCACCTGTAGTTCTGTTCCGAAACACCAATGTGGAAGATGTCCTTAATGCCCGAAAACTGGAGCGAGACTCACTTCGGGATGAATCCCAAAGGAAGAAGGAACAGGACAAGCTGCAGAGGGAGAGAGACAAACTAGCCAAGCAGGAGCGCAAGGAAAAGGAAAAAAAAAGGACACAGAGAGGGGAGCGAAAGCGATAACCTTGGCCTACTCTATTCTTTCCCCCCATGAACTTATCAAAGGGAGAACTGGTTGTGTATTTAAGAGAAATGAGAGTGCATTGCAAAGTAGTTTCCCAAGGCATTTCCCCTATTGTTTACATGGTCAAAAGGAAAATCAAAATCACTTCTAATTACAAAATGTGCTGTTTTGGTGGGGTGGGCAATCAGATTATTATAGTTGATGACTGTACCAAAGATCTGGAATGGGGGCCACCTTTATATTTTAATACTCAAGTCCTGTGCTCCTTTTGGCCACTTTAAAAAGTCTTCCCTCACCTTGGATAAATAGGATTCAGAAAGCTAACAGTTTTCATTCTGAAGGAGCAGAAACATAATCAATCCCTCCCTGAGATAAAATGTGGGCATGCACATTGCTTTGGAGTCAGTATTCAGCTGTAAGTGTAGTATTGTTTTATGGCTGAAATAGAAAGCTAATGAAGAGGCCTACCTGGATCCAGATTTTATGTTAACATGGCAGCAAAACTAGGAAAATGGGAAGAAATTACTTGCGGGGTGTTCTAGATCTGATTTTTTTTTTTTTTTTGAAAGTTTCAGCCTGTGGGAGGAAAAGAGGTATCTTTTAAAATAGAGATAGTTACATATTTTCCTCATCTAGGCTGTGTCACTATTGGGTGCAAGGATATCATTGTTGGCTAGATTCATTTTGTATAATCATGTATCCTCTTGTGTGCTGGTAGAGATTTTAATCCTGATTTTTCCATAAAACATGAGTATTAAGAAATAATTCCTGGTTTGGAGAAACTGGAGAAATCACCCTTTTAAGGAAGAAACACTGGAAATTTCTGCTAACACCAAGATATTTAAGAGTGTACATAGTAGGTGCTCAACAAATTTATTGAATGAATGAGTGAATGGAAAAACTGGGAGAGTCAAAAGTGAGCAGAAGCTCTCCATTTCTACTTCTGTCACAAACCACATTAAATTGTAAATAAGGCCCTTCTCCACTTGACTTCAGGCAGCAGATTGTCTAGAAGCCTAAGGACAGCAATTTCTCTGACAAGACAAAGTAGATATTTTATACCAGGGGTTGGCAAACTACTGCCCACGGGCCGAATTTGGCCCAGTCTGTTTTTGTATGGTGCAAACTAAAAATGATTTTTACATTTTTAAAGAGTTATAAAAGAAAAAAATATGTGGTCTGTGAAATCTAAAATATTTACTACCTGGCCTGTTGGAGGAAAGGTTTGCCAATCTCTGTTTTATACCATTAACTATGAGATTAACAAAAACTTTTACCTTTGTGCAGAAGGTTAAAAAAAAAAAAACATGGTTAAGGAAAAGGAGACATGTTACCTCTTCATACACTCCTATAACTGTGGCATTGCAAAAAATAAAAATAACCACCTTTAAAAAAATAAATCTTATTTAAATTGCTGTCTTCTGACTTATTTTGATTGCTTCTACGTACCCATGGAAATGAAATATGTGTGAGTAGTTACTTAGGAATGTGTTGATTTTTATTTTATGCTTTGTTTTGATTAGCCCTATAACTTATATTCCACTAGTGGAAGCTCTTCCTGGAATCCATAAATCCTCTTTCTCAATTTTCCTTTTTGTGAAGTAGGAATTAGATCAGAAAGATTAGCATGTTTTTTGGAACATCAGGAAATTGGCTTAGAGGTCCTTACTATTACAGTCTTAGTCCTTTATGTGGTGGTAGCGATAGGGTATGATAGAGCCTATTTTAATTTAGTAATCCTTATTTTGGGATTTTGGGTTGTTCTCACCTTGATTTTTGTCACTGAAGGAGTCAGGTTATATCCACGGTCCCCTGAAGGGTACTTGTTTCAATTTGTTAGTAGTCAGTTCTTTCTTCTGGGACTCTGCTATGTATGTCACAGTTAAGTATACTCTCAAACTAATGCTTAAACAGAAAATAGAGGATCAGCTCATTAGGCTTTGAGTTTAGTTATCCACTTGACTCAGGTGCTAATAAATCCTTTACGTCTAAAATGTTCAGTATTGCAAAGGGCATATTTTTTTTGTTTGTTTTTTGAAACGGATCACTCTGTCACCCAGGCTGGAGTGCAGTGGCGCCATGTTGGCTCACTGCAACCTCCACCTTGCGGGTTCAAGTGATTCTCCTGCCTCCCCCTCCCAAGTAGCTGAGACTACAGGCGAGTGCCACCACACCCAGCTAATTTTTTGTATTTTTAGTAGAGATGGGGTTTCACCGTGTTAGCCAGGATGGTCTCGATCTCCTGACCTCGTGATCCACCCGCCTCAGCCTCCCAAAGTGCTGGGATTACAGGCGTGATCCACCGGCACCCAGCTGCAAAGGGCAAATTTTAAACAACCATATCTTCTATGGTAAGATTGAGTTTTAGGCCAGATTTTGGATTTCAGTCATAAATTCTCAACCCTCTAAAACTTTATAGTAGCAGATTATTCAAGTGAGAAGGACACTGATAACAACTCAAGGTAATTTTGCTTTTTCCATTAAAAAGAATGAGTACACCAAGTTCTTTCAGATTAGAAATGGCGGGAGCATCAGTTTTATCAGTTTCACTGCAAATTTTGTAAAAGTTTTATAATGTTTTCATAGGTTGTAATTCAGAAGTACAATGTTTTATAGGTTGTAATTCAGAAATACAAGTACATAAGAACCATCTGTTAGAGGATATGCCACTGAAAGGGACAACCGACTAATTTAAAAATTATCTATTGGGTGATATGATTAACAATATTTCAAAGAATTTTTTTAAGTGTTTGGTTCTTATTAACGGACTGGTATTTCATTTCTGACCAGTATCATGTAAAAGCTTCCCTAAAATTTTTATTCTGGTTTACACGGATTAGCATAAAGATAGAGCAAAAATTTCATCTTTGAAGGAGATCTGGTTAGATCCATGGATATCTGAATGGCATTGATTTATAAACCAACATTATTACTTGTGCGTTAATAATGAAATCTAAAACTTAGTATAAGTTCTTAAATGAAATTCATTTGACTTTCTGATATGAGTGACTCTTAAGGTTAGAAACATATGAATTTAGAAAAATGAAACCAAATGTTTTCAACAAAGTAATTTATTTTTTTCCTGAGACTAAATTCAGTACAGTATTTGTTTTTATAACATCCAACATGTCTTATGTTAAACTTAACCACTTTCTATGCAGTGACTGTGGTGAGATGATCTATTTTATTTGACTACCCTCAATGTAATTCATTTGGGTAGTTCTAAGGCATATCAGTGATCAAAATGTTTCTCCCTACAGTTACTCTTGCATTCTCAATCAGTTTCTTCTGCACATCATCTAAAGAAAATTTATGTGGTATGATTACACTCTTTTTTTTTTTAATACCAGAATTTCTAAAACTAAGAAAAACACTAACATTTAAAACATCAGTGTTTCTAGTCAAGGATATTTCAATTAAATTTCATCAGTACATTATAGTTTAACTCATGCTAGAAATGTTAAAACCCAAGATCTTCTGAGTCACATAATACCAACATTTCATATTAACGAATAAATTACTCAAGTTCTATACAAAGATACTAAGTGATGAGAAACAGAAAAAGTTAAGCTTTCAATAGTTTTAAAAAAATACAGAAGCAAACTAATGAACACAACTACGCAAAATATAGGCTAACCAATTGCAAGCTAAACTAGTTAGAGATTAACCTTTAAAAAATACATTTTAGAACTTAGAAGCAAACTAATGAACACAACTACACAAAATATACACTAACCAATTGCAAGCTAAACTAGTTAGAGATTAACCTTTAAAAAAATACATTTTAGAACTTCGTGACACCCTCATAAAAGGCAGCAAACTAAGGGTATTAAAACAGTAGTCATTATTTCAGTTACTGTGCATCAAGTCTAAAAGATCCAGATAAAGGGAATGTTTTGTGATTCAATTTAAATAACTTTAAAATTGGAAACATTTAACAATTGATAATATAATTAAAATTTAAAGAATATACACAAATGATCTGAATAGGTTTTATATTCAGTAACTTGCATGGTTTTTACACTGACACTTTTATCATTAATTTAGGAGAATCAGATGCATTTCCCTCCATATACCTAGGCATTAAGATTCCAAATTTATAAATATGGTAGTATAGTATTTTAAATATTAAGTTTGTACATGAATATTGGGTTTATCCGTATTTTCCTTTGTTTCCCAGGTATTATCCAGTTTTGTAAGGAAAACACTTTGATATCACAATCAAAACTTGTCTTGGTTACTAGGCTGTAGCCGTAATTGGGTTACAGTCACTTAGATTCATTATTTGGAATTATACTTAACTAAGACAAACCTAAATGAAATTTATCTCCTAGAAGAATTTCACATTTGCATTTACCTGCATGGCAGAATGAGTTTAAGCACATTTTAGCTGTTAGGAAATATTTAATTTACTTAAACTTGTTATCTGACTACTCAGAACTCTGAGTAGTCAACTGTACCTTTGCGTTTACTTAAAACTATATCGGATTCACTTCAAATAGAAGATTTTTAAATAGAAGTTAGACTTCATTAAGGTACTGGTATTAACTTTAAATCTGAAAGAAAACATACTGAAAGTTTGACAAGTTCATTAAAACATTTTTAGCATGTCTTGGTATATTTATCAGCTTTTTATTCTTCTTTCTGCTGGCATTTCCTTAATGTTTGTTTGTTTCACCTCTCTGGTTCATTGGATTGCTACTATTTATGCTTTCATGGACTTTATCTTCACAGTTTACTGTATCTTGTAAAGGCTTTACCACATCAGCTGTACTGGCTGTTTTTGGCAAGGTCATCTGCAGTGCACACCACAGGGCAGTGCGTGTTTTCCGAGTAGCCACACACATCTCTTTAATTGCAGAAGCAAGGGCAAAAACATCTGTAAAATAAACATTCAGGGTCATTTCATATTAAATGCCATTTAAATATCTGTTAAATCTTACAAAACCCAGTGCTTTTGCTACTAAATGATCAAATGTTATTTTTGTAAAAAAAGGATAGTTATTGATTGAACCAAAGTCCTGTCCTTTATCATTAAAATATTTAAAAGTATTGATACTTTATTTCTGACTTGTACAATAGTGACTATAGTTTGAGTAGAACACAGACTGTCTTGAAACAGTTATAACAGACAAAATTAATAAAATGGAAATACTTTTGGAGTAAATAATGTGGAGATTATTTACCAATTTATTCTGTAGGTAAGTGTTAATTTTAGAAATCTAATCTTTCAACCTCAGAATCTGATTTTATCAATACCTAAATTATCACACTGACTTATCACAAGAATATGCATTAATATTTGTACCTCTGTCATCTTGGCATCTAGGAACTCCTTGCCTTTGCCGATTGGAAGCATTAACAATTTCATCCTTTCTACGTGACTGTACAATGTGAATAGACTCCAAGTGTCTATCAAGAGCAGTAGAGATACTGGCATGAAGAAGAGAACTCCGAAGACGTTCCATTTTGCCTAGTAAAGTCACAACCTGAGGGAAGCATTTTAAATTTTGATAAGACATGTCCTGCCATTAACTTAAGTAAAAACAAATCTTCAGTGAAGCAGAATAGAGATGACAGCAATAATATTCATTCAATAAATCAAAGAATGCTTACTGTGTCCTGACACCATGCTGGGGGAAACAAAAATGGAAAGTGTTTTCTATCTACTTGTCTATGTTAATTCTAAAAATATGTGGTAGTTGATTACTGAAAATAAGCATCAATGAAAATGTTAAATATTCAAACATTACCATGTCATTAACTGCAAATACAAGATCTGATACTGTTTTTGACAAATAAGAGACCAGCCTGCAAACAGCATTGTTAGGAAGTATTGTAATCTAATGGAAAAAGTTTTGAGCTAAAAAGAGAAGTACTTGACTGATTAATCCTGACCTCAACAAGTCTTTAATTTTTCTGGGCCTCCAATGTTCCCTTTTTGGAAATCAGAAATATTCAGATAGTAATACTGACTAGTGATAGCTTTAAGGAATCCATAATACAGAAAATACTGATTTAAATTTACATTAAAACAATACAAAATGACTCCTGTAACTGTCAAAACTGCTAAAGAAAATTAGGATGCTTCTCAATCCTCTGGATGATGAAACTTAAAAAAGGGCACTGATATATTAGGTCAGTAGGGGGAGTATGTTTCATATGCCTAACTTGTTTCAAATTCTAAACTTGGAAAGTATATGGAAAGAGAACTTTTTGAATAATTGCAATTTGAAGATCAAGTAAATACAGTAATTGTCTTTGGGAATTAAATGATTTAACAATTGATAGCAGAACTTGGTGTTCACTGATTGGAGAATATAGGGGGAAAAAGCTTCTCAAGAAACCAATGGCACTGGAATTAATGTTTCTCTAACCTCAAACTCGTATTAAGTTTCTTCATAATAAGTCTATTCCGTATGTTAAATATTTTCCTCTCAACTGTGTATCAGCCAGATCCTTCAGGGGAAAACAAAACACACACAAAAAAACCTCCAGGGAACTACTAATTATTTTTAAATAAGACAATAATTTTGAGCAAATGATAAAGAGTAAAGAAATGTGCAAATTGGGGCTGGGCACTGTAGCTCACACCTGTAATCCCAGCACTTTGGGGAGGCCGAGGCGGGCGGATCATTTGAGATCAGGAGTTCGAGACCAGCCTGACCAACATGGTGAAACCCTGTCTCTACTAAAAATACAAAAAATTAGTCGGGTGTGGTGGTACACACCTGTAATCTCAGCTATTCAGGAGGCTGAGGCAGGAAAATCGCTTGAACCCGCGAGGCAGAGGTTGCAGTGAGCCAAGATCTTGTCAGAGTGAGACTCCATCTCAAAAAAAGAGAAAAGTCTGCACAGGTGATTTTTAAATAAAGTTTAAAAAATATTTTTTTTTCAAAATTCTACAAAGCTAGCAAACTAGAAAATAGTAATTTTTTTTTTTTCTTTTGAGACGGAGTCTTGCTCTGTCGCCCAGGCTGGAGTGCAGTGGCGCGATCTCGGCTCACTGCAAGCTCCGTCTGCCAGGTTCACACCATTCTCCTGCCTCAGCCTCCCGAGTAGCTGGGACTACAGGCGCCTGCCACCATGCTCGGCTAATTTTTTATATTTTTAGTAGAGACCGGGTTTCACCGTGTTAGCCAGGATGGTCTTGATCTCCTGACCTTGTGATCCGCCCACCTTGGCCTCCCAAAGTGCTGGGATTACAGGCATGAACCACCACGCCCGGCGAAAATGTAATTTTAAAATCCTCTGTTAATGAAATAATGTTGCTAAGTATAGATAAAATGAATTTTTTTTTTTTTTTTGAGACAGGGTCCCACTCTGTCCCAGGCTGGCATGCAGTGGTATCATCTCAGCTCACTGCAACCTCTGCCTCCCAGGCTCAAGTGATCCTCCCACCTAAGCCTTCCGAGTAGCTGGGACTATAGGCACATGCCACCATGCCCAGCTAATTTTTGTAAAGAAAATAAAATTATTATAACAGGCATAAACATATCCTTCTAAATTAATGTGAAGCATAAGCAAAGCTGGGAAAAGTATATCACTATCCACAGTATGTCATCCTTCATTTCCTAGAAATGTATTACTGAGATAAAGAAATTTTAATTTGGAAGTTTTTTTTTTTTTTAAATAATAAAAGATTGAAGTTTTTATTAACATCTGGCTGTACCTCATATGTTAGGCTCTGAATGTACCATGGATAAATTCCATTGTACAGATTTACAAATTTGACCCATGTTGATTTTTCTAATTCCTAAAATGGTTTTATTCAATAAAAGAGGTAATCCGTTTTGCTGCATTTTTTTTTCCCAGGAAGAATCTTTATCAAATTTTATTTGGAAAACTAAGTTTTTAAGAGAGGAAGGTCAAAAAAGGAAAAGTTTACCTACCCTAAGTTGCTTAGAAAATTCTGAAATTATAAAGAATAGGAATAATCATTAAATTACAAAATGACTTAACGAGGATTCTTTACAACATTTGACTTGAAGTCATATCCTACTTCGCCAAAACAAAAGTATTTTGTTGACTGGTGGTGGCTCACACCCAGCACTTTGGTAGGCTGAGGCAGGTGGATTGCTTGAGCTCAGGAGTTTGAGACCAACCTGTGCAACATGGCGAAACCCTGTCTCTATAAAAAATACAAAAATTAGATATGTGTGGTAGCGTGCATCTGTAGTCCCAGCTATTTGGGGGCTTAGGCAGGAGGATCTCTTGAACCCAGAAGGTCAAGGCTACAGTGAGCATAGATCATGCCACTGCACTCTAGCCTGGGTGACAAAGTGAGACCCGCCTCAAAAAAAAAAAAAAAAAAAAGGAAAGATAGTAATTCCCTATTAAGTTACCATCTTATGTAAGCACAGCTTGCTCATCAAGCTGGAAAACAAATGTGACAAAGAAATGAGACTTTCTCCATAAATAATACTCAAAATGATTTTTGCTTTTTAAAAAATTCTTTCAGTTGAGGATTAGCTCCACTGCCAATTTGAGCTTCAAGAGGAACCATTTAAATTACGAAAATTACTTTTAAAATGATTGAGTGGGACTATTTTCCCGTTCCTTTTTCTTTTTTTTTCTTTTTTTTTTTTTTTTGAGACAAGATCTTGCTCTGTTCCCCAGGTTGGAATGCAATGGTGTGGTTATGGCTCACTGTAGCCCTGACATCCCAGGCTCAAGCTATCTTCCCACCTCAGCCTCCTGAGTAGCATAAGCATGTGACACCATGTCCAGCTAATTTTTAATTTTTAGTAGAGACAGGATCTCCCTATGTTGCCCAGGATGGTCTCAAACTCCTGGGCTCAAGTGATTCTCCCACCTCCACTTCCCAAAGTGCTGGTATTACAGGTGTGAGCCACTGCACCCAGCCCCTTTCCTAAATATTATAGTTCTAGGACCAAACATGAAAAAAATATATTTCAGAGAGTTAGATGTAAATGTGATTTAAAAACCCTTCAAAGCTCTAAAACTTGATGAGAGTTTTATTTATTTATTTATTGAGATAGAGTCTCGCTCTGTCACTCAGGCTGGAGTGCAGTGGCGTGATCTTCACTCACTGCAACCTCTGCCTCCTGGGTTTAAATGATTCTCCTGCCTCAGCCTCCCAAGTAGCTGGGACTACAGGCGCATGCCACCACCCCCAGCTAATTTTTGTATTTTTAGTAGAGACGGGGTTTCACCATAATGGCCAGGCTGGTCTCGAACTCCTGACTTCAGGTGATCTGCCCGCCTCGGCCTCCCAAAGTGGTGGGATTACAGGAGTGAGCCACCACGCCTGGCCTGAAACTTAAAAAAAATTTAACAAAAAATCCATCCACTGTTATCTATTTTTACAGCTTACTCTGGCTAGTTCTCGAAGTTCATCCACAATTAAGCGATCAACTCTAGATGGGTTGGAAGTCAGCCTTGGAACTGGAGTGTTGTTAGTACTGGATACTTTTTTTCCAGGATAATTCTTGGCAAGGGCTAATTCAGTCTGTAAAAAATTACATACTTTTTAGATGTAGAATTTTCTAAATATGATTCGACCATGAATAATAGTTTTCGTAAGCCTAATAAATAGAGTATTACCACTTTAAATGAAAATTCTGTTTTGGTATCAAAAGACAACAAATGTAAACCACAATACCACAGTATTTTTCTATCTTTTTTTTTTCAGATGGAGTCTCACTCTATTGCCCAGGCTGGAGTGCAGTGGTGCAGTCTCGGCTCACTGTAACCTCCGTTTCCCGGGTTCAAGCGATTCTCCTGCCTCAGCCTCCCGCGTAGCTGGGATTACAGGTGCCTGCCACCACGCCTGGCTAATTTTTTGTATTTTTAGTAGAGACTGGGTTTCACCATGTTGGCCAGGCTGGTCTCCAACTCCTGACCTTGTGATCTGCCCACCTTGGCCTCCCAAAGTGCTGGGATTACAGGCGTGAGCCACCGCGCCCAGCTATCGTCTTAATACAAATAAAATACCTGAGTATACCAACAGGTTAACACTACAAAATTCAAAGAAATAAACTTGTAACAACTAAGGGGGTAAAAAATCTACTTCAGGGCAAGTCAACTTAGAATAACAATAACTTTAAAATGTCAAGCATTTTTCATCTTCATTTATTTAAGCTTCCCATTGGCCAACCCCATCCATTTTTAGTTTTTAAGTAACCCACTTAATTCCTTACAGTAATGAACTTACAGCAAATCCTGGACATTATAGAATTCAGCTCAGAAATAAGGCAAGTTAGCCGGGTGCAGTGGCTCACATCTGTAATGCCAACACTTGGGACATCAAGGTGGGAGGATGGCTTGAGGCCAGGGGTTTGAGACCACCGTGGGGAACATAGTGAAACCTAATGTCTACAAAAAATTAAAATTAGCCAGGCATGGTGGCATGTGCCTGTAGTACTAGCTACTCAGGAGGAGGAAGGATTGCTTGAGCCCAGGAGTTTGGTTACAGTAAACTATGATTCTGCCACTGTACTCCAGCCTGGGCAACAGAGCGAGACTCTGTCTCTTTAAAACAACAACAAATAAAGCAAAAAGAAATAAGGCAAGTACTCTTACACTACACTAAGGTAAACAGAATGAAGACAGGCAAAAGGAACATACTGTTATTCCTAAGTGGTTAACTTTGTGTTACCTTTTTTCTCTCTTTTTCTAATGCTCTCCATTGTTCACAGCACTCTTCTAGACGAATATGAAGTTCACTGGCTGGTCCACTACGGGTTTTAATTGGTCTTTGAAATCCAAAAGTTGGCATGAGACCAGAAAAAGAATTATCACCATACATCATATTAAAATAAGGGTACAAATGGCTTAAGTCATCATAAGAAAGTAAGTCATAGGAATCCAACAGTGGAACAACTGAATGGCCAAATGGGTGGGTGGATCTTAGGGGAAACCCATTTGAACCAAGTTGTTGAAAACACTGATTATGCCTTAAATCTCCCATCATATAATTATTAGAAAAGCATGACACTTGTGTGCGATTCACACGGCTATTGTCTCCACCTCTCGTTCTGTGGCTATTAGAATGACCCTGTGACTCCAGTAGATCTTGGTATGTATTTTGTGATAAGCCATCTAAATGCTTTGGACCTTCCTCAGGATCATAATGTCCACTCTGGGGCTTGGCTTGAAAATTATGTTTGTTTACATTTTCAATTATCCCATACTTCTGAGCTGAATAGTTATCACAAAATCCATTTGGCTGCTTTATTTTTTTATCCGTAACCAATTTGAAGAGATTTTCTTCTCCAGGCTTTGTTAGTCCTTCTATGTGATTGACAGATTGGATTCTTTCTGCACCACTGTAACTAAAATCAAAACTAGAAAATGCTGAAGGGTTTTCTTGGCAATATTTCTGAAATAAATTGCTATTTGGGGTTAAGTTTGTGGATGATAGTTGGGGGAAATCTGAAGAATGGTTAGAACCTTTTGAAGCTGCACTTAAATGACTATTTAATTTCATCAAGTTACCTTGATTTCGATAAGGAATAGGAGTGTTATTTTTTGTTTGAACATTCATCCAAGTTGGTCTGTTTAAATTGATACCTCCTGAAGATGTTGCTGAGTTTGATAATAAATTCACTGATTTAAAATACTCAGAATGTGGGGGATCAGGTTTAGCAAACTGTTGCTTTTCTGTGACGTTAGCAAAATCATTAGCGGGACAAGCTGTGTGAGGTTTTAGTCCATATTCTGATGTTAAGCCAAAATCAGCAGTGAATACTGCTTCCTTTGCAAACTGTTTCTCTGTCAGATGTGGCGTAGTTTTTGGAAATGTGAAATTCTGCTGATCAGGGATTGTCTCCTCCATTTTTTTCTGATTCGCTGGCTTAACCTGAAATAACTTTGTGTAGGTGTCTGCTTCTACAGTTGGTGTTTCAGGTGTGCCATTGGCTAATTTTTTGCTATCTTGGACACTAAAATTTGAACATTTATTAAGCTTAGCCTTATTAGGATGAACATACTCTGGGTATCTACAATAATCTACATTTTCATTGTATCTATTAAATTGAGAAAGAAACATCTCTGCCCTTTTTTGCTGTAGTGGTGCTTCAAGACCTTTAGTACATATTCTGTCTCTTCCATAATGGTAGATATCAACTCCTGATTCTTTCATGATATCAGACAGACCAGTTTGGGGTGTAAAACAGTTTTTGATAAGTGGATATTCTTGGAATGTTGTCTTAGCTGTATCATTTGTCTGAATATTGTGACAGTTAGAATGATCACTTCGTGAGGGGTACATCCATTGTTCTTCAAGATCTAAACCAGTAAATCCATGATGAAGTTCATCTATTTTTTGTTGTGGTGTGAGATTACTGTTACGCAGGTATTGCTTTTCCATTGCTGACACAGATTCATCACTATAAAAAGCTTGCTGAGAGATGACTGTATCTATTGGCCTTTTGGTTTCTGTTAAGAGGTCATGGTGATCTGCAAATCTGCTTGTGTTCATTGGCCAAACTGACTTTAAATTGGAGGAGCAGGTCCTAGAACAAATAAATATATTTAATTACAACTTAGGTTTTAAAGACTTTATTTCTTCAGTGGAAAAGGGAGAAAAGGTCTTCAAAAACATTTATCTTGCCCCATGTCACCATTCTCTAATCCCTTTCAACTCTGCTTTATAAGCTACCATTAGCTCCAGATAATTATCTGTCACATGAAATGTGCTGTATGTTACATAAATATGCATTTTAATGTCTTCGCTGTACTTTCCCAAGAGACAATAACTAAGGCCTAATATGTGACTTCATGGTCTTAGATGAATTATTTATCTATAGTAAGCAGAAAATAAGTTTTTCCTTTGCTTAGGTTATTACATAAAAGCATTGTTGACCACAGTTTTTTTTAATGAAAAAAATGTGTTTTGCTTAAACTTTGTGAAATTAAAATATTTTAATTGGTTATATGTGTGCTACATACTTCCCTATTTATGAAATAGTATATTTGGGTAATATAGCTTCCACACTTCAATAAAACAATTGAAACATTACAAAATTTTCTAACACATGAATAAAATCCATATGTATTTCTGCATAGTAGTAATGAGTTTTATTCTTTGGGATCTATGTATAAAAGTTCCTTTGAATTTATATTATTTAAGCCAATCTTTAGTTCATGAACTCAAGGGAAATAGCTCTGAATTATGCAAGAATAATTTTTCAATGAAAGTCCTTATACAAAACCTTAGACTGAACTTCCAATTATATAGCAAATACTTCAGCAAAATCAAGTCTCCTTGAAACAATATTTGAATTAAGATACCTACTGTCAGATGATCCACTATTAAGTAAAAATAAAAGTTAATAAACAGGGTAAACTAGTGTATGTTAGTTTAAAAGCCTGTTATATACTATATAGATTATATACTAACCCTTCAGCAAAATATGGCTGTGACTTATCTTGTTCTTCCAAAATGTTAGACACAAGTCCATATAAGTCTGTTTCACTGCCATAGTCATTTCTTTCTGTTTGAATCCTAAAAATAAATGAATTCGTGCTGAAATACAATATATTGATTACTCTTTCCAGACTTATCCTACCTTACCATCTTTATCTATAAAATATGTGGACTGAATCTACACCATCATTTCAAATAAAGAAGAGACTAGAACTCAAGAATATTTTCTTTTCTACATAAATATTTTTATGTGGAAATGTCTTTTCCACATAAATATTTCTCCTTCATTTCAAATCCTATATCTAACTTACAGTGCATGCTTACCTCTTATTTCTCCACAACACATGGTTTTCATTTTAGGTGACCAAGATATAAATCTGTCATCTATGATGTCACAGACATGCTTGGTATCATAGCTGCTCCTGAAAGCAAGTCTTGTCTTATTATACATTATTCCATCAACACCTGCTCAGCTTCCTCATTTGCAATTTGAAAACCATATGAACCTGATGCTCTATTCTATTTTTGTGACTCTATATTAATATTGGATAAAAAAGTGAAATGCGATATGGTCATCCTAGACACCACAGCAATTTTGCAGTTGTCGCTTAAATGTAACAGATTTGGGAGCCATCCCTAATGCTTGCAAAGCATGACTGGATGGAGTTCCTTTTATCCCAGAAATCCACCTAGTGACTGATACTGACTAAATACAAAATGTAAAAACCACAAGCACGTGGAAGATTGGTACCTTTTACCTGTTACAGTTTTTGGGTAATTTCTTCCTTGAAGTAATACAGGTTGAGTATTCCTTATCCAAAATGCTTGGGATCAGAGGTGTTTTGGATTTCAGGTTTTTTTCTTGGATTCTGGAAATATACATTATACTCCAAATATATAATGTATACTTGTATATTTGGTTGAACGTCCCTAATCCAAAATCTGAAATGCTCCAATGAGCATTTGTTTTGAGCATCATGTCAGCACTCAAAAAGTTTTGGATTTTGGATCAGTCTGGATTTCGGATTTTCAGATTGGGATGCTCAACCTGTACATCTATTTGTTGGTTTGTTTGTTTATTTATTTATTTATTTATTTTTGAGATGGAGTCTCGCTCTGTTCCCCAGGCTGCAGTGCAATGGCGCGATCTCTGCTCACTGCAACCTTCGCCTCCCAGGTTCAAGCGGTTCTCCTGCCTCAGCCTCCCAAGTAGCTGGGACTACAGGCGCGTGCCACCACGCCTGGCTAATTTTTTTTTGTATTTTCAGCCTGACCATGTTGGTCAGGCTGGTCTCGAACTCCTGACCTTGTGATCTGCCCACCTCAGCTTCCCAAAGTGCTGGGATTACAGGCGTGAGCCACCAATCCCGGCCCTGTACATTGTTTTATAATAAATTGTAACTTCCGGTTTTTTCATATTTCAACATTTCATAGTGTTGGGATATTTTTGAAATAAAATACCTTATATTTGCATAACACTCATATTTAATTGATCTTCATAACATTGGAAAGGTAAGCATTAGTAATCATTCGTTATTATCTGTTGAATAAATGAATGATCATTTGAGATATTAAGAAACTTGTATTTTGCAAGGGTATATGACTTGCCAAACTACTACATACTTGCTAAATAGTCTCCCTGTAAGTCCAATACCTTTTCTACTACATGTGTTATCTCATAAAAGTTCAATATAAAAGCTTTTTTGTGTAATTATGTATTAGTATATATCTAAAAAAAATTCAATGTAATATATACCAAACTGCTAGCAGCTGTTATTGGGTGGCGGGGGGAGAAGGTTAAGACAGACTTTCACTTTTCTTGATATATATTTCTGAAAAGTTTGAATTTTTTCACTTGATCTTAGCCAAAAGCGAGAATAGGCTTGAATTTTTTCAATAGCATGTATCAACTTTAAAAATATTTTTGTTTTTTGTAGAATTATGTATTACGTAGACTTTCTAATAAAATTATTTTAGAGAATTTGCCAAGAATTTTAATTTTTTAACACTTTTCTAATAAATACAAATAACTATTTCCTGGTTAGACTAATGAGGCATCAGCCTCTATAAATAGCTCCCATATATAATTAAAGATAGATGTCACTCCCTTAGGGCTCCTCTTTGCAATAGGCTCCCATAATATCCTAGTTATCGTCATCATCATCATCATCATCATCATCATCATCATCATCAAGATTATAAAGGCAAGGATAATATTTGCCATGTTTAAATTCTGGTATCCCCCATAGAAAAGCATCTGATGTACAGGGGGCCCTTATTATTTGTGGAATTGAACAGAAAAATAATTTAAAATATCTTATGTTTGATAAAACCCTGTTTGTTGTAGAGTTGTGAAGGAAAAAAATGGAAAATTTAGAACTGGATGACAAAAACATCTAAAAGTTTTAACTCATTCATATAAGTCATCTTTAGAAAGAAGAACTTAAGATTTATGCACTAAATGTTCCCACTAATGAATTTTTTTAAGTAATAACCTAGCTGGGCAGAGGCTCATGTCTGTAATTCCAGCACTTTGGGAGGCCAAGGTGGGAGGATGGTTTGAGGCCAGGAGTTCAAGACCAGCCTAGGCAACAAAGTGAGACCTCGTTTCTTAAAAAGAAAAGGCAACAAATTTTTTTAAAGTTAGCTGACCACCGTGGTGCATACCTGTAGTCCCAGCTACTGTGGAGGCTGAGGCAGGAGTATGGCTTGAGCCCAGGAGTTCAAAGTTGTAGTGAGCCATGATCTCGCCACTGCACTCCAGACTGGGTGACAGAGCGAGACCCTGTCTCAACAAAACAAAACAAAGCAAAACACCGTAAAAACTATACACAAATAACTGCCCAGTTTACACTTTCCTAAAAGTTTGAAAAACACAAAATGCCACAATAGTAAAATGATAATGTAGGGAACAGAGAGCAAATAACCTCAGTTCCTATGTAATTAAATTTAAAAATACCTCAATTACCTTGAGAAATGAATTAATTTACCTGTTCTTTATACTGATCTGAGAATTAGAAGGTTGTTTAATGTCATCTCCATAAGTAGACCATGGTGCACAGAAAAGTGAAGAATCTACAGAACTTGAATATTCTGTTGAAGAAAATGGAGTATAGGTCTGCCTTAGGTCTACATTGTCTTCACTCTGAAAGTTTTAAGAAATGTTTATCAGACACATCAAAACTTCATTTGTTGTAGAATATGAGAAAAATAAGAAAGCGGAAATAACACAGATGTAAGAGTTGGGAGAATTACATTCAAATGCAGACTTAGTGACTTAAGCTTGCTTTATACCAGGGATTGGCAAACTTGTTCTGCAAAAGGCCAAATAGTAAATATTTTAGGCTTAGCTGGCCATTAAGGTTGCTGTCAAAACTCTTCAACTCTAATGCTGCAGCACTAAATCAACCATAGACAATAAACAAATGGGTTTGGCTGCATTGCAATAAAACTTTATTTACAAAACAGGTATCGGGCAGCTCTGGCTCCTTGTTGCTGGTCTGTGGTATAAAATACCTATAATTATTGTAGTTTTTTTGTAATTTTTTGAATAGATAAGCATTATGTGGATACTAGCAATGTTATTTTTAATACATTATATATAAAATTCAGTCTTGGGGCCAGGCGCGGTGGCTCAAGCCTGTAATCCCAGCACTTTGGGAGGCCGAGGTGGGCGGATCACGAGGTCAGGAGATGAGACCATCCTGGCTAAACCCTGTCTCTACTAAAAATACAAAAAATTAGCCAGCTGTGGTGGTGATGGGCGCCTGTAGTCCCAGCTACTTGGGAGGCTGAGGCAGGAGAATGGCATGAACCCGGGAGGCGGAGCTTGCAGTGAGCCAAGATAGCACCACTGTACTCCATCCTGGGCGACAGAGCGAGACTCTGTCTCAAAAATAAATAAATAAATTTCAGTCTTAATGTCCCCAATCTCTGAAAAAAGTTAATGTATATTTATATGGAATTTTACACTATTCAAATAAATTTCACATATATTATCATATCCAGTAAACCTTGTGACATGAGTATTATCTCTACTTTAAAAACAAGGAAACTGAGGCTGCAAGTCACTCAGCCAATATGTAACAAATCTAAAACCAAAACTGAAGGTCTTTTTCCTCCTATTTGAGGACATTTTATACAGTATCTTTTTTTTTTTTTTTTTTTTTTTTTGAGACAAGAGTCTGGCTCTGTTGCCCAGACTGGAGTAGAGTGGCGAGATCTCGGCTCACTGCAACCTCTGCCTCCCGGGTTGAAGCGATTCTCCTGCCTTAGCCTCCCAAGTAACTGGGATTACAGGCACCTGCCACCATGCCTGGCTAATTTTTGTATTTTCAGTAGAGAGTTTTAGGGTTTCACCATGTTGGTCAGGCTGGTCTCAAATCCTGACCTCAAGTGATCTGCCCGCCTTGGGCCTTCCAAAGTGTTGGGATTACAGGCGTGAGCCATTGCACCCAGCCTCGGTGAATGCTTCTGTAATGAACCTGAGTAAACAAAAACTTTGGGTGTTAAGTTTCTTTTTTTTTTTTTAAATAGAAATGGGGTCTCACTGTGTTGCCCAGGCTGGTCTTAAACTCCTGGCCTCAAGCGATCCTCCTGCCTTGGCCTCCCAAAGTGCTGGGATTACAGGTGTGAGTCACTTTGCCGGGCCTTGGGTTTTAAGATTTTAATGATTTAAACCCTGCCTCCTTCCAAAAGGGACCATGTAGGGAAAGTGAATTTAACAAACAAAAAAAGATTAAGCTAATTTATACATTGTTTATTCTAGAAAATGCTTCCTTAAAGAAGACTGAAAGTATAAATTCAAAATTTTTAACTCTCCAGATAAGTAACTATTAAAACCTGAGATGCAATAACTATAAATACCCAGACATAAACACAATGAAAATAGTATTTTCTTATAAATACAGAAGAGATGTAATTCTGGCCGGGCGCAGTGGCTCACACCTGTAATCCCAGCACTTTTGGGAGGCCTAGGTGGGCGGATCACCTGAGGTCAGGAGTTTAACTCCTGATCAACATGGCGAAAGCCCGTTTCGACAAAAATACAAAAATTAGCCAGGTGTGGTGGCAGGTGCCTGCAATCCCAGCTACTCAAGAGGCTGAGGCAGGAGAGTCACTTGAACCCAGAAGGCGGAGGTTGCAGTGAGCCAAGATTGAGCTATTGCACTCCAGCCTGGGCAACAGAGGGAGACTCCATCTCAAAATAAATAAATAAATAAATAAAATAAAATAAAATAAAAAAGGAAAAGATATAATTCTGGCTAAAAGTATTTTCTAATTGCTTTTATTCTGTTAATATTTCTAAATTTTTGTTCCTAATAGATATGATCACTGAAAAACATTTAAACTATACAACGTTATATGATACCAACAAAATGTGAACATTAAGAAATACCTTCCAATCATCCATCTTCAAGAATCTCAAAATATTTTACAACCATTTGTTTAAGTTCTGGTTATGATTCTATTTAAAACCCACACATTATAATTTTTCTGTTTATAGTTTATATTATGACTATTCTCAAGTTGAGGAAATGGAAACACAGAAGGGATTTTGCTGAGAGCTAAAACTAAAAACTACCTTTCCAGAATTTGTTGGTTAGCAGCAACTTTTACAAAGGCTTTTTATCTTTCTTTCCTAATTTTATCCTTTGAGTTCTAAAGTTATCATCATAGGCCCACTCTTATGTGTGAAGTATCCAAAGTGACATAAATAATTGTTCATCTTTTTGAAATAGTTGCTTAAACAAAAGGAACATTTTCAGATTATGTAATGTCAAATGAATAAACAGTATTGGAAATTGAAAATATTTTGGGAGTATTCTTTCAAGTACATTTTACATTTTAAAATACATTTTGAATATTACAAATAAAATCCTTTTAAAGGACTGACTTAACTTTTGTATTCTTGGGTTAAAACAACTAAAGTAATGTGGTGGATTCAAACAATCATACTTGAAATATCTGCATCCCTTTCGTTAACAGAGGCCAGGAAATATGCAAATATTTGAGTGGGCATATTAACTGGATTAACTTTAAAATGTATCACTTATATCCTTAACATACTTAAAACAGTGAACTGAAATTAAATCCAAATAAATTTTAGTCCGGATGTAAACACTGCAGAGAGCAGTGGAACTATGGTCTGGGTTCCACTTGAGCTTTGTCATTTAGGGCACAAATCAAGCTCTCTGAGGCTCAGTTTCTCAATCTGTACAGTGGCATAATAATATACAAGATTCTTAGTGTGGATTAAATAAAATAATTTATTTCTAGATATTGTTATAATTCAAAGTACAACAATATCAACATTGATGTCCTGGTTAAATAATTTCAAATGAAAATTACTTACATTACCCAAGCTTTATTTCCTTTGATTAATAAATCTAAATGTCTTGGTGAGGTAAGTGGTAGCATATAATTTAAGACATTGTTAAAACCAGAAAATAAAGGAGTAAAGTGAAATTTTCACCTTTAAATTATCAAAAATATGTTTGTACCAACTTGCAATAAATGCCTGAACGAAAAAAAACATATTTTAATCTTACTAAATAATGGATTTTCTTACATTTCTGGAATTATGTTATGCTAAGGACAAGATGGAAACGAATCAATGAAAAATCTTATTCTTCAATTTGTTTTCTTTTTTCTTTTTTTTTTTTTTTTGAGAGGGAGTCTCACTCTGTCACCCAGGCTGGAGTGCAGTGGCATGATCTTGGCTCACTGCAACCTCCACCTCCCTGGTTTAAGATTCTCCTGCCTCAGTCTCCCAAGTAGCTGGGATTACAGGTGCCTGCCCCCACACCCGGCTGATTTTTGTATTTTTAGTAGAGATGGGGTTTCGCCATGTTGGCCAGGCTGGTCTTGAACTCCCGAACTCAGGTGATCCACCCGCCTCAGCCCCCCAGAGTGCTGGGATTACAGGCACGAGCCATGGCGCCCGGCCCTTAACTTATTTTCAAAGCAAAGTATGTATTCTGCAAACACTGTATTTAAAAGATTGTAGCCGGGCGCGGTGGCTCACGCCTGTAATCCCAGCACTTTGGGAGGCTGAGGCGAGCGGATCACGAGGTCAGGAGATCGAGACCATACTGGCTAACACAGTGAAACCCCGTATCTACTAAAAATACAAAAAAATTAGCCGGGCGTGGTGGCGGGTGCCTGTAGTCCCAGCTACTCGGGAGGCTGAGGCAGGAGAATGGCGTGAACCTGGGAGGTGGAGCTTGCAGTGAGCGGAGATTGCGTCACTGCACTCCAGCCTGGGCGACAGAGCAAGACTCCGTCTCAAAAAAAAAAAAAAAAAATTGTTCCTGGGCTGGGCGCTGTGGCCTGAAATCCTAGCACTTTGGGAGGCCGAGGCGGGAGGATGGCTGGAGCCCAGAAGTTCGAGACCAGCCTGGGGAACATGGTGAAACCCGGTCTCTAAAAACAATACAAAAATTAGCCGGGCATGATGGCAGGTGCCTGTAATCCCAGCTACTGGGGAGGCTGAGACGGAAGAACTGCTTGAACCAGGGAGACAGAGGTTGCAGTGATCCGAGATCGCACCACTGCACTCCAGCCTGGGCAACAGAAGGAGACTCCGTCTCAAAAAACAAAACAAAACGGCTGGACGCGGTGGCTCATGCCTGTAATCCCAGCACTTTGGGAGGCCGAGGTGCGCGGATCACCCGAGGTTGGGAGTTCGAGACCAGCCTGACCAACATGGAGAAACCCTGTCTCTACTAAAAATACAAAATTAGCCAGGCGTGGTGGCGCATGCCTGTAATCCCAGCTACTCCGGAGGCTGAGGCAGGAGAATAACTTGAGCCCCGGAGGCAGAGGTTGAGGTGAGCCGAGATCGCACCACTGCACTCCAGCCTGGGCAACAAGAGCAAAACTCCATCTCAAAAACAAAAAACAAAAACAAAACAAACAAAAAAAACAGCCGGGCGTGGTGGCGCGTGCCTCAGGAAGCTGAGGCACAAGAATCGCCTGAGCCCGGCTGGCGGAGGTTGCAGTGAGCCGAGATGGCGCCACTGCACTCCAGCCTAGGAGACAGAGCAAGACTCTGTCTCAAAAAAAAAAAAAAAAAAAAAAAGTTTTCCCTGGTTTTCTCTTCCTTAACTGTGGAGCCATTAAACACCTATGAATCGGTGGCTCGAGTAAATCCATTTGAGAATAAATCGTCTAACAGAGGCAGAGTTTACTAAAGGACCTGCGATGTGTAGCAATCGTAGAAGGAAGCGGAGCCAGTCAACATCACGCTGCCGAAGACGTCGGTTAACCTGCTGCCGGCGTCGGCGCCGAGGTTCCAACAGCGATTCGCACCTCCGGGGAACGCGACTTTGGGCTGCAGCACACGGGAATAGGAAATATCAGAAAGTGGTCACGAGGGTGACGCCGGAGCTGAAACGGCCCGACACCTGTTCTACCTCGGCTGTTCGGCTCAATTCCGAACCCTCTCAGAGGACACGAATGTGGGGGCCCGCGCTTCCAGCCTCGGGATTCTCACTCTCCCCTCGGGCCCCCTGAGTGCTGACCCCGAGGGGCGCCCCTCCCCGGCCACCGCCTCAGCGCGACGGCTGCCTCCCGGGAATCGCGGCGACCCGCGCTCCGTCCGGCCCGTCCAGTCAGCCCGCGCCGCGCCCCCCGCCCGCCCGCCCCGTTCGGCCTCCCCACCGACGACCCGCCTCTGCCGCCCCGTCTAGGGACGCGCCCCCTCCTCAGCCTCTCCTCCTCGTCGCCTCTTGCAAGTCTGGCCGCCCCCTGGACCCTGCCCTTCCTCATCCATTACCTCAAGTCCTTCCTCCCTCAGGCCTGAGGGGTGAGGGCGCGGGCAGGTGTCTCCGCGTCTCACCTCCATGGGGCGCCCCCCAGCCTCTCCTGGACTAGGCACAGCTCCTGGGGTACGGGGGTGATGGGGGGGGCGTCCAGGCCCGGCTCCCTCAGCCCGCACCCCGCCGTCTCCGCAGCCGCCTCCGCCGCCCGGGCGCTGCCTGGAGCCAGTGTGCGGGTAAGGGAAGTCCGAGCGGGGAGGGAGGGGCGGGGGCAGAGGCCGTTACCTGGCCTGCCTGGGGCTCGCGGCTCGGCACGCGACACGGCACAGGCGCGCCCCGCCCCGCTGTGAGGCCCGCCCCTCCCGTTTCGCAGCCCGCCATTGGTCCGATGCCCATCCAATGGGCGACCACTCCAGGCTCCGTTACCCCCCAGAGACAAGGAGAGGAAGGGGCGGTTAGCGGACCACGCTCTCTCGCCGCTTCTGAGCTTTTCCCGCTCAAAGTAAATGTGTTCGGGATTGGCCCGGACTGGCAGGCACCGGCCCGATGATTTGCTGATAGGGCAGCGGAGAGGCCGGTCGTGGAAGGTTGAAAGAGCTAAAGAGCGCAGCCCTACCGGGTGGGAGAGGTGTTGGAGGCACTTGGAAGATTTGAGAAGTCGCTCAGCAACTGGCTTATCCTCCAAAACCTAGCTGTTGCGCACATTTCATTTGTCCGACATTTCATATTTGTTCCTTAGTCCCTCCCGTAGCTTCAGAATCCGTTGGAGCTGCCCAGAGACTGATATATCTTGTACCGGTTTGGGGAGGGCGAGGAGCAACTTGTGGATTGGGTGTTGCTGGGAGACCCCTTTTTGAGGGAGAGCTGCCCTGTGTCCTAAGCCCGGGCTTTCAGTCCGGGTTAAGGCATTTAAGTGTTAATGTGACTTTTGAACAAAGTTCGCTGTGACCTTTTTGTTCGTTTTTGTTTGTCTGTGTAAAACAGGGTCTTGCTCTGTCGCCCAGGCTGGAGTGCAGTGGCGCTATCATAGCTCGTTGCAGCCTTGAACTCCCGGGTTCAAGCGACCCTCCCGCCTCAGCCTCCCGAGTAGCTGGGGCTGCAGGCACGCGGCGCCACCACTCCTGGCTAATTTTTTAATTTTTTTGTAAAGCTGAAGGGCGGGGGGGTTGGGTCTCCTTATGTTGCCCAGGCTGGTCTCAAACTCCTGGTCTCGAGCGATCCTCCCGCCTCAGCCTCCCGAGTAGTTGGGGCTACAGGCGCGTGCCACCACTCCCAGCTAATTTTTTTTTTTTTTTTTTTTTTGGTGAGATGGAGTCTCACTGTCGCCAGGCTAGAGTGCGGTGGCGCAAAGGCTCACTGCAACCTCCGCCTCCCGGGTTCAAGCGATTCTCCCGCCTCAGCCTCCCGAGTAGCTAGGACTACAGGCCCACGCCACCACGCCCCGCTAATTTTTGTATTTTTAGTAGAGACGGGAATTTCACCATGTTGTCCAGGATGGTCTCGATCTCTTGACCTCGTGATCCGCCCGCCTCGGCCTCCCAAAATTCTGGGATTACAGGCGTGAGCCACGGCGCCTGGCCCTAGCTAATTTTTTAATTTTTTTGTAGAGCTGGGGTTGGAGGTGGGGATGGGGGTAGGGGGTTGGATCTCCTTATGTTGCTCAGGCTGGTCTTGAACTGAACTCTTGGCCTGAAGTGATCCTCCGCCTCGGCCTCCCAAAGTGTGGGATTACAGGTGAGAGCTTACATAAACAAGCCATTCCAGGCACCCAACAAACCATTCACATAGCAGTCAGATTGGGGATGTGATGGTCTCAGAGAAATGCTAGTTTTTGTCCCTAGACACTGCTAAAAAATCAGATAGTTGAAATATAAAAGAAGTAAACACAGTAAGCACCTTTAGGCTGTTTTTATATTTAAAATCAAAACTTGAGAAATGAGCACTTAAGTGGAAGATACTGTTTTAACTCAGACACGAATGGAAGTAGGAGGATGAGTTTTATTGACCCATATTGTCCTGATAGTTACTTCAGGTCTCTACTCAGCTTTGAGTTCAGAAAGCTCACCAAGGCTGGGCGCAGTGGCTTGTGCCTGTAATCCCAGCACTTTGGGAGGCCGAGGCAGGAGGATTGCTTGAGCCCAGGAGTTGCCCAGCCAGGGCAACATAAGGAGACTTCGTCTCTACAAAAAAATTAACAATTAGTTGGGTGTGGTGGTGTGTGCCTGTAGTCCCAGGTACCTGCACTTGGGAGGCTGAGATGGGAGGATCGCCTGAGCTGGAGAGTTGGAGGATGCAGTGAGCCATAATCACTCCATCACACTCCAGCCTGGGCAACAGAGCAAGACCCTGTTTCAAAAAAAAAAAAAAAAAAAAAGGAAGAAAGAAAAGAAAAAAAGCTGCTGGACTCACACCTGTAATCCCAGCATTTAGGGAAGCAAAGGCAGGAGGATAGATTGAGCCCAGGAGTTTGAGATTTGCCTGGGGAATATAGTGCTCCACAAAAAGGAAAAACAAAATGTGCATGCACACACACACACACACACACAAACACACACACACGCACACACACTTAAAAAAAGCTGACCAGGTGGTGTGGCTCTAACAGTTACATTTCTCTGCCTCAGCCTTAAAGTTGCTGGTGTAGGGCTCATTGCATTGAGGACTACTGGCTTTTTCCCCCTCTCCTATACTCCCTAGAAGCATTTTGAAAAGCTATGAATCCCCTTATGTATTTTTATAGTAAAATATACATAAGATTTGTCGTTTTTAAGTGTTTGGTTAAGTGGCATTAAGCACATTCATAATGTTGTGTAACCATGACCGCTCTACAGTTTCAGAACTTCATTAATCACAAACAGAAACTCTGCAGCATCCCATAAATAATTATTCCCCATGCCCCCTTCTCCCAGTTCTGGCAACCACCATTCTACTTTCTATCTCTATGAATTTGACTACTCTAGGTACCATATATAAGTGGAATCATACAATATTTATCCTTTTGTGCCTGGCTTATTTTACTAAGGTAAAATAAACCTTGTCATCAAGGTTCCTTCATGTTATAGCATATACCTGAATGTCATTCCTTTTTATGGCTGACTAAGGTTCCATTGTATGGATATACCACATTTTGTTCAAGCATTCATCTGTTTATGGACACATGGGTGGTTTCCACCTTTTTTTTTTTTTTTTGAGTCAGAGTCTTGCTCTGTGCTGCAGGCTGGAGTGCAGGCGCAATCTTGGCTCACTGCAACCTCCCCCTTATCGGAGGAATCGTTCAGATGATTCTCCTGCCTCAGCTTCCCCAGGAGCTGGGATTACAGGCATGTGCCACCAAACCTGGCTAATTTTTTTTTTTTTTTGAGACAGAGTCTTGCTCTGTCACCCAGGTTGGAGTGCAGTGGCATGATCTCAGCTCACTGCAACCTCTGCCTCCTGGGTTCAAGTGATTCTCCTGTCTCAGCCTCCTGAGTAGCTGGGATTACAGGCATGAATCACCATGCCTGGCTGATTTTTGTATTTTTAGTAGAGACAGGGTTTTGCCATGTTGGACAGGCTGGCCTCGAACTCCTGACCTCTGGTGATCCGCCTGCCTCAGCCTCCCACAGTGCTGGGATTACAGGTTTGAGCCACCGTGCCCCGCCTAATTTTTGTATTTTTAATAGAAATGGGATCTCACCATGTTGGCCAGGGTGTTCTCGACCTCTTGACCTCAAGTGATCTGCCTGCCTTGACCTCTCAAAGTGATTACAGGCATGAGTCACCGCGCTTGGCTCTCAACTTTTCACTATTGTGCGTAGTACTGCTAGAAACATTGGTGTACAAGTATTTGATTAATTTTTTTTCCAATTATTTTGGGTATATACCTAAGAGTGGTATTGTTGGGACATATGGTAATTGTATTCGATGTCTTGAGTAATTCCAAAATGTTTTACACTGTGGCTGCACCATTTTACATTCTCACCAACAATGCATGAGAGTTCCCATTTCTCCACATCCTCACCAACACTTGTTATTTTCTTTTTCTTTTTCTTTCTTTCTTTCTTTTTTTTTTTTTGAGACAGAGTCTCCCTCTGTCACCCAGCCTGGAGTAGAGTGGCACGATCTTGGTTCATTGTAACCTCTGCCTCCCAGGTTCAAGGGATTTTCATGCCTCAGCCTCCCGAGTAGCTGGGATTACAGGCACGCACAACCACGCCTGGCTAAATTTTTGTATTTTTAGTAGAGACAGGGTTTTTCCATGTTACCCAGGCTGGTCTCGAACTCCTGAGCTCAGGCAATCCGCCTGCCTCGGCCTCCCAAAGTGCTAGGATTACAGGCGTGAGCCACTGCACCCAGCCTATTTTTTCTTTTTAAAATTTCTCTCTCTATAGATATACATATAGATAGATATAAATAGATATAGAGAGATCTATCTCTGTATATCTATCTATATATATCTATCTCTATATATAGACAGGGAGATATATCTATAGATCTATATATATCTATATATCCCTGTATAGATCTATATATAGTAATCTATGGTAATCTGAAATTACTATATATATGTATTACTGTATGTGTGTGTATATATATATATATGTATACACACACACACAGAGATTGAGAGAGAGAGATGGGATCTTGCTCTGCTGCCCAGCGTAGACTGGTAGACCACAGTGGCATGATCATAGCTTACTGAATACTCAAACTCCTGGCTTCAAGTGATCCTCCCCACTCAGCCTCCCAAAGTGCTGGGATTACAGGCACCACACCCAGTCTCTTTTTCTTTCTTTAAAAAAAAAAAAAAATATATATATATGTATATATATACATACATATATATATATATATATATATATTTTTTTTTTTTTTTTTGTAAAAACAGGGTCTTTCTGTGTTGCCCAGGCTGGTCTTGAACTTCTGGCCTCAAGCAATCCTCCCAAAGTGCTGGAATTACAGGTGTGAGACATTGCACTCAGCCTTTTTGTTTTGTTTTCTTTCTTCTTCTTCTTTTTCTTCTTCTTTTTTTTTTTTAAAAAGCCAGTTGGATACAGTGGCATGCTCCTGTAGTCCCAGCTAGTCCGGAGCCTGTAGTGGGAGGATCCCTTAAGCCCAGGAGTTTGAGGCTGCAGTGCGCTGTGATCATGACACTGCACTCCATGCTGGCGTGCATGAGAGATGAGAGACCCCATCTCTCAAAAAAAATTTTTTTTTAAAAAAGATGGCTATCCTAGAGGATGTGAATTGGTATCTCATTGTGGTTTTGACTTACATTTCCCTAGTGACTAATGATGTTGACCATCTTTTCATGTGCTTATTGGTATATCTTCTTTGGAGAAATACCTATTTAAGTTCTTGGCTCATTTTTTGAAGTCATACTGTCTTGTCGTGTATTAATATGGTTTGTCGTAGAAATAAAAATTACTGGCAAATTTAACACTCTATTGAATTCGAGTGAATACATTAACAAAGAAAACATTTTGGTTATGAACAGAGTAAGTATATAATATGTAGTTAGTTCTTTCAGTTCTTTCATTCTCTTTTGGAAGATCTCATTTTCAACGTGTGTGTTGAGGGTTGGGTGGGGTTAGTTTCCCAGTCTTACTCAGACATATATACAAACCTCAGATTAAAGTGAGAAAGAGTTAGGAATACTCAAATAATTGTTTTATGTCTTCTCTGCCTTGATCTGAACTTAAAATTTTGTGGAGGGAGAGACTATTGACCCTCTTTCTCCATTTATTGTTTCTATACAGGGACAATGACGAAAGACATGTTTATACAATAAGATTAATTACATTTCAGTAACTTTGATCCAATTCAGAATGATGCTGCCCTCAAGTAAAAAAAACTTTTTCTTTTTCTTTTCTTTTCTTTTTTTTTTTTTGGAGTCTCACTCTGTTGCCCAGGCTGGAGTGCAATGGTACGATCTCAGCTCACTGCAACTTCCGTCTCCCAGATTCAAGCAATTCTCGTGCCTCAGGCTTCTGAGTAGCTGGGATTACAGGCACACACCACCAGGCCCAGCTAATTTTTCTATTTTTAGTAGAGACGGGGTTTCACCATGTTGGCCAGGCTGGTCTTGAACTCCTGACCTTGTGATCCGCCTGCCTCGGCTTCCCAAGTAAAAAACTTTTTTTTCCACTTACTATTTTGGGGATATTTAAGTGAATCTGAAATTACTATTGGATTTTTTTTTTCTCTTGAAACAGAGTTTTGCTCTTGTTGCCCAGGCTGGAGTGCAATGGTGCAATCTCGGCTCGCAGCAACCTCCACCTCCCAGGTTCAAGTGATTCTCCTACCTCAGCCTCCCAAGTAGCTGGGATTACAGGCACCCGCCACCACGCCCAGCTAATTTTTGTATTTTTACGGAGACAGGGTTTCACCATGTTGGCCATGCTGTTTTCACCATGTTGGCCGGGCTGTTTTCGAACTCCTGACCTCAGATGATCCATCTGCCTCCCAAAATGCTGGGATTACAGACGTGAGCCACCTCACCCGGCCCTACTATTGGATTTTTAAAGACAGATATTTAAGAACATTCTTTGCTAGAACTGAGGACAATTTAAACTTATTCCATTCAAGAAAACTTAGTGCAGAATGCAGACTTTCCCTTTCAAGTATATGTAAAAGTTAACTTCTTTTTTTTTCCACCTCTGGAAGACAATGTACAATGTAGTACTCTTCAGATACACTAATGAGACCCTTTTTATACTTTAACAGGGACGTAAACATTTCCTTTTGTAACAAAAATAAATTATGGGTTTCATTTTAAAAAGCCTATCCCCAAGAAATGTTTTGAGTGTTAATCTAAGTAAGATTTCATTATTCTCATAAGTAAAACTTTGAGTTCAAATAAAGTTTTGATTTTTTTTTTGATAATTGAAGGTATATGTAGGGGCTCAACCTAAATGCCAGGGAATTAACCCTCCATAGGAAGTAATCATATAATTCTAAGTCAGTATATAATTGAATTGATGTAGGATTTTTAAGTATTCTCTCAACTATATTAAATGAATTGTTTTTCCAGTTTTCTAGTGGTCCAAAAACTTAAATAGGCTGCAAATCTGCTGTGATTCAAACCGTGCAATTCCTCACAGGCATCTCTGACTTGAGGGACTAAGTTCCTGTAATTATGTGTCCTGAAATTAACTGGGTTGCCAGATAGGTTTTCTCAACCTTTAATAGCTTGTTGGAAGGCTTACAGAATGCTCTTTATTAGAAATATTTGGAACTACTTCCCCCCTTTTGGATACTCAAATTAGTGTTTTTCTAGTTCTCTGGCATAATTTGTATAGCTGCTTCCTTTGTAGAAAGTAAGCTTATGTTCTGCTTTTCCCTTTCTGGTTGGCTGGAGTGCTAGGTCACTCTTATCTGTGCTCTAGGAAACTTTTAGATTTCTACTTAGCTTAGGATGACACCCTGAAAGATTTAGGGTCTGCTTCTGTTTGGGTTAGGGGGTAGACACTTGAATTCATTGGTCTTTTTTTTGGCTCACTGCAGCCTTGACCTCCAGCACTCAAGGGATCCTCCCACTTCAGCCTCTAGAGTAGCTGCAACTATAGGTGCCTGCCACTATGCTCACTAATTTTGTGTATTTATTGTAGAGACAAGGTCTTACTGTATTCCTAGGCTGGTCTCGGACTCCTGGACTCAAGGGATCTTCCTTCTTCAGCCTCCCAAAGTGCTAGGGTAACAGGCATGAGCCACCATGCCCGGCCAAATAGATTGGTTTTTATCAAAGATGCTGTAATATTAATATGCATCTTCCTGCTATCCCTTCAAAAGTGAGAATTAATGTTGTTTTCTTTTCTTTTCTTTTTTTGAGATGGAGTCTCTCTCTGTCACCCAGGCTGGAGTGCAGTGGCGCAATCTTAGCCCACCGCAACCTCTGCCTCCCGGGTTCAAGCAATTCTCCTGCCTCAGCCTTCCGAGTAGCTGGGATTACAGGTATGCACCACCACACTCAGCTAATTTTGTATTTTTAGTCGAGATGGGGTTTCTCCATGTTGGTCAAGCTGGTCTTGAACTTCCGACCTCAGGTGATCCGCCTGCCTCGGCCTCCCAAAGTTCTGGGATTACAGGTGTGAGCCACTGTGCCCAGCCCAAAAAAGACTTTATTTTTTAGAGCAGTTTCAGGTTCATGGCAAAATTGAGAGGGAAGTACAAAGAGTTCTCATATACAGATTTGCTGCCCCTTCACAGATGCAGCCTCCCCCAATATCAGCATCCTGCACTAGAATGGTACATATGTTATCATCAATGAACCTACATTGACATATCATTATCAATCAAAGTCCATAGTTTACTTTAGGATCCACTCTTGGTGGTGTACTTTCTATGGGTCTAGAACAGTATATAGTGACATGTATCCACCATTTTGGTATCATACAGAATAGTTTCACTACCCTAAAAATCCTCTATGCTCCGCCTCTTCATTTCTCCCCCCCCTCAACCCCTGGCAACCACTGATTTTTTTTTTTCTATCTCCATAGTTTTGCCTTTTACAGAATGTCATAGAATTGGAATCATACCATGTGTAGACTTTTCAGATTGGCTTCTTTTACTTAGTAATATGCATTTAGGGTTCCTCTATGTATTTTCATGGCTTGATAGCTCATTTCTTTTTAGCACTGAATAATATTTCATTGGATGTACCACAGTTTATCTATTCACCTACTGAAGGACATCTTTCAGTTTTGGCAATTATGACTAAAACTGCTATAAACACCAGTGTGCAAGTTTTTGTGTGGACATAGTTTACAACTCATTTGGGTAATACCCAAGAGCACAATTGCTGGATCATATGGTAAGGGTATATTTAGTTTTGTAAGAAACTGCCAAATTATCTTCCAAAGTGTCTATACTATTTTGCATTCCTACCAGCAATGAATGAGAGTTCCTGTTGTTCCACATCCTTGCCAGTATTTGGAATTGTCAGTATTTTGGATTTTAGCCATTCTTTTTCTTTTTTTTTTTTTTTGAGGTGGAGTCTCTCTCTGTCGCCCAGGCTGGAGTGCAGTGGCACGATCTCAGCTCACTGCAACCTCCGCCTCCTGGGTTCAAGCGATTCTCCTGCCTCATCCTCCCAAGTAGCTGGGATTACAGGCGCATGTTACCACGCCCAACTAATTTTTTTTTTTGTATTTTTAGTACAGATGGAGTTTCACCATGTTGGACAGGGTATTTTCAAACTCCTGACCTCAGATGATCTGCTCACCTCGGCCTCCCAAAGTTCTGGGATTATAGGCGTGAGCTACCATGCCTGGCCTAGCCATTGTAATAGATGTGTAGTGGTATCTCATTGTTTAGTGCTTTTTTTTTTTTACAGGGTCTTGCTCTGTCACCTAGGCTGGAGTGCAGTGGTGTGATCACAGCTCACTGGAGCCTCGACCTCCTGGGATCAAGCGATTCTCTCACCTCAACCTTTGAAGTAACTGGGACTAGTCATTATCATGCTTTGTTGATTTTTAGGTTTTTTTTTTTTTTTTTTTTGTAGAGAGGGAGTTTCCCTGTGTTGCCCAGTTTGGTCTCAAACTCCTGGGCTCAAGTGATCCTTCCACCTTGGCCTCCCAAGGTACTGGGATTACAGGCATGAATGAGCCATCTTGCTTGGCCTAGTTCTTTTTTTTTTTTTTTTTTTTTTTTTTTGAGAGGGAGTCTCACTCTGTCACCCAGGCTGGAGTGCCGTGGCACGATCTCAGCTCACTGCAGCCTACTTCTCCCAGGTTCAAGCAATTCTCCTGCTTCAGCCTCCCGAGTAGCTGGGATTACAGGCATGTACCACCACACCCATCTAATTTTTGTATTTTTAGTAGAGATGGGGTTTTCACCATGTTGGCTAGGCTGGTCTCAAACTCCTGACCTTAAATGATCCACCTGCCTTGGCCTCCCAAAGTGCTGGGATTACAGGCGTGAGCCACTGCGCCCGGACTTTTTTTTTTTTTTTAAACCACTTTCTTTTACATATCCCTGGCTCCTAATTGCTTTTCTACTTTTTCTTACTGCTCCAGCTTCTAGATAAGTGGTTCTCAAAGTGTGGTCCTTCAACCAACAGCATCATCACCACCCAGGAACTTATTAGAAATGGAAGTTCTTGCACCCTGCCAAAACCAGAAACTGCGGATGGGTCCCAGCAATCTTTATTTTAACGACTGTTAAAATCAGAATCAAGTGATTCTGATGCAAACTTAAGTTTGAAAACATTGTTCTATTAAAAGTAATGGCAAAAACCGCAATTACTTTTGCACCAACCTAAGAGCTCTGCACTGTTCAATATGGTAGCTTCTAACTATTGAATTTTTTAATGCTATTATCTCCTTTATTCAAAAATAAATATTTCACTTTGATTCAACATATTTCAAATTACATTAAGCACAGAGAGGAAATACATTCCCTTTGGAGATTGTGAACACGTGTTGGAAAGAGGCATGATCCAAATAATGGGGATGAGGTGAGTGTGGATTCCAGCTGCTTCCTGACCCAGAAGTTCTGCCCCTCTTCAGGTGGAGCTACTTATCGATTTTTAGGCGAGAAAAAGACAGACACACACACACACACACACACACACACTGCTTTGAAGTCTGAAAGGCATATGAGTGGACCGTAAGGTATATGGCACGTTCACTGATAAAACATCCCCTACTCCCTCCCAAGAAAAGCAGAGACACTTTAATCAAGTCAAAGGCCAGAGAAGGGCCTGGTGCAGTGGCTCACGCCTGTATCCCAGCACTTTGGGAGGCCAAGGCGGGTGAATCCCGAGGTCAGGAGTTCGAGACCAGCCTGACTCATATGGTGAAACCCTGTCTCTACTAAAAATACGAAAATTAGCTGGGCGTGGTGGCATGTGCCTGTAATCCCAGCTACTCGTGAGGTTGAGGCAGGAGAATCGCTTGAACCCAGGAGGCAGAGGTTGCAGTGAGCTGAGACTGCACCATTGCGTTCCAGTCTGGGTGACTGAGCGAGACTCTGTCTCAAAAAAGAAAAAAAAAAAAGCAGCGAAGACAGGGTGCTCCTGCTTATAGCTCAGCAGCATGAACATCTCTGAATATGAAAGCCATTTTTCATTTGCTTCTACCTCCTGTGCCTCCTTTCCCTGCCGACTGGGTCCGTGGATGGCCGCGGTGCTCACTTGGTGATGGTGGGGCGTGTGGCTGCATACACAAACACCACAATCAGCAGCACGACCGCGGCCAGCGTGGGCAGCACCACCGTGGTGATCTGCTGCCGGGCCTCCTGCATGGCTTGCTTCTGCTCCTTCTTGTCCTTCCATGTCTCCTTCCTGGGCTTCCCTTTGAGCTGCCTCATCTTTCCTAGAAGATGCTGGGAGGCTGTGTCCAGAGGGATTCCAAAAAGGGCCACAATCCTCTTGTCAAGGCTGGAACCTCCTTTTCTTCAACTTGATTCAATAATTTCAGCAAACTGATTTCCAGTACAGGTGACTTGACTTATTTGTTGTAACAGATCATGTCTTCAACATGCAACACTCTCAGATGGTGCAGCTGGGAAAATGGACAACATCTTTACTGATCTTTAGCAGTCTGTAACTATTGAATTCTTATAATATATTTAGAATGAACCGAGATGGGCTATAAGTGTAAGATACATCCTGGATTTCAAAGGCTTAATATGAAAACAGAGAAAGTAAAATATCTCACTGGTAATTTACATATTGATAGCATTAAAATCATATTTTTCATATACTGGGTTAAATAAAATATTAATTTTACCCTTTTAAAAGTTTTTACATGAGATTACTAGAAAATTTTAAATTACATATATGGCTCTCATTATATTTTTTTCTTTTTTCTTTCTTTCTTTTTTTCTTTTTATTTTTTTAGAGATGGGTCTCACTATGTTGCCTAGGCTACATCTAACTCCCAGGCTGAAGCAAATCCTCCCACCTCAGCCTCGCAAGTAACTCGGACTGCAGGCATGTTCCACTGTGCCTGCCTTCAGCTCTTATATTTCACACCATTCTCCTGCCTCAGCCTCCCGAGTAGCTGGGACTACAGGTGCCCACCACCACGCCCGCCTAATTTTTTTGTATTTTTAGTAGAGATGGGGTTTCACCATGTTAGCCAGGATGGTCTCGATCTCCTGACCTCATGATCTGCCTGCCTCAGCCTCCCAAAGTGCTGGGATTACAGGCATGAGCCACTGTGCCCGGCTTTCTTTTCTAAGAGACAGAGTCTCACTCTGTTACCCAGGCTGGAGTGTAATAGTGGATGTAATAGCTCACTACATGCTTGAACTCCTGAGCTCAAGCAATCCTCTTCCAGCCTCATTCTCCCCAGTAGCTAGGACTACAGGTGCACACCACCATGCCCAGCTGATTTTTAATTTTTTTTTGTAGAGATGATCTCTTGCCATGTTACCCAGGCTGGTCTTAAACTCCAGGGCTCAGGGAATCATCTCACTTTGGCCTCCCAAAATGCTGGGATTACAGGTGTGAACCACTGTACCCAACAGCTCTCATATTTCTATTGGACAGCGTTGTTCTAGACCATGGGTCTGCAAACTACAGCCTGTGGGCCAAATCTGGCCTACCACCTGTTTTTGTGCAGCCCATGAGCTAAGAATGGTTTTCATTTTTTAAGTGGTTGAAAATAATTTTTAAAAAGAATGATGTCCTCTGACATGTAAAAATTATATGAAATTCAAGTTTCATTGTTTATAAGTAAAGTTTTATTGGAACACGGGCACACTCATTTATTTGTTTATCATCTATGACTGCTTTTGCTTTACAGTAGCAGAACTGAGTAGCTGTGATAAGGATGTGCAGCTTGAAAGTCTAAAATATTTACTATCTGGCCCTTTATGGCAAATGTGTGCTGATCCCCGTTCTAGACCATCAGCTTTCATATATTCCCTGGAAGAGGACCCTGCTTTTAACTTACTCCTATTTTTTTGTTCTCAATCTTTGCTTAGCTTTTAGGCCCAACTCCTTGATATGCCACTGCCCAAATCTCAGTGGTATTTTGGGGTTACAAGAGCTGACCTATGCATTCTTTAGACTACAAAGAAGTCAGCCAAAAATGTTCTTGCCTTCCTAGAGCTGCACAGGAACTGGTGGATCTAGCAAAAGAGAACAGAGAGATGTTCAATAGCTTCTTTCTCCAAAGGTAGGGACTTCCTTCTCAGAGGACAAGCAAATCCAGGATTGATACAACATCAGACTGAGAGGGGAGCCTATGATTTGGCTGGCCAGTTTCTTTTCACAGCTCAGTGATACCTCCTTTTTTTTTTTTTTTTTGGATACAGAGTCTCACACTGTTGCCCAGGCTGGAGTGCAGTTGCCTGATCTTGGCTCACTGCAACCTCTGGCTCCCAGGTTCAAGCGATTCTCATGCCTCAGCCTCCTGAGTAACTGGGATTACAGGCATGCACTGCCATACCCGGCTAACTTTTGTGTTTTTAGTAGAGATGGGGTTTCACTATGTTGGCCAGGCTGGTCTCAAACTCCTGGCCTCAAGTGATCTGCCTGCCTCGGCCTCCCAAAGTGCTGGGATTACAGAGATGTGAGCCACTATGCCCGGCCAGCAACGCCTCTTGAATTAAATCTTCTCTCTCTTCCTCTCTCCCTCTCTTTCTCGCTCTTGCTCTCGCTTATGCTCACTCTCAGTCAGTGTAGTTGGCTTCTGCATGGTCTGTTCCTGCCAGATATTTCGTGGAACTCACTATGACATTTTTTTCCACTCCAATGAAGCAGACATCTGGATCCTTTAGTGAGCTTCTTGATCCCAGTGTGCAACCAAAGCCTTGTTGGCTTAGTGAATCTTTATGTTCTCATGTTATAGGATTCCTAAGGAAGAGGAGTAAGGCTATGGTTTCAGAATGTTAATTGATAACGGTTCTTGGCAACAGTGCTCTTCCTGGCTTTTCCTCCATAACCTGTTTCTTCCACCCACAATAATAACATTTATTCTTAATAGATTAGTACCAGTCTGGAGTTCTCTGTCATTCCCCTCTCTTAGCGTGCGCGCGCACACACACACACACACACACACACACACACACACACACACACACACACATGTCCATTCCTTTTTTCCTTGCTCTACTGATTATATTTAGGGCTGTTTAACTCACTCACTCACTCCCTTCCTTCCTTCTTTCCTTCCTTCCTCTCTCCCTCTTTTCCCCTCCTTCCCTCCTTCCCTCCCTTCCTTCCTTCCTTCTTTCCTTCCTTCCTTCCTTTCCTTCTTTCTTTCAGACAGGGTCTCACTCTGTCACCCAGGCTACAGTGCACTGGCATGATCTTGGCTCACTGCAACCCTTGCCTCCTGGGCTCAAGTGATCCTCCCACCACCTCAACCTCCTGAGTAGTTGGGACCACAAGTATGCACCACCACACCTGGCTAATTTTTTATATTTTATGTAGAGACAGGGTTTCACCATGTTGCCCAGGCTGGTCTTGAACTCCTGGACGCAAGTGACCCACCGATCTCAGCCTCCCAAAGTGCCGGGATTACAGGTGTGAGCCACCACACCCGGCCAAGACTGTTTAATTTTCTAATATTAGTTTCTAAGTAAATTCCCTGACCATTATAATGATGTTATCCTGGTTATTGATGGAATATTAATGGTTAAAATGTAAACTGTCAAAGTTAGGGAGGGATCTTATATCTCTCTTCATTTAAGAACTCTTTCCTTTAGAGAATTGCCTTTAGATTTTATAGTAGAGTTGAATTTAGGCGTAGGGGTGGGGAAAGGCAAGAACCCTATAACATAGGAAAATCCTAAAAACACTTGAATTTCTCTATCTAGCTTATCCTACATTTTGGGCACCATGACGGAAATCTATTGAGGGCTTCTAGCTGATTCTAGAATTTATGTTTCCTGAAAGGATTGCCTCCTGAGAAAGAGATGTCAATAAGATCACAATTACTTTGTTTTCAATCCTTAGTCTGTAGTAAGGCCTCATAATCTTCTCATAATGTTGGAAAGTAAGCTGGGGGATCAGGGAGCCTAGTATTTTATTCCTACTCTTATCCAGATGATCTCCATATTTCTGGCCTTTACCTTCTCCGGGTCTCACTTTTCTTTCTTTCTTTCTTTCTTTTTTTTTTTTTTTTAATTTGAGAGGGTTCTTGTTCTGTCACCCAGGCTGGAGTACAGTGATATGATTATAGCTCACTGCAGCCTTAACTCCTGAGCTCAAGGGATCCTCCTGCTTCAGCCTCCCAATGTATTGGGATTACAGGCATGAGCCACTGCACTGGGCTTGGTCTCACTCTTCTCATCTGTAAATTAAAGGGTCTGATTAGTCAACTTTTAAAGTTCCTTCCAACTTCAAATTGTTCTGATTCTGCATCCCCATTGATAGCCTAGAGACAATAATCTCTATTATTCTCATTCGAAGATTGAGTAATGCTAATGAAATACCAAAAATAAAAACTTGTTGAATTCCTCAGAAGAGAGATAGATTATCGAACTCCCACTTATTCAGAATGAGCAAGAAATGAGATATTTCAATTAATTCCATGTGTTGGTTAATGGAAGTTGTTATATACTATATATGGTTAACAAATATTTAGATAATTAAATATTATCTAAATATTTAGGTATTTATTCTAAAATACACAATAGAATTACCATAACCATAATAAATTTTTTATTCAGTCTGTTACAGGGCCCTCACAACAGAATTCTGAACTCATAATCATTGTATGGCACTGCAGCTACAGATAAGATTGAGCTAAGTGAACAATATATAATTGTAGACTGGATGCAGTGGTTCACACCTGTAATCCCAGCACTTTGGGAGGCCGAGACGGGCAGATCACTTGAGGTTGGGAGTTCAAGACCAGCCTGGCCAACATGGTGAAACCTCAGTTCTACTAAAAATACAAAAATTAGCTGAGTGTGGTGGCACATGTCTATAATCCCAGCTACTGGGGAGGCTGAGGCACAAGAATCGCTTGAACCCAGGGGATGGAGGCTGCAGTGAACTGAGATCATGCCACTTGACTCCAGCCTGGGCAAGAGCATGAAATTCTGTATCCAAAAAAAAAATATATATATATATATAATATATTTATATATATTTTTGTATATATATAAATATATATAAATATAAAAATATAAATATATTTATATATATGCATACTTGTTTCTTGAAAGTTTTGTTTATTTGTAATTTTTCCTTCTTATAAAATTGGAATATATAAAAATTCAAGTTTTTTTTTCTTTTCTTTTTTGAGATGGAGTCTTGCTCTGTCATCCAGGCTGGAGTGCAGTGGCACGATCTCGGCTCCTGCAACCTCCACCTCCCAGGTTTAAGCCATTCTCCTGCCTCAGCCTCCCAAGTAGATGGGACTACAGGCACCTGCCACCATGCCTGGCTAATTTTCTTTGTATTTTTAGTAGAGATGGGGTTTCGCCATGTTGGCCAGGCTGGTTTCAAACTCCTAACCTCAGGTGATCCACCTGCCTCGGCTTCCCAAAGTGCTGGGATTATAGGCATCAGCCACTGTGCCCAGCCAGAAAAATTCAAGTTATTGGAAACATAGAATTACAAAATTTTAGATCTGGATGGGCCCTTGAGAATCATTTGTCCCAACTCTCAAATGTACAGATGAGAATCCTGAGGCTCAGAGAAGTCCAAATCACACAGCTAGTGGTGCCACGGATGGTTCTAGAATTCATGTTTCCTGCAAGGGTTGCCTCCTGGAGAAAGGGATGCTAATAAAGTCATGATTACTTTGTGCTTAATTCTCAGTCTGTAGTAAGGCTTCATAATCTTCTCATAATCTACTCATGTAATCACCATTATAATCATTTATAATTGAGATAATTTCCTAGTACTCAAAACAATGTTGCCATCTTTTGAAAATAATCCGTAAAATAAGGGGCAGAGGGGGATATAGTAAAATTGTTTTTTTTAAAGAGATAAAATGTAAGTTTTTGATACCAACATTTTAAAGCTTATATAGGCAGAGTGAGGTAGCTCATGCCTATAATCACAACACTTTGGGAGGCTGAGGTAAGAGGATCACTTGAGCCCAGGAGTTCAAGACCAGCCTGGGCAACATAGTGAGACCCTATCTCTACAAAAATTTAGCTGGGCATGGTGGCGTGTGTCTGTATTCCCAGATATTCTGGAGGCTGAGGTGGGAGGATTGCTTGAGCTTGCCTGGAGGTTGAGGCTGCAGTGCACCTCTATCACAACATTGCACTCCATCCTGGGTGACACAGTGAGACCCTGTCTCTTAAAAAAAAAAAGCAGCAAATATCTTATTTGTAATAATTTTCTTTTTTTATGCAGGTATTTTGGCATCATATATGTCAGACTCCCTAACTAAGTTAGGCATTTGCCCATAAATTTAGGAACAATTGTCCCGAGTTTCCTCCAATTTCTTTGGTAGGAAGGAGAATGTAAAATATATTAATGCTTTTTCTCACTCTCCTTTGCTCTTTCTCTTTTTTTATATAATAATTTTTCTTGGAGGTGGGAGGTTTTGAGACAGGGTCTCAATCTGTCACCCAGGCTGGAGTACAGGCACATTCTCAGCTCACTGCAGCCTCAACCTCTGGGGCCCAAGCCATCCTCCCACCTAAACCTCTCAAGTAACTGGGGCCACAGGTGTGTGCCACCACACCCAACTAATTTTTGTATATTTTGGAGAGACAGGGTCTTGCCATGTTGCCCAGACTGGTCTCAAACTCCTGGGCTCAAGCACTCCTCTTGCCTTGGCTTCTCAAAGTGCTGGGGTTACAGGTGTGAGCCATCATGCCCAGCCTCTCTCTTTATATATATAACTAGGGTTTTATACCTAGCACATTCGAAGACTTGAGGACAATAAAAGTGGCTCTTCAACATACAAATGCTGGGGACCTTTGAAATAAGACATAAGTTTGTGACTATACCCATAAAAATTTTGGAAATCAAACACATTTTAAAAATTGTGTTCTGTGCCAATCACCTTGTTTTGATCTGCCGCAATCATATTTTTTTTTGTCATTAACAACATGGCTAGCTTCAACCATCAGTTGAATAATTTTATCTAAATTAGTGGATCTCCCACTTCAGCCTACATCAGAATTACCTAGAGCAGGGGTCCCCAACCCCTGGGCCATGGACCAGTCTGGTGGAGGTCCATGGCCTGTTAGGAACTGGGCTGCCCAGCAGGAGGTGAGCAGCAGGCAAGCCAGTATTACTGTCTGAGCTCTGCCTCCTGTCAGATCAGTGGTGGCATTGGAATCTCATAGGAGTGCGAATCCTATTGTGAACTGTGCACGCGAGGGATCTAGGTTGGCACTCCTTGTGAGATCTAATGCCTGATGATCTGGAGTGAACAGTATCATCCCGAAACCATCCCCTGCTCACTGTCTGTGGAAAAACTGTCTTCCAGGAAACTGGTCCCTGGTGCCAAAAAGGTTGGGGACCATTACCCTAGAGCATTTGTTAGAAAACAGATTGGCCCAAATCCCAGAGTCTCAAATTCAATAGATCTCGGGTGGGGCCCCAGAATTTGTGTTTCTGAGGTGATATTGATGTTCCTGGCTAGGGGACTTTGAGAAGTTCTGTTTTAGCCAGGTGCCGTGGCTCATGCCTATAATCCCAGCACTTTGAGAGGCTTCTTGAATGGACTGCTTGAGTCCAGGAGTTCGAGACCAGCCTGGGCAACATAGCCAAACCTTATCTCTACAAAAGACACAACAATTAGCTGGGTGTGGTGGCCCGCGCCTGCAGTCCCAGCTACTGGGAGGCTGAGGCGGGAGCATTGCTTGAGCCCAGGATGTCGAGGCTGCAGTAAGCTGAGATGGTGCTACTGCACTTCAGCCTGGGGGACAAAGTGAGACCCTGTCTCAAAACAAATAAATAAATAAAAATAATGATCTCTTGAACTGAAAATCAAAGTAAGTTATTTGGTATTATGTAGAGTAGGCCAAGACACCAGTATCAAAATGTTTCACTTTTACATAGTGAGACCCCTTCTCTATCAAAATAAAAAGGTGAACTTTTTTTTTATAGGGATGAGGTCTCACCACTCTGTCACACAGGCTGCAGTGCAGTGTCACGATCATAGCTCATTGTAGCCTCGAATTCCTGGGCTCAAGCGATCCTCTCACCTCAGCCTCCTGTAGTTTCTACTTTTTAATGAGTTGTGTTAATATTTTATTGACATACCTATTTATTTTTGTCAATCGAGTGAATTCCACCAATTATGGAGCTGTTTTGGTGTTGTACAGATAAAACCTCCAAATAAACAGGTAGCTGGATGGGACTGGTCCATCCAGTCCCATCCAGCTATAGTTAGATGCAGTTTTGTCTGGTTATTTGTGTGGTTGTTGCACTGTTCTAATTTAAAAGAAAGGAGGACTCCCATCTGATTAGCCTGGTGGAAAGCTATATTCTGTATTGGTTAGAGCTCCTAAATGATCTCCAAAGGGAGTTAAGGGGATTGTGGTGATGTGGTTTGCAGGTCAGCCCACTAGCTATTAAGATCAAACCACGCCTGGAGAGTTTGACTGTTTCTGTTTACTCAGTACTCCCAGGCTCACACTCCTCCTGCCATCTTGGTTATTATTTTTGTTGTTTGAGCTTTCAATTTGGCTTTAGGAAAATGTCAAACATTTGGTGGGGGAGTTGCATGGGTCATGACTTTGACCAGTGCACTATTAGAAAACATTTTCAGGAATTTCTCATGCTGGGAGCAGTACTGAAAAACTAAAATTATATATATATAAATAAAATTATGAACGTATAAAAACTGTATATATATAGTTTTTTAACTTTAATTTCCACTTCTTTCTTAAGTATGGTTTTTACATTTTACAAAGAAAGCACTGCTGGTTGTAGAAAGGTTAAGTAATACACAATGGGTTAAAGAAAAAGAAAAAAATCTCCTAGAGATTGCACCATACTGTTAAAGAAAAGCCTTCAGTCACACACACACAGAGAAACACTGGGCACAATTTTAACTACCACATGGTAGTGGTAAATATCTCCATGAGATGGTGCTCAAAGATTAGTTTTAGTTTCCATCCTGACTATTGTGAAATTACAATCAAAATTTATGTAGGTGAGTTCATGCCCTTTAATGTTCATACACATCTTTGTGTGTGTTTTATTGTATTTAGGGTGATTATAAAATTTCGCCCCTTTGGGGCTTTTGGTCATTACATTGTTTCTTTGGAAAATGTTATAAAAGAGATGAGGAGGACATTGTAATGTGTACCCAATTTTCACCAGACAGTATTTTATGGAAATCTTTCCAAGTTAGAATATACATATATATGATATTTATAATCCTTTTAAAGTCTTTCCTTATTTGAATATTCTGTAATTTATCATTAATCTTCAGATTTAATTGATTTGATTGTAAAATTAATACATGCTTGCTGTAAAACATTTTAAGACAGTACACAAATGTACAAAGTAAAATTTAAGTTTCTTCCCCCATCTTCCCCACCCCCTTCCAGAAGTATTCAGTTAATAGTTTGGAATTATTCCTCCAGACCTTTTTTACCTTTGATACAAACAAAAGTAATATATAGTTGGATATTTATTTATTTATTTAATTTTTATTTTTATTTTTGAGACACAGTTTCGTTCTGTCACCAGGCTGGAGTGCAGTGGCACGATCTCGGCTCACTTCTGCCTCCTGGGTTCAAGCAATTCTCATGCCTCAGCCTCCTGAGTAGCTGGGATTACAGGCATGCACCACCACACGCTGCTAATTTTTGTATTTTTAGTAGAGATGGGGTTTCACCATGTTGGCCAGGATGGTCTCGATCTCCTGACCTCATGATCCGCCCCCCTCAGCCTCCCAAACTGCTGGGATTACAAGCATGAGCCACCATGCCTGGCGGATTTTTAAATTTTAATTTTTTTAAAACAAAAACAGAGTCATAGTATAATGTACTATGATTCTGCAACCTTTTTAACTAACAATAAATATATCATGGTACAAATATCGAGGTATATGGTTTTTTAAATTAATTATTTACCTTTTCTTCTTCTTTTTTTTTTTTTTGAGATTCTGTCACCCAGGATGGAGTACAGTGGCGCACTCATGGCTCACTGCAGCTTCCTTTAGCCTCAAGCTCCTGGGTTCAAGTGATTGTCCCACCTCCGTCTCCCAAATCACTGCGACTATGGGCATGCACCATCACACTTGGCTAATTTTTAAATTTTTCATAGAAATGAGGCCTCACTATGTTGCCCAGGCTGGTCTTGAATTCCTGGGCTCAAGTTAGCCTCCTGCCTCTGCCTCCCAAAGTACTGGGATTACAGGCATGAGCCACCGTGCTGGGCCAGGTGTTTTTTTTAAAATGACTACATCATATCACAGAATATGGAGCAATCCTCTATTGAGGGACACAGGGTTTTTTCCTTAGCTTTCACTTATTATTTTTGTTTACTTGTCTTATTAACTCTGAATGATAAAGTTATAATAGAGTTATAATAGTTGTAATAGTGGGATTTCTGGGTTGAAGGGTAAACTCATTTAAAATGTTGATACATGAGGCTGGGTGTGGTGGCTCATGTCTGTAATCCCAGCACTTTGGGAGGCCAAGGCGGGCAGATCACCTGAGGTCAAGAGTTCGAGACCAACCTGGCCAACATGGTGAAACCCCGTCACTACTAAAAATTCAAAAATTAGCTGGACATGGTGGCAAGCACCTGTAGTCCCAGCTACTCGGGAGGCTGAGGTGGGTGAATTGCTGGAACCCAGGAGGCAGAGGTTGCAGTGAGCCAAGATCGCGCCACTGCACTCCAGCCTGGGCGACAAAGCTAGACTCAGTCTCAAAAAACAAACAAAAAAATGTTGATTCATGAGACAAAATTGCCCTCTAGGAAAGTTATACAATTTTATACCTTCACTAGAAGGTCAGAGAGGGTTGTTTCTTTATCAATCTGTTAAGCAATAGAAACATAGGCCAGGTGTGGTGGCTGACTCCTGTGATCCCAGCACTTTGGGAGGCTGAGGCAGGCAGATCATCTGGAGTCAGGAGTTCAAGACCAGCCTGGCCAATGTGGCGAAACCCTGCTTTACTAAAAATACAGAAATTAGCTGGGTGTGGTGGCATATGCCTGTAATTCCAGCTACTCAGGAGGCTGAGGCAGGAGAATTGTTTGAACCCAGGAGGCAGAGGCTGCAGTGAGCTGAGATGGCGCCATTGCACTCCGACTGGGTGATGGAGTGAGACTCTGCCTCAAAAAAAAAGCAATAGAAACAATATCATTGTTAGTTTTATTTGTATCGTTTTTCTGGATTACTAATGAGGTTAAACATATTTTCATATGTCTATTGACCACTCAGAATTCCTTTCTAAATTATCCATTCTTATTTTCTTTTCATTTTCTTTCTTTTTGCTTTTTTTCTTTTTTGAGACAGTCTTCCTCTGTCGCCCAGGCTGGAGTACAGTGGCAATGGCGCGATCTCAGCTCACTGCAGCCTCCACCTCCCAGACTCAAGCCATCCTCCCACTTCAACCTCCTGAGTAGCTAGGAGCACAAGCACATGCTACCACACCTGGCTAGTTTTTGTATTTTTTTGTAGAGACAGGGTCTCACCACGTTGCCCAGGCTTGTCTCAAACTCCTGGGCTCAAGCAATCCAATCGACCGAGCCTCCCAAAGTGCAGGGATTACCATGCCTGGCCTCCCTGCTGATTTTAACGGTCTTCGTTAGCATATACTAAATCCCCATATAAAAAAAAAATAAAAAGAAACAAACAAAAAAATCCCCATATATATTTAAATCTGCCTCTGGACTCCATTCTTTCCTTTCCTATTTCTGTACCAATCTCATATTGCTTTAATTTGCATAGGTTAAAAAAATTTCTAATATCTGGTAGGGGTACTCCTTTAAAAATTGTTTGTTTGTTTGAGACAGGCTCTCACTCTGTCACCCAAGCTGGAGTGCAGTGGCGTGATTTCGGCTCACCGCAACCTCCATCTCCCAGGTTCAAGCGATTCTTCTGCCTCAGCCTCCCGAGTAACGGGGATTACAGACGCACGTCACCACGCCCAGCTAACTTTTCTATTTTTTGGTAGAGACAGTGTTTCGCCATGTTGGCCAGGCTGGTCTCGAACTCCTGACCTCAAGTGATCTGCCCACTTTGGCCTCCCAAAGGGCTGGGATTACAGGCGTAAGCCACTGTGCCAAGCCAAATAGCTTTTTTAAAATTTTATTTTTACTTCTTTTTTTTTGAGACCAAGTCTCTTTCTGTCGCCTAGGCAGGAGTGTAGTGGCGCCATCTCAGCTCACTGCAACCTGTGCCTCCTGGGTTCAAGCTATTCTCCTGTCTCAGCCTTCAAAGTAGCTGGGACTACAGGCATGCGCCACCACACCCAACTAATTTCTATATTTTTAGTAGAGACAGGGTTTCGCCATGTTGGCCAGGCTGGTCTCAAATTCTTGGCCTCATGTGATCCGCCCACCTCAGCCTCCCAAAGTGATGGGATTACAGGTGTGAGCCACCACACCTGGCCTATTTCTAAATTTCTATGAATTTTTAAATTGAGGTGAAATTGTAGCATAAAGTTAACCATTTTAAAGTGAACAATTCAGTGATATTTAGCACATTCACAATGTCATGTAACCATCACCTCCATCTAGTTCCAAAACATTTCATCGCCCCAAAACAAAACTCTATATTCATTAGGCAGTTTTTCCCATTTCACCCTCTCCACACATTTTTAACACATAAAAAATAAACTTGTTATAAAATCCCAAGCTTCAGGTTTACCAGGTATTAAGGAAGCTTAAAAATCAAGTCCCAGTTCAGAATCATACAGGTTTTCCAGATTTAGATCGTCCTCCGGCAGGGTGTCTGCATCCTCCAAGCATGATTCTACATCCCCAGTAGCCCAAGACTCAATTTGGATTCTGAAAATTTGCTGCTAAATTGCTTTGTGATTCTTCTCAAGTGTCTATGACTTCTGTTGTCTCTTGAACAACCTTGTTTTTGTTGTTGTTAATGTTTTTTGTTTGTTTTTGAGACAGGGTATCTCTCTGTCACCCAGGCTGGAGTGCAATGGTGCAATCGAGGCTCACTGCAGCCTCCACCTCCCGGGCTCAATCAATCCTCCTGCCTTAACCTCCCAAGCAGCTGGGACTACAGGTGCATGCCACCATGCCTAGCTAATTTTTTATTTTTATTTTTAGTAGAGATGAGGTCTCACTATGTTGCCCAGGCTGGTCTCAAACTCCTGGACTCAAGCAATCCTTCTGCCTCAGCCTCCCAAAGTGCTGGGATTACAGGTGTGAGACACTGTGTCTAGCCTTGAACAATCTTGCAAACCCTCTACTTTTTTTTCTTTTCCCCTGCCCACCCATCCATAGCATCTGGCACTGGCTTTGTACCATCACATGCCCATCAAATTATTGTTGATTGATTTCTTTCAAAATTTCCATATTAGACCCTCATCAGCGTGTCAGGAGACTGTCTGGGGCATGATTTAAGTGGGAGTTGAATTAAGAAATTTCAACACACTGTATCTTACTTTCAGATAATATGACACTACTGGTTGCCATTTATTTAAGTGCCTATTAATTGTCATACCCTACAAATGGTTTTATTTAATTCTTATAACAATCTCATGCAGCGGAAGCTTACTGATGATATTCACAGAGGTTAAGTGACTTGCCTAAAGTCCCTGGGCTTAATTGTCAGAGCCAAGCTTTGAACCCAGTTTTGTCTGACTACACAGCACTTTCTAACATGCTATATTGCCTCCATATACTTTCTCCATCAAAGCCCACCCATCATGTTATCCAGGTTTGTTTTTACTTCATTGTCATAGTCATGTTTGCCTAGAGGGAGCATCCAAGCCCTCCTGCTGAGGTATATGATGGAGATACTCAAGAAGCACCACAGAATCATTGCTTCTCTCACAGGTGACCTTACTTCCTGCCCTGGCCAAGCTATCAAGGATCAAGTTAATTCCTCGCTTTACTATGTTCTAGATAGTAAACCACGTTGGGCTGGCACGGTGGCTCATGCCTGTAATCCCAGCACTTTGAGAGGCCACGTAGGGAGCATCCCTTGAGTCCAGGAGTTCAAGACCAGCTTGGGCAACATAGGGAGACCCTGTCTCTACAAAAAATAACAAAAAATTAGCTGGGCGTTAGGCATGCATCTGTGGTCCTAGCTACTCGAGAGGCTGAGGTGGGAGGATCACTTAAGCCCAGTTACTTGAGCCAGGGAAGTCGAGGCTGCAGTGAGCTGGGATTGCCCCACTGCAGTCTGGCCTAGGCAACAGAGGAGACCCCGTCACCAAAAAAAAAAAAAAAAAAAAAAAAAAGTGTGCCGGATGGAGTCCCATACTGTCTGGCCCACGTGTTATAACTGTCACCTTAGCTAGAGCTGGAGCAAGAATATGGAATTGAATCCAGGCTCAGCCTCCACTGTAAGGATGGGAGACATTATTTTCCTAAGGAAGAGAATCCCAGTGAGTGCCTGGGAGCTCCATCTCTTCCCAATCTGCCCATACTTGGCCTCTTCCTATTTCCTGTCTTCTAAAAATGTATGAAATTCAGGGATGTTAGAGAGTGCTATTTGGAGAAATTAAGTTTAAATGAATCAGAAACACATGGATTGGCTTTCCCTCAGAAGAGACTCACATTTTAAAACGGAAAGGAAAATATATGGGACGAAGACCAGATGGGATTTTAAGTATGGAAGAAGGGTTGGATTGTTTCAGCAAATCCTAATCAGTTGGGCACACCCAGCTCTAGCTCCCCTTCACAGCTGCAAAGACAGGTCACCTCTGGGATGGTATGGTCCTGGATGTGTGTTCTCAGAGGACAGAGGCCCTGGATGTGGAATTAGAGGGCATGAGTTCATGATGAAGCAATGTCACTTAGCAGCTCTTATGGCCTTGCCACTGGACATTTGGCCCTTGTAGGGCGTGGTGGCTCACGCTTGTAATTCAGCACTTTGTGGGGATGAAGTGGTCAGATTGCTTGAGCTCAGGAGTTTGAGACCAGCCTAGGCAACATGGCGAGCCCCCTTCTTTACAAAAAATACAAAAATTAACGGGGTGTGGTGGTGTGCACCTGCAGTCCCAGCTACTCACTCAGGAGGCTGAGGTGGGAGGATGGCTTGAGCCTGGGGGGCAGAGGTTGCAGTGAGCTGAGATCGCACCACTGCACTCCAGCCTGGGCAACATAACAAGACCCTGTCTCAAAAAAAATTTTTTTTTCTTATCTGCTTTAAAAAAGGGGGAGGAATTTATAACATCTTTACTACCTACTTGTATGGCTTTTGTGACATCATGGTTCCAGTTTGCCAAAAACTATTAAACCATTATTGTAATTTAGCTGCATAATAAAGACTTTGAGGAGGGTAATAAGTGATGAAAATGACCACATTAGGGCAAATAGGTTGACAATTTATAAAATGGCTTTAAGACTTTTCCTTCAAGGGGATGTTAGTGTAAGCACTAACATCAGTAACTGGTTTTTGTTAGGTGATCCTTATCAGCCCAGCCTCCTAGGTCACAGTCATTCAGTCAATAGCGTCACTTTTAGATGACTTGCATGCAGGAACCCAGCCCCTGGTGCTACATATGAGTATGTTTGGGAGTGGGGTAGTGGTGGGGATATGGAGCACTGGGACGATGAGCAAGAAAACTAAATGCTAGAAGGATGCTTAGAAATAATTATGTCCAGTTTCCTCCTTCTCCAAGATTAGAAAACTGTTAGCTAGGCACCGTGGCTCATGCCTGTAACCCCAGTGCTTTGGGAAGCTGAGAGGGGAGGATGGCTTGAGGTCAGGAGTTTGAGACCAGCCTGGGCAACATGGAGAAAGCCCTGTCTCTACCAAAACAACTTTTTTAAAAAATTTTTTTTGGACAGGGTCTCACTCCATTGCCCAGGATGAAATGCACTGGCCTGACCACTGCTCACTGCAGCCTGGACTTCCTGAGCTCAGGTGTTCTCCCACCTCAGCCTCCTGAGTAGCTGAGACTACAGACGTGTGCCATGGCCGGCTAATTTTTTCTGTATTTTTTGTAGCGATGGGGTTTCACCATGTTGCCCAGGCTGGCCTCTAACTCCTAACCTCAAGTGATCCTCCTGTCATGGCCTCCCAAAGTGCTAGTGAAATGGGAAGAGTTCCCTTGTCCCCCTTGCAGGGCATACGATAGGGGTGTGGCTCGCTTCTTCAGTGCCCCGCTGCTCAAACTTCTAGGGGAGACATACAGACAGGCAGGCTGTGGGGCTCCGGCCCTACCGCAGTGTCTAAGAGTGAATGCTTACAGCTCCTGGCGCCCCAGTGGGCGCGTGTTACAGGGTGCTCTTTCAGCTTTGCTGTCGATAAGTGGCTTGTCTTACCAGCTCAATTAGACTTCTTCCTTGGCGCAGAGACCGAGAACAGAGGGCTTTCTGTATCCCGGGGTTCTTCCCTTGGTGTACCAGAATCGGATCACATGTGGGCTTGGAGTATGAGTGCAAGGTTTTATTGAGTGGAAGTCGCTCTCAGAATATGGGACAGCCAGAAGGTAAATGGTTGTCGCCTAGGAATCAGGCCGCTCGGTGGCCCGCGCTCTCCTCTGACTGCCTCAGCCAAACTCTGTGTTGCTCTGCCTGATCAGTGGCCTGCCAGCATGCCGGTGCCTATCAGTGCGTTCCTCTCAACGCCTAGCCAATGTGTGTGCCTCCGCTGACGTGCTCCTCCTCAACATCCAGCGGCTTGGCTTGGCTTTCCTTGGGGGGGGTAGATCTCGGGTTTTTATAGGCACAGGATGGGGGCGTGGCAGGACAGGGTGGACTTGGGAAACGCAACATTTGGGCAGGAAAACAAAAATGCCTGTCCTCACCTAGGTCCGTGGGGGTGGAGCCCTAGCCAAGGACTACGCCCTCCTGTACCCAGCACTTCCGTTACCCCTTTCTGTATCATTTAAAGGCACCACACACTTCCCTTCCTAGCACTTACGTATCAGTTTCAACAGAAGAGAATGATTTCCTGGGTTCTCAGTTTTTCTCCCTGACTCGGGGTACCAGCCCAGTGTCTAAAGGCTCTTCGGGGTGGCGGTGGGCCGTGTTTTTCTTTCTCTCTCTCCTCTGATTGGGACAGAAATGTCTTACTCGCCTGAGTGAGCAGGGCACACAAGCAGGCGGGCTCTCTCTCCGGCCGGCTTTGAAGCCGACTAATTAGGGCTTGGGCTGTCACAGCTGGCTTCCCCTGCGCCTCCCCTGACCCTGCCCCTGCCGCTGCCCCTGCCTCCCAGCCTGAGAGCTCCTCCCCTGCTGCCTTGTCTTCCACGGCCGACTGGTGGCTCTGCCAAGCCATCCGGCAAGGCCCTGGGATCTGAGGCCTGGAAGGGCCAAGGCAAAAGCAACCGAGAAGGGACAAGATGAGGCGTGGGACATGGAGCGAGCCCACAGACCACGGGGTTTCTAGAGGACTGCCTCTTTCTGGAACCCCTCATTCATAAGGAAGCCTGGAAGAGAGCCGCCTGGGCTAGGGACTGAGCCGTGGGCCCTTTATTTGAAAGCCAAAGCTTTCCGAAGGCTCCAGCCTCTCAGCCTGGCCCTTATAATTAGCCCCAATCAAAGTGTTTATGTCAGGGCCTACTGCGGAACTCAGGGCCCCATGATTTCATTCCAAACCTGGGGGGAGGAGAGGGGAGTGAGAGGGACTTGTGTTGGTACAAAGAAAACAGAGGGATGGGTAAGAAAGTTGGTGAGTGAAGAGGAGGCCGTCCTGGAGCAGGGAGGACAATCAGCCTCCGTTTGGCCATCAGCACAGGGGTCAGGAATCCACCTAGAGGAGCTGGTGCCCCAGCATCCTGACCTGGGCCCGGCCTGCCTGCCTTCTGGGCAGGCTCTGTGGGTGGGTGGGCTTGTGCCAATCGGAAATGGCTCGGATATAATTAACCCAACTAATCACCAGCCTCAGCCCTGTGGGAGGGGAGGGCACAGCCCATAGCCACGGCCCCCCCAGGAAGCTCCCATCTCCCCATGCTCCCTCCTCTGACTGGGGCCTGGGGTGTTCCAGGCTCTGCAGCTGCTTTGGATGGTAGAATCAGAGGGCGGGCAGGGAAGGGATGTGGGAAGAGACATGTTGCTTATTCTTATCTCTGGCCTCAAGGGGGATGTGACCGGAGGGAGTGTGCCTGAGTGTCTGAGCTGGCAAGGGTGGGTGGGGGGTGACTGAAGGGATTGTGGGGGAGGGCTTGGAGAGAGACTCCCAGCCATGGCTCCCAGGTGGCACTGGCTGTGTCCCACACTCAGTTAGCACTGCCCTCCTGTCTAGCCCTCCCGGGGAACTCTCCCGAGTGGGATACAGCTTGTAGGGAATTCTGTGTACTGGGTTTCGTGTCCTGGGCAGGGCAGGTGGAGTGTGGCATCTGAGTTCATATCTCCCTTGCGAACAGTCCTGCGAGGCCTCCAAGGGGTATCCCAACACCCTTCCTCCCTCAGCAAGTGAAGCTTTCCAGGATCTGGACCTGGCTCCTCTCTCCAGTTTCACTTCTCTGCACTTCTGGGCTCCGGCCTCGGGACTCTCACCTTCTCAGACCAACCATACCAGTGGCCTGAATGCTCTTCCCTTCCTCTGATCTGAACATTAACTACCAGTAGCCTCAGAACTTGCCTCAGGTCAGGTGGCCCCTCTGCCGTCAACCACACCTGTCCAACCCTCTGACACCCTCTGTCCCTAGCATCGTGTTCTCACTTGCCAGAGCACGTCACATTCTTTTTAGTTATTTGTTGCCTTTCTTCAGTGTGACCTCCTTAAGGAAAGTCTGTGTTTGGTGTGTCTTTTATCTCTGTATATCAGAACCTAGCAAGATGCCTGGCGCATATGGGTGCCCAAGATCATAGGCTCAGGAGCCAGGCTACCAGGGCTTGAATTCTGCCTCAGCCATGGCTAGCTGTTGACCTTGAGCAAGTTCATTCACCTCTCTGTATTATGTGTAAATGAGGATAGTAATTAATTGTACCTACCATGTAACTAGTTTGAGGATTAAATTAAATAAAGTGTTTAAAACAATGTTCACCACATAGTAAACACTTAGTAAAGTCTTGCTGGGCTTATTCATTCATGTGTTGGCTCAGTGGATGTGTCTTTAGTACTTACCATGAGTTAGGCACTTGCTAAGCTCAAAAGAGGCACAAATGCAGTCCCTGCCACATGCAACTTCCTATCATTGAATGAATACATGGATAAGTATTTGGTGTGGTACTTGTAGGTTTGTTATATGTTTTGTTAAACAAACTCATATAAATGTTTGAGAATGTGTCCAGCTCAAATATTGAATAATTATGTATCTATTTGGATGGCATAAAACAAGCAATGAAGTGGGGGTAATCCCCTATAAACCTGACAGATGAGCCGGACGTGGTGGCTCATGCCTGTAATCCCAGCACTTTGGGAGGCCAAGACGGGCAGATCATGAGGTCAAGAGATTAAGACCATCCTGACCAACATGGTGAAACTTTGTCTCTACTAAAAATACAAAAATGATCTGGGTATGGTGGCGTGCACCTATAGTCCAAGCTACTCTGGAGGCTGAGGCAGGAGAATCGTTTGAACCTGGGAGGCGGAGGTTGCAGTGAGCCAAGATCGTGCTACTGCACTCCAGCCTGGAGACAGAGCAAGACTCCGTCTCAAAAACAAAACAAAACAAAAAAAACAACCTGACAGATGTAATGGCGATTGGAGCCTGTGGAAAAGCTTGTCCGGGGCAGAGGGTCTTGGAAACCTCCTGCCCAATCTTCATTGTTAATGAGAATGTCAAAAAAAAAGGTTTTTTTTACAAAGCAAAATAATTACTCTCATAGAAATATACAATAATCGTGTCAAAATTTTTATTTAACTCATTAATTAGTGAAGGAACCAGTAAGATGTTACAGTCAGTTCAAAGGACGATCCAAAGAGCAGAGACGTATTTAGGCCATCCAGAATGATGAAATAGGCTGGGCGTTGTGGCTCACACCTGTAATCCCAGCACTTTGGGAGGCTGAGGCAGGTGGATCACTTGAGGCTAGGAGTTCAAGACCAGCCTGGCCAACATGGCAAAACACTGTCTCTACTAAAAATACAAAAATTAGCCAGGCATGGGGGTGCATGCCTGTAATCCCAACTACTAGGGAGTCAGAGGGATAAGAATCACTTGAGCCTGGGAGGCGGAGGTTGCAGTGAGCCACGTTCGCACCATTGCACTCCAGCCTGGGTGAACGGAGTGAGACTCTGTCTCAAAAAAAAGAAAAAAAAAAAAAAAAAGAATGATGAAGTAGCAACCTGGGCAACATAGTGAGACCCTGTCTCTTCCAAAAATTTAAAAAATTAGTCAGGCATGGTGATGTGCACCTGTAGTCCCAGCTACTCAGGAGATTGAGGCTGCAGTGAGCTAAGATCATGCCTCTGCACTCCAGCCTGGGTGACAGAGCAAGACCCCGTCTTAGAACAAAACAAACCAAACAAAAAGAGTGATTAAGTAGGCACGGCACAGTGGCTCACATCTGTAATGCCAGCACTTTGACAGACCAAGGTAGGAGGATCACTTGAGCCCAGGAGTTCAAGACCAGCCTGGGCAACATGATGAGATCCAAAAAATAATCTACAAAAAATTTTATCTACAAAAAATAATTTTAAAAAATTAAGGATGGTGATGCACACCTGTAGTCCCAGCTACTCAGAAGGCTGAGGCAAGAGGATCACTTGAGCACGGGAAGCTGAAGATGCAGTGAGCCATGATCACACCACTGTACTCCAGCCTGGGCAACAGAGCTGTCTCAGAAAAAAAAAAAAAGATGAAGTAAATCTGCTTAATAGATGCTAAATTGGTCAATAACCACTGAGCAATAATCAATTGCATATGCACCAGGCAATTTGCATTTCTATGGACAAGAATTATTTCCATTGATTGGGTGGTAAAATAGCTCGATGACCATAAAACTAGAAAATAACACACAAGGACAGACAATAATCTTTTTGACCATATTGGAGTCTTTCACAACTCTCCTTGAAAAGAAGTTCTGTACTCAGGTATTTCAAGATGACAAGTGCCACTCACCTCTTTCAAAGAGCTTTAGTGTCAGTAGGGAGCCCAGGGCCAACCAAAGAGAGCTGGGAATCTGCCCACAGTCTCAGGCAGGAATAGCCTTTGTCACCTATTCTTCTCCACCCCAGCACTCTGGCTCCTGTCTCCCTCTCTTCCTCTTTCCCATTCCACCACCATGTCCTGTCAAACTGTGCAGGCAATATATTCACCCCTCTACATGGTAGTCACCATTTATTTTATTTTATTTTATTTTATTTTATTTATTTTTGAGACAGAGTTTGGCTCTGTTGCCCAGGCCAGAGTGCAGTGACAGGAGCTTGGCTCACTGCAACCTCTGCCTCCCGGGTTCAAGTGATTCTCCTGCCTCAGCCTCCCGAGTAACTGGGATTACAGATGCACACCACCACACCCAGCTAATTTTTTGTATTTTTAGTAGAGTTGGGGTTTTGCCATGTTGGCCAGGCTGGTCTTAAACTCCTGACCTCAAGTGATCCGCACTCCTCAGCCTCCCAAAGTGCTGGGATTACAGGCGTGAGCCACCGTGACAGGCCTAGCCACCATTTATTGAATATCTGCACATTCTATGTGCCAGACACTTAACATTCATAATATCATTTAATGTTCTTTGTTGTTGTTGTTTTAATTGAGACGAGATCTCACTCCATCACCCAGGCTGGATACAGTGGCGTGATCATAGCTCACTGCAGCCTTGAACTCCTGAGCTCAAGAGATCCTTGTGCCTCAGCCTCCCAAGTAGCTGGGACTACAGGCGTGTACCACCAAACCCGGCTAATTTTTAAAATTTTTTTGTAGAGTTGGGGTCTTGTTATGTTGCCCAGGCTAGTCTCAAACCCCTGGGCTCAAGCAATCCTCCTGCCTTGGCCTCCCAAAGTGCTGGGATTACAGGCACGAGCCACCACACCCAGCCTCATTTAACATCCAAAACTACAAAATGAGGGCTCTCTTTACCTCAAATTACAACATATTTAAATAACTGATGTTCATGAAAGCTGCTGTAAGGGCATCAAACTAGCCAGAGTGGAGCAAAAGTAGTCAGACTCTTAACCACAATACCAGAAATAGCAAGTGGGGTTATTTCTCATGCCAACTGTAATTAATTGGGTGACTACCTGGAGTACTGTGGTGAGATGGATTCTGAAGCATCCTTTTGGCTTAGTGGGAGATAGTGCTGGGATCCACTAGTGATGTCTGCCATGGTCACAGAATCAAAGAATGGAAGGGTAGGCACGCGGGCCAGATTTTTGTCAGGCTTGCTTTGTGTATTGTCTCCTGCATCATCTTCTGAACACCTTACTGATGTTGCTGATGGCAGCTACTCCCTTTAAGGGCTGAATCCTCAGCGTCTGGATCATAATGCTAGTTTTCTAGGTCTTTGCTACTCAAAGTGTGATTCCAACTGCGTTCTGGCCCCTCCTCTACCCTTCCAACAGTGCCATCACCTGGGAGCTTGTTAGAAAAGCAGGATCTTGGGGCTGACCTCATACCTTCTGAATCAGAAGTTGCATTTTAACAAGATTCCCAGGGAATTTGCACATTCAAGTGTGAGGAGCACTGATCTTTTATTTCATTTTTTTTCAGATGGAGTTTTGCTCTGTCACCCAGGCTGGAGTGCAGTGGTGCAACCTCGGCTGACTGCCAACTCCGCCTCCCAGGTTCAAGTGATTCCCCTGCCTCAGGAGAGTAGCTGGGATTACAGGTGTAAGCCACCTCACCTGGCTAATTTTTGTATTTTTAGTAGAGATGGGGTTTTACCATGTTGGCCAGGCTGGTCTTGAACTCCTGACCTCAAGTGATCTGCCCCCCTCGGCCTCCCAAAGTGCTGGGATTACAGGCGTGAGCCACCACGCCCAGCCAGGAGCACTGATCTTGAGGACTGCTTTTTTCAACTGCACCTGCCCCCACCTCAGCAGCCAGAATTATTTTCTTCCAGCAGGGTACTGGCTCAGTCCCAGTCTAAGTATTCCCAGCAGACCCTAACACTTAACCCAATGTTTACAGGCTATTTCGGACTTTGAGACATCCTCCCCAACATTAGAAAAACCCTGCAGAATTCTCTGGCTTTTCCCACTATGGGTGTGAGGGCCTGTGGGCCTGCTGGGCCCACCTCTACAACATGGAATCCTTCCCTGTTTTCGGAGACTCTGCAGAATCTCCCTGGGGCCTCAAGAATGCAGCCCAAACTTTACACTCTAGCCTTTGGGACCCTTGCCCCTTCTCATAGCAGCCCGGGGAATTGGGGTGGAGTTGGACAGAGCAAAGACATGGAGGAGAAATAGTTGCTGAATCTGGGAGCAATAGCTGTTCATTCAATCATTAGTTCAACCAGTGTTTGTTGAAAATTATTGTGTGCCAAGCACTAGTGATATGGCAATGAGTAGAGCATGGTCTCTGCTCTTGAGGAAAGTGGAGCTATTAATATATACAGATCGCCGGGCATGGTGGTTTACGCCTGTAATCCTAGCACTTTGGGAGGCCCAGGCAGGCGGATTATCTGAGGTCAAGGGGTCGAGATCAGCCTCACCCACATGGCGAAACCCTGTCTCTACTAAAAATACAAAAATTAGCCAGGTGTGATGTCACATGCCTGTAATCCCAGCTACTCGGGAGGCTGAGGCAGGAGAATTGCTCGAACCCAGGAGGCGGAGGTTGCCGTGAACAGAGATCACACCACTGCACTCTAGCCTGGCAACAGAGTGAGACTCTGTCTAAAATAATAATAATAATAATATATACAGATCATTGCAATATCATGTGATACAAAAGGCAGACACTAGGGTTGTCAGGAAAAAGAGGGGGCAAGGGCATTCCATGCAGAGAGAACAGTATGGGCAAAGCTGCAGAAGAATGGAAGAATGTGGCATGATCAGGGAGCGGTGAGTACGCATGGGACAGAGGATGAGTATGGGGAAGAGTGTGGCAGGGCTGGTTAGATGGAGGATTTGGGCTGACCCCTGCAGAATTTGGATCTCACTTTGGCTTCCTTGGATTTATAGAATGTGTGTGAGCCATCCAGCCTGCTCTTAGCACCAGAACTTACTTCTATACTGACTCGAGCCAGTCAGAACCAGGAGGCATTTATGCACACACGTGCATGCACACCCCAGAGAACACATCAAAGTCAGACTCCCCAGTCAGTGACTGACTGGGTTTCATCCCTACCGACACCCCCTGTTCACACTAGTGGGAGCAGGAATGGTCAGTTAATTAACTTCCCAGGAAAAACTCTAGGGCAGGACTTTGGGTCTCCTTGACCTGAAAAACGGATAGAAATGGAGAGAGGGCTGGCTACACAGATGTACCAGATCTGCCTGTGTGAATACCTGTGTGTGTGCATGTGGATGGATATGGGTGAGGCTATACCCGCACACCTCCAGGGAAGGGTGTGAAATGGTTGCCTCTAAATCACAGGAGATATAATCCTAATTCCTTGTCAGAGAAAGAAGGATAGACTGTTCCATCGACATCCCTCTGGAGTTCATCCCTCCGGGAAACTTCTTTTGGGGGTCAAAAAGTGAGGAGGGTTTAATGTATAACTTCAAATTCTTTGACACTCCTCCTATTCAGAGGTAAGGTCTGTGTCTCCTTGCCTTGAATCTGGACTACTTTGACCAACTGAATATGGTGGCAGTGACTCTATGTGACATCCAAGTCTAGGTTATAAAAGCCTTTGCAGGGCCAGGTGCAGTGGCTCGTGCCTGTGATCCTACCATTTTGGGAGGTCGAGGCGGGAGGATTGCTTGAATCCAGGAGTTCAAGACTAGCTGGGGCAAAATAGCAAGACCCTGTCTCTATCAAAATTGTTTTAATCAGCTGGGTGTGGTGACGCATGCCTGTAGTCCCAGCTACTCAGGAGGCTAAGTTGGGAGGCTCGCTTGAGCCCAGAGTCTGAAGCTGCAGTGAGCTTTGATTTCACCACTGCTCTCTAGCCTGGAAGACAGAGCAAGACCCTGTCTCTAAAGAAAAAAAAATTTGAGACCAGCTTAGGCAACATAGGGAGACCCTGTTTCTATAAAAATTAAAAAATTAGCTGGACGTGGTGGTGCCCACCTATAATCCCAGCTACTCAGGAGGTGAAGGGGGAAAATTGCTTGAGCCTGGGAGGTTGAGGCTACAGGGAGAAAAAAAAAAAAAAAAGCTCATGCAGCCTCAACCTTGGTCCTTGTAACGCTCAAACCCGTGCCCTTTGAGCTGCCTGAGCTGTCATGTAAGAAGTCAGACTATTCTGAGTTCACTATGCTAAAGAGGTCATATGGAGGTGTTCTGTTTAATAGTTCTAGTTGAGTTAATAGTTCTAACTTTTTTTTTTTTTGAGACAGAGTTTCACTCTTGTTGCCCAGGCTGGAGTGTAATGGCACGATCTCGGCTCACTGCAACCTCTGCCTCCTGGGTCCAAGCGATTCTCCTGACTCAGCCCCCGAAGTAGCTGGGATTACAGGCGCGTGCCACCATGCCTGGCTAATTTTGTATTTTTAGTAGAGATGGGGTTTCTCCATGTTGGTCAGGCTGGTCTTGAACTCCCGCCCTCAGGTGATCCACCCACCTCGGCCTCCCAAAGTGCTGGGATTACAGGCATGAGCCACCACGCCCGGCCAATAGTTCTAACTTTAGCCATGCTCACCAATACAATAGACATGTAGGTGAAACTGTTTTGAATTCTCCTGACCAGCCCATCTGCCAGCTGAATATCATCAAATGTCCTTATCAACACCTTGTGGAGTGTGGAGCGGAAGAATCTCCCCAGCCAAGCCCTGCCCAAATTCCTGACACATAAAATCGTGAGATATAATAAAACAATTGTTGTTTTAAGCTACTAAATTTTGGGGTACTTTGTTATGCAGGAATAGATAACTGAAACAAATGGTAATAATAATTATTAAGCTATCGCTGAGCGCAGTGGCTCACACCCATAATCCTAGCACCGTGGGATGCTGAGGTGGGAGGACTGCTTGAGGCCAGGAGTTTGAGAGCAGCCTGGGCAACATAGCAAGACCTCGTCTCTACTCAAAATAAAAAAAAAAATTGGCTGGGCGCGGTGGCTCATGCCTGTAATCCCAGCATCTTGGGTGGCTGGGGCGGGTGGACCAAGAGGTCAGGAGTTCCAGACCAGCCTGGCCAACATGGCGAAACTCCGTCTCTACTAAAAATACAAAAATTAGCCGGGTGTGGTGGTGGGCGCCTGCAATCCCAGCTACTCAGGAAGCTAAGGCAGGAGAATCGCTTGAACCTAGGAGGCGGAGGTTGCAATGAGCCGAGGTCACGCCATTGCACTCCAGACTGGGTGACAGAGCAAGACTCCATCTCTAAATAAATAAATAAATAAAATTAGCCAGGCGTGGTGGTGCACACCTGTAGTCCCAGCTCCTCAGGACATTGAGGTAGGAGGATTGCTTGAGCCAGGAAGGGTTGAGGCTACAGTGAGCCATGATCAGGCCACTGCACTCCAGCCTGGTGACACAGCAAGACACTGTCCAAAAAAAAAAAAATTAAGTTTATATATGTGGCACTGTTCTAAGTGTTTGACATGTATTAACTCATTTGTTCCTCAGAAGATGAAGTAGAGCTTGCTGGGCACAGTGGCTCATGTGTGTAATCCTAGCACTTTGGGAAGCCCAGGCGGGCGGATCACATAAGGTTGGGAGTTTGAGACCAGCCTGACCAACATGGAGAAACCCTGTCTCTACTAAAAATACAAAATTAGCTGGGCGTGGTGGTGCATGCCTGTTATCCCAACTACTTGGGATGCTGAGGCAGGAGAATTGCTTGAACCCGGGAGGCAGAGGTTGTGGTGAGCTGAGATCGCACCATTGCACTCCAGCCTGGGTGACAAGACCGAAACTGTCTCAAACAAAAAACCACTACTAATTTTGGGGCCGGGCGTGGTGGCTCACACCTGTAATTCCACGTTGGTCAGGCTGGTCTCGAACTTCTGGGCTCAAGCGATCTACCCATCTTGGCATACCAAAGTGCTGTGAGCCACTACACCTGGCCACCTATTATAGTTTTGATTTGCATTTCCCTAATGATTAGTGATGTTAAACATTTTTTCATTTGTTTATTGGCCATTTGTATATGTTCTTGAGAGAAATATCTTTTCAACTCCTTTGCCCATTTTTATTTATTTTTTTATTTTTTGAGATGGAGTTGCTCTGTTGTCCAGGCTGGAGTGCAGTGGTGCGATCTTGGCTCACTGCAACCTCCACCTCCTGGGTTCAAGCTATTCTCCTGCCTCAGCCTCCCGAGTAGCTGGGATTACAGGCACATGCCACCAAGCCTGGCTCATTTTTGTATTTTTAGTAGACACAAGGTCACCATGTTGACCAGGCTGGTCTCGATCTCCTGACCTTGTGGTCTGCCCATCTTGGCCTCCCAAAGTGCTGGGATTACAGGCGTGAGCCACTGCACCCGGCTTCTTTGCCCATTTTTAAATCAGGTGGGCTTTTTTGTTGTTGAGTTTTAGGAGTTCTCTATATATTGTGGCTATTAATCCCCTACCAGATATATGATGTACAAATATTTTTCTCATTCTGTGGGTTACCTTCTTATTCCGTTGATATTGTTTTTAATGCACAAAAATTTTACACTTTTATAATGTAACATCTAATTTACAATGTTTTCTTTTGTTGTCTGTGTCTTTAACGTCATACCAAAAAACCATTGCCAAATCCAGTGAAGTGAAGCTTCTGCTTACATTTAGGTCTTTGATCCATTTCTTTCTTTTTTTGAGACGGAGCCTTGCTCTGTTACCCAGGTTGCTGTAGTGCAAAGGCTCGATCTCAGCTCACTGCAATCTCCGCCTCCCGGGTTCAAGCAATTCTCCTGCCTCAGCCTCCTGAGTAGCTGGGATTACAGGCATGCACCACCATGCCCAACTAATTTTTGTATTTTTAGTAGAGAGGGGGTTTCGCCATGTTGGCCAAGCTGATCTCGAGCTCCTGACTTCAGGTGATCCACTGGCCTTGGCCTCCCAAAGTGCTAGGATTACAGGCATGAGCCTCTGTGCCTGGCCCTTTGATCCATTTCTAGTTAAATTTTGTATATGACGTGTAAGGGTCCAACTTCATTCTTTTGTGTGTGGATACTCAGTTTTCCGACTCCACTTGTTGAGAAGACTATCCTTTCCCCATTGAATGGTCTTGCCACCCTTGTCAAAAATAATTTAACTATATATGTGAGAGTTTATTTCTGGGTTATCTATAATCAACTCAGTTTTGAACACATATACTTTGAGGAGGAGATATCTAGTAGGCAGTTGCAAATGTGGTTGTGATGCCGACAAGAGTTGGGAGCTAGAGCTGTAGGTTTGGGCACTGACATTGTCCCTGACTTCTGGAGGGCTTATGTTACAGACGGAGACAGAATCATACACAAATAGCTGTGATCTACCAGAGGTCAACTTACATGCTATCTGGCTGTGAGCAAAGGGCCATGAAAAGAACGACAGAGGAGCAGTTAATCCACAATGGCGAGTAGGAGTTCAATAAGGAAAAGGCAATAATAGCTGATCTCTCTGTGGACTGGTACACCCATACAGGTAAACAGCGCATGGAACGGCAGGGTGTGGTGGCTCACACCTGTAATCCCAGCACTTTGGGAGGTTAAGGTAGATGGATTGCTTGAGCTTAGGAGTTCAAGACCAGCGGGGGCAACGTGCCGAAACCCCATCTCTACCAAAAATACAAAAATTAGCAGGGCGTGGTAGTGCTTGCCTGTGGTTCCAGCTGTTCAAGAGGTTGAGGTGGGAGTATCACTTGAGCCAGGGAGGTCAAGGCTGCAATAAGTCGAGATTGCACCACTGCTCTCCAGCCTGGGCGACAGAGTGAGACCTTGTTTCAATAATAATAATAATAATTTAACAACAAATTAAAAAAAAAAAGTACAAAGAAGTATGCATTGTGTGGTGGATGTGGGGAGAGAGGGCACGAAGAAAGGGAGACAGACCTGGAAGGACGGTTGGGAGCGCAGATAGAAGAAAGCTTTAATGTGAGGTCAAGGAGTCTGGGCTTTAAGTGTAGTAATGGAAAATCCAGTGGAGGCTTTGGGAGGGAATGGGAAGTGCATGAAGAGTGATGAGCAGTTTATTTTGCAGTACTTTCTTCCTATCAATATAAACCAGTTTCCTCACTCACTTGCATGCACACGTGTGTACACATACGTGTGACACTGCTTTTTCTGCCTAGATCCCAGTTCCATGCCTTAGTCCTAGATTGTAACTGCTTTATCACTCTCACTCAACTAGGCAGTTGACTTCAATTTACAGCCAAATTTTTTTTTTTTTGAGACGGAGTCTTGCTCTGTCACCCAGCCTGGAGTGCAGTGGCACAGTCTCGGCTCACCGCAACCTTCACCTCCTGGGTTCAAGCAATTCTCCTGTCTCAGCATCCCAAGTAGCTGGGATTACAGGCGTGCACCACCACGCCTGGCTAATTTTTGTATGTTTAGTAGAGATGGGGTTTCACCATGTTGGCCAGTCTGGTCTCAAACTCCTGAGCTCAGACGATCCACCCACCTTGGCCTCCCAAAGTGCTGGGATTACAAGCCATAAGCCACCATGCCTGGCCTAAATAATTTTATTTATTCCTTTTTAAATTCTTTCCTTCCTTTCTAATTTTTATTGAAATAACATAGACTAAAATGCATAAAGTGCTTTTTAAAAATTTTTTTGAGACAGGGTCTTGCTCTGTCACCCAGGTTGGACTGCAGTGGTATAAACACAGCTCACTGCAGTCTCAACCTCCTGGGTTCAAATGATCCTCCTGCCTTAGCCTCCCAAGTAGCTGGGACCACAGGCATGTGCTACCATGCCCAGCTTTTTGGAAAAAAATTTTTTTTTGTAGAAATGAGGGTCTTGCCATATTGCCCAGGATGTAAAGTGCATTTAAGTTTTAAGTACAGCTTAATAATTTTTTTTTTGAGATGGAGTTTCATTCTTGTGGCCCAGGCTGGAGTGCAATGGTGCGATCTCAGGTCACCACAACCTCTGCTCCTGGGTTCAAGCAATTCTTCCGCCTCAGCCTCCCGAGTAACTGGGATTACAGGCATGTGCCACCACGCCTGGCTAATTTTGTATTTGTAGTAGAGACAGGGTTTCTCCATGTTGGTCAGGCTGGTCTCGAACTCCCGACCTCAGGTGATCTGCCCACCTCGGCCTCCCAAAGTGCTAGGATTACCGTGCCCAGCCAGCTTAATTAATTTTTACATGTGTCTACACTCATGTAAACACTACCTAAGTAACGAGAGAGAACATTTTGCTCCTGCTACCTTCCAGTGAGTACTGTGCTACAGGTAACCACTATTCTGACTTTTATCACTATTGATTAATTTTGCCTGTTACAGAACTTCTAGAAAAGGAATCATGTAATGGTTGTATCTCTTTTGTATCTAATGTCTATGATATTTATTCACATGGTTGAGTCCACATGGCCACATAATTCCTTACAGTAAAACTCCCCACTTCATATTCCAAAATTAGCTTCCTGACCTGCTGCAGCTTTTAAACCAACTTACCTTTCTTCTCTTTCTCTCTCCTCCTTTTCTTTCTTCCTCCCTCTCCTTTTCCTCCCTCCATCGGTAAGTAGTAAGCACCTTTGCACGGGTGTTAGGGAAGCAGCAGGGAGCATCACAGTCTTGGTTCCTGCCCTGTTGGAAGTGTATGCTATGGTGGGAGGGACAAGTGAAGAACCAGGTAAAGACAATAGAGTGTGAGGCTGGGTGTGGTGCCTCAGCCTGTAATCCTAGCACTTTGGGAGGCTGAGGCGGGAGGATTGCTTGAGCTCAGGAAATCGAGACCAGTCTGGGCAACATAGCAAGACTTCATCACTACTAAAAATTTAAAAACTCAGCCTGGCGTCATGGTGCACATCTGTGGTCCAGCTACTCAGGAGGCTGAAGCAGGAGGATTGCTTGAGCCCAGGAGTTCAAGGCTGCAGCAAGCTATGATCGCACCACTGCACTCCAGCCAGTGCAACAGAATGAGATCTTGTCTCAAAACAAAACAAAACAAAACAAAACAGGCCAGCACAGTGGCTTATTTCTGTAATCCTAGCACTTTGGGAAGCCAAGGCCGGTGGATCCCTTGTGCCCAGGAGTTTGAGACAAGCCTGGGGAACATGGTGGAATCCTGTCTCTACAAAAGAATACAAAACATTAGCCAGTGTGGTGGCATGCACCTGTAGTCCCAGCTACTCAGAAGGCTGAGTCAGGAGGATCAACTGAGCCCAGGAGATCGAGGCTGCAGTGAGCCGAGATTGCGCCACTGCACTCCAGCCTAGGTGACAGAGTGAGACCCTGTCTAAAACAAACAAACAAAAAGACGGTAGAATGTGATGAGCAGAATGCTAGAAAAGTCAAGGGCACTATGGGAACTTGTAGAAGAGACTTCAAACCCCAACTTTATGGACCATGAAATACTTCCTGGAGGAAACACCTGAGCCGAGACCTGAAGAATAAATAGAGTGTTGTGAGCAGTCACCTGTACAAAAGCTGCAAGCAAGAGAGAATTTGTACTTTCAAGGAAATGCAAGAAATTCAGAGAAGTTCGGCTCGACTGGAACATAGAGCGCAAAATTGAGAAGAGTGCCTGCAGGGCCAGGCGCGGCAGATCTTGAAAGGTATCTAAGCTCCATTGAGAGTCTAGATTTTATCCTGGGAGCCATGGACCATCACTGAGGAGTTTCCAGTAGAAGAGTGACACAGTGAGGATCTGGTTTATTTTATTTATTATTAAATTTGATTTTGAGTCAATTGTTTTGTGTGTGGGGGGTTTTGTTTTGTTTTGTTTTTTCAGACAGGGTCTCACTCTGTTGCCCCAGGCTGGAGTGCAGTGATGTACTGCTCACTGCAGCCTTGACCTCCTGGGCTCAGGTGATCCTCCCCCCTCAGCCCCCACCCTCCCTCCACCATGTAGCTGGGACACCACCACCATGGCCAGCTAATTAAAAAAAAATTGTGTAAGGCTGGGTGCGGTGGCTTATGCCTGTAATCCCAGCTACTCGGGAGGCTGAGGCATGAGAATTACTTGAACCCGGGAGGCAGAGGTTGCAGTAAGCCAAGATTGTGCCACTGCACTCCAGCCTCGGTGACAGAGCAAGACCCTGTCTCCAAAAATAAAATAAAATAAAATTACGTAAATAATTTTTTTTTTTTTTTGTAGAGACAGGGTCTCCCTGTGTTGCCCAAGTTGGTCTCAAACTCCGGGGGCTCAAACGATGCTCCTGCCTCGGCTTCTCAAAGTGCTGGGATTACAGGTGTGAGCAACTGCACCAGGCCCTAAAAGTCATTTTAGTTTTTGCAAAGGTACACACATGGTACAAAAGAGCACATATTAAAGCACAAATCCCCCTGACTTTCCTGTCCCCGGCCATCCAGCACCCCACAGGTGTAGCCTTTGGAATGCTCATTTTGGCTGCAAGTTGAAAAGCAACATGGTATTGAAGCAAGAGTGAAAACAGGAGACCCTTTAGGAAGCCGTTGAGCATTCTGGATAACAGCGGATGGTAGTGACTGTGAGAATGATTTTACACTCTAGGAGGCCAAGGCGGGTGGATCACTTGAGGTCAGGGGTTCAATACCAGCCTGGCCAACATGGTGAAACCCCGTCTCTACTAAAAAAAAAAAAACCTACAAAAATTAGCCAGGCATGGTGGCACGCCTCTGTAATCCCAGCTACTCAGGAGGCTGAAGCAGGAGAATTGCTTGAACCCGGGAGGTGGAGTTTGCAGTGAGCCGAAATCGCCCCACTGCACTCCAGCTTGGGAAACAGAGCGAGACTCTGTCTCAAAAAACAAACAAACAAACAAACAAAACAAAAAGAAAAGGAAAAGAAAAGAAAATAAATAGAAAAGAAAAGAAAAAGAATGATTTGAGAGACATGGAGGAGGCATCAATAACAGAACCTGGGGACTGATTGGACATGGGGTATAGGAGAAGAAGAAGGACGACACTCCAGAGAGGAGATAGTGCTTCAGTGTGCCAAGGAGGAACAAAAGGGGAGCCAAGTTAGGGGGATGGCGGGGTGGTCCGCGAAGATGGGCCACCAGCAATGCCGTCCCCTCATGCGCATGCTGCTCCGTTAGTGCATTTTCTGTCTCCTTAAATCCAGGGTGGAGCCGGGCACCTGATTACATGCCTGTAATCCCAGCATTTTGGGAGGCCAAGGCGGGTAGATCACTTGGGTTCAGGAGTTTGAGACCAGCCTGGCCAACATGGTGAACCCCATCTCTACAAAAAATACGAAAAATGACAAAATCCAACAAAAAGTACATCTCTACAAAAAATATGAAAAATGAGCCAGACGTGGTAGTGAACACCTGTAATCTCAGCTACTCGGGAGGCTGAGGCATGAGAGTGGCTTGAACCCAGGAGGCAGAGGTTGCAGCAAGCCAAGTGCGCCACTGCACTCCAGCCTGGGTGACAGAGTGAGACTCTGACTTAATAAATCAATCAATCCAGGGTGGCCTGTGATTTGCTCTGACCAATGGTGGCAGCAACACTGATGCCCTGACAGGTGAGGTCTAGGTCTTTTTTTTTTTTTTTTTTTTTTTTTGGAGACAGGTCTCTGTCACTCAGGCTGGAGTGTAGTGGTGTGATCATAGCTCCCTGTAACCTCCGCCTCCCAGGCTCAAGTGATTCTCCCACCTCAGCCTCCTGAGTAGCTGGGTCTACAGGCCTGTGCCACTACACCTGGCTAATTTTTCTTTCTTTTCTTTTCTTTTTTTTTTTGAGACAGGGTTTTGCCATGTTGCCCAGGCTGGTCTCAAACTCCTGGCCTCAAGTGTTCCTTCCACCTGGCCTCCCAAAGTGTTGCGATTACAGGCGTGAGCCATCGCGCCCAACCTGAGGTCTAGGTCTTAAGAGACCTGACAACTTCTACTTCTTCCCTGTTGGAAGCCAGTCACCATGTAAAGAGGTCTGGCCACCCTGGAGGAGAGGGAGCTATAGGGAAAGAGAGCGAGGGAGAAGCACCAGAGGATGAGAGACTATGAAGGAAAAGAGAGAGCCCCAACCAGCCCCCTTCTCCTCCAGCCGTCCCAGCAGAGGGGCCAGATATATTTGTGAAGCATCTTGGATGCTCCAGAACCAGTGTGGCAAGCTGTCCACACTGAATCTTGCCCAATTTGTAGAATTGTGAGCAAAGAAAAACTTGTATTATTGGCTGGGCGTGGTGGTTCATGCCTGTAATCCCAGCACTTTGGGAGGCCGAGGCGGGCAGATCACCTGAGGTCAGGAATTCGAGACCAGCCTGACCAACATGGTGAAACCCCGTCTCTACTAAAAATAAAAAATAAAAAATAAAAAAATTAGCCAGGCATGATGGCACATGCCTGTAATCCCAGCTACTTGGGAGGCTGAGGCAGGAAAATTGCTTGAACCCGGGAAGCAGAGGTTGCAGTGAGCTGAGATCGTGCCACTGCACTCCAGGCTAGCCAACAGAGCAAGACTCAAAAAAAAAAAAAAAAAAAGAAAAAGAAAAGAAAAGAAAAGAAAAACTTGTATTGTTGTAAGCACTCAGTTTTGGGGTGGATTATTTACTCAATAGATAACTGAAAAATGAAGGGAGTGGGGAGTAGAGGAGAGAGGCTTTGGGTTCAGTTTGTTGCCTTAGGGTTCTAGACCTCAGAATTTCACAACCATGGCCGGCTGCTTCCCTCCTTTCCTGTTTCCTTGCTAAGCGTCTACAGCTTTGTAGTCCAGAGCTTCAGCCTGGGAAGTTCAGGCATCTGGTCTGCTGTTTCTCTGGTGCCCAAATAAACAGCTCTAAAATTCAATAGCATGTTGATGGCTCTGTTTCTTTGGTCAGTCTATGGTAGGTTCCAGTCCACCTTTGGTTTGGGGGAAGGATTTTTTTTCCTCTGATTTGATACCCCTGGGAGAAATGTTATTTCTTTGTATTATTCAGCTTCTATTAATAACACAAGTCTGAATACAAAGTAGGTGTTCACGAAATGCCAGATGAACAGCTAGATGAGGCTCACTTGGATAGAGTCCTAAATGGGGTCCAATTCCTGAGTTCCCGTCCCACCCAGAGCCCTTCAGTTTCTCCATGTATGCAAAGGAGGTCTCACCTTACTGTTTCCCTGCAGCTCAGGAGCTGGTCCCATAGCTGGGGGTGGGGTGGGGAGTGGAGATACAGATCAATGATGAGTTAAAGGGCTCAAATGCTGTCAGAGTGTCATTCCCTCTGTGCCTCCATGGGGAAATGGCCAGAACTGCAAGGAAGCAGGTGATGTGACATGCATGGGCAGTGTGATTGATGGGGACCAAGACCTGGAGCGGTGGGTCTGCATTCCTTGGCCTGCAGAGGCCTGAGGAGGGGCCGCATGTGTTTGCTGTGTGCACGTGAAAAAAAGAGAGTAGAGAGTAAACAGATCCTTGTTGTTTGGCTCAATGGCCCTCTTCCCCTTCAACCCAGGACGGCCGCCAAGAGCTCAGCCAATTGAGATCACCTGCCTTTATCTGTCTCCATGTTGTGGTGTACTTGGTTTCCCTGCAGAACGGGACTCCCCAAGACAGGGAGCACACCCCTTTCTCAATTTCCTCTTCAGGGCCAGAGAGACTAGGGACCCTCTACGCAGTCCCTATAGGCTGCTCTTGGTGGCCCCTCCAGAGCCCCTTTCTTGCAGCTCTGAGAGGATGTAGCATCCTCCCGTGTCCCCCAACCCAGCTGTCATCACAGTGGAATCCAAGAAGGGACTCAGGAGAGACTCTTGTCCAATCTTCTCTTATTCAAGGGAAGGATACTGATCAGGGAAGTGAAACATCCAACGTCCTGGCTGGTCTCTGGCAGAGTTGAGGCCAAGACCTATGTTTCCTAACTCCCAAGTCAGTGCCTCAGCTGCCCGCACAGCCTCCCTCAGAGCTCTCGCCTCATCAACCTTTTGTTTTTTTGAGACGAAGTCCTACTCTGTCGCCCAGGCTGGTGTGGAGTAGCGTGATCTCGGCTCACTGCGACCTCCACCTCCCTGGTTCAAGCAACTCTTCTGCCTCAGCCTCCAAGTAGCGTGTGCCATCACGCCCAGCTAATTTTTGTATTTTTAATAGAGATGAGATTTCACCATGTTGGCCAGGTTGGTCTCAAACTCCTGACCTCAAGTGATCTGCCCGCCTCTGCCTCCCAAAGTGCTGGGATTACAGGCGTGAGCCACCACTCCCGGCACTACCTCTCTTTTGTTTGTCCTCTACTTTCTCTTCTCAGCCTCTCTCTGGCGCATGCCCCGTGGGAGGGACACTTGCAGCTTCGGGGAGGGGTGGCCAGCAGGCAGCCTTTCTGAGTGAGCGTGGAGCTTACGGCGTTTTTGAACACAGAGAGGCTGACGTGCACTGGCACACGCACACACACTGCCACATCCACATGCAGGTGCTACTTGACTCAGCTGCTTCCGCTTGGCCAGGGAGACACAGGCACACACACAGCCACACACACCTCTGTTAGGTGGCGTGCTCTCCACTAGTCCCTGCTCAGATGGACCCTGGCACCAACAGGAGTCATGGGACTCCTTCCATGGCCTCAGCCCTTGGTGTCCACAGCAGGCGTAACTGGGGGCAACAGATCAAGGACAGATCAGGGACAGTGGAATGACTGACCCCTGTAGCCTGGGATCTGGGAAGACAGGTTCAGAGCCATCATCCTCACGGGCTCATCTTTGTCCACTTAGGATTCCTCCCACTGGGGCCCTGAGTGTCACTCCCAGCTGGATAATGGGAGGGTGAGAACCCCTACTTTCCTTCTTCCTCTTGCTCCCTTTGCCACCCCTTCCCACTGCTTGATAAGAATCTGTTTAAACTAAGCTGCTGCCAGGCCATAGACTCCATGGAGACCCAGCTGGATCTCTTAAAACACAAGGGGAGATGTTTATCTTTTCTCCTAGCCCTGCCTGGGTTACCTCCTCCTGGCACTGCCAGCCAAGGGCCCTGCCTGGTGAGACAAATTAGGGAAGACCAAGCTGGGCCCTGGCACCTAGGCTAAGGGTGTGAGCAGTGTTGGGGGAGGGGTGGGCCTGGCAGGCGGGGGAAGGGCAGGTAGGGAGGTGTCCTTTCAGAGTTTACTCACCTCTTCCTGTCCCCTCACCTCCCACCCCAGCCCCAGTCACTCCACTGCCCCCCACCTCTGGAGAAGCTGAATTGGGATTCGATCCCCAGCCAGTTGCTGGAGTTCCGGAGCAGCTGGCCCAGGCCTTGGGGGAGGGGGCCAGGAATGCTGGGGCTGAGGCCTGGGCCGCCCCAGACAGAGCCGGCTCTGAATTCTGGGAATGTTTGTGCAGCTGGAGCCCATTAGGGGAGAGAGCCAGGCCGCTTATTAATCCCAGCCTTGTTCCCCGGGAGGGGCCAGGGCCCTGCACACGAGTAGAGGGGGAGAGGGCTCTGCTAAGGGAGGCCAGCCCCCAGCCCCCAGCCCCCAGCCCTCAGCCCTCAGCCCCCTGCTTGGTGGAGTCTCAGACAGGAGCTTGGAGATCTGGGGCCCTGCACTTCACTTGCATGGTGCACATGTGTGTGTGGGTGTATGTACCCACATGTGTGTGGGGATGAGTGTGGAGGCAGGGGTGTGGGCACAGTGAGGGGGCAACTGGGGTATGGGGAGGTACAGAGGGTATGGGGGGTATGGCAGAAAGCGCTCCTACATGGAGAGGCAGGGAGCACATGGTGGTCCTGGGAGGTGGTGTGTACACTCCTCAGGGATCCCCACCTGCCCCCAAGAGCTCCTGCTGCCTGCCACTCTGGCTAGTGGGAGAAGAGGAGAAGGAGGGGATGGATTTGTGTGGCCCAAGTGTTGAATGTGTGCACAGATTGCTGAGGACTGAGTGTGGAGGCAGGACCTCCACGTGGAGCCATGGGGGTCATGTCCTGCAACAGCTACAGGGGACGCCATCTGCCCTGACCTCAATGTGAGGAGCACAATCCTGGGGTTGTGCAGTGTATGACCTGCTCAGCTACACACAGTGCTCCTGGGAGTAGGCTGGGAGTCTGGGGGCCTGAGTTTGGTTCCAAGCTGGCACTGCTGTAAGATGTGGCACAAAGGGTGATGACACTGAAACCAAATGTAGGCCTGGCATGATGTTCCAGCTCTTCTGAATAGCATGGGGCCTTGCATCTATTTCTTTTCTTTTCTTTTTTTTGAGACAGAGTCTCGCTCTGTTGCCCAGGCTGGAGTGCAATGGCACGATCTCGGCTCACTGCAACCTCCGCCTCCCAGGTTCAAAAGATTCTCCTGCCTCAGCCTCCTGAGTAGCTGGGATTACAGGTGCCCGCCATGACACCTGGCTAAATTTTTTGTATTTTTAGTAGAAACAGGGTTTCACTATGTTGGCCAGGCTGGTCTTGAACTCCTGACCTCAGGTGATCCACCCACCTCAGCCTCCCAAAGTGTTGGGATTACAGGCGTGAGCCACTGAGCCCAGCTTAATCTCTCTGAGCCTTACTTCCTTTATCCACAGATGGGCATTGGGTCTGTCCTATGTACCTCATAGTAGTGTTCTAACTTGGTGCCATGGAGGGTGGCAGAGGAAGCACCGCTTGCCCGCCTGTTACATGTGTGTTCTCAGGATGCCATCTTGGCAGCGACCTGTCTCCTGTCAGGCCCAGCGCCGTGTGATAGACAGCTGTGGGGGGATGCTCTGGTACATCTGGTACAGAGCTGAGGTCCCCTTGTACTTACTGCTCTCACTCAGGCCCTGCCACATCTCCAGCTGGGGGCTAAGACTGTTAGATGCACAGGGTGATGATACCAGAAAGGTTCCAGGAAGAATTCTACTGGAACTTGGGAAAGTTGGGACCTGTGACGAAAATCCCAGCACCCCGTTTGGGAAACAGGGAGGAAGACGCCATGACCATTCCTTAGAGAGAGGGTTCGCTTGCACGGCCTCTGCTGAACTGCGGTCCAACCCTTCCTGGGAGAAGGTGTGACTTCGGGCTGGTATATTAGAAGGAAGGTCAACGCGGGACAGGGGCGGGGTGGAGGGTGGCTTTGGAGAGACAGTCATCGGCCTTAGCCATCCCCAGAAGCCTTGGTGAAGGAGAAGAAGAAAACCCTCTCCTCTAACCCCTTGTTTCCACAAGCCTCCCTTTGTTCAGAGGGTCAGCTTAGGTATGGTGAGTTCTCTTCAAAACTTCAGAGAGGATTTCCCTGGAGGGTTGGTGGAACAGGAACCACAGAACACCAAGGCTGGTGATTACTGAGACAACAAATGGAAATCTCGGGATGCGCAAAGAATAAGAGCTGTCCGAGAATCCCCAATCATGTCCCGAGGTGGTAGTCCCAGTGGCTTCAAATGCCAGCGGCATTTCTGTCATAGGTGGTCTCTGAACCAGGCACTCTGAGGGCCTCCTCCTGTTAAAGTCTAACACCAGGGCTGTCTCAGTTGAAGAGAACTGCGGAGGTGGGAAGGAGACCCACAAAATTCTGGAGGCTCAGCTCCTGCCTTCAGGGAACCCCAGTCTAGTAGGGAAGACAGTCCCTGACCTCAGGAAGCTCCTGTTCTAACCGAAGGGAGACACCATTTGTCCTCTAGGAACGCCCAGTGTGATGGTGGAGACATACCCTCTGTCTAAGAAACCCCCTCATCTGATGGTGAAGGCAAGACACACAGATGCACACACACACACACTCTCTCCCTCTCTCCCTCTCCCTCTCTCCTACGACACAGAGAGTTTTAAAGATGAAGTGGGCCGGGCGTGGTGGCTCACACCTATAATCCCAGGACTTTGGGAGGCCAAGGCGGACTCCTGAGGTCAGGAGTTCGAGACTAACCTGGCCAACATGGTGAAACCCCATCTCTACTAGTAATACAAAAAAATTAGCTGGGTGTGGCACATGCCTGTAATCTCAGCTACTTGGGAGGCTGAGGCAGGAGAATTGCTTGAACCCAGGAGGCGGAGGTTGCAGTGAGCCGAGATTGCGCCATTGCACTCTAGCCTGGGCGACAACAGCAAAACTGTCTCAAAACAAAAACAAAAACAAAGACAAAAGATGGAGTGAATGTGAGATAAACTAATGGATCAAGTTCTAGGCAGTTGTGAGTAGTGGAATGAGTGATAGGGGAGAAGAAATGAGGCGTCCACTGGGGCAGCTCCCTGGAGGAAGATCTTGTGTGATGGCGTGGGCTGCAGTAGTGTGGGCTGCAGTAGTGTAGGCTGCAGCTTTTCATTGAACAGTTACCCCTGGCTACCTTTCCCCTCTGGGTGAGGTCTGGAAAGAGCATTGGCCTGGGAGATCAGGTTTGTGCTGGGCTCTGACACCAATTTGCTGTGTGACACTGAGCAAGACACAACCTCTCTGAGCTTGTAAAAGTCATGAGCTGATCCCTCAGATCCCTTCCAGCTCCCACATCCTAGACTTCCTGGCCCCAGCCCTTTCGCCCCCGCTTCCTCTCCCCCAGAGCCTCCCCACCGCTGCCCTTCCTCTTGGCCTTCCATTTGGTCTCTCCTGGGGCAGGTGGTCCAGGCAGCTGCCTGGCCTGTGTGGCGATGGGATCCCACCCACAGCGAGGGGTGGTGTTCGCTGGGAGTGGCTGTGACCTGAGGAGCTAGGTTTGGGGCTCAGGTTGGGGGTTCTCGGGTGAGGACCTGACTTTTGGCAGCTTTTCCCAATGCCCTCCAGAAGAGGATATTTGAGGGGAGGGAGAAAAGGGTTCAGGAGATGTCTTGGTTCAGGCTGTGGTGGGTCTGGGTTCCTTGGGGAGGCCTGGGAGGAGCAGTCATGGAAGAACGGGTTGAACTCCACTTCCCCTGAGCTTGGGGACATTGGGGCCAGCATTGGGCCAGGGTGGTTGCTGCAGCTGCTGGGTGTGCTTGTTGTGAGGGAGTTGGGTGAGGGGGTGGGATGTGGATTGGAAGGGACAGCTGGGTCTGCAGGAAGCCTTGCCTGACATCCCTCCTGAGACGCTTCCTCTCCCATCCCCACACTCATGGACGAGAATGAGGGGGGTACTCTCCACCCACCCAGAACAAGAGGCTAGACAGAGACTGGGGAGAGAATCAAGAGGGGCTGGCCTAAGACAGCCAGGTCATGTCCATCTCTGTGCCTTTCCAACAAAAAGGCTTCCATGAAAATGGCTTGGGTGACATAGAGGAGGTGGCAACAGATGACAGCTGGATGGAGGACTCAACTCCTGTTGTCGCTGATTCAGCCTTGAGCACTTCCAACATTTTGCCCTCTCCAGTGTGGGTCCTTCAACTTCAGCAGTGCCTGAGTATCACTTGGTATGCTTGTGAAAACACACGGGGCTGTAAGGCTGGCCTCACTTCAGAGATTTTGGATCAGCAGGTCTAGGGTGGGGGCTAAGAATTGGAATTCCCAGTGAGTTCCCAGGCGATGCTGCTGGTGCTGGTGCACAGGCCCCACTTTGAGTAGCACTTGAATGCTTCTTTCTCCCCTCTCTGGTCAGCTGTCTCATCCCTCTCCCCTCCCTAAACACAAGCCACCCCAGCTGTTAGGGGCTAAGCACATGGTGGGCATGGCAGAGGGCCAGGGTCAGACCCTGCGGTGGGAGGGACCCTGTGTGGGAGTCCGAGTGGGGAGGTGTAGAACAGGGCTCAGCCTGGTTTCTTCTGTCTGGCCCAGGCCCCTGCAACACACTGGGGTGACGCTCTATTCCCTCCTTTCCTCTCTTCTCCAGCACAATGGCCCTCAATCTGCACAGATTCTGGGAATTATAAGTGGACCAAGCATCCTATGTGGACCATGCATTAATATTTTCCACTCTTGCCTAGGTTTGTGCCCCATTGTTCTCCAAATACGTGTGGAGGGTGTTGTGGTGAAAAAAAACATAAAATTATTTAAAACTTCTTGATTAATTTATACTTTCTGGCCGGGCACGGTGGCTCATGCCTCTGATCCCAGCACTTTGGGAGGCTGAGACAGGAGGATTGCTTGAGGCCAGGAATTGGAGACCAGCCTGGGCAACATGGCAAAACCTCATCTCTACAAAAAATAGAAAATTTAGCCAGGCGTGGTGGTGCACGCCTGCAGTCCCAGCTACTCAGAAGGCTGAGGTGGGAGGATCACCACAGCCCAGAAGAGCAAGGCTGCAGTGAGCCACAGTTGCACCACTGCACTCCAGCCTGGGCAGCAAAGACACAGTCTCAAAAAAAAAAAAAAAGATAAATTATACTTTCTTAACTTCTAAAAATTATAAGGCTGGGTGCAGTGGCTCACACCTATAATCCCAGTGCTTCGGGAGGCTGAGGTGGGAGGACTGCTTTTGGCCAGGAGTTTAAGACAAGACTGGGTAACATAGCAAGACCCCATCTTTACCAAAAATTTAAAAAAAATCATCTAAGCATGGTGGAGCATGCCTATAGTCCCAGCTATTCAGGAGACTGAGGCAGGAGGATTTCTTGAGCCCAGGAGGTTGGGGCTGCACTCCAGTCTGGGCGACAGTGACCATCTCTAAAGCCAAAAATTATAAAATAGATCACACTTATAAAACATATTGGCTTTTTAATCAAGATGATTTCCGTGGTGATGAATGACCCCTAATGTAGCCCAGGCTACTGTTCCAGCCTCATCCAGATCCCCCTCTCTTCCAGGCCTTATTTCAGTTACACAAATGGACTTTGTTCCTCTGGCCTCAGGGCCTTTTCACTTGCTGTTCCCTCTGCCTACCACCAGCTGCCTCATGCACACTCACCCCCTCCACTCCTTGGCCTGATTAACTCTTGCTTTTCCCTCCAACCTAGGCTATCACTTCCTTACAAAACCTTTCCCATCCTCCTATGTTAATTCCCTCATTAGCGGCTCTTATATACAGGTATTTACCCCTCTGTCTGCAGCCCTTAAGTTACTTTTACATTTGTGTGTGACTTTGACTAATTTCTGACTCCCCATCAGTCTGAAAGTTCTGCGAGGCAGAACCCATTCATTTCTCCCGCTTATTGCCCACCACGGCAGCTCTAGAGCCAACCACAGTGCCTGGCACAAACCAGGTGCTTAATCAATATAAGATAAAAGATGACATCAATTAGCCAGTTGGTGAATGAAAGATCACCTCCATGTTGGAGGTAATGGCCAGAGACTTGCAGCCAACCTGGCATCGAAGGATAAAAGTTAATAAAAACCTGCACCGTGGCCTTCGGGATTTTCTGACCACCTGTTCTCATAGGTAGACCACGGCTTTGGCTTCTGCAGTGGAGATAAGAAAGGAGACAGGTGACTGGCAGGCCGCCAGCTGCAAAGTAATGGGAGTTGGGAGAGAGAAACATGGAGGGAGAAGGGCAAATGAAAAAGAAGGCAGAGAAGAAATCGTGGAGACAGAAGAGAGATGGAGAGGAGAAAACAGAGCCTGAAGAAGAGAAAGAGGACAAAGCCCCCTTAGGACAAAGCTGAGGGAAGAGGGTCTCCAGGAGGGTCGATGGAGTGGGGTCAAAGGGGCATCATTTGACGGCCTTGCTCTGTGACCCCCGCCACCCGTCTCAGCCACCTTCTCTCTTTCCCCACCCCCTGCGCCCTCCCCCTCTGCCCCAGGAGCTGGGCTAGTTTATTTTCCTTGGGCAGGCTTCCTGAAAGGGGAGCCTGGTTTTCCTGACACATGAAAAGTGTCTCAGACTGCCGTCTGACCCTTCCTGCAGAGCCCTAGCTCCAGGGAGTTTGTTTGACAAGCAGTCACACACGTGGACACATGCAGACATCCTGGCACATGGCACACACATGCACCCGGAGACCCCAGGGTGAGTCTGGGAGTTGTGCGGCCACAAGCATGTACGCACACATGCACCCCCACATGTAGAAATAAAATGTAAGGCACATACACCCCACATGTACTCCCCACATGGGTGCCGGGTGCCTGCGCTTGCAGGCTCAATGCGAACTGGCTCATTCACACGTAACACGTTATTCCCAACATCCACGTGTTCCCGTTTCCCCTCTTCACTGTACCGCTGGCGGCGAGAGGAGTTAGAGTGATGTACACAGGTTGTGTGTGGGCCATGTAAGTGGCTGGTGTGGCCCAAGGCCAGCTGCGGCTTCTCCTTGAGTCAGAGGAGGAGCCCTGGGCCAGAGCCACCACCCACTGCGATGTCAGGGATCCTCCCCTGCTTGTGGGTGGGAGGTGGGATGTCTGTGTCCCCCGCGCCCCCTGACTTCAGGCTCTTGGAGTCAAGTATACCATCGCCTTTGTCGCTGTGCTTCCATTGAGGGCTCCTGGGACTGGCATTCTCCCCTGCAGGTGCTTCCTCTGCCCAACCCCGCTCTCCAGGGGCAAGCCTATGCCACAGGGCCCACGGCCCCTGCCTTCTGAGACAGACCTTGGCAGAGAGCGCCCAGAGACGGGGATGGGACTGTGGCAACAATTATAATCTCAGCACCTACCAAGGCTGGTTGCCAGGTATTTCATGAACAATGTCTTATTTATTTATTTTTGAGACAAAGTCTTGCTCTGTCACCCACGTTGGAGTGCAGTGGCGTGATCTCAGCTCGCTGCAACTGCTGCCTCCTGGGCTCAAGTGATTCTCCCACTTCGGCCTCCCAAGTAGCTGGGACTACAGGCGTGCACCACCATGCCCAGCTAACTTTTGTATTTTTGGTAGAGATGGGGTATTGCTATGTTGCCCAGGGTGGTCTCAAACTCCTGGCCTCAAGTGATCTGCCCGCCTTGGCCTCCCAAAGTGCTGGGATTATAGGTGTGAACCACCACGCCCGGCCAATATCATTTATTTTATTTTAGACAGGGTCTTGCTCTGTCACTCAGGCTGGAGTGCAGTGGTACGATCATGGCTCTTTGTAGCCTCGACCTCCCAGGCTCAAGTGATCCTCCCATCTCAGCCTCCCACATTGCTGGGACTATAGGCATGCACCACCATGCCCGGTTAATTTGTAAATGTTTTGTAGAGAGGAGGTCTCCCTGTGTTGCTCAGGCTGGTCTTGAACCCCTGGGTTCAAGTGATCCTCCCGTCTTGGCCTCCCAAAGTGCTGGGATTACAAGTGTGAGACACCACACCCATCTTATTTAATACTTCTAACAACTCTGTGGAGGGCTGTACATCCTTCCTTTAGGGATGGGGAAACTGAGGCTTGGGGGAGGAGAGGTAAAGAAACTTGCCCCATTCACAGAGCTGATGAGGCCAAGAGCTGGGATCTGGTCCCGGGTCTGTCTGCCATCCAAGTCCATGGTCTTGATCAGTGTGCCATACTCGCCTCGCTGTGTCTTCAGCTGTAAACTCTCACAAGCTTTCCAGGAAGGAGCTGAGATTATTTTTGTAAAATGGCCTAGCACAATGCCTAGCACATAGGGAGCATTTGACAATTTGGTTTTCTCTCTCCTCTGGGTTCCTATGTGGAGGAAAGCGGGGTGTGCAACACTCCCCCGGGCCAGTGGATGGGGCATCAGCAGCAAGGAGGGAGGTGGGCAGGGTGGGCAGAGAGGCAGTCATAGAAACCAAGCCCCTCCAGCCTCTGGGAAGCCAGAGAAGCCAGCGATCATCACCCTGCGCCCCCAACACTCACCACATTCACCCACCCGATCTTGGGCTTAAGAGGCCCAGGAACATCCCCAACCACCGCATGTCCCCCCTTCTCTGTGACACTCCCAGGTAAAGGAGCCATTCCCAGACTCCCAGACAGAAGGAGGAGAGGAAAGGGCTGGGGGAGGAAGGGGGAGGGGCTGTCACACACTGAAGGCTTTGTGGGATTCCCAAGCGTCTAGGTGGAAACACTTCATATATCAAGTGTGTTTGTCCCTCCCTGGGGAAAGTGGGGGCAGGAGAGGGGAGGAGAGGCTGGGCCATTGGCAAGTGCGAGGGCCTGAAATAGGGAACACCAGTGTGTAACCCGAGAGGATGGGGAGAGGGCTGCCGAGAACCTTCCTTGATGAACTGACCTGGTCTGGGCTTCTGGGAGCCTTTGATTCTCCAGGCCTCTGTTGACTGAGCAGAAACATGCCCCCCACACCCCTCACTCCTTCCAGAGCCCTGGGCTCTTCCTGCAGGGGTCTACCACTCCCTTCCCTGCTTCCACTCCTGCTCACTCCCAGGCCTGCCCCTTGGTCCTCCCTGAGCCAGCTCTGCCCTCCCCCTCCATCCCTCACCATAATCCTGCCTCTCCTCCCCCTCCCTCCTGCCTTCTAAACCCTGCTCTGTTGAGTCACTGAGACCCCTGACCTCCATATCACCCGTTCCAAGATCCTAGCCCAGTCTCCTCTAAGTCTTGGCAGGTTCCCTGTCTCCACTCTCGCCAGCCCCTACTCATGCCCTGACTCAGCCTCCAGCCAGCGTGCTGTGCTGAGAGCGGCTGTCCTAGTAACCCTTGTAATGAATATGACTGCAATGGTGATTTTGGAAAAGTCAGCATTATTCATTTACATATTCAAGAATTTCTCACTGAGGGCCTACTAAGTGCTAGAGACTCCACTAGATGCTGAAGCCCTCACGGAGCTCTCAGTTACTGTAATACCACACTGAGGCTCCAGGCAAGACAGGTCCCTGTTCTGCAGCCTGTTCTGGGAGCTTCTGGTTGCTCCCAGCCCCACAGAGCAAAGATTCCCTGGGATATGCATGCCCAGAGCCTGCAGAGCCCACTTCGCCCTCCCTTCTACACATGCTCTGGGTTCCTGGCCCAGAGCTGTGTAAGATCTTATTGGAACCTGAGGCAAAAATAAATAAATAAATAAATAAATAAATAAATAAATAAAATCAGTAATACTGATCCTGTCTTTAAAAATTTGATATTTTGTTTATTATGGATTTTTACATTAATTTTGATTTTTAAAATATTGCATTAAAGTATCATCTCTATCTGCTGGGTGCAGTGGCTCACCCCTATAATCCCAGCACTTTGGGAGGCTAAGGCGGGAAGATTGCTTGAGGCTAGGAGTTTGAGATTAGCTTGGGCAACATGGTGAAACCCCATCTCTACCCCAACAACCAGAGAAATTAGCCAGGTGTGGCAGCATATGTCTGTAGTCCCACCTATGTAGGGGGCTGAGGTGGGAGGATTGCTTGATCCTAGGAGATAGAGGCTGCAGTGAACTGAGATTGCGCCACTGCACTCCAGCCTGGGTGACAAAGTGAGACCCTGTCTCAAAAAAAAAAAAAAAAATCACCTATGTTTATTACTGAGTTTTGTTGTATGTGTGTACCTTCATTTTTGCACCTGGGTGAGGGCCTCAATGGACTCACTCCAGTCCTGGCCGTCTCCTGGTCCCCAGAATTCCCCATCCAAGTGACCTCAGCCTATTTCCAAGGCCTGAGGAAGCCTTTGCCCTGTCCATCCTCCTGAGGGCCGACCAAGCTGCAAGTGCGCATGCCCTTGGGCTGAGGGGTGGTCTAGGGATGGCTGTCGTACAGGGGTGGGAGGAGTTTGCCCACAGGGCTGACTGAAGTGTCCCCTCAGGGGCACAGCAGAGGAAAGTGGGGGTAGGCCAGAGGGTGGAGGCAGCACCGCCATGTTCCAGTGCACAACTCCAGTCATTATGAAAGGATATTTGTCAAGGTAAGAGGATAGGATACATTTTTATTTAAGTTTGTTTGCTTGATTTATATGTTTTAAATATTTAGAAATTTTGTTTGAGGCCTCTTATGTGTACTTTTGCCCCAAGTCCTCAAATGTGAAAGGTGGGCCCATTTACAGGGTTGGGGAGTCGGGGGACAGAAGTTGTCAGGATGGAGTGAGCCAATCTGATGGGCTCACTGCCGTGTGCACCGTGAACCTCTGCTCCTGCTCTTCCCACACTGCCAATCCAGCCCAGCCTTTATGTCCCCTTCTTCTGTGCAGTCATCAGTGGTCCCTGCTGGCCTTGGTGGCCTTCTTCCTCCAAGCCTGTGACATTTACTGCCAGTCCCACTCCCGGAGCCATCACCCACACTGCTTGGTAACAGCCCCCCAAAAGCAATGTCATGCTGTTATTTAACTATTAGCGTGTGTGCGCCATGTCCGGGCTGCTGGGTGATCCGTGTTTTGACAGCACTGACTATGTATTCTTTTATTCTTCATGTTCCCTACAGTGTCAAGCCTGGAAAAGAATGGGTTTGAAGTTAGCCTGAGACCTAAGGTTGCTGCTGGCCTTGCCTCCTATTAGCTGTGTGATTGAGCAAGTTAACCTCTCTGAGTCTGACTTCTCATATATAAAATGGGATAATACACTCCAGCCTAGGTGACAGAGTGAGACCCTGTCTCAAAAAATGAAATGAAATGAAATAAAACTAAATAAAATGGGACAATAAGCCCTGCTTGGCAGGGTGTTGTGAACAAAAGAGGTAACGTATAGAAAAGGTCTGACAAAGTAGGAAGTCAATAAAATGTTAACCATAATTGTATTATAACTCATAATGTATTAATATATAGCTTACATGTATTATGTGCCATATATGTATATACATATATATATATTTCAATTTGAAAGCAGTAATTGTTTATTAACTGACTGAATTACAAAAATGATGGTGGTGGACCCCTTCCCAGTTCATCCTTCTAATGAGCCTGTTAATCTGGTCTTCCCTGTTACTAGTATCTCTACTTTCTACAAAATGAGTGGTCGTCTTCTTCATTCCACCTCGTTGGGAAGATAATTTGAATAGCCCTGGGAAGTTATTTGCTTCTTTGAAGTGTTTTTGTTTTTTAACAATACAGATCTCATGAATCAGATCCTTCATGCAGGTGACGCCACATTAACAAAGAGATCAAGCAGTAAAGTGTTATCTGTCACGGAAATTTGCTGCTGCTGCTTCATTTTTTTTTTTTTTTTTTTGAGATGGAGTCTCACTCTGTTACTCAGGCTGGAGTGCAGTGGCGCGATCTCAAGTGATTCTCAAGTTCAAGTGATTCTCCTGCCTCAGCCTCCTGAGTAGCTGGGATTACAGGCACGCACCACCACACCCGTCTAATTTTTTAATTTTTAGTAGAGATGGGGGTTTCACAATGTTGGCGAGGCTGGTCTTGAACTCCTGACCTTAGGTGATCCGCCCACCTTGGCCTCCCAAAGTGCTGGGATTACAGGCCTCAGCCACTGTACCTGGCCCTTCCTTGCCTTTTGGATTTTTTTTTTTTTTTTTTTTTTTGCAACGGAGGCTTGCTCTGTTGCCCAGGCTGGAATGCAGGGGTGTGATCTTAGCTTACTGTAACGTCCACCTCCTGGGATCAAACCATTCTCCTGCCTCAGCCTCCTGAGTAGCTGTGATTACAGGCACGTGCCACCACACCCAGCTAATTTTTGTATTTTTACTAGAGACAGGGTTTCACCATGTTGGCCAGGCTGGTCTTGAACTCTCAACCTCGTGATCTGCCTGCCTTGGCCTCCCAAAGTACTGGGATTACAGGCATGAGCCACTGTGCAAGGCCCTCTCCTTGCCTTTTGAAGTGTCTTCTGGGCAAATATTTTTCTCAGGCACTTGATCTTCACCTCTGAGAAATTCCTTTTCTCAACGATTTCTGGCACAGCCAGAACCTTCCTTTTCTTCTCTTTGACATTCTCCATGGTTCCAGGTGGGAAAGAGTCTATCATATTATTTATTTATTTTTTAAAATTCGATTTGGCAGGTGAGTTGTCACACATTCCTTAGTGGAATTTTATTATTAATATGTCAGTTTTAATTATATATTACTAGAGGCATTATATAAATTAAATGATTGAATGGGACAGGCAGGAGTGGAAGGGGAGGTGAGGAACTTAAGGGAGTGGAAATGGGTCCCTTCCAACTTAAGGCTCTTCTAAGAGAGAATGAGGGGCCAGGCGCGGTGGCTCACGCCTGTAATCCCAACACTTTGGGAGGCTGAGGTGGGCGGATCACCTGAGCTCAGGAGTTCGAGACCAGCCTGACCAACATGGAAAAACCCCATCTCTACTAAAAATACAAAATTAGCCGGCCGTGGTGGCACATGCCTGTAATCCCAGCTACTCGGGAGGCTGAGGCAGGAGAATCGCTTGAACCCAGGAGGCGGAGGGTGCAGTGAGCCGAGATCCCACTATTGCACTCCAGCCTGGGCAACAAGAGTGAAACTCTGTCTCAGAAAAAAAAGAGAGAATGAGGAAGCCTCGAACGGACCCTTGGAATACACAGTTCCTCCCTGGGCATTTGGCACAGGAGTGAGCAGTACGGGGCTCAGAATTAATCCCTCCATGTAGCTAAAGCATCCTGACCCTGGGCACTTCATTTAACCACCCGAGCTGCACACTTGGCACAACCCTGTCCCTGTCCTGCTGGCAGAGGCAGCTGTGCACCAGGCACCACCTCCCTCTGCTGAGGTATTGGCCGGTCTCCCCAAGTGGTTGCCCAGCCCCAACACACCTCAGAGTCTTGCCCAGGAGAAACCACAGGAACTGCGGGATCCAACAGGAGACGACTGGATCCCAGCTCCCAGGACCACCCACCCTGACCTCCTCCCCTATGATTATTACAAACATACTTCCAAGGGATTAGCAACCGTGCCAGGGATGTTGATCGCTAACCCTCAGTCCAACCAATGGTTTTAATCACCAGCTGCAGCCATAGTAACATTACTAACTAATAAGCAGTCTGCTAAGGTGGGGTGGGCATAGAGTGAGGAATTGGGCTGCAGAGGGAGGCACCTGCTGTACAACCGAGCCAAGGGGCCACCCTGGGAGAGGGTGGCTCAAAACTGCATTCCGCCTAATCAGGAGGTCAGCTCCTTAGGGCATTAAAGATACTGGTTTGAAGACGGGGAGCCTATGTTCAGGGATTCTGAACTCCCACGTCTTGCAGGGGGCCCCCAGTTAGGCTCCCCCATGGGAGAGTCCACACAACAGGACGCTCAACCTTGTCTGGCCAGGTTCCTAGATGGGAGCTCCCTGTAAATGCTGACCTCTTGGGTCTCAGTGTGTGCAAAAGTGTGGGAGGCTCAGGCTCGGAGCCTTTCTCATTGTCCCATGGCAGGGACGATAGCTGAGTCTACTCCTTGTCTTAACTCCATCTCTCCCAGCTGGGCTCTCATTTTTAACAAGCAACTCTAAAGTATTATCCAATGGGGGAGGTTAAAAGGTGGCCACTGGGCCCGGCGCGGTGCCTCACGCCTGTAATCCCAGCACTTTGGGAGGCTGAGGTGGGCAGATTGCCTGAGGTTGGGAGTTTGAGACCAGCCTGGCCAGCATGGTGAAACCCTGTCTCTACTAAAAATACAAAAATTAGCCAGACGTGGTGGCAGTTGCCTGTAATCCCAGTTACTCGGGAAGCTGAGGCAGGAGAATCACTTGAACCCAGAAGGTGGAGGTTGCAGTGAGCTGAGATCGCGCCATTGTACTCCAGCCTGGGCAACAGAGAGAGACTTTGTCTCAAAAAAAAAAAAAAAAGGTGGCCACTGGTACACCAGGAGTTCCCTTTGTCTGGGGACATTGACAAAGCAAGGGGGCAAGAAGGGCATAGCCCAGGAAGATGATAGGAGTAAAAATCAGAGGCAGATGAGGTGGTAGGGGGAGGGTAGAAAGGTTGAGGGGAGTCCGGAGACCCCCTCTGACTCCTAGGAACGTTCGGGAAAGTGAACGTCAGTCCAGAAGGAGTCTGTCCCTGTAGATCATGGTTGTAAGCTTTTTGTAAGCCAGGTTGTAACCTGGCCCTGTTACACATACACATCCTCATCCCTTCCTCGCTCTCTCTCCCTCCTTCTTTCCCTGTGTCTCTTTCCTTCATTCGTTCTTGTTCTAGACAATGGCTGAGACCTAGAGTTGGCTTCTTCATCTACCGGTTTTTCCTGGGGAGACTCCTAGGAGCTCTACCTCCACCCAAACCATGAGCCGCACCTCCTCACTGTCAGCCCCATCTGCCTCAACTTGAACAGAGCATCCCCTCTTCTCTGTGTGTTCCCCTGTGCTAGGCACTGAGGAACAAGTTGCAGGAAGGAAGGGACCTGCTGGAACCTGCAAACTCAGAGGCAAAAAGGTGCAGATTCCAGAGCCAAATGGAAATTCCAATAGCCCAAGTAGGCATCCAGCTAATCAGAGTGAAAGAAGAGGAAGAAAAGGCCCTTCTGAAGGAGGGGCATGCAGGTGAAGGAGCTGGGACCTGGCCCAGGCATAGAGGGCTAAGCTGATGCTGGAGATGGAGAGCTGTTTGCTTGGAGTGAGCTCATAGGTTCTAAGATGAGGGCTGGGATGGGAGGGCAGGGGGTGGCATGGCCTTGACCCCTGGGAGCCCAGACTAAAATGTCTGGCATACAATTGAAGGGAATAGAAGCTCCTCTCTGGGGCCTTGGGCAGGGAAGAAGGCAGCCTCCCTTTCTGTGCACCTATGCCCCAGGTAGAGGCAGGCATGGGGGAGATAGTATCCTGGGGGCAGTTGTCATGGAAATTGTCCCTCTACCCGCCTAACCTGGTGTCTCTGAAACCCAAGGGCCTCCAAAGCCCCTCCTGCCCCACCCCATGCAGCCAGTGACAACAGAACCATCTCTGAAATAAACACCATATAAGAACAGCAATCCCCAGAAACTCCAAAGGGGCTTTGATGTTGGGGCCAAGGATTTCGACTAAACAAGCTGGAAGCGATTTAGGCCAGGAAGGCTGCAGCGGTGCTGTAGCAGCTGCCCTGGGGAACTGAGTCAGATCGCCAGAAGCAGGGAGGGTCGCTACCCCCACCCTACCCTCCCCAACCCACCACTCTGGGCTCTCAGAGACCCATCTGGAGAGGCAAGGGCATGGGTAACTCCGTCGTGATTCTTCCTCCTGCCAGGGGGACTGGACCATCTGAGGACACCGTGTCTCCCAGCCAATGCCAGGCTACGAAGCAGATGAGTGGGCAAGCAGGCCACTGCTGTGTCCTCTCCTCCCCTCCACTCTCAAGCCCCCAGAACACAAATCTATCCCCCTCCATGTCTGCCATGCCTTCTCCTCCCTATCCAGTCCTCACTGGAAATTTCTTTATGAGGAACAGCTAATCTGGGGAGTAAATCTTGCCCCAGTCCAAAAAGTCCTCAGCCCCATAACAGCCACCGCTGCACTGGCACTGGGAATGGTCTGCCCCAACTAAAGAGTGAGAAGAACTTCAACCTCTTTCCTTCCTTCCTTTTTTCCTTCCTTCCTTTCCTTCCTTCTTTCCTTCCGTCCCTCCTTCCTTCCTTCTTCCCTCCCTACCTCCCTGTGTCCTCTGTCTTTTTTCCTCTCTCTCTCTTTTGCTCTCTCACCCTATCGCCCAGGCTGGAGTAGTGCGATCATGGCTCACTGCAGCCTCAACCTCCCAGGCTCAAATGATCCTCCCACCTCAGCCTCCCGAGTAGCTGGGACTGCAGGTGTACACCATCATGTCCTGCTAATTTTTAATTTTTTTTTAGAGATTTGGTCTCGCTATGTTGTCCAGGCTGGAGAACTTCAATGTTTGAAGCATCGATTCCCTCCCTAGAGAGTGGATTCTGTGAGGGCAGGGACTATGTCTCGTTCACCTCTGTGTCCCTCATATCTAGCGTAGTGCCTGAGCAGATAGGTATTCAATACATGGGGGCCAGGCACAGTGGCTCACACCTGTAATCCCAGCACTTTGGGAGGCCAAGGCAGTCCATTGCTTGAGCTCAGGAGTTCGAGACCAGCCTGGGCAACATGGCAAAACCTCGTCTCTACAAAAAAAAAAAAAAAAAAAAATTAGCCGGGCGTAGCGGCGCACGCATGTAGTGTCAGCTATTCAGGAGGCTGAGGTAGGAGAATTGTTTGAGCCTGGGAGGTGGAGGCTGCAGTGAGTCAAGATCATATCATTGTACTCCAGCCTGGGTAACAGAGCCAGACCCTGTCTCAAAAAAAAAAAAAAAAAAGTATTCAATACACATTTGTTGGATGAACAAATGAACTATCACCATGAAGGGTTAAAGTCCTTACTCATCTATCATAAGCCTCAGTTTCCTCTGCAAAAAGGTAATAACAAGCTTATAAGTGATTTTACACACACACACACAGATACAAAAACACATGTAAAGTACCCAGCTGGAGTCTGATGTGCTGCAGGTACACCATGGCTAGCTGTGGTTGTTGTTATGAGAAGACTACTTCCTAACTGGTCTGCATGTCATTTATAGCAAAATTCGCATTAGTGAATGTGCACGTAGGCCTTTAGAAGAAAGGGGCTTGATTCTTCTTCCAGGGTAGAGATTCAGGCAGGAAGGCAATAGGAGCCCCTCCCCTGCCCAACCTTCAGGGGTAGAGGCAGCTAAACCGTTGTGGAAGCGCGTGTTGCCTTTTTCCATCAGAGAGATGGGGGGAAACTGGGGCCTTGTCTGTACCTCCTAAAAGAGCCCCTCTGCCCTGCAGGTCCCCTTCACCCTTGGCTGTCTGCTCTCAAGGCACTCTGGCTGCTTTCTACCCCTCATGTTATCTCCCCGAAGGCCATCTGCCTTCCTTCCTTTTTAAAAAAAAATCTTAATTATTGTATTACATTTAATCACCAAGTCGTGAGTAATAAGATCCTGAAAGGACTGGTGGGGACTCTCCAAGCCAGACTGAATCTCACAAAGGAAAAAAAATTAAACAAAACAAGGGAGCCACTCACAGAGCCCCAGACACACACTTACATACTTTCTCACACATACACATACACGCGGAGTCTTAAACACTAAAGATGTACAAGGAGCACAGGTACCAAACACACATGCACACACTAGACACAATACACAAACACACATGAACACACTAGACACAATACACACAAACACATGCACACAGTAGACACGATACACACAAACACACATGCACACACTAGACACAATACACAAACACACATGAACACACTAGACACAATACAAACACACATGAACACTAGACACAATACACACACTAGACACAATACAAACACATGTGAACACACTAGACACAATACACACAAACACATGCACACACTAGACACAATACACACAAACACACATGCACACACTAGACACAATACACAAACACATGCACACACTAGACACAATACATACAAACACACATGAACACACTAGACACAATACACACACATGCACACTAGACACAATACACACACATGCACACACTAGACAATACACAAACACACATGAACACACTAGACACAATACACACACACTAGACAATACAAACACGTGAACACACTAGACACAATACACACAAACACATGCACACACTAGACACAATACACAAACACACATGAACACACTAGACACAATACACACAAACACACATGCACACTAGACACAATACAAACACACATGAACACACTAGACACAATACAAACACACATGCACACACTAGACACCATACAAACACACATGCACACACTAGACATAATACATACAAACACACATGCACACACTAGACATAATACAAACACACATGCACACACTAGACATAATACATACACACATGCACACACTAGACACGGTATACACAAACACACATGCACACACTAGACAATACACAAACACACATGAACACACTAGACACAGTACACACACACATGCACACACTAGACAATACACAAACACACATGAACACACTAGACACAACATATACAAACACATGCACACACTAGACACAATACACAAACACACATGAACACACTAGACACAATACATACAAACACACATGCACACACTAGACACAATACACACACATGCACACACTAGACACAATACACAAACACACATGAACACACTAGACACAATACATACAAACGCACATGCACACACTAGACACAATACACACATGAACACACTAGATACAATACACACAAACACACATGCACACACTAGACACAATACACTATTTCCAATACAAGTATCTGCACACACACACAGATACACATATAGCTAATAAAAAACCCCAACCAAGCAGTGTGCACTCACACACACGAACTTACAGGAGGCCTGACGACTGTATTTCAAACTTCACCTCCCAACCCAAGTCCAAAATCTGTCTCCAATTATCTGGCCCGTGTTGAGAGCAACAGGAAATCCAGAGCTGCCTCTGTCTTCTGCGGGAGATGGCGGGATTTCAGTCATCTCTCCATCGTAGAAAAACAAAAGCCTTCTGGCCTTGCCTCCCTCTCCCTGCCTCTAAGTCAGCTGGGGCTAGGAGGGTGTGGGTGGGAGGGGTAGGCAGGATAGGGGAAGAGAGGTGTCAAACCAAGCCTAGGAACAGCATGAGGAGCCTGGGAAGCCTGAGTCCTGAGCATGAGTCTTTCCGCCTTCCCTCAGAACACTGAACAGGGCACTTGTGTGGGTCAAGGATGGGGCAGACAGTGGGGACTTGGAGACTCAGTAATGACTCTAGACACCAGCCTCATAAGTGACCAAGCAGCATAGCAGAATAACCACTAGACTTACGTTCAGAAGACCTGGGCTTGGCCCCAAATCAGTGAGCCAGCTGCCAGTGATTTCATTTCTTAGAACCTCACTTAGAAAATGGGGGTGATCATAGCCACCCGCCCTACAGGGTGGTTGTGAGTGGTAAGTGACTTGTGCTTGTGTAGCTGGGAAAAATGACCACACCAACGTCATTATTAGCTATGAGATGGTGTCCCAGCCTGTGTGCAAGTGGCCGCTCTCCCCTCAAAGGAGGTAGTTCTCATTGCTTCTCCAGATGCCCTTGGCTAATCCCAAAGAAGAGAAAATACTGCTTCAAGAAACCTGGGTGAGTGGCCAGGTGCAGGGGCTCATGCCTGTAATCCCAGCACCTTGAGAGGCTAAGGCAGAAGAATTGCTTGAGACCAGCAGTTCAAGGCCAGCCTGGACAACATAACAAGACCCTGTCTCTACACTTTTTTTTTTTTAAATAAAGGATCCTGGGACTTCCGTTATTCAGAATGGTTCAAAACTTGCTTCTGGACAGTCATGCCACAATGCTGATTATTCTCTGTAGCACCGGCATTTTGAAGGATTTGCAATTGTGACCATATTGCTCTGTCAGTCTTCCATTGCTTTAGTCTAAGTTCCTCCACCAGACTGGGGGTTCCCAGAGACCAAACTGTCTCCCCCGCACATTACAGTCAGGTCCTTGCATCCTCCAAGAATGCAAGGAGACCAGAACTGTCTAACGTGCTAGAATTTAGAGGGTAATAATTCAGCAGCCCCTCCCTGTGCCTTCAGAGTGGGACATTCTTATTTGCATTTCAGACTTCTACCGACACCCAAAATATAGGGAATCCAAAGAAGAAAAAGGAGTAAGACGGAAAAGGAAAACTCTTCCCCCTCCCCACCCACCCTTCTTGTATTGTGAAAGATTTGATGGGCTGATATGGTTGATGGGAAACAGGAGAATGCTGGGTGCCGTGGCTGATGCCTGTAATCCCAGTATTTTGGGAGGCCGAGGTGGGAGGATTGCTTGAACCCAGGAGTTCAAGACCAGCCTGGGCAACATGGCGAGACCCCATCTCTACAAAATTGAAAAAATAATTAGCTAGGCATCGTGGCGTGTACCTGTGGTTCTAGCTACTTGAGAGGCTGAGGTGGGAAGATCGCTTGAGCCTAGGAGGTCAAGGCTACAGTGAGCTGTCTTCACACCACTCCACTCCAGCCTGGGCAATAGGGCAAGACCGTGTCTCAAAATATGAATAAAAATAAAGTCTGGGCGCGGCGGCTCACGCCTGTAATCTCAGCACTTTGAGAGGCCGAGGCAGGTGTTCGTGACTAGCCTGAGGTCAGGAGTTTGTGACTAGCCTGGCCAACATTGGCAAAACCCGGTCTCTACTAAAAATACAAAAAATCAGCCAGGCTTGATGGCAGATACCTGTAATCCCAGCTACTTGGGAGGCTGAGGCAGGAGAACTGCTTGAACCCGAGAGGCAAAGGTTGAAGTGAGCCAAGATTGCACCATTGTACTCCAGACAGAGTGAGACTCTGTCTCAATAAATAAATAATATATAATAAAATAAAATAAAAACAGTAGAATGATGGAGAGAAACCTGAGAGGGAAGGAGGAGAGGGGAATGAGGAGAGAGTGATGTGAGTGCCTCAAGGTCGAGGAACAGCCTTCAGCAAAGGAAGAAAATAACCCCAGAGCTTGGGTTTGGGTCCCCACCGTGGGTCAGCAGAGGACAGGGTCCTGGACAGGGTCAGGAGCTCCGATGGCTCCTGCTTCTCTCTTGGAAAGCACAAACGGGGCAAGTTTTTTTCTCCCTGCAGGCTCCCAACACATAACCTTTTAACATGTGGGATTTTCCATGTGGGGTGAAGGGGAGGAAACAGTCCAGCTCTGGAATTAAGAGGCCCCCGCTCTGCCTGCCCAACCTGGAGCTCAGAGGGTTGCATGATCTGAGTGGCCCTCCTGGGAAGGCCAAGCAGAGAGGTTGAGCTTTCCAGACTGCAGAGAGTGAGTCACAGTCTAACAATGTTATCTGTCAAGTGCTGCAGCTCCCTGGCTGGTCATGCCCATGGCCTCTCTCAGCCTGGATTCTCATTGGGTGTCCTCAATCTCACAAATGTGGAGGTCACACTGGTGCCTTTCTGTGCACTCCCCACCGGCCCCAGATCCAGTTATTTTTTTCAGCATAGGCAATCTCATGGGGAACCCAGCTAAAGCGATGGGTCAGAGGTGCAAAATGCTGGAAATATGGGGCAACTTTTAAGCCCAGAACTCTTAGGGAGTTAAGAATCAGGGCTGGGTGCAGTGGCTCACGCCTGTAATCCCAGCACTTTGGGAGGCTGAGGTGGGCGGAACACGAGGTCAAGAGATCGAGACCATCCTGGCTAACATGGTGAAACCCCACCTCTACTAAAAATACAAAAATTAGCTGGGTGTGGTGGCAGGCGCCTGTAGTTCCAGCTACTCAGGAGGCTGAGGCAGGAGAATCGCTTGAACCAGGGAGGTGGAGGTTGCAGTAAGCCGAGATTGGACAACTACACTCCAGCCTGGCGACAGAGTGAGACTCTGTCTCAAAAAAAAAAAAAAAAAAAAAAAAGAATCAGGGCAGGAAGACACCAAAGGAAAAGGAACCAAGGAGGTCTGTGTGGCAAAGAAGGCTGGATTGGTATGGCATTCAACACAAGAGGCTAAAGGCCGGGCACAGTGGCTCACACCTGTAATCTCAGCACTTTGGGAGGCCGAGGTGAGCAGATCACGAGGTCAAGAGATCAAGATCGTCCTGGCCAACGTGATGAAACGCGGTCTCTACTAAAAATACAAAAATTAGCTGGGCATGGTGGTGTGCGTCTGTAGTCCCAGCTACTTGGGAAGTCGAGGCAGGAGAATGGCGTGAACCCGGGAGGCGGAGGTTGCAGTGAGCCGAGATCGCAGCACTGCACTCCAGCCTGGCGACAGAGCGAGACTTCGTCTCAAATATATATATATAATTTGTGGCCAGGCAGGGTGGCTCATGCCTGTAATCCCAGCACTTTGGGAGGCCGAGGCAGGAGGATCACCTGAGGTCAGGAGTTTGAGACCAGCCTGGCCAACATGGTAAAACCCCCTCTCTAGTAAAAATACAAAAAAGTTAGCCAGGCGGGGTGGTGCGTGCCAGTAGCCCCAGCTACTTCGGAGGCTGAGGCAGGAGAATCGCTTGAACCCAGGAGGCGGAGGTTGCAGTAACCAAGATAGTGCTGCTGCACTCCAGCCTGGGAGACAGAGCAAGGCTCTGTCTAAAAATAATAATAATAATTTGCACAACACTCTCACATACATTTTCTCTTTTGATGCTCAGAAAAGCCCATGTAGAAGGTAAAGAAAATATAACTATTTTCTATTTTTAGGCTGAGGGGGATTAAGGACCTTGGTCAAGGGCATCTGCTATGGAACGAATGGTGGAGTAAGAACTAGGACTCAGGTATTCTAACTCCAAGGTCCCACTCTTTGCTCTGCAGAAGGTGCCAGAAGCAAGCCCTGGAGAAGGGCCAGGTTGTCTTCCTCCAGCCTCGCCAGTGCATACATCACCACCTAATACCACACAGGTCATTAGCAGAGAGGTGACCATGCCTATCTGCACACGCAAGAGACCAGGGCCACAGAAGAGATGGCTTTTGATTTCTCCCTTTTCTGGCGCATTCATTCCAAGAACTCAAAGTGAACAAATGTTCCGGCCAGACACGTAACCATGGTACCTACCTCAGGAAAAGAGCAAACGGGACAGTTTCATCCCAAGCCTAGAACACAGGTCCCCATTGATCTCTGTGGTGTTTGTGTCGGCTGGGGGATGGGACATAGGGTGGGGTTCAGGGCTGACCTCATCTCCTGACTTTAGAGGGGAGGCTGTGAGTTAAAAGGAGAGCCCTCATAGGGAAGGACTTGAAGGGGTGGCAGCAGCGGTTGCAGTGACAGGTTCCAAACTCTTCCCATTTCTCATACTCAAAGCAGAAAGAGGAGGTGGCAGCAGGGGAGGAGTCTCCAATTTCAGAGTGACTCAGATCAGACGATTGGCTGATACTGATCAGCGGTAGACAGTGCATAGATGACAGACACCTGTTTGGCTCTCCAGCGCTCACTGGGGTGGGGCAGGAACGAGGATGCAAGATAGAGGGGACTTGAGACATGAGAGGTGGAGAAACGAAGCCTGAGTGGGAGCCAGGCCAGGAAAGATCATCCCCTGAGACGTGGGATGAGCAGGCAGCTGTGGGCCAGTTACCTTTGAGAAAGACCCTGAAGGATATGGGAAATTTATATATATATATATATATATATATATATATATATATATATAATTTTTATTTTTTAGACAGAGTCTTGCTCTGTCTCCCAGGCTGAAGTGCAGTGGGGAAATCTCGGCTGACTATAACCTCCGCCTCCTGGGTTCAAGCGATTCTCCTGCCTCAGCCTCCTGAGTAGCTGGGATTATAGGCTTCCACCACCATGCCCGGCTAATTTTTGTATTTTTAGTAGAGACAGGGTTTCACCATGTTGGCCAGGCTGGTCTTGAACTCCTGACCTCAAAGTGATCCATCTGCCTCAGCCTCCCACAGTGCTGGGATTATAGGCGTGAGCCACCATGCCCGGCCTATATTTTTCTTAAAAAGAAAAACCTCATTATTCTTACTTTCTAAACAAAGCATGGCTGGGAAAAGAGAGAGAGAGGAGGGCATCCGCCATGGCAGAGGAGCAGGGGTACATGTTCTGGGCAGAGAAAGGACGACTGGGGCGAAGGCGCAGGGTGGGAACGTGGGCACACGGGGAAACACTGAGTCAGTCTGGAGCGTGAGGTAGTGGAAAAAGGGACTGGGAATGTAGACCAGAGCCATATCACGGAGGCCCTTAAATTCCAAGCTAAGGAATTTGCACTTCATTTAGTAGGCCACGGGGAACCTCTACAAGTGACTGGATTAAAAGCGCGCTTTAGGAGGAAAATTTCAGGCTGTGGATGAACTGCAGGTCTCATTACATTAGTTAAGCTGCCAAAGAAAGATGTGGGCTCCTTCAGGTTGCCGTTCTTGGGAACTGGAACCGGGAAGAGAGTCATTCAAAGTTCCCAGGTGTTGATTCTGCCCTTATTCTGAGGAGGCCTCAATAAGGTGTGAGCCTCAGGTTGATCACAGGTTTATGAAGCAGGCAGGTGAGCAAGCAGTTACTCTGCCTGGTGGGCCAGGACTCCCTCCTGTCAAGGTGAAGTGCTCTGCACTGCAAAGAAACCTGCAAAGGTTTCCCACACAGAAGGGAACAGGAACCCTAGCTTTTTCTTGGTCTTACTTTAATCTAAAAGCGCTGCTAGCAAACACATTTTATGTTTAGCTGGCACCTAATCTGAGGAAGTTTCAACCTGCCAGTCATGAAGCAAACAACATCCGCTGAACACAGCCAAGTGTCCAGCTACCTGCTCTTTGTCCACCATCCTGACACCACAGAGGGGTTAGGATGAGAAGACCGAAGCACTGAGTGGCCCACTGGACTGAGTGACTCTGGGAAGCCCTTGGACTCAGGGGTAACTCTGACCACAAGACAAATGTGCCTGGGCCAGGTGCAGTGGCTCACACCCATAATCCCAACACCTTGGGAGGCCAAGGTAGGAGGATGGCTTGAGCCCAGGAGGTCGAGGTTGCATGAGCTATGATTGTGGCACTGCATTCCAACCTAGGTGAGAGAGTGAGACCCTGTCTCTAGAAAAACAAACAAACAAACAAACAAAAAAAACCTGTGCCCCATCCCTCAGCTTTGCTTAATTGGGTTGCAGAAATTATTATTGAGAAACAAAGAAAAGGTAAAAACAAGAACAAACAGACAAAAACAAAAAACAAAAAAAAACACATTCTCCTCACTCCTAACCCTCTACAAGAGGTCAAGTGAGGTCACCCCTCCTTGACTTGCTGAGGATGGCCAAGCCATGAAAATGGCTTCCTAACGGATGCAACAAGGCAAGACAGTACAGGGCAGGCAGGAAATGACACAGTGAGTTGGACCAGGGACAGATGGAGGAGTTTACCCCAACACAGTGCCTGGAGGTACCTGCTAATTATTTATGCATTGTATTAATGAATCTCAGAAATCAGGAAGCACTTATTATAAGAGAAATGCAATCAAATCTGCAGTGAGGGCTGGGTGCAGTGGCTCACGCCTGTAATCCCAGCACTTTGGGAGGCTGAGGCGGGCGGATCATGAGGTCAGGAGATCGAGACCATCCTGGCTAACACTGTGAAACCCCGTCTCTACTAAAAATACCAAAAAAATTAGCCAGGCGTGGTGGTGGGTGCCTGTAGTCCCAGCTACCAGGAGGCTAAGGCAGGAGAATGGCATGAACCCGGGAGGCGGAGCTTGCAGTGAGCCAACATCGCGCCACTGCACTCCAGCCTGGGCGACAGAGCAAGACTCTGTCTCAGAAAACAAACAAACAAACAAACAAAAAACAACTGCAGTGAGAAACCATCTTTTACCTATAGGATAGGCAAAGATCAGAAAGCTTGATAAAATTCTGAGTTGGTGAGGGTGTAGGAAACAGACTTGTGTGCCCCCCGATTGCAGCTGTAAATGGGTAGCTTCTGTGCAAGGTGATTTAGCAGTATTGATCAACATTACAAATGCATGCCATTTCAGGTAAGCAGGTTCACTTCTGGGGATCTATCCTGCAGAAATGCACACGTGCAAAGCGATTTAGGGAGAAATGTATTTATTGCAGCTTTGCTTGTAACTGTACAGGATTAGAAAATAGAGGGCTGGTAAAATTGATTATAGTTAACCTATTCAATTAAATATTATGAATTATGATATGGATTAATCTGCAAGATAAATTACTTTGAAAAAGCTAGGGGAAGAATAGTGTGTATAGTACGATATCATTTGTGTGAGGCATAAAAAATAATATGTGCATGTTTGTATGCTAACATTGACGTGGAAAACAATATATACTTGCTTATATAAGCATAAACTGTCTCTAGAATGAAACACTACAAAACTTCCTCAGCTTGCTCCAGGAAGGGGAACTGCACAGCTGGGAGGCAGGTACATTGCATATTCATTTGTACCTTTTAAATTTTATACTACGTACAAGCGGTACTTGCTAAAAAAACATCTGCAGTGGCTCACACCTGTAATCTCAGCACTTTGGGAGGCTGAGGCAGGCAGATTGCTTGAGCTCAGGAGTTTGAGCCCATCCTGGGCAACCTGGCGAGACCCCACCTCTACAAAAAGTAAAAAATTAGCCCAGCATGGTGGCACATACCTGTCTGTAGTCTCAGCTACTTGGGAGGCTGAGGTGGGAGGATCACCTGAGCCGAGGAGTTTGAGGATGCAGCGAGCTGTGATCGCACCACTGCATTCCAGCCTGGGCGACGTAGCGAGACCCTGTCTAATAATAATAATAATAATCAGCAGCAGCAAGTGCCATGGAGATTCCTCCAACAGGGTGCCCGCCTGGCAGTGCCTGTGTGTTCATCTACAGCACCCCCTGCTGCTGTTTGTGAGCATGCGCTGTGCAGGGCTCGGGGGGAGGTGACAGGGTGGGGGATTTTTTTTTAAGACAGAATTTCACTCTTGTTGCCCAAGCTGGAGTGCAATGGCTTGATCTCGGCTCACTGCAAACTTGGCCACCTGGGTTCAAGTGATTCTCCTGCCTCAGTCTCCCGAGTAGCTGGAATTACAGATATGAGCCACCATGCCCGGCTAATTTTGTATTTTCAGTAGAGACGGGGTTTCTCCATGTTGCTCAGGCTGGTCTTGAACTTCTGACCTCAGGTGATCCGCCCACCTCGGCCTCCCAAAGTGCTGGGATTACAGGCGTGAGCCACCGCGCCTGGCCAGGGTGGTGGATTCTTTCAGGGAACACTGCATCCTCTTTAAAGAAACGCAGAGAGAAAAAAACAGTGTATGATGCTGGAGCTGCAAGAGCCTTGGAAAGGACAGGATGAGCTGGGTGCCCTGGTGTGCACCTGTAGTCCCAGCGCTTTGGAGGATAGAGGCAGAAGGACTGCTTGAGCCCAGGAGTTCGAGGCTGCAGTTAGCTATGATCGACACTGCACTCCAGCCTGAGCGACTGAGTGAGACACTGTCTCAAAAAAGGAAAAGAAAAATGAAAGGACAGAAAGTATTGTTTGGCGTCTGAGATCCCAGGCATAGCAGAAGGGGCAGTGGGAACGGATGGTCCTGGATTTGAGTACTGAATCTGTCTTTGTCAGCTGTGAGCCCTTGGACACATGACCCTTCTAATAAGTCTCAGTTCTTGCCCCATAAATTGGGCTAATAATGCCTTCCCTTAGGGTTGTTGTGAAGATCAAATAGGGCACAGAATGTGAACAGTGCTTTAGAATTAGAAAAGTGCTATAAAAATGCTAGGGGATTATTTTTAACTAGCCCCCCTCATTTTATGAGGTAATAAGAGGAAGTATAGGGCAGTGGTTAAGACAGGGACTCTGGAGCCCAGAACTGCCAGAATTTGAAACCCAGCTTCACTGCCGTCAGGGGTGATCCAGGGTGAATTACTTAATTTGGAGACCTCTGTTTTTCACCTGTGAAATAGGGTTAATAATAACATTTTCATAGGGTTGTTGTGAGGATTAAGTGAATAAATATATATAAAGCACTTGGCATCGTGTGTGGCACACAGTAGATGCTGTGTAAGCATCTGCTATGACTGACTTTTCATCATACATGCAATGCTAATGTACCTTACGTACCTTACATAGGGACTTGATAGGTGTTAACAAGCAGTACCATTTTACATGTGAGGAAATTCAGGCCAGGAGAGGGGACATAACTTGCCCAAACGCCCACCCCAAAGAACTCTAGGCACCTCCTAGACTTAAGTGCTGTAGTTTAGAGGGCATTCCCAGGTAGGGGTGTTATTTCTTAATTGAGCTCAGGAGTTCGAGTCCATCCTAGGCAACATGGAGAGACCCCATCTCTACAAAAAGTAAAAAATTACCCTGGCTTGGTGGCACATGACTGTCTGTAGTCCCAGCTACTTGGGAGGCTGAGGCAGGAGGATCGCTTGAGCCCAGGAGTTTGAGGATGCAGTGAGCTGTGATCGCACCACTGCATTCCAGCCTGGGCGACAGAGCAAGACTCCCTCTCATCATCATCATCATCATCATCATCATCATCATAAGCAGCAGAAGCAGATAATGCTATGGAGATTCCTCCAACAGGGCACAACCTGAATTAACAACTTGAATTAAAGCAGGGATAGATGGAGAACAGAGGAAGGGGGACCATGAGGAAGAGAAGCTTTGGAAGAAAGAGAGGACGGGGTTTGTGGGGAGACAGATGGGTATCCTGCTTCAGGCTCTATGAGAACTTAGCAAACAGATGTGGCACTAATAGGAAACTGAATTAGAATAACAGGAAATGAGAATTAGGGTTGCAGGACCCTGGAAGAACTTTAGGGTACAGAATCAAGGATAGGAGATTTTCAGCTAAGCTCTTGTGGGGGGTGCAGAGGTGGGTAAGAATTGAGAACACGATGAAAATTATTCATCTGCCCTATGAATAACTATTCCCCCAAAAAGGCAACATGGTATAATGGAAAGAGCACTAACAAGTATTTATTGAGTATCTACTATGTACCAGGCTATAAACCAGAGAGTTAAAAGGCTACTGTTTGTTAACTGGGTGCCCTTAAGCAAATGACTAAATCGCTGAAGCTCCGTTTTCACAACAGGCATAGCAATACTTACCTGGCAGGATTATCATAAAAAATGAAGTTAGGTGATAATTAACATGGAGGCCAAGCACAGTGCCTGGCATCCCGTTGGCACTCACACACATTAGATGCATCTAAGTTGAATATCTCTACGTAGGGCACTGAGCCAGGTACTAGGAGGAATACGAGAAGCTGTGAGATGGGAAGCCTCTTGCCAAAGGTGTTTGGGATCTAGTTAAAGAAACAGGACAGACGCATGAAAGATTTAAACAAACAGAAAACAGTTACCATAGTACATTCCACAAACTGGAAATGAGAAGCTAAAGAGTTTGAGGCGTGGGCATTCATCAGGGGCTGGGCTGAAGGGGGCTCCGGGGCTCCCTGAAGACATGACCTTGAGGGACCTACTGAGGTTGAGAAGAATGAGGTGCAGGGCAGGCAGAGGAGTAGAGGAAATGTGCTGGCCCTGAAAGCAGTGAGCAGGAACAAGGGTTTACTGAACGCTTTGGTCAGTTACCTGCCAGGGGCTTTCCAGGACCTATTCCTACTGGATCCTCACAGCAACTTGTGAGACACTTATCTCTATCCCCATTTCATAAGTGAGAAATGTTGAGAATCAGAGAGGCTAAATAACTCACTAAAAGTTTGGGAGACTGAGGCAAGACAATTCCTTGAGGCCAGGAATTTGAGGCCAGACTGGGCAACACAGCAAGACCCCATCTCTAAAAATAAATAAATAGCTAGTGTGGTGGCGAGCACCTGTAGTCCTAGCTACTCAGGTGGCTGAGGCGTTCAAGGTTACACTGAACTATGAGCTCACTACTACACTCCAGCCTGGGTGACCGGGAAAGACTCTGTCTCTTAAAAATAAAGCAAAACAAGGCTGGGCACGGTGGCTCACACCTGTAATCCCAGCACTTTGGGAAGCTGAGGTGGCCAGATCACCTGAGGCCAAGAGTTCAAGACCAGCCTGGCCAACATGGTGAAACCCCGTTTCTACTAAAAATACAAAAATTAGCCGGGCGTGGTAGCGCATGACTGTAATCTCAGCTACTCGGGAGGCTGAGGCACAAGAATCACTTGAACCCAGCAGGCAGTGCTTGCAGTGAGCTGAGATGGCACCACTGCTCTCCAGCCTGGGCGACAGAGCGAGACTCCATCTCAAAAAAAAAAAGGGGGGGGGGTACAAAACAAAACTGGATTTGCGAAAGCCATAAGGAAGAAACTAAAGATCCTGTGAAGTATTACTAAAGCAAGACAGGTGCTGAGGCTGGGTGCGGTGGCTCACATCTGTAATCCCAGCACTTTGGGAGGCCGAAGTGGGTGGATCACCTGAGGTTAGGAGATCAAGACTATCCTGGCCAACATGGTGAAACTCCATCTGGTGCTGAGATGGGGCTAGAGAGGTAACACAGTCTGCCATTCAGACTCTCATACACCAAAATTAAGAACTTTGGATTTGATCCTAAATACAATGGGAAACTACCGAACAGTTAAAGCAGGGGATCCAACTGATGTTGGGGAAAGAGCATTCTGGGCTGTTGTGTGGAACAGGATTGAAGTGGCCAAGAGCAGAGAGAGAACCAAATTCCAGTTATCTCAGAAGATTGGTGGTGGCTTGGACTGGGGTGGCAGTGGAGACAGACAGAAGTACATGAAAGTCTATTTTAGGAATAGAAGTGTGAGATGTGGCTGAATTGGGTATGAGGAGAGTTAAGAGTGTTTGAAGACAACGCTGACTCTGAGATCAGGAAATGCCACTTCTGAGATTGAAAAGATTGAAGGAGGAAGCAATTTGAGGCAGGAGGGAGTAGATCAGGGGCTTAGTTCATGTGGCAAAGAGAAGACTGTAATGTAAATTTACCCTGAGAATACTCAACCCTGCTAGAAAAGATAAGTGTGTAGTTTGGAAAACATGGGTGAAACATTTTAAGATGTTTCAACAAAATGTTTTTTAGACATAGGCAGAACGGTGTGTTAAATAGTTAGCAAGTAGAGCATCTGTGTGTTAAACATAGAAAGGACCAAGAGATGCCTAACATTCATGAGGCACCTGGGTACTAAACAGCCATGCTATACTAAATGCACAAAAGGTACTAAAGATTCCTAATATCCTAAACATGCGTAAGACATACAAAGCACTAAATACACCAAAGGCACTAATATTCAGGAGACACCAAATATGTATGAGCACTCAATATTCATGAGATTTTGTTTTGTTTTTTTTGAGATGGAGTTTCGCTCTTTTTGTCCAGGCTGGAGTGCAATGGCACGATCTCGGCTCACCGCAACCTCCGCCTCCTGGGTTCAAGCGATTCTCCTGCCTCAGCCTCCTGAGTACAGGCATGTGCCACCACCCTGGCTAATTTTGTATTTTTAGTAGAGACGGGGTTTCTCCATTTTGGTCAGGCTGGTCTTGAACTCCCGACCTCAGGTGATCCACCCACCTCGGCCTCCCAAAGTGCTGGGATTACAGGTGTGAGCCACCGTGCCCGGATGTGTGTGTGTGTGTTTTTTTTTTTTTAGATGGAGTTTCACTGTCACCCAGGCTGGGGTACGGTGGCACAATGGCACGATTTTGGCTCACTGCAACCTCCGCCTACCAGGTTCAAGCGATTCCCCTGCCTCAGCCTCTGGAGTAGCTGGGATTACAGGTGACTGCCACCACACCCAGCTAATTTTTTTGTATTTTTAGTAGAGACGGGGTTTTGCCGTATTAGCCAGAATGGTCTCGATCTCCTGACCTCGTGATCCGCCTGCCTCAGCTTCCCAAAGTGCTGGGATTACAGGCATGAGCCACCATGCCTGGCCTGTTTTTGTTTTTATTTTTGTTTTGAGACAGTCTTTTTCTGTCGCTCAGGCTAGAGTGTAGTGGCGCAATCATGACTCACTGCAACCTCTGCCTCCCAGGCTTAAGTGATCCTCCCACTTCAGCCTCCCAAGTAGCTGTGACTACAGGCACGCGCCACCAGGCCCAGCTAATTTTTGTATTTTTAGTAGAGGTGGGGTTTCGCCATGTTGCCCAAGCTGGTCTCAAACTCTTGGGCTCAAGCAATCTGCCTGCTCCGCCTCCCAAAGTGCTGGGATTACAGGTATGAGCCACCGCACCTGGCCCGTGAGGTTTTTTAAAAAATAAGTTTGATTTTAATTGACACATAATAATTGTACATATTTATGGGGTACAGTGTGATGTTTTGATACATATACACATTGTGTAACCATCAAATCAGGGTAATTAGCATATCCATCACCTCTCATAAGGTTTTTTTTTTTTTTTTTTGAGGCAGGGTCTGGCTCTGTTTCCCAAGCTGAAGTGCAGTGGTGTGATCTCAGCTCACTGCAACCTCTGCCTTCCAGGCCATCCTCCCACCTCAGCCTCCTGAGTAACTAGGATTACAGGCATGCACCATCACTCTTGGCTAAATTTTTTTTGTATTTTTAGTAGAGATGGGGTTTTGCTGTGTTGTCCATGCTGGTCTCGTGAACTCAAAGCAATCTGCCTGCCTTGGCCTCCCAAAGTGCTGGAATTACAGGTGTGAGCCACAGCGCCTGGCCCCTCTCATGAGGTTTTTTTTTTTTTTTTAATTTCCAACTTCTGAGTTTAGGGGTATGTATGCAGGATGTGCAGGTTTGTTACATAGGTAAACGTGTGCCATGGTGGTTTGCTGTGCAGATCATCCCTTCACCTAGGTATTAAGCACAGCATCCCTGAGCTATTCTTCCTGATGCTCTCCCTCCTCCCACACGAGGTTTTAATTCAATCTATTGGTGACATTTATTCTGGCCCATGTGCCCTCTGCTCAAGATATACAAATATAATCGTGGCTGCTCATCAAACTAATTAGCAAGCTACAGCTACGCCCCTGCAAACTTGACTTCCTCTGTCTGAAAAAGCAAGTGTGTCATTGGACCAGGACATCTATCTGTGGGTACCCCTGCTTAAATGTCAACGCTGGCCCTTGTAACATCCTCATCAGGGAAGGAGATGCAATAGAAAAAGATACAAAACAGATGAACCTGTGCACCCTAGATTCAGGTAGTATGGTCCTTCCACCTAGCTTGCACCCTACCCTAACTTGGTTAAATAGCCCCATCCCTTTTCCCTTGCATCTTGCTCTGTGTTTTAAGTTGATTTAATAAACCATGTGATTCGAGCATTTTAGCTTTGTCTAGGAGCCTTTCTGTTGTGTGACCTCAGAGATAGCTCTGTGGTCATGAACTTGGAGGCTACTATTGCAGCAAGATAATTTCCCACATGACAGAAGTCATGGGTGTATTTTTTTTTTTTTTTTGGCAAGTGAGGTAGCATGTTTAAAGTGGTGTTTTGGCAAGATTATGTGGCAGCTGTGTGTGGCATGGATTGAAGCAGAGAAGGCTGAAGGCAGAACTAAGACGAGTGCTGGCTAGAATCTCTGAGATCCTAAACCAGTGTAGGAGCACTAGAAATAAAAGAATGGGGTGTATTTTAAGAGACATTTTTAAAGGAAACATCAGTAGGATTTGGTGATTTACTGGAACTAAGAAAGAGCAAATGGGCCGGGCGCAGTGGCTCACGCCTGTAATCCTAACACTTGCAAGGCAGGCGGATCATTTGAAGTCAGGAGTTCAAGACCAGCCTGGCCAACATGGTGAAACCCTGTCTCTGCTAAAAATACAAAAATTAGCTGGGTGTGGTGGTACACACCTGTAGTCCCAGCTACTCGGGAAGCCGAGGCAGGAGAATCTCTTGAACCTGGGAGACAGAGGTTGCAGTGAGCCAAGATCATACCACTGCACTCCTGCCTGGGTGACAGAGCAAGACTCCATCTCAAAAAAAAAAAAAAAAAAAAAAAAAAAAAAAAAAAGAAAGAAAGAAAAAAAAAGGAAAGAAAGAACATATGAGTAGAATCAAAGACCATCTAAAGTTTCAAATGCAGATGGCTGAGGGAGTGACAGAACCACTGAATGTAACAGGTGGCCTAAATCTGTTAAGTTTTAGATTCGTTGGTTGTAGCTGCCCATGGGGTGATCCAACTGGAGATAACCTGATTACATCCAACAACGGCCTTGGCATTGATTAATCCTTCTCTCCTTTCCCTCTATTTAGTTTCCAAGTGATATTGCTCTTTTTCATGAAAATACCTTGTTTCTGTCTCTTGCTTTCTCTTATCTGTTCACTGCTGTCTCTCCAGTTCAGGTTCTTGTCCTTACGTTCCAGATTATTATAATAACCTCCTAACTGGTGCCTGCTCACAGACATCATTGAAACATTCTGGTCTTGGTGGGAGCAGTTTGAGTAATTGCTTCAAATGGACAAAATGGCTTGTTACACCTTTCCTCCTTCGATGCCATGTGGATGGCTACAGGAAATAATCATCCTGGTTCCATTCTCTTCCCATGCAAAGTGCTGGGTCCAGGGGAGTTGAGAGGATTTAGCAGCTTTGTTGCATTCAAGACAATTGGTCTGAAATTCTATTGATGATTGGCTGTTGTGGAGGGAATTGAGGCTATGAAAGATAGGCCATGTCCTGCAGCCACAGCCCAGTAAGGACACCAAGTGACTCTTAAAGAGTGACAAATGAAGGCAGGGTACATGGTGAATGGTTATCTCACCCTCTTTTTCTTTTTTTTTTTTTGAGATGGAGTCTCGCTCTGTTGCCCAGGCTGGAGTGCAATGACATGATCTCAGCTCACTGCAATCTCTGCCTCCTGGGTTCAAGCGATTCTCCTGCCTCAACCTCCCAAGTAGCTGGGATTACAGGCGCCCGCCACCACACCCAGCTAATTTTTGTATTTTTAGTAGAGACAGGATTTCACCACGTTGGTCAGGCTGGTCTCGAACTCCTGACCTCATGATCTGCCCACCTCAGCCTCCCAAAGTGTTGGGATTACAGGCGTAAGCCACCGTGTCCAGCCTCAGCCTCTTAACTTGTCAGTTTGGAGCTGGAGCTAAGCATCAGAACATGAAGGAAGGGTGAAGCAGAAGAGTCACCCCAGAAACTGAGGAATAACAAGAACATAGTGGTAGGAGGAGCCGGAGTTAAGGGCGGGCAGGCAATGCAACTAAGTAAGTTGGGAGGACAAGAAATCACAGAAAGTAAAGGACAGAAGGAGTAGCATGCATGAACCATGGGGTAAGCAAGCAAGAGGTCAAATCCAGGAATCCAGGATCCCTGGAGGGTAGCTGAGTGTAGGGAGACGATTGAGGCATGGCCTAGGAAATCAAGGGTCAGGAAGCAGGAATCCAGACTGGGAGACTGGAAAGCAACAGGCCAGGCACCAGGCAGAGGGCTGAACATTAAGGGTTGGATCCTCAAGCCAACAAGTCCCAGAAACAGATATAAGCAGCAAGAATGGAGCCCAAAATTTTATAAGTCAAGGGGTCTCAATTTCCCAATTACAGCCAGACCTGCCTCAGGGCATGCACTCCTTGTAACTTGAATGTGGCTTTAAAAATACGATTACACCCGGGTGTGGTGGCTCACGCCTGTAATCCCAGCACTTTGAGAGGCCGAGGTGGGCAGATCACCTGAGTTCAGGAGTTCAAGACCAACTTGACCAACACAGTGAAACCCCATCTCTACTAAAAATACAAAATTTTAGCTGGGTGTGGTGGTACATGCCTGTAATCCCAGCTACTTGGGAGGCTGAGGCAGGAGAATCACTTGAACCTGGGAGGCGGAGGTTGCAGTGATTGGAGACTGTGAATTGCACTCCAGCCCGGGCAACAAGAGTGAAACTCTGTCTTAAAAAAACAAAAACAAATACAAAAAAAAAATGTTTTTTGCCTAGCCAGAGATGTAAAGAACATATTCCTAGTATTTATTCCTATGCTGGTCTGAATCCAAGAGTCATTTGGGCACTCCTTTAGGAATGGAATCAGCCTGAGTATCTCTCTAGGGTGAGAGGCAGGGAGAAGGAGCAGGAAGGGATAACATTTGGAGTTGGCCAGGTCCAAGAGCTCACGACAAAATGTTCTAAATGGCCAAATGCTGGCAGTCATGGCTCATGGCTGTAATTCCAATGCTTTGGAAGGCTGAGAGGATTGTTTGAGGCCAGGAGTTCAAGACCAGCTTGGGTGACATAGCAAGACCCTGTCTCTACAAAAAAAAAAAAAAAAAAAAAAAAAAATTTAGCCAGATGTCGTGGCATGCGCCTATAGTGCTAGCTACTCAGGAGGCTGAGGCAGTAGGATAGCTTGAGCCCAGGAGTTCGAGGTTACAGCACCACTGCACTCCAGCCTGGGTGACAGAGAGAGGCCCTGTCTTTTTTTTTTTTTAAAAAAAAAGAGAGATGTACTCCTTATTATCAAAAGCTTGAGATCTGATAAAGGCCTCAACCCAAGCAGGACAACTAAAAGTTTTAAAGGAGGCTAGTGGGGATTTTGTGGGAGCCAAGTCTTCCCTAATTTACCAATCAGGCATTTACCTCTGCATTCCCTGAGAACAGAAACAAAATTGGTACAAATTGACATATTCTATAATGTTTTCAAAGTGTTCTTTAATTAGTTCATATACGTTTATTCTTTTATTGACTTAGAGTATGAGAACCTGAGGACAGAGTAGATGTCCCTTTAGAGTAGCAGTTTTTAGACTTTAAAAAATTATGAAGGCCAGGTGTGGTGACTCACACCTATAATCCTAGCACTTTGGGAAGCCGAGGCGGGTGGATCACCTGAGGTCAGGAGTTCAAGACCAGCCTGACCAATGGTGAAACCCCTTCTCTACTAAAAATACAAAATTAGCCAAGCATGGTGGCGCATGCCTGTAATCCCAGCTACTCGGGAGGCTGAGGCAGGAGTATCACTTGAACCCAGGAGATGGAGATTGCAGTGAGCCAAGATTGTCCCATTGCACTGCAGCCTGGGCAACAGAGTGAAACTCCATCTCAAAAAAAAAAAAAAATATAATCCATACATTTTATGTATGATCCAGGTCACATGCACTTATATAATCATATAAGTGGAAATCAAAGTTTCTCCAGACATTACTTACCTTTCCTATTGGTGCTGCACTGTGATCTTTTCTATTCCATTCTGTTCTAATTTTTTTTTAATGCTAGTTACATCTCACTAATTGATTTTGCAACTCACTAATGGATTACATATTGCAGTTTGGAAAACTCTGCTAATGAGTGTGTGAAGGCATATGGAGAAAGACATTGTCAAGAGAATGAGAAAACAAGCCACAGACTGGGAAAAAATATTTGCAAAATACACATCTGATAAAGTACTGTTCTCCAAAATATACAAAGAAATAAGTCTTTTAAAATTTTTCTGATTTTTTATTTTTTTGAGATGGAGTCTTGCTCTGTTACCCAGGCTGGGTGCAGAGGCGCGATCTCGGCTCACAACAACCTCCTCCTCCCAGATTCAAGCAATTCTCATGCCTCAGCCTCCCAAGTAGCTGCGATTACAGGTGCATGCCACCACACCCGGCTAATTTTTTATACTTTTGGTAGAGACGAGGTTTCGCCACGTTGGCCAGGCTGGTCTCAAACTCCTGAACTCAAGTGATCTGCCTGCCTCAGCCTCCCAAAGTGCTGAGAATGCAGGCGTAAGCCACTGCGCCCAGCCACTATTTATTTATTTGAGACATGATCTTGCATCGTCACCCAGGCTGTAGTGCAGTGACATGATCATGGCTCACTGCAACCTTCATCTCCCTGGGCTCAAGTAGTCCTCCTGCTTCAGCCCCCCAGAGTAGCTGGGACTACAGGTATGCGCCACCATGCCCGGCTAATTTTTAAATTTTTTTTGTAGAGACAGGGTCTTGCTATGTTGCCCAGACTGGCCTCAAATTCCTGGGCTCAAGAAATCCTCCTGCCTTGACTCCTAAAGTGTTGGGATTACAGACATGAGCCACCATGCCGAGCCAAAAACTCTTGAAACTCAACAATAAGAAATCAAATAACCCAATTAAAAAATGGACCAGGCCGGGCGCAGTGGCTCACGCCTGTAAGCACTTTGGGAGGCCAAGGCGGGCGGATCCTGAGGTCAGAAGATTGAGACCATCCTGGCTAACACGGCGAAACCCCATCTCTACTAAAAATACAAAAAAAAAATAACCAGGCGTGGTGGCGGCAGGTGCCTCAAAAAAAAAAAAAAAAAAAGGACCAAAGACCCTAACACACATCTCACCAAAGACATACAGATGGAAGGTAAGCATATGAAAAGACCTCTATATCCTATGTCATCGGGAAAATGCAAATTCAAACAATGAAATACTACTACGTATCTATTGGAATGGCCCAAATCTGGAATACTGACAATACCAAATGCCGTGGAGGATGTGGAATAACAGAAACCCTCATTCACTGCTGGTGGGAATGTAACACGGTACAACCACTTTGGAAGATAGTTTGGCAGTTTCTTACACCACTAAACATACTTTTACCATACAATCCAGCAATCAAGCACCTTGGTATTTACCCACGTGTTAAAAATTTACGTCTAGGTGGCCGGGCACGGTGGCTCACGCCTGTAATCCCAGCACTTTGGGAGGCGAGATGGGCGGATCACCTGAGGTCAGGAGTTCAAGACCAGCCTGTCCAACATGGTAAAATGCCGTCTCTACTAAAAATACAAAAATTAGCTGGGTGTGGTGGCAGGCACCTGTAATCCCAGCTACCCAGGAGGCTGAGGCAGGACAATCGCTTGAACCCGAGAGGCGGAAGTTGCAGTGAACCTAGATCATGCCACTGCACTCCAGCCTGGGGAAAGAGAGCGAGACTTTGTCTCAAAAAAAAAAAAAATTATGTCTACATAAAAACCTGTACATGGATGTTTACAGCAGCTTTATAATTACCAAAGCTTAGAAGCAACGAAGATGCCCTTCGATAGGTGAATAAACTTACCAGACAGTTCTCCGGGTGGCCTTGGGCCACCCAGTTCTCCGCTTTCTCACTTATAGTATTCAAGAATAACCGTAGATTGTTCTGGGAATGCAGCATCCTGGGATAACGAGGGACTGGACAGCACAGCCTGAGCTCTATTCCAGGCCCTCCTAGAAATAGAATATCCTTTAAAAAAAAAGAAAACAAGAAAGAAATAGGACGTCCTTCAACATTTTAGCCCACCAAGTCCTGTTGTCCCTAGGATACAAAACCCAGGGCAGTTTGCTAGTGAGGTAAGCAAGACATACACACTGACAAGACTCCATTCACCCCAGGCAGCTTTTGTGAGCCTCGGGGGACTGGCTGAGTCCTAGGCTACGCTGTCCCTTGCTGCCTATCTGTAAGTAATACATCTGGTGCGTGTAGCTTATTTGATTGGGGGGGTTTTTCTGTTCCACCCAACTCAAGCAAGTTGGTAGCCAGGGCATAATTAATCTGCTTTGAAAAACTGTGGAATAGCCAGACATTATTCAGTGCTAAAAGGAAACGTGCTATCAAACCACGAAAATGTGTCCAGAATTGGTGGGTTCTTGGTCTCACTGACTTCAAGAATGAAGCCGCAGACCCTCGCGGTAAGTGTTACAGTTCTTAAAGGCGGCGTGTCCAGAGTTTATTCTTTCTGACGTTCGGATGTGTTCAGAGTTTCTTCCTCCTGGTGGGTTCGTGGTCTCACTAGCTCAGGAGTAAAGCTGCAGACTTTCGCAGTGAGTGTTACAGCTCTTAAGTCGACGCATCTGGAGTTGTTCGTTCCTCCCGGTGGGTTCGTGGTCTCGCTGGCTTCAGGAGCAAAGCTGCAGACCTTCCCGGTGAGTGTTACAACTCATAAAAGTAGTGTAGATCCAAAGAACAAACAGCAACAAAATTTATTCCAAAAAGTGAAAGAATAAAGCTTCCTCTCTCCACCCCCCAACCCCCCCCCCCCCCCCCCCCCCGGAGAAATAGGACCCGAGTACATTGCCACTGCTGAGTCGGGGCAGTCTGCTTGCACTGCTGAGTCGGGGCAGTCTGCTTTTATTCTCCTATCTGGCCCCACCCACATCCTGCTGATTGGTCCATTTTACAGAGCGCCGATTGGTCTGTTTTACAGAGAGCTGATTGGTCCATTTTGACAGGGTGCTGATTGGTGCGTTTACAATCCCTGAGCTAGACACAAAAGTTCTCCACGTCCCCACTAGATTAGCTAGACACAGAGTGTCCATTGCTGCATTCACAAACCCTGAGCTAGACACAGCGTGCTGATTGGTGTGTTTACAAACCTTGAGCTAGATACAGAGTGCTGATTGGTGTATCCACAATCCCCCAGCTAGACATAAAAGCTCCCCAAGTCCCCACTAGACTCAGGAGCCCAGCTGGCTTCACCCAGTGGATCCCGCATCGGGGCCACAGGTGGAGCTGCCTGCGGGTCCCGCGCTGTGAACCCACACTCCTCAGCCCTTGGGTGATCGATGGGACTGGGCGCCCTAGAGCAGGGGGCAGCGCTCTCCGGGAGGCTCGGGCCGTGCAGGAGCCCACGGCGTGGGGGAGAGGAAGGGGTGGAGGCTCAGGCATAGTGGGCTGCAGGTCCCGAGCCCTGCCCAGCAGGGAGGCAGCTAAGGCCTGGCGAGAAATCCAGCACAGCAGCTACTGGCCCAGGTGCTAAGCCCCTCACTGCCCGGGGCTTGCGGGCTGGCTGGCCGCTACGAGTGCGGGGCCCGCCGAGCCCACGCCCACCCAGAACTCGCGCTGGCCCCCAAGCGCCCCGTGCAGCCCCAGTTCCTGCCCGCGCCTCTCCCTCCACACCTCCCCGCAAGCTGAGGGAGCCAGCTCCAGCCTTGGGCAGCCCAGGAAGGGGCTCCCACAGTGCAGTGGTGGGCTGAAGGGCTCCTCACGTGCCGCCAAAGTGGGAGCCCAGGCAGAGGAGGCGCCGAGAGTGAGCGAGGGCTGCCAGCAGGCTGTCACCTCTCAAAAACACGTGGAGGAACCTGAAATGCATATTACTAAGTCAAAGAAGCCAATCTGAAAAGGCTACATATAGTATGATTCCAACTCTATGATATTCTAGAAAAGGCAAAACTGTGGAGACAGTAAAAAGATCAGTGGTTGCTAGGGGTTGGTGGGGCTGGGAGGGTTGAATAGGTAGAGCATAGAGGATATTTAGGTCAGCGAAAATAGTCTGTGTGATACTTTAATGTTGTATATATGTCATTATACATTATAGAAAGTACAACACAAGTCCAGGCACGGTGGCTCACACCTGTAATCCTAGCACTCTGGGAGGCCAAGGCAGGCGGATCACTCGAGCTCAGGAGTTCAAAACCAGCCTGGGCAATATGGCAAAACCCTGTCTCTACTAAAAAAACCAAACCAAAACAAAACAAAAAAACCACACACACACACACAAAAATTAGTCAGCTGTGGTGGCACACACCTGTAGTCCTAGCCACTTGGGGGGCTGAGGTGGGAGGATCCCTTGAGCCCAGGAGGTCAAGGCTGCAGTGAGTCGAGATCGTACCACTGCACTGTAGCCTGGGTGACAGAGACCCTGTCTCAAAAACAAACAAACAAGAAAGTAAACCAACAGTGAACCTTAATGTAAACTGTGGACTTTGATTGATAATGATGTGTCAGTGTAGGTTTATCAATTGTAACAAATGTACTCCTTTGGTGGCCGGATGTAGTAGCTCATGCCTGTAATCTCAGCACTTTGGGAGGCTGAGACAAACGGATCATCTGAGGTCAGGAGTTCGTGACCACCCTGGCCAATATGGTAAAACCCTATCTCTACTAAAAATACAAAAATTAGCTAGGCGTGGTAGTGGATGCCTGTAATCCCAGCTACTTGGGAGGCTGAGGCAGGAGAATCGTTTGAACCAGGGAGGCAGAGGTTGCAGTGAGCTAAGATGTGCCACTGCACTCTAGCCTGGGCGACAGAGCGAGACTCCATCTCAAAAAAAAAAAAAAAAAAAAAAGTACTCCTCTGGTGAGGGATGTTGATAATGGGGAAGGTAGGTTATGTATGTGTAGGGACAGGGGTATATGGGAACTCTTGTACCTTCCTCTAAAAAAATTAGTCTAAAAAAAAGCATAAGGACTAAAAGCTGGGTTTGAGCTCCAATTCTGCAATTACCTGTGAGCTTCAGGCAGTGTCTCTCTGGCCTCTGGGCCTCATTTTTCTTTTTCTTTTCTTTGTTTGTTTTTTTTTTTTTTTTTTTGAGACGGAGTCTCATTCTATCACCCAGGCTGGAGTGCGGTGGTGCGATCTTGGCTCACTGCAACCTCCGCTTCCCAGGTTCAAACGATTCTCCTGCCTCAGCCTCCTGAGTAGCTGGGATTACAGGCAAGCGCCACCACGCCCGGCTAATTTTTGTATTGTTAGTAGAGACTGGGTTTCACCATGTTGGTCAGGCTGGTCTCCAACCCCTGACCTTGTGATCCGCCCGCCTCGGCCTCCCAAAGTGCTGGGATCATAGGCGTGAGCCAGCGCACCCAGCCGCTCTCACACGGTTTGAAATGTGCCAATCAGACCAACTTTTCCTAGAGGTGCCATGTACACCTTTACCTTGACAGCCACAGGCATGGCTCAGGGCACCTTTCTTCACCCTTTCCCCTCCCAGCTCAGGCGCCCATGCGTGCCCGCAGCAGGCAAAGGCCAAGCCCAACAGCCAAGAGTGGGCGGGAGAAAGCCGTGGTGGTAGCCAAACAGGGCAAACGGATGGGCGCTTCTTGCCGGCTGCGCCAATAAAACCTTTCCTCCCCTGGCCAAAGAATTCAACACGGTCTGAACTAGAGGAAAGATATAAGGATTAGGGGGGCCCACTTGCAGTAAGCAAGGGGTTCTTCTCCCAGAATCCTCCTCTTTTTGGCCTTTTAACTGTTTTTCTTTTTTTCCTTTTCTAAGTGAGAGGGCTCCCCCATCCCAGTAGTTTCTGATAGGGAAGTTAACGGAGGAGCGACCCCTGCTGGCTGAGAACTGCAAATTCAGCAGGGCACATCTGAGACACTCTGAACAGATACAAACAGCCTCTAAACCAACTTTTCAATCCCAAATTCGATTCCAGGCTTCAGGCTGAGGCCCTAGAGAGAAAAACCAGGTCCGAGGGATCCAAAGCCAGGCAACAGGCACAATGTAAATGGGCAGAACCAATTCCTGACGAGTGAACCCCCCACCACATAGAAGGAGGCCATGTTCCATGGCACAAACAGGCCCAGGGAACTCAGTTTGCTGACAGCAGGAAGAAAGGGAGGGAGAAAGGGAGGTGTAGATGAGAGCAGTTAATTCCTATTCTCCAGGTTTTCCCTGCTTCATGGGTACATACCGCATTGGTACCCATGGCTGGCACCTGACAAGGTCACCAGGGCTCAGGGACAAGAGGTGGAGGGTGCAGGGAGGATACTCGCTTTCTCTCTCCATCACACTCTGAGTATTCGCTGAAAGAAGGAAGGGAGTAGGGGACGCCTTTTTTCCCTGTCTTTCAGAATGGGCAACCAGTTCTCTTCACCACCCCCAGCTTATACTCTTCTGGAGTATAATGTATTCTGAACCATTGGGATTGCTTTGACCCTCAGCATCTGAAGGAAAAGCACCTCATAGCCCTCTGCACAAAGGTTTGGCCAAATTATGATTTATAGGAAGGACTGGCGTGGCCTCAGGAAGGGACCATTCATTTCAATACCATTGAACTAGGACCAAGCCCCTCAATTATACTAAATTGTCCATGATTGACCAGGGATTTGATGAAAATCCCACTGCCTTCCTGGAGAGGCTAAGAGGGAGCTTGGTAAAGCACCTCTCTCTATCTCCTGATTCAGTAGAGGGACAACTAATTCTAAAGGATCAATTTATTACTTGGGCAGCTCCTGACATCAGAAGGAAGATACAAAAACAGGCCCCGGGACCAGATAGTACTTTGAAGAAACTCCTGAAAGTAGCCACCTTGGTCTTTTATAATAGAGACTGGGAGGCCCAGGAAAGAGAGAGGAGATACAGGAAAGAGGCAAAAGCTTTAATGGCCATCGTGCAAGTCCACAAATCCCAGAATTCCCAGGGTGCACCTGTTAACTGCTAAAAGATATGGCAAGAACAGTTATCTCTTCTCAAGTTGAACTGCTCCTATATAAGGTTTAATTTCTTACAGCTCAGGGTACAATGTTGTTAGTATATTTTACTTCTTGTCTCTGGAATCTTTGGCACTAAATTCTTTCCTTGTATAATACACGTTTAATTTATGCACACTTAACCTTATAAAACTTGTTTTATTCTCTTGCGCCTAGAAGCCACCAAACTGCAAACGGTCAGGCAATCGGAGCCTCGGATGATGGCTCCCCTTTCCTAGGAACCCTTAGATAGACCTCTAGGAGGAGTCTGACTGCTGTTTTCCCCAAAACAATGCCCCCTATCAGCATGAAGCAGCTAAGACCAGTCATCGTCCATATTCTAAGGGCAGTTAGATGTACCTCTTCACACGGAGGAAATGATAGGGAAGTGCTGGGAAGGGAAGACTGTGGTCCTTTTAAATGATAGGGAACAGTTTAAAAACTATTGGTAACACTTCTCTTGTCAAGAAATTAGATCTTTTGATCCACTGATTTTATTTTTGGAAATGTATTCTAAGTGGGGGCCAGGCGCGGTGGCTCACACCTGTAATCCCAGCACTTTGGGAGGCCAAGGCGGGCGGATCACGAGGTCAGGAGATCGAGACCATCCTGGCTAACCCGGGGAAACCACATCTCTACTAAAAATACAAAACAAAACAAAAAAAACTAGCCAGGCGTGGTGGCGGGCGCCTGTAGTCCCAGCTACTCCAGAGGCTGAGGCAGGAGAATGGCGTGAACCCGGGAGGCGGAGCTTGCAGTGAGCCGAGATCGCGCCACCGCACTCCAGCCTGGGCGACAGAGCCAGACTCCGTCTCAAAATAAATAAATAAATAAATGTATTCTAAGTAATTGGAAAAGTGCTACAATTTATTGAACTACTGCCTGAGGGCTCTGTAGATGTATGGTCCCGTCTACTACTCATGTTACCAGACAGGTACTATCAGCCTTTTTATAGATGAGGACACACGCTCAGAGGTTAGAAAAATGCCACAAGTGCTCACAGCTACTACTGCAGTGAGTGGTACCAAAGCATGTCAAAGCCTCTGCTCGCCATACATTGTCTGTCTCTCTCTCCGTTTTTCCCAACTACAAATTTCATTCATCCATATTCCACTCTGCTGCATCTTGATCACTTGTTACCTGATCAAGGGGCAGGATTGAACTGAGTGAATAATCTGGTTCCGGGGTACTCCTGGTTTTGTAGGCCCAGTGGCTTTCCCTCCTCACCCCCACCCCCTTTCCATAGCAGAGGTGATTAGAGACCGGGGGATACTGGAGTCTGAGAAGGTAAGGGCTGTCCTTTAGAGAAGGAGAGGTAGCTAGTAATCAGGACTAGAAAATGTCTAGACAGGCCAGGCACGGCGGCTCATGCCTGTAATTCCAGTACTTTGGGAGGCCGAGGCGGGAGGATCACCTGAGGTCAGGAGTTTGAGACCAGCCTGGCCATCGTGGTGAAACCCCATCTCTACTAAAAATACAAAAATTAGCCAGGTGTGGTGATGCACACCTGTAATCCCAGCTACTCAGGAGGTTGAGGCAGGAGAATTGCTTGAACTCGGGAGGCGGAGATTGCAGTGAGCTGAGATCGCGCCACTACACTCCAGCCTGGGCGACAGAGTGAGACTCAGTCTCAAAAAAAAAAAAAAAAAATGTCTAGACCAGCGACTCGAAAACTAGTTTGGGGGCAGGCGGGTAGGGAGAGAGGTCAGGGAGGGATGATCTAGAAACTTCCTAAAGCTACACACAATTGCATATTCATGGGGGATCTGGCTATTTTTTTTTTCCAGGAAGAGGTCCAAAGAGTTTTGAGATTCTCAGATGGTCAGTGGCCCCCAGAAGTTTAAGATCCATTTAAGGTAAGAAGAGTGATTCTAGAGGAGGAGGGACCCTGGTACAGTGAGTAGCAAGACTGCAGAAGGGAGGGCTCGCCCGGCTCAGACCCCATGGCAGGCACCCCCGGGACAGCATCTCCCCACCCTCCTGAAGAGATTTTGGAACAAAAAGCAGTTCCCCATCCCACTGGGCTGAACCTAATCTTAATTCTTTGGGGATGTTCAGAAGAATTTTGTCTTGAGAAACTTTAGTGGCCTTTTTCTAGAGCTAGCTCTTCAAAAAATCTTAAAGGGCAAAAAGTTTGGAACTAACGTTAAAGTCTTCTGGAGGGAAGTCTGGGCTGGGAGGAGGGAAAGCCTGATCAATAAGAGGGGGGAGTCTGGAGGAGAAATGCCTGGGACCTTGAAACCCCAGACCATTGCCCTGGGGGAGGGCAGAAGAGCAGGCAGAAAGCAGCGTGGGCCTGAGACCTGCCCCAGGCCCAGGTGCCACAGGTGAGTGTATTTCCTTCTTGGCCCTGACCCTCCAGCAAACACAAAGCCTCGCTCTTCCAGAGGGAGGGACCAGCCCACTTACAACATGGAAACCCTTTTCTGCTCAAAGGACGACCTAGAAATCTCCAAAAGCAGATCTCTAAGCTCCTGTTTTTAACTGGGTTTTCTGAACAAGGGAGCTGAGGTGCCCTCTCCCGTGAGGCAGTGAGTTCAGGTGGTTTACCTCTGAGTCTTCCTCCAGGGTGCTTTCTCCTCTTTACCCCAAATTCCCCAAACTGTGGTCTAAAGCTTCCCTTCCTCTAAGAGTGTTTCATTTAAGAAACAGGACAAGGGTGTGGAGAGGAGGGTTCCCCCACAACAATTTTCAGTAGGGTAATTCAGCCCTTGGCTACTCCCCCTGAAGAAGGGGAAGGGTATCTCTAAGATCTGTTCTTTCCAAAAGATGGAACTGTCTTATTATCTGTCTTCCTCCTCAGTCATATAATCTATTTTGTCAGTGTCTCAGGCTCTCTTCCTTTATGTTGGCAGGAGACTTTGAGGAGGGGGTTGCTCAGTGCGAGGGTCCAGGGACAAATGTACCCAAAGCACACAGAGCCAAGATCTTGGGTGGCTTATAGGTGGGAGAGGCTCTCCCCAATCTTCAACAGAGACCAGCTCCTCTTCCCACTGAGCTCAATACCAGGTACTGGAAAATCCCACCTGATTCTCTGGCTTTTCCCATTATTACAAGGAGAGGCACTCACAATTTGTTTGTAATTTTACTCTTTCCTGCAGCCTTTGCGGGGTCCCTTTAGAATCCTGCAACAAATGGAGCCGGGGGCGGTGACACCTCCTCCCGCCTGCTTCTTTGATAATTGAGGGAACCTCATGTTGAGATCTCACACTTGTCATCATTTGATAAAAAGCTAGGTTTAACTGGCCACTGACACAGATGATTTGGGGGGAAATTATATATTTTTGGGAGGGGGCGCTGCTGAAATCCACAGGCTTCATACAATTCCAAACAAAGCCCCACATATCACTTCAATTACCACCAAACATTTCCAGTTCCCCTCCCCCAACATAAACTAACACAAGCAAACACTTCGAAGTAGGGGTTCTAACTTAACTTTCTCCCTTGTCCGGAAGACAGCCAACAAAGGGTGGTAAGGCACCATTTCTCCCATCACCATTTAGCTAAGAAAGCAAGGTCCAGGGCTGGGAGCACTCTTCTCTGCCCCACCCCCAGCCAAGTAGGTAAGGGAGAGAGGGGAGGAGGAGGTGTGGTTTGGTTAAACTAATAAAATGTTACAACCCTGTTAAATACAATTAAAAGGATAGATCTCTCAAAGATAATTAAATGCACTTTATTATTATGATTATTAGCTTTTAATTTACACTGTTAAGAAATGGAAGATGGCGAAAACTGAGTTATGTGGCATACTTGTATTCAAACTAATCCTTTGGAATTAAAATTCTAAAATATTCCAAATAGTTGAGGGAAATAATATGTGTTGGAAACTGGAGTTCTCACACCAGCAAAGATACTTTTAGACATCACTTCTCAGGAAGTTAACTTAAGAGAAGTCTTGACAGGCCAGGCACTGTGGCTCACTCCTGTAATCCCAGCACTTTAGGAGGCCGAGGCAGGCAGATAACGAGGTCAGGAGTTCGAGACCAGCCTGGCCAATATGGTGAAACCCTGTGTCTACTAAAAATACAAAAATTAGCAAGGAGTGGTGGCGTGCGCCTGTAGTCCCAGCTACTTGGGAGGCTGAGGCAGGAGAAACGCTGCAGTGGAGGTTGCAGTGAGCCAAGATCGCACCACTGCACTCCAGCCTGGGCGACAGAGCAAGACTCCGTCTCAAAAAAAGAAAAGTCTTGACTTTATTTGTAGGGGCTCAGGGGAAGATAAGAAACATCTGCTTTAAACATCCTATCAATCTTGTGATATAGAATGTAATGTAAACACTCAACCCACCCCCACAGCCACAAAGGGCCTATCCAGAGACTTCTTCTAAAGCAAAGATACCACCTTTTTTTTTTTTTTCATTTTTTTCTGGACAAATTTTAAATAAACCAGTCTTTTTCTCAAAGGAAAACTAAAAAGCCCACCAGCCCATCAGTCCCCTCCCTCCAACCCACCCGTCTTTATCACTTTTTGAAAAAAATAAGCCCCAAACAACAACAAAAACCCACACAAACCAACCCAGAAACTGCTAACCTGAACGCCAGAGATTTTTGGCTGCGGGAGTGAATAGACTGCAGGGAAAGAAGGGAAGAGATGCTAGGAGGTCTCAAACTCCCCAGATTTGCAAACAAGTGCTCAAAGGCGAATGCTTCCCCTAGACATGAAGGGAGGCAGGATCAGTACTCCTGGTGGGGTGTATGTTGGTGGGGGCTGTTTCAAAACACACTTCAAAAAGCATTTTTGGGCCACTGGAAGCACTTGGTGCAGCGAATTGAAAAGAAGAGAAGCCAGACAGGAGAAAGATCTTCCAGCCTGCAGGGGAATGGGCCAGGGGGTGGAAGCCATTCCTCACCGGATCTCTGCCCTCTCCCCACCAGCACACCCCGACCCCGATTTTTTTTTCCACGTCTTCATCTCTGTTGGGACTTTTCCAAGAGTGAGTGAAGAAGACAGGACAAATGAGTAGGGAAAGAAAAGGGGGAAGGAAACAAAACGAATCCAAGTCCTGTTCAAAAATATCCAACGGCTTCCACAGGCCCAGCGTCAGAGAGGAGGCTCACAAATTTGGCTTTTATATTAGTTGAATGGAACAAACTCCTAACGACTCAAAGCCAACAAAAACAGCGCTCAGGCTGGGTGCCTCTCCCATCAGGCCCAGCCCTGCCATATCACCAAAAAACTCCAAAAGTGGGGCGGGTTTTGAAGGGCACTTAAGAAAGAGAACCCTCCCCCCAACTACACTCCCCAACACACACACACCTCATTCTTCAGTCCTGGCGCCCACACCCCTGTTTTTTTTTCTCCTTTTTTCTTTTAAATAGAAAATATATATAATTAAATTTACAAAGACTATTTACAGTTTTAATTACAAACCTTGTGGGGGTGTTGGGCAGAGAGTTCTCTTTTAAAAAGCAACCTAAAAGTGAAATGGTTTCGATCGTTTTTTATTTAAAAAAATAAAATACGGAGTCTGTAGGGGCCCCACCCCGGGCGGAGGAAAGCGCCGCGCGGTTCCGGCCTGGGGGCGTCCCTCACACGGTGGTCTCACCGTGTCGGCTGTTGGTGAGGCGAGTGTAGAACTTCCTCCACGAGTGCAGCGTCTTGCCCGACCAGATCCAGAAGCCCGACGTGATGCCCACGATGAGCGTCATGAGGTATTTGATCATGTAGACCGTGAAGTCGGGCGACATGCGCGGCGTGTAGTGCGCCGGGCACGGGATGGCCAGGCTCTTGCAGTGCTGGCTCACCCACGAGCGCTCCCAGTGCTCGCGGAAGGCCTGCTCGTAGAAGTAGCAAGCGATGACGATGGTGGCGGGCACTGTGTAGAGCACGGAGAAGACGCCGATGCGCACCATGAGCCGCTCCAGCTTTTCGGTCTTGGTGCCGTCGTGCTTCATGATGGTGCGGATGCGGAAGAGCGACACGAAGCCGGCCAGGAGGAAGGACGTGCCGATGAACAGGTACACGAAGAGCGGCGCTAGCACGAAGCCCCGCAGCGGGTCCAGGCTGTTGAGGCCTACGAAGCACACGCCGCTCAGCAGGTCGCCGTCGATCTGGCCCATGGCCAGGATGGTGATGGTCTTGACGGCCGGCACGGCCCAGGCGGCCAGGTGGAAGTACTGAGAGTTGGCCTCGATGGCCTCGTGGCCCCACTTCATGCCGGCTGCCAGGAACCAGGTGAGCGACAGGATGACCCACCAGATGGAGCTGGCCATGCTGAAGAAGTAGAGCATCATGAAGAGGATGGTGCAGCCCTCCTTCTTGGTGCCCTGCACCACCGTGCGGTAACCGTCCTCGGAGAAGCGCTCGTTGCACACCACGCGCTCCTGGAGCACGAAGCCCGCGATGTAGGCCACCGACACCATGGTGTAGCAGCCCGACAGAAAAATGATAGGCCGCTCTGGGTAGCGGAAGCGCTGCATGTCTACCAAGTACGTGGTGACAGTGAAGAAGGTGGAAGCGCAGCACAGCACCGACCAGGTGAGGATCCAGAGGCGCGCGAAACGCGTCTCCTCCTGTGAGAAGAACATGGAACCATCGGGCCGCGCAGGTTCGCAGGGCGCAGCACAATCACGCTCGCCCAGAAACTTGTAGCTGAGATAGGATGGCACCTTGAGGACGCGCGGGCAGTGGAAGGGGTGCTCCAGCGTGGCGTAGCGCGGGGGAGCGCCGCCGCCGCCCGGGCCACCCGGGGTGCCCCCGGCACCCGGCTGCAGTCCCGGCGGCGGCGCGGTGGTGAGTAGCGCGGGAGCTCCGTCCTCGGAGTGGTTCTGGCCGACGCAGATCTGCTCGGCGCCGTGGCGCGGGAAGTGCTCGCAGCGCAGGCGCTCGGGCCACTGAAAACCGAACTTGTTCATGAGGGCTTCGCAGCCCTGGCGCGCGCGCTCACAGATAGAGCGGCACGGCGGGATGGCCTGTTCCAGCACGGTGCACACGGGTGCGTACATGGAGCACAGGAAGAAGCGCAGTTCGGGCGAGCACTGCACCTTCACCAGCGGATAGAACTGGTGCACCTCTAGGCCTGCGTCCTCCTGGTTCGTGTGGCCCAGAAGGTTGGGCATGATGGTCTGGTTGTAGGCGATGTCCGTGCACAGCGGGATGGAGATGGGCTGGCAGAAGCCGTGGTCCGGGATGGAGATGCCCTTCTCCCCGTGGAACTGGGCCGGCCCGGCGGCGGGCAGCAGCAGCAGCGGCAGCAGCAGGCGGGGCAGGGCGCTGCGGGGCCGCATGCTGGCCGCCGCCCCCCACCCGGCTCCTTGGCGCCCCCCCCGCCCCCGCCCCCAACCCGGAGACTGCGCTTCTTCCCCGCCGCCTCCTCGCTGCGGCTGCCGCCTCCCGCGCCTCTTTGCAAACTTTACTCGCGGCCGCAGAGTTGGGGAGGCCGGGCGGGGGAGGGGGCGGTGCGCCTGCCCGCTTGCTTGCCGCGGTCGGACTGAGCAGCCGGAGACACCGCGCGCTGCTGCCCTCTCTCCTCTTCCTCCTCCTCTCGCCTCTCAGCTCCCCCTCTCCCCTCCCTTCTGCACCCAGCGACTTCTTTGTGCCTCCTCCAGCCCTCACCTCGGCCTCTCCGATCCCAATTAGTCGGTTTCAAGGGGGCCCCCGCTGGCGGCCCCGCCCTCTCCTCAGCCCCCCAAAAAAGGGATCCTTGAAACCGCCCCGTCGAGCTCTAAGCACCAACCCAAAATGTGCTCTCGGCCAATCAGATTTAAACCCGAGGACCAGGCCCGAGGGCTGGATTGGTCGACCACAACATAATGAGATCAGAAACCAGATGCCAACAAAACTTTCCCCCCCTTTTGCTTTTTAAAGAGACAAGCTATTATTATATTAAGGGCTGTTTGCCCAGCCCGGGATTTCTCCGGAGTTGCCGCGGCGAGATCGGGGGACACTACTCGACCCTGGCTCACTCCTCTTCCCGGGCCGAGGTGCTCTGCCGGGTGGGGACTCTTTAAACCCTTGCCCCCGCCCCCGATCCTCGAACCCCACCTATTCCTAGTCCAATTTTTCAAATCGAGTGAAAAATCTCAAATTTAAAAATTAAAACAGACTTTAAAAAAACTAACAATTTACAAAGACCTTTTCTGTCCGCTCTTTCTGGAGCCCAGGCGAAAGTTTCACTTCACTTTACACGTAGATCCCTCGCCCTCCCCCTCCACACACCCTTAAAAAACCCTCTGAAAAATGGGATCCTGTCTCTTTAAGAGACTCTTAAAGGGACCAGGACTCCGAGGCGTAATTGCCCCGTAGCCAACACAAAGGAGCCCATTATGGTTCTTTGTGTTCGGTGGCACCTCAAAGTGAGAAAACTCAGGAACTCGGAGGCCCGGAGCTGGAGGGTTGGGGCGGGGGGCTTGGAGGGAGCGAGGGAAAGGAGAATGGCCCGGAGCTGCGGCTTCTCCCTCCCGCTTCTTCTGCGGCAAATCTTAATTGTGCAAAGTAAAGTTTAGTTGCCCTAAGGAGGAGGTCTTAATCGAAAGTTAATGGTGGGGGGCGGGGGGTGACGGGCAATTTTGAGTGAAGGGACGACTCTCTTAGGCCTGACGAACGTTTGAGGGAATTTTCCTTCTGCCTCCCCACCTCTACCTCCGCCCCCTAAAAGCTTCCAGATCCCGTCTCCAGGGCGAGAGGGGAGTTTTACCCAAATCTTAAGTGGTTCCACACCAGAGAGGGGTGGCGTGTGTGACGCGGGAGGAAACTGGGGGGTTGTGGTGAATTATCCCCTCCACATCTCTCACCTGGTAAGGGGTGGGGTGTGGCCAGCAGGGTTCCTGCTACTTTTAGAATTTTTCTTTTCCCTTCTAGGATTTTAAATTTGGAAAGGGGTCGAGGAGGAATTTGCATGTAAATCTCCTGGGCCTGATACTGGATGATGGATCAATTATTTTCTGTTGTCTCTCCCGAGGGACAGGGGAAAGGGGGGACTTAAAAAGAAGAAAGAAAATTGAGTTTAGAAAGCCCCTTTGCTTCACAGTATGGGCCAAATCCTCACAGTCTGGTGAAATGTTTCTTGCTCCAATATAGAAAAGAATTGTTTTAAACAACAACAGCAGAAGAAGAAAAATAACAAAAAGAGGAAAGGAGTAGGGAGAAGGAAAAAATATTCTAAGTAGATGGATACAAAGGGATCCAGGTTTGACAGGATTCAAAAAAAAATTTTTTTTTCCTGATCGAATGAATGATATAAAGATGTTCCGGTTTCTTACAACTTGAAAATGTTCCTTATTACATCCTGGGGAATTTGCCTTTTCCCTACACCAGGATGAAAATTTTCCTTCAAAATTGGGGCATGAGTGGGTGTCGAGGGGGATATGCCTTTTTTTGTGCATCCCATTTCCAGCCCACCCATCTCTATTCCACCAGCAAGCCCATTTTCTCTCAGAGCAGTCTAAGGATGGGAATGTTGTGCTCTCTCTGCTCCATTTGAGCCTGAGCTTTTGATCCTCAGATCTCCTGCCTAGTCCATCTCAAAGCATCTTGAGAGCCGGTACCAAACATGGAAGCTGAGCAGTGGAAACAAAAATGAATGACAGGCTCCTATACCCCATTCAGGAAGCTCGCAGTCCGATAGGAAATTGAGAGCAAATCTCCAATGTAAACGCAGCATCTTCAATTTCCTTCCATGACAAACCCGTTTTCCTGGCCTAGGGCCAGGTCTGAATGACAGTTATCCCCTCCCAGCCACCCCAAGGCAGATGGGGAGCTGGGGAGCTGGAAACAGGAAATAGAGGACATTCTTCCATTCACTCAGGCAACCTTTCATTCCTTCAACACACTTTTTTTCTTATTTCAAACCACCATAATAGGGGCTATGGAGAATGTGGAAAAAGATGACAGCATCTGCCCTTCAAAAATTTATAGTAGGCCGGGGGCAGTGGCTCATGCCTATAATCCAGCACTTTTGGAGGCCAAGGCGGGCAATCACCTGAGATCAGGAGTTTGAGACCAGCCTGGCCAACATAGTGAAACCCCGTCTCTACAAAAAATACAAAAATTAGCTGGGCATGGTGGTGCATGCCTGTAGTCCCAGCTACTCAGGAGGCTGAGGCAGGAGCTGAGGCTTGAACCCGGGAGTCGGAGGCTGAAGTGAGCTGAGGTCGCGCCACTGCACTCCAGCCTGGGCAACACAGCGAGACTCTGTCTCAAAAAAAAAAAAAAAAAAGAGTTTATAGTAGCCCAGAAGAAAAGTGATTCCACAAAGATGTTACACTTGTCTAGCATTTGTACATGAAATAAGGAGAAATCACGGTATTTCATGTTTACTCTTGCCTTTCACGTGAGGGACCTGAGTGTGAACAGGACCAGAACCTGCATCTTCAGATTACAGGCCTACCTACAGCACTTCTCATTCTGCCAACCTGCCTCTTGAGTACAGGAGCCCTGTAACTAAAGGATGTAATTTGTTATTTGATAGATACAGCATTTATTTCTGAGTTTTTAAAAATTAGCTTGGGCAGGATGCAATGGCTCATGCCTTTAATCCCAGCACTTTGAGAGGCCAAGGCAGGAGGATTGCTTGAAGCCAGATTTGAGACCAGCTGGGACAAGAAGTGAGACCCCTGTCTCTACAAAAATTTTAAAACATTAGCTGGGCATGGTGGTGCATGCCTGTGGTCCCAGCTACTTGGGAGGCTGAGGTGGGAGAATTGCTTGAGCCCAGGAGGTTGAGGCTACAGTGAGCTGTCATCATGCCACTGTGCTCCAGCCCAGGCAACAGAGTGAGACCTCTAAATAAATAAATAAATTAGCTTGGTCATTGACTTGGACCCATTTGTAACTCTGCCACTAACTATACAGCCTTGGAACAGTCACTTTACTTCTTTGAACCTCAGTTTTCCCATCTGCCAAGTAGGAAACCAACAGATTTTAAAAATGTGAGACTCCACATCCAAAATAATTTCAGAATGACAAAAATACATTTCATAATCATAAAGCGCCTTTTAAAACAAGAAGTTACGTTGAATTAAATATTTATTCAGCAGGCATCCTGGGAGACCTAGGGTAATGGCTACCCTTTTTTTTTTAGACGGAGTCTCGCTCTGTCGCCCAGGCTGGAGTACAGTGGCACAATCTTGGCTCACTGCAACCTTCACCTCCCAGGTTCAAGCAATTCTCCTCTCTCAGCCTCCCAAGTAGCAGGGATTACAGCCGGGCACCACCATGCCTGGCTAATTTTTGTATTATTAGTAGAGACAGGGTTTCACCATGTTGGTCAGGCTGGTCTCGAACTCCTGACCTTGTGATCCACCCACCTCGGCCTCTCAAAGTGCTGGGATTACAGGCGTGAGCCACTGCGCCCGGCCAATTGCTACCATTTTTTGAGCTCCTGCTAAGTTCTGCACATGTATATGCCTACAAAGTGGGTATTGTTTTTTGTTTATAGATGAAGAATCCACCTTAGGTGAGATCTGGCAACTTTCCCAAAGTCACATAGTATGTGGCAGGGGTGAGATTAAAACCCAGGCCTGTTTGGCTCTTAAAGCTGTGTTCTGTCTCCTGCATCACATAGCCCCTAATATCTGTAAGAATTGTGTGCTCTTATTCACTTAACAAATTTATGGCCAGGCACGGTGGCTCATGCTTGTAATTCCACTTTGGGAGGCTGAGGCAGGAGGGTCACTTGAGGTCAGGAGTTTGGAACCAGCCTGGGCAACATAGCCAGAACTCATTTCTTTTTTTTTTTTTTTTTTTTTTTTGAGACAGAGTCTCACTCTGTCGCCAAGTACAGTGGTGCGATCTCAGCTCACTGCAACCTCCACCTCCTGGGTTCAAGCGATTCTCCTACCTCAGCCTCCTGAGTAGCTGGGATTACAGGCGCGCACCACCACACCCAGCTAATTTTTGTATTTTTAGTAGAGACGGAGTTTCACTATATTGGCAAAGCTGGTCTCAAACTCCTGACCTCATGATCTGCCCACCTCGACCTCCCAAAGTGCTGGGATTACAGGTGTGAGCCACCATGCCCGGCCTCATCTCTTAAAAAAAAAAAAAATTACACTGAATACCAGACCCAACCCTTTGTTCCTATGGAGCTCATGTCCTAGTGGGAGACACTCACGTTGACTGCACAGTCACTGACATGGATGTAAAAGTGCCATGGGATTCAGTGCTGTGAAGGGAAGATCCGTAGTTCTTTGAAAGCATAATTGGGGAGGGAATCTGACTGAGTCGGGGAGGGCAAGAGAGGCTGTGTGGTTGGAGTGAGGAGCAAAGTAGGACGAGGTAAAGAGGCCAGCAGGGATCAGAGTTGCAGGGCCTCACAGATCACGTGTGAGGTGTTGGATGTAGAAACATGAACTCACAATCTAACAGGGAAACAGACATGTAAACAGACAAGGGAGGGACAGGCATTCCAGACAGAGGGAACATTGTGTGCAAGGGCGTGGTGGGGTGAAATAGATGGAGTAGGGAGGCAGCGCAAGACTTTGGCCCTGTGAGAGTCCCACGTGCATCTAGGAGAACGACGGCAGAGGAGGCTTTAAGTAGTCAGAGATCTTGGATACCTTGCACACGGTCTGGGCTCCTGGAGATGAGGATATACTGGAGAATTTTGGGAAAGGAAGAGGTCACATTTGCATTTTAACTAGTGCATTTGGGCAGTTTTGAGGAGCATCATGCCGGGAGCCTGAGATACCAGTTACAGATTGATCACAAGAGACCAGGCAAGAAATGGTGACGGCAGGAACTGAGATGTGACAGTGCAGATGGTAAGGAGAGAGAGTAAGGGACGAGATCAACCAAGGCTCTGACCTAGGTGCCCTAATGCTATTAACCAGGCTGGGAAATGCAGGGAAAGGGCAGATAATGAGTGCAGTCATGCAAGCCTGGTCCTATGGCACATCCAAGAGAAGGTGTCCAGAAGGCAGGCGAATAATCTAACTCAGTGCTCAGGTCAGAACTCTGGGCTAGATTTAGATCTGGCACCTTCAGCCTATGTCTGATGGTATGAGCATGGCTAAGATCACCTAGGGAAGATGGATAGGGTGGGAAGGCCAAAGCTTTGGGGATGTCAACATTTAAAGGCCCTGGGGCCAATAAGGAAGGAGACTGAGAAGAGGTGTTTGGGCCAGCAGAGATTCTAGCCAACATGAGGATGTCACAAGGTTTGTTTCTTCTGGGTCTGAGAGCTTCAAGTCAGGTTTTTGTTTTCTTTCTTTGTTTTTGTTTTTGAGACAGGGTCTTGCTCCATTGCCCAGGCTGGAGTGCAGTGGCTCGATCTCACTCATTGCAACCTCTGCCTCCCTGGTTCAAGGGATTCTCCTTCCTTGAGTAGTTGGGATTACAGGTGTCCACCACCATGCCCAGCTAATTTTTTTTTTTTTTTGAGATGGAGTCTCGCTCTGTCCCCCAGGCTGGAGTGCAGTGGCTCCATCTCAGCTCACTGCAAGCTCCGCCTCCTGGATTCACGCCATTCTCCTGCCTCAGCCTCCTGAATAGCTGGGACTACAGGTGCCCACCACCATGCCCGGCTAATTTTTTTGTATTTTTAGTAGAAATGGGGTTTCACCATGTTAGCCAGGATGGTCTCGATCTCCTGACCTCGTGATCCGCCCGCCTCAGCCTCCCAAAGTGCTAGGATTACAGGCGTAAGCCACCATGCCCGGCTAATTTTTGTATTTTCAGTAGAGACAGGGTTTCACCATGTTGGCCAGGTTGGTCTTGAACTCCTGACCTCAAGTGATCTGCCCACCTCAGCCTCCCAAAGTGCTGGGATAACAGGTGTGAGCCACCGCACCTGGCCCAGAATTTTTATTTTTCTTATTTCAGTTGTGAGAATTAAATGAGACAGCATATGACACTCACTATGACCTGGTGCTAGACTAAAAGCTTGGTAATAGTAGCTATTATTTTATCCAATAAATTATTGAGCATCTACTACATGCAAAGCAGATAGTCTGCAGAGACTCAGCCTCCAGCTTCAGGGAGCCTACAGTCTAGGGGGCCACATTCTGCTATCGCTCCCTAAGGAACATTTCTCTTTAGTCTTGGGCTTCTGCTGTGGGCTGGGAGCCTAGGTGTCCCCAGTGCACAGAAGTGCCACTTCTCCCCCAAACCCCGAAGTACCACTGTTAATCGTGTCTGCTTACAAATCTGACATCTAGGACCAGGTGGAGTGGTTCACACCTGTAATCCTAGCACTTTAGGAGGCTAAGGTGGGAGAATTGCTTGAGCCAGCCTAGGCAAGATAGCCAGGCCCTATCTCTACAGAAAATTTTAAAATTAGTCTGGTGTGGTAGCATGCACCTGTAGTCGCAGCTACTCAGGAGGCTGAAGCGGGTGGATCACTTGAGCCCAGAAGTTTGAGGCTGCATAAGCTGTGATCACCCCACCGCACTCCAGCCTGGACAACAGAGTGAGAACCCATCTCAAAAAACAAACAAACAAAAAAAAAACCAAATCTGATATCTGGGATAATTGTTGGGTACCTACTGTAAATCTGCTGCAGGGTCCATTCCCCCGTTCTGTAGGATGGGCTTGGCAGGAGCAGAAATCTCAACCTAACAGGAGAGCAGAGAAAATAGCTGTTGGAGTGGAAAGAAACCTGGTCTGGGGCTCCAAATGTCTGGGCTGCAGGCCTGGCTCCAGCCCCACTGGCCCAGTAGCTTAGGCAAGTCACCATCCCTTCCTTAGCTGCAGCTTTTTCATCAGTAGAAAGGGATCATAAAACAATTTATTGATTTTACCCTTGAGCCAGATGTAGGAGGCTGTGAGAATATGATGCTTGGATCATTGAAACTCTCCTTGCTTCATGCCACCCAAACAAGATGAAAGACTTGTGTGTCACAGATAAGTGAAATGACAGTCAGCAACATCCAACACACACAGGCATGCTCAGGAGAGGAGAGCACGGAGAACTTCTCCCCGCTAAGGAAACCTGGGGAGATTGCCTAGGGCTCCCACTCCCCGCAAAATATCCTCCTGTCTCTGGCCTTTCACCTTCCCCCGTCACAGTTTAGGTAATCACACATGTCCAGGTCTCCTTGCACGTTTTCCTCTAGAGCCCTTGCTTTCCAGAGAAGCTGTCCCCTCTGTCCTTGAGGGCTAATCTAAGGGACAATGCCTGGTATGGTGACTCCCGAGGGAATTCCCCCTGCTCCAATGAGCCTGCCAGAGGACAGGTCCCCTCTTTGTTTCCTCAATTCTGGGTCAGTGTTCTTTCCTTTTCAAAGCACTGAGGTCCCTCCACCCTAAAGAGGGAAGGGCTATGTGTATCTGTTTAGGAGACAGAGATCAAGGAGGAGGACTTAATTTCAGATACTTTAGGAGCCTCAATGGTTTTATTCTCTAAGCAAAAATGTTCTGCTCTAAACGGGGTGGGTCCTAGATACTTTGTGGAAAACAGGTCTGAGCATTCAGAGAATCAGTCTCCTTGGCTCCCCTCTCCCCTGACCCACACAATATGCCTCTGCTTTAGGTGAATTCACCTTTCCTCCTCTCTCCCTGAACCTGTCCATCAAGACCTTGAATCCACCTTCAGGTGAGGTATCAAATTCCTTCTCCCTGCACTCCATCCTCCATTTAGATCTCAGGGAAATGACCCTTAGAAATGGGCCACAGACCGGGCACAGTAGTAATCCCAGCACTTTGGAAAGATGAGGCTGGTGAATCACTGGAGCCTAGGAGTTGGAGACCAGCCTAGGCAACATGACAAAACTGTCTCTACTAAAAATTTAAAAATCTTAAAAATAAAAATAGCCTGGTGTGGTGGTGCATGCCTATGGTCCCAGCTACTCAGGAGGCTGAAGTGGAAGGATCACCTGAGTGGAGGCTGCAGTGAGCTGTGATCCTGCCACTGCACTCTGGCCTGGGCAACGGGAGTGAGACACTATCTCAAAAAGAAAGAAAAAAAGAGAAGGAGAGAGAAATAAAAGTAAGAGAGACAGAGAGAGAGGAGAAAGAGAAAGAGGGAGAAAGAGAAAGGAAGGAAGGGAGGGAAGGAAGGAAGGAAGGAAGGAAGGAAGGAAGGAAGGAAGGAAGAAGGAAATAAAGAAATGGGCCACCAAATAATCAGGAGACCTAGGACTCCTGGAATTCCAATTCCTGACAACTTGTAGGTTCCTTCAGTGCACCCTGCCCCACCCCTGCCAAGTTCCAAGGCTGCCCCTGGCTTTGGGGCAGAGGAGGAAGGAGACTTAGCAGAGCATAGCTGTTACCCCTTTATCTCTCCAATGTCTTTCTTCAAGGTCTCTGGCAGGCAAAATGGGCCATAAAAGGATTAAACAGATGTAACAGATGATCTATTAATTAAGGGCCTTCATTGGCCCAAGCCTGGGCTGAGCAAGACCAAGGTGTGGGCTGCTCAGAGCCAAATGGGGAAACAGGATCTAGAAAGCCAGTGCTAGGTTTGGCTAGTGAGGTTCTTGGGTGACTCTGCCTTCTAGAACAGGAAATAAATGTCCCTAGGAATGAACGGTTTCGATATTTTGTCTTCCAGAACCTTCTAGAACCTAATGCCAAGGGGAGAGGAATAGGGAAGCCTGAATCATAGCTCTGTAGCTATGGAGGGGTCCTTGGGGTGATGGGTGTGGGGGTGCTCCCTTGGGAGGGAGGAAAAGGTAGGTTGGCTTCCCAGCTGGAGCTCCCCTCCTGCTCCAGCAGAGCCCCACTCTTCCACCCTGGCTGCCCCCCTCCCATCTTCTCACTCTGCTCTTTCTTTTCCCCCTTCCTCATTTTCTACTCCTCCTTCTCCCTCTTGCTTCTCCCAGAATGTCTCTCCTTTCTCTCTAGGCTGGGCCACCTCACCCCCTCCCCTTCCCCTTTCCTGTAACTGAAGCTGTTGTTGGGAGTTGGAGGAGCTGGGCTGGTTTGAAAGGAGGCCCTGCTGCTTTTCAGGGAGGAATTGAAACTGTGGAGCTGGGGGTGAGGGGAGGCAGCAGAGGGGGAGGGGGGTGACTTGAGAAATCAAAGCGGCTGCAACTCCATCTGGGAAACCAACTTTGATTTACTAGCAAGGACCTGGCTCTCCCACTACCCCCACCCTTGCCCACTCCCCCTCCTTCCCTGGACTTTGCTTTGTGGTGATAACTGGGGGAAGGGGGGACGGACCCCCTTCCAACATGGAAGCCTGCTCTTAACCTGGGAGGACCAGCCTAGAGGAAGAAGGCCTGGGGGACTCTGCTCAGTCAGGCTGCAGATGCGGCTGAAGGGGGCCCAGCATCTCAGGAACTGGGTAGGAGAATGGATACCCCTGGGAAGGAGGAAAGCCTATTGGCCAGGCAGCCTGGCCCAGGCAGACTCAGCCCTGCTCTGGCTTGGGGCGACCCCCTCCCTGAGATGTGGGGCTGGGATGGGGGCACAGAGGAAGAAGGCCAGGGCTTTTTCATTTATCTATGGCCTTCCCCTCAGAACTGGGGGGCTTAGGGTCCAAGGCTGCCTGGTAAGAGCCAAGAAAAGAAAATGACTGAGAAGGAAAAAGGAACATCTATTGTAATAGACTATTTTGTGTTGAAATTCAATGTGAGCTATGGAGGACATTGGGTTCTGGTAGGGACTTGAGGCCATTTTGGGTGGAAGTGCTACCTTTCTCCTCCCTTCCTCTCTTGTACCCTCTGTTTTACTTTTCTTCTCCTCTGTCCAATTCTTAAACCCCTCAAGGTTGAAGGGGCTCTCTAACCAAACCCCTGCAATAGAAATAGGATCCCGAAGGTCCTAAACCCCCGGGGCCAGGGTAGAAATTCAGAACAAAATGAGTCATAACTTCAGGAAATGCTTATTCATGTTGTCAGCTGACTCCATCCAGTCCTCCTTGGTGGGGTGGTGAGTTTAAATCCCTGGACTCCTGGGTTCTAGGCAGACCCCCCCCTTCTCCTGAGCCTCCATCACAGCAGCATTTTTCAGGGTTCAGCATCCAACTTTCAGGACTAGCTCTTAGGAGAGAAAGGGACTAATTCAGCACAAATCTAGCCTTTTCTGCTCACTGCTAACCTTTCACTGCTCAAATCTAACCTTTCACTGCTCACTGTAGTGTCTGGGACTGCCCCATCAGAGCTCCTGCCCAGGGATAAAGTTTCTGAAAGCTGAGTCCACATGCATCAGTCCACATGCTGAGTCCATTATGGCAGGAGGGGAAATGGGAACTGGGGTTTGCCTGTTAGGAATATAGATTCCTGGGCCCTGCCCACTTATCCAAATATACCATCCCCAAGTGATTCGTACGTTCACTCTAAAGCTATCTGCTTTCCAAACCTCCAGACCATTCAATTAGCTTTCAGAGCCCTAGTTACTTTTTTTTTTTTTTTCTCTTCCAGATGAGGTCTTGTTCGGTCACCCAGGCTGAAGTATAGTGGCACGATCACAGCTCGCTGCAGCCTCAAACTCCTGGGCTCAAGAGATCCTCCCACCATTCCCACCACCTTCCTATACTGCAGAGGTTGGAAGCCAAAAACCTCACCTCTCAGCCTCCCTTGCAGCTAGAGCTCTGGATGCAAAATACGCTTATTTGAGATTTGGAAGGTGGAAGGGAAATGAGGTCATGTTCTTGCTGCAGTGGCAATTTCTAGTGATCCCTAGGTGCAGTTACCTTGGCTTAATTACAATGGAAGCCTTTTTTTTTTTTTTTTTTTTTTTTGATAGAGTTTCACTCTGTCCCCCAGGCTGGAATACAATGGTGTGAACTTGGCTCACTGCAACTTCCCACTCGCGGGCTCAAGCGATTCTCAGGCCTCAGCTTCCTGAGTAGCTGGGATTACAGGTGTGCACCATCACACCCAGCTAATTTTTGTTTGTTTAGTAGAGACAGGGTTTTGCCACGTTGGCCAGGCTGGTCTCAAACTCCTGACCTCAAGTGATCTGCCTGCTTTGGCCTCCCAAAGTGCTGGGATTACAGGCATGAGCCACTGCAACCGGTCCCAATGGTAGCCTCTTGATCCCCCTACCTGCTAGTGGCAGAGGTAGCAGCTTCTACTGGAGGGTCATTTCTGTGGCTTCGTGACAAAGTCTACTCCTCCAGGCCATCCAAGTTTCACAAACACCTAGTTTCCTGCTTGTTTTAGTCTGCTTGGGCTCCATAACAAAATACTACAGATTGGATAGCTTAAATGACAGAAATTTATTTTCTCATAGTTCTGGAAGCTGAAAGTCTGAGATCGGGATGCCAGCATGGTTGGATTCTGGCGAAGGCTTCCTTCCTGGCTTGTAGATGGCCACCTTCTCAGTGTTCATGTGGCCTATCATTGGTGTGTGTAGGTGGGGAGAGAGAGGTTTCTCTCTGTTCCCCTTATAAGGCCACCAATCCTATCAGATTAGGGGTGGGGACCCTCCAACCTCGTTTAACATTAATTACCTCCTAAAACCCCTATCTCCAAATACAATCACATTGAGGGTTAGGGCTTTAACATATTAATTTTGTGGGGCCATAATTTAATTTCGTCTATATGTATTGCATCTTTTTTTTTTTTTTTGAGACGGAGTCTTACTCTGTCACCCAGGCTGGAATGTGCAGTGATGCGATCTCGGCTCACTGCAGCCTCGACCTCCCAGGATCAAGCAATCCTCCCATCTTGGCCTCCTGAGTAGCTAGGAGCACAGACACATGCCTGGCTAATTTTTTCTATTTTGGGTAGAGATGGGGTTTCACCATGTTGCCCAGGCTGGTCTGGAACTCCTGAGCTCAAGCAATCTGCCTGCCTCGGCCTCCCAGACTGTTGGGATTACAGGCATGAGTCACTGCACCTGGCCTGAATCTCTTTTTTTGATAAAATACCTAGAGCCATTCCACCACTGTAAATCCTTGAAGTCCCCTTCTCTGTGGTGCTTCCCTGATACCACCCCTGTCCTTTCCCTGAGTTGATGTTTATCTTATGGCATTTAGCATGTGGCATGTGTTACCTACATATGTCTAACTACAGCCTCCCCACAGCCCAACAAGATAATCTCTTGAGGGCAGAGGCTGTGTCTTAGTTTTTGTGCATACCTTAGTGCCTTGCATATCATAGGCACCCAAGAAAAAATTGTTAAATGAATCAATGCTCTCTGTAAATAGGGCAAGGTCTGAAGAACTCCCTGAGCTGGGTAATCTAGAGACACAAGCATCCTGCCCTGGACAGCGAGCCCAATTCCCTTTCCATACATTCTGCCCTGCCTCTGAAACCCACACTTAGGGAGGGGAGAAGCTCAGCTCTGAGGATGAAAAATGAGCAAGGTTTCTAGGACGCAGATTTCTAGTCTCCAGTTTTGACAAGTATCTAGTTTCTCAAAGCCACATTTAATTACAAATATGCCCTGTCTCTACAAAAAAAAAAAAATTAGCTGAGCATGGTAATGTACACCCATAATCCCAGCTACTGGGAAGGCTGAGGCAGGAGGACCTCTTGAGCCCAGGAGGTCGAAGCTGCAGCGAGCTGTGATTGCAGCACTGCACTCCAGCCTGGGTGCCAGAGCAAGATCCTGTCTCAAAACAAAACAAACAAAAACAAATCTATTCTGATCTCCAATCTGAGAAGGGGTGAAGTGACAAATAAATCTGACATCATCGTGAGAACCCATGAAGTGGACGTAGGACACCTGAATGCTCGTGTCCTGGTCTTGGTGCTTAATACTTTTCTGACCTTCAGTGAATCTTTTCTCTGAGTATCAGTTTCTCCATCTGAAGAATGGGCACAATAAGTCTGTCCTGTTCCCTGTGAAGTGAGGACTGAAAGAGAAACTGGATTTGTAGGGACAGTTGCTTTGGGAAAGGAAGCTCAGATGGTACATGCTGCTTTGTAACCCAGAAGCAGAATATTAGCCAGAGGTCAGCCTGGGAGCCTGGACACAGGCACCTAGGGCAGACCTAGTCACGAGGCAGCATGCTAGGCAGACCACTGTCCTGGACTTGGACTCAATGGATTCAGCTCTGCTTCCTCACTGCATTCCCTGAGATAGGTCACTCTCCCTTTCTGAAGCTCTGACTCTTCATCGATAAGATAGGGACACTAATCTTCTCTTGAAGGGTGGGGAAGATAAGATGAAGTGGTAAGTGACTTCACATAGTGGATGCTCAATATAAGCCTTTAGTGTTGGTTTTTCCTGCTCTCAGGCAGAGGCAGCTGGAGAAGGAAGTTTGCTGGGGAGTTGGGGCAGGTGTCAGACTTCTAAGACCCTGGGGGTTGGTTGCTTTCTCCCGTGACTGGATCACTGATTAATCCTTGAGGAATCTCGAGGCCTAAGGGTTGGTAGTCTAGAGGGACAAATATGTGAATACTGGTTAAAGAAAGAAAAAATCTACAAGGGACTTCAGTTTTGGGGATAGACTGATATAGCCTCTTTGAAGCTGGGGCTGACCCAGTCACTCTGCAAGCATCTGGTTGTGCATACCTTAGTGCCCCTCCTCCAAACTCTTCCAAACATCTCTAAGGGTCCCAAAAGGGTAGAAATGGACTCATTCAGAAGTGAAGAAAGAGATCAGGGCCGCAGCTCTCCATAGCTCCTGTCAGGCCCCTTGGGAGGAGCCTGAATGCTGGGGCAGCTTGTGGGGGGGACTCCAATGATGGAACCAGGAGAGGCAGTTCCTACCTTGTGGATGGGGGTCACTAGGAAGGGAAGAAAAACACTTCCCTCCTCTCCCCGGGAAGCTTTCCTTCCCTGCAGCTGGTGCCCCAAGGATCCCCGCCCCCCATCCCAGGCCCTTCCCTTAGAGAGAGCCTGCTGAGCCTGGAATGAGAAGAATCTGAACTACAAACAGACCTCCCAGAGGCACCCCCAACTCTTCTCTAACCACTTCTAGCCAGCAAAAGGCTGGCTTCCTGGAGTGGAGGCAGGACTGGGGTTTGGGCCTTGGAGAAGGGGCCTAGGTAGGGGCGGTGGGGGGATATTTTTTCCTGGAGAGAGAGGGGAGGGAAAGGTTGAGGTCAAGATAAGGACCAGGTCATACAAGAACCATTTTCCAGGCAGGGCACGGTGGCTCAGCACTTTGGGAGGCCAAGGTGAGCAGATCACTTGAGGCTAGGAGTTTGAGACCAGCCTGGCCAACATGGTGAAACCCCGTCTCTACTGAAAATACAAAATTAGCCAGGTGTGGTGACAGGTGCCTGTAGTTCCAGCTGTTTGGGAGGCTGAGGCACAAGAATCACTTGAACCCAGGAGGCAGAAGTTGCAGTGAGCCGAGATCATGCCACTGCACTCCAGCCTGGGCGACAGAGCGAGACTCCATCTAAAAAAAAAAAGAACCATTTTCCAAACCAAAAATCATCAGAACCAGCGAGAGTATACTTGCAGGGGCTATGAAATTGGGGGTGTGAAATTAAGCCTGCCCCAGAATGATCCAAGCTATGAGGTCTGTGCCCCAAGAGTGACAAGCAATTGCCCAAATCCAAATACAACCTAGGAAGACAGAAAGAAACTGTTGGCGCCCCTGCCCCCACCCCCACCCCCTTGGCCTCTCTCTCTTCCTGTCTGAAACATTCAGTTGAGGTGGCCTCCAGGGCACACGCTCTCCCAGCCCTGTCTGGGCTGCATAACTGAGTCTAAGAAACCTGTGAATGGGCTTTGGGGAGTTGAGGGCAGGGGTTGGAAGCAGAGGGAAGATGGAGACACCAGCCAAAAGGACAGATGGCACAGAGCCAGAGGAGCCCCTCATGCCTGCCACACTTCCCCAGACCCTGGCCTTCTGCCCACTGTCCCCCTAGCATCCCTCCTCTCACCTGGACCCAGTCTGGGGCTTTGATGTGAGTCAGCCAGGGCTGTCAGTGCCCAGGGATGCCAGGCAGTGTACCAGTGGGGGAACCCTGGGGAGGGGACCAGGGAGGAGAGGCTGCTGGAGCTGGAAGCCGCCTTAGGCACGATGACCTCTTTGCAGGGGCCTCTCTCTCCAGCTTGTATAACACAGCTCCTGCCAAGGGTGGTATAGAAAGGCACAGAGCCCACAGCGGGCTGGGGAAGGCGGCTGAAAAGGCAGCTTAAGGGCTTCCTGCTGGGTGAGATGGATTAGGGGCCTGTGAGGAGGGAGCCGGGCAGTGAGAAAGGCACCGGCCCAGCGCCAGAGCCCCTTGGCCAAGACCCTCTGGGAGCAGGAGGCCCTAGGTGTCTGGCAGGAGGCAGTCAGATCAGCATCCTCCACTTGGCCGAGGGGCTGGGAGGATGGGGATCCAGCCGGAGCGACACACAGGGATGGGGAGCTAGACCCCGGGGCCCCCAAAATAGAGGGGGGAAGGAACGGAGGAGACATTTCTCGATGAAGAAGTGGACTTCTAGCAGGAAAAGGGAGGAGGGAAAGAACTGACTTGCCCAGCGATTCTATCCGTGTCATCCCGCTGCCTCTCAGAGTGAAGGTGTCATCCCAGAGGTTTTCTGCTGGGAGGGGAGGGGACAACCCTTCCTATCCTCCAGCCAGCCCTCTGCTTCTCAAGGACCCCAGTGTGGAGCTGAGAGAAGGGGACCCACATGGTCCTAAAGTTTCCACACAAGCACTGATTTAGGAGAAGAGTGCAGGTGGCCACTAAGACAAGCTGTGCTATTGAGAAACCCTGGGTGATACCTTGGACGGTGACAGTCTCCGGCTGGTTTTGCTCTGGCCTTGGGCTCCATTTGTCTAGTCTGTGAGATGGGATCCCTGAGGCCACACCATGGAGTGGGATGAGCATTGGCAGAGGTGTCAGGGGATCTGACTTAAGCTCTTGGAATCTTGATTTTTTTCACCAAATATAGAAAAGAAGAGTCTGTTCCATTGATTAGATAGTGTATCATTAAGAGATGACATGTGGCCCAGCGTTGTGGCTCACGCCTGTAATCCCAGCATTTTGGGAGGCTGAGGCGGGTGGATCACTGATGGTCAGGAGTTTGAGACCAGCCTGGCCAACATGGTGAAAACCCGTCTCTACTAAAAATACAAAAATTAGCCAGGAGTGGTGGTGGGTGGTAGTCCTAGCTACTCAGGAGGCTGAGGCAAGAGAATCACTTGAACCCAGGAGACGGAGTTCGCAGTGAGCCGAGATCATGCCACTGCACTCCAGCCTGGGCGACAAAGTGAGATTCTGTCTCAAAAAGAAGAAAAAAGAGAAAGAGATGTCACGTGCATTGTGGAAATTGCAAAGTGTGATATGGACATGAGGTATCACTATCCCTGAAGTGCTTGTGTGTGTGTATCCATCCTTTTGATAGATGTTCCAGGGGAGGGGAGGGGACACACTGAGAACCAGGGACTGCCATACGGGATGCGTTGCATCTTTCCATATCTTCACAAGGATTTTGAGAGGATGATATTGTCCCCATTTTACAGATGAGAAAACTGAGGCTCAATAGCTGATATAATTTGCCCAAGTTTATAGAAGCTCATAAAAGGGGGCATCTGAATTAGAAAGCAAGATTCTTGGGTCTCTAACAGGTTATGTGGCCCCAGGGTCTGGAAGCATTATTCGTAGGTCCCTATGTTTAGAGCAAAGATTTCCCCAAAGGTATGAGTCCTTCTTCTCCCTCTAGTTAGGCTCAGTTAGGAACTAACTTGGATTCACAAAATCCATCTCCTCAGAGTACAAAGGTTAGGGAGGGTTTGCAAAGTGGGTGAGAAAGTCTGAAATGGGCCCAGATGACCAGATAAGATACATGGCCAATGGGGACATTCTCTAGAAGGGGATCCAGGGATGGGTACTTCAGCCTCAGGGCATCCGTGGATCAGAGCTGCCCCGTCTCCCATCTCAGCGGGGCCAGCCCCCTTCTTTGTGCTCTTTTTTTTCCCACAGTCCAGCAAGGGGGGTACTGGGATCCCAGGCCCACCCCCTCCTGCTGGGCAGCACCCCATCAACCCCCACATAAAAAGCTTGAGAGTGGAGAAGGAGGGGGGCATTCTCACTCTGAGGAGGCCTCGGCACCCTTCTCCCTTTCTGGGGAACAAGAAACTTGCTGATGGCTTGGGCCCCTTCCCCAGCCCCTGGCCCCAGCCCTGGCTCCCCCAGACAAAAAGCTGCTTTACATGAGAAGAGCGGGCTGGCCTGGCCTTACCCGGGCACTCAAAGAGGCGGTAGCCCCTGACAGCCGCAAGACTGCCCCTTCCCCCACGCCGAGGCCTCGTTTAGTTGCAATTAGCAATTCTTTGCATATCCCCCCACGGGGCTGAGAGGGACGCTCGCCCTCACCTCCCAAACCCAGCCTTCAACCTTCCGAAGCCTCCCAGCCGCGGCTCCCATCACTCTCCCCTCTCCTCCCTCCTCCCCAGTCTCCTCACTGCCCCACCCCCAGCTCGCAAACTAGCTCATCGGCTTCCTGAGTTCTCCAAAGAGGGAGGCACCCAGAGGGGCCAAACCTAGGGTGCTCAGGGTCAGGGTGGGGGTGACCCCCTCCTCGATCCACACTGCCCCTTCCCTCCTCCTTTCCCACTTGCCACCCCCTCTCCAAATCAGGCGTAGCTTTTGGATCACTGGGAGGGGAAAGATAGAGGGAAAAGACATTTTAAGAAAGAGACCTGGGGCTCACGCCTGTAATCCCAGCACTTGGGGAGGCCGAAGCGGGCGGATCATGAGGTCAGGAGTTCGAGACCAGCCTGGCCAACACGGTGAAACCCCGTCTCTACTAAAAATACAAAAATTAGCCAGGCATGGTGGCGCACACCTGTAATCCCAGCTACTTGGGAGGCTGAGGCAGGAGAATCGCTTGAACCTGGAAGGCAGAGGTTGTAATGAGCCGAGATCGTGCCACTGCACTCCAGCCTGGGCGACGGGGGAAACAAAACAAAACAAAACAAAACAAAAAACAAAACAAAAAAAGAAAGAAACAGATCTGAGGGTGAATTGGTGGTGCAGAGATTCGGGGTGCTTGAGAAGGGGAGGAGGCTCTGTCTCGGAGGGAGTCGGGGACTCACCTCTTCTCCCCAGGCTGGTGGGCCTCTCCTTCATTCAGAAGGGCTTCTCTGCAGGGCTGGGGACCTAGAGCCCTCTGATGCCACACCAGCCAGGCAGTGGTAGGGTGGTGCAGCTTTGGAAAATGACTAAGAGGAAATAGAACCCCAGAGCTCTTGTGTTTAGGCTCACACAAATCCACTCCTCAGTATTTGGTCCACCTGAGGCGGGCGTGGGGGTGGGGGTAGGGGAGGGGAGGGAGAGTCAGGAACGTCTTCAAGCCCTTGATCCACATTAATTTTCCCCAGGGCCCTCCCCTCCACTCCCCCAAGTCTCCCGTGGACTTTTCCTGACCCCACCAAGGGGAGCCCCCGGTACAGCGGGTGCTCTAGAGCTGGCAGAGAGCAGGGGACCAGCCAGGCCTGCACTCCCCACACCCGTAGGACCTTCCTTTCCCTGTGGACTGAGACCAAGCATCCCTGGGGGAGAAGACCCCTTCTTTCAGCAATTCCATCCTTTAATTCTGCCCTGGCCTTAAGTGGGGGTCTGTGGGGAGTGGGGTATGATGTGCAACAAACACTTGTGGTCTACCTGGTGGTTAAGGGGCAGAGCAAGGCAGAGGGACTAAGCCCCCTCCCCTAGGGTCATCTCAGCTCCAAGTGTGGCTTTTATGGAGGACTCAGGGATTCCTGGCTGGTATGCTGCTGGTGAGGGGCATCTCCTAGGGGTCTCTAGGATTTATGGAAGGAAGAGGGCAGGACTGATTTAGAGGCATAGCAGAGGCTCATGGTTGAGCTGAGATGGGCTGGGTTATTTGGGGTAGTCCTCTCCCCATTTTAAGTATTGTAGTGTACCCTGCACTAGGGGGTGGGCAGGCATGGCTTAGGTTTAAGAGATAAAGGAGAAAGATCTGGCTCCTTTTGAGAGGTGAAGCTAGCTGGACTTTCTGGGTGGAGTGGGGGCTTGGAGAATTTCTTGGCTAGCTAAAGGATTGTAAATGCACCAATCAGCACTCTGTAAAAACGCACCAATCAGTGCTCTGTGTCTAGCTACAGGATTGTGAATGCAGCAATCAGCACTCTGTAAAATAGACCAATCAGCACTCTGTAAAATGGACCAATCAGCAGGATGTGGGCAGGGACAAATAAAGGAATAAAAGCTGGCCACTCCCCCCATCCCCACCCCCACTCCCAGCCAGGAGACCCAACCCGCTTGGGTCCCCTTCCCTGCTTTGGAAGCTTTGTTCTTTCGCTTTTCCCAATAAATCTTGCTGCTGCTCACTCTTTGGGTCCATGCCATCTTGAAGAGCTGTGACACTCACTGCGAAGGTCCACGGCTTCATTCTTGAAGTCTGTGAGACCAAGAACCCAAGAAGCCTGTAAGACCAAGAACCCATGGGAAGGAACCAACTCCAGACACACTTTTAACAACCTGTGATGGGCTCTCAAAACTCACATCTTAGGCTGGCGTGGTGGCTCACGCCTGTAATCCCAGCACTTTGGGAGGCCGAGGCGGGTGGATCACGAGGTCAGGAGATCGAGACCATCCTGGCTAACATGGTGAAACCCCGACTCTACTAAAAATACAAAGAAATTAGCCGGGCATGGTGTTGGGCACCTGTAGTCCCAGCTACTCAGGAGGCTGAGGCAGGAGAATGGTATGAACCCGGGAGGCAGAGCTTGCAGTGAGCTGAGATCGCGCCACTGCACTCGAGGCTGGGCGACAGAGCGAGACTCCGTCTCAAAAAAAAAAAAAAAAACCTCACATCTTTGGAACCTGGCCTGACATCTCAGAACCAGGGAGAAAACTGCAGATTGACTCTCAAAGAAGGGGTTCATTGGAGGCCTCAGGTGTTTCTGGAGAAGTAATCACTCATGATTATTTCCTAGGGAATTTGCCTCCCTTTCCCTTCAGAAGTCCCCAGCCATTGTTTGGGAAGAAAAAGTGCCATTTGTTTTTCATTTTTTTGAATTTTTAATTTTTAAAATATTTATATTTCATTTAAAAAAATAGAGACGAGGTCTCACTATGTTGCCCAGACTGGCCTCGAACTCCTGAGCTCAAGCAATCCGCCTGCCTTGGCCTCCCAAAGTGCTAGGATTACAGGCGTGAACCACTGCACCCAGCCTAAAAGTGCCCTATAAATGAAAGAAGGGATGTAAGTTCCCAGCTGGAGGTGAGGGGGTGGAAGAGGTAACTAGGAAAGTGGGAACTGAGGTCCTAGCCGGTGGGAGAGAGGCGCCATCTCGGGCTTCCTCCTCCAAATCTATCCCTGAGGCTTTCAGTACAAGCCTGGATTCCAGTTCCTCACCAGCGCCGGGCGAGGCTGGGCTTCTGGACCCCTGGGACGCTGCCTCATTCAGCTTGCTGAGAAGCTCCGGGTCTCTGGACCTGTGAAGACCTCGTGGCCACCCAGCTGCCCTGGGAGGAAGGAATTGAATGGGGGTCAAGTGTTGGGAGGTCTGGACAGGAAGCAGTTGTGAGCCAAAGGCAGGAAATGCTCCTTAGGAGCTGTCCTCCCACAGCTAACCTCCTCTGAGAAGATTGTTCACCACCCTCCCCTCCAGAGCAAGGAAATGAGGACAGAGGGAGAATGAGCCAGGGGCCCTGCCACTCACTGCCACCTCCCATTCCTGCTCACCAATTTCTGTAGTCTGTCCAGGTCCAGACCCTCCCTAGCCTAAGGTGTCTGGAGCTCCATCTGGCTGACAGCCCCTCTGTCTGGCCCCACAGTCAAGGCCCTCACAGTTTGTGGTCAGCAGGCCTTGTCTCCCTCCACTCACCCAGGAGCACTGGGCACCCAGCCCCACTGCTGGCTGGCCTTGCCTCCCTGGCCTTTGCTGTTTTGGCCTTCGTGTTTCCCTCTGCTCTTCTCCCCAGGGCAGAGTCCCACAAATCTTTAGAAATACAGCTGGAACCTGGAATCCGCTGAGACAGCTTCCCTGAAACTCTCTCCCTCAGGAGTTCCCGCCTCTGAGGTTCCTACACCAAGTTGTTCTCACTTCTTAAAACACAGACCACATGTTCCCCTGCTTTAGAATATTCAAATGATCCTGTCTGTCTTCCACTGAGCTGAGAGTTCCCAGAGCAGCTCTGCCCCACAGAAATAAGATGGAAGTCACAGATGCCATTTAAAATGTTCTATCCAGCCTGGGCAACATAGTGAGATCTCACCTGTTAAAAACAAACAAAAACCTACATAAAAGTTAGCTGGGTACAGTGATGCATACCTGTAGTCCTAGTCCCAATGACTGAGGAGTCTGAGGCAGGAGGATAGATTGAGCCCAGGAGTTTGAGGCTACTGTGAGCTATGGGAAAATTAATTTTTTGAGACAGGGTCTCACTTTGTCACCCAAGCTGGAGTGGAGTGGTGTGAACACAGTTCACTGCAGCCTCAACCTCCTGGACTCAGGCGATCCTCCCCCGCCCTCAGTCCCCACAAGTAGCTGGGATTGCAGGTGTGTGCCACCATGCCCAGCTAATTTTTGTATTTTTTGTAGACACAGGGTTTCACCATGTTGCACCGGCTGGTCTCGAACTCCTGAGTTTAAGCGATCCGCCCGCTTGGCCTCCCGAAGTGTTGGGATTACAGGCATGAGCCATCGTGTCTGGCTAAAATTAATTTTAATAATATATCTTATTTAACCCAATAGATCCAAAATACTATCATTTCCACGTGTAATCAATATAAAAGTTGTTAATGCTATATTTTACATTTTTTTCAAAAAGTCCTTAGAATTCAGTGTGTATTTTGCACTTTCAGCACATCTCAACTTGGATTAGTCCTGTGCTCTACAGTCATGTGGCTGGTGGGTAGTATATTAGCACAGTTCTAGAGAACAGGGATGGAGCCCTGTGTCTATACTTACATTAAGTCCAGATAATGTCTTGTTTAAAAAGCCCAGTTGTTTGGCCAGGCATGGTGACTCACACCTGTAATCCCAGCACTTTGGTAAAAGGTGAAAGATTTATACGATCTGAAGAGAAACCAGACTATACTCCCAGCACTTTGGAAGGCCGAGGTGGGTGGATCAGCTGAGGTCAGAAGTTCGAGACCAGCCTGGCCAACATGGCAAAACCCCGTCTCTACTAAAAATACAAAAATTAGCTGGGGGTGGCTGGGCGCAGTGGCTTACGCCTGTAATCCCAGCACTTTGGGAGGCTGAGGCGGGCAGATCACCTGAGGTCAGGAGTTCGAGACCAGCCTGGCCAACACGGTGAAACCCTGTCTCTACTAAAAATACAAAAAAATTGCCAGGCATGTGGTGGGCACCTGCAGTCCCAGCTACTCAGGAGCCTGAGGCAGGAGAATCGCTGGAACCCGGGAGGCAGAGGTTGCAGTGCGCTGAGACTGCACCATTGCACTCCAGCCTAGGCAACAGAGTGAGGCTCTGTCTCAAAAAAAAAAAAAGCCCGATTGTTGGAATCAGACTGCTTGGGTTTGAACACTGGCTCAATCACTAGCTGTGTGACCTTAGACATGTCCCATAACCACTCTGTGCCTTAACTGTCTCCTCTGTAAAACAGGCCTAACAACTCTCATAGAATTGCTGTGAGGATTAGGTAAAGAACTTAGATCAATGCCTGGCATACAGTAGGTGCTCACTAAAGGTTGGCTGTCTTCATCTTTGCAGGATGCTAACCTTGGCCCAAAACAATCATTTATTTATTTATTTATTTATGACAGGGTCTCTCATTCTATCACCCAGGCTGAAGTGCAGTGGGACGATCTCAGCTCACGGCAACCTCCACCTCCTGGGCTCAAGAGGTCCTCCCACCTCAGCCTCCTTAATAGCTGAGACTATAGGCACATGCCACCATGCCTGGCTAATTTTTAAGTTGTCTGTAGAAAAGAGGGTCTCACCACATTGCCCAGGCTGGCCTGAAACTCTTGGGCTTAAGCCATCCTCCTGCCTCCCAAAGTGCTGGGATTACAGGCCTGAGCCACCATGCCAGGCCTCTTGCCCCAAACAATCGTTTGCTGGAAGATTAAATGAGAAAAATAGTGCTTTGCCCTCCAGCCGATTGAGGCAGAAGTGAGAGCTGGGTGGGGCCAGTGAGTTTTGTCTGGAGAAGTTGGAATAGGATGGAAGAGGCGCAGGCTGTGGGTGGCGGGAGGCTCTCTGTAGGGCGAGATGGAGGTTTACAGCTGGGCTGCCACGGAATTTGGAAACTAACATCAGCATAAGGCCTGGATGATTCATTGCTGCAGCGAAGCTTCTGGGGTTCAAAGAAGGAAGGTCTAGAGGGCTGGAGCCTGCAGAAAACGCTTCAAGGAGCAGCGTGAGGTTTGAAAAGCCAGCGAGCAGCGGGTGATGTGGAGCTCCAAGCTCATTGCTTGGAGAAAAGGGCTGGTTGGGACAAAGGGTCTGATTGGAGTCAGGCCCGCTGCCTCTGGCGGGTGGCCTCCCTCGCTAGCGGTAGGCCTCGCGGGAGAGGGGAGCATCTGAGGATTGCATTTTAGGGCCACAGCGCCCTCTGCTGGACATGGGGACCTGGGGCAGCAGCACGAGTGGGAGCAGGTGACAAAATGTGCGGGAAAAGGTCTGTGCCAGATAGGGTCCTTCCCATTCCCAAGCACCCCTAGGAGGATCACACGATTGGAATCCCTTAACAAGTATAGGAAGTTTATAGAAAATGAGCAAGTCTTGAAGTGTAGCCACCTATTGGTTCATCTTTATTTGCTCACAGTTGGTGTAGATGAACGTGTACTACATTGAGTTTATTTCATCTCGTAATCCTTTGGAGTTATAGGACTGTGGGTTAGAGGCAAATAATAATAACAGCTAATGCTTGTATAGCCCTATGATGTGCCAGGTGCAATTTTATATTATTTTACAGATGAGGAAACTGAGGCACAGAGAAATTTAAATCACCAGCATAACATGACATAGCTGACATAGAAGAGCCAGTATGACTGCAGAGTGTGTACACAAAACCACCACTTCCTACTATTTCTCTGAAATAATCAAGGCCATTTTCCCCTTTACATGAGGTATGGTAAGTCCTGGGTGCTCCATGAATCTAGACCTTCCTAGTTCTGTTCCTGATTCTCAGACCGCTGCTAATTTTTTTTTTTTTTTTTGAGACAGGGTCTTGCTTGATTGCCCAGGCTGAAGTGAAGTGGCATTATCTTGGCTCACTGCACCCTTGACCTCCCTGGCTCAAGCAATCCTCCTGCCTTAGCCACTCGAGTAGCTACAGGCGTGTGCCACCATGCCTGGCTAATTTGTGTATTTTTTTAGGGACAGGGTTTTGCCATGCTGTTCAGGCAGGTCTCGAACTCCTGAGCTCAAGCAATCTGCCTGCCTCAGCCTCCCAAAGTGCTGAGATTACAGGCATGAGCCACAGCTCCTGGCTTAAAGAATTTTTTTTTTTTTTAAGTCAGGGCTGGCTGGGCGCAGTGGCTCACGCCTGTAATTCCAACACTTTGGGAGGCCAAGGCGGGCAGATCACTTGAGGTCAGGAGTTCGAAACCAGCCTGGCCAACATGGTGAAACCCCGTCTCTACTAAAAATACAAAAAAATTCGCTGGGCGTGGTGGCATGTGCTTGTAATCCCAGCTACTCAGGAAGCCAAGGAAGGAGAACTGCTGGAACCTGGAAGGCTGAGGTTGCAGTGAGCCAAGATCGCACCACTGCACTCCAGCCTGGGTGACAGAGCAAGCCTCCATCTCAAAAAAAAAGTCAGGGTTGACATTTATTGGTTTGTCATGCATGTCGGGGAGAAAAAGCCATCTCTTTTCTTCACCCATCACAAGGTTCATAGCTGACACCACTATAATAAAAGACAGATTAACAAAATAAAAGCATAACAAATTTACTTAACCAAAGTCTTATGTGATATAGGAGGCTTCAGAAATGAAGACCAAAGACCTAGGGAAAATAGTATATTTTTATGCTGAGTCTGAAGAAAGAAATGGATAGCTGTGGAAAAACATGATTAGAGGAAAAGGGGTATGATCTGATGGAAATAAACTGGGAGAGAACTCAGGAAGACCTATCTTTTCAGGTTCTTTTTTTTTTTTTTCCCGAGACGGAGTCTTGCTCTGTCACCCAGGCTGGAGTGCAGTGGCGTGATCTCGGCTCACTGCAACCTCCACCTCCCGGGTTGAAGCAATTCTCTTGCCTCAGCCTCCTGAGTAGCTGGGATTACAAGCACCCGCCACCACACCCAGCTAATTTCTGTATTTTAAGTAGAGACGGGGTTTTACCATGATGCCCAGGCTGGTCTTCAACTCCTGACCTCATGATCTGCCCACCTCAGCCTCCCAAAGTGCTGGGATTACAGGCATGAGCCACCGTGCCCAGCTTTTCAGGTTCTTTTTGTGTGCGTGTGCCTCTATATGACTTTCCTTCAACCTCCTCCCCCACCATTCCCCAGGTATGGTGCAGAACATCTGTCGCATGTGGGTCTTATGACCTAATTTCAGAGGAGATAGGTCAGAGAATTATTTTATAGATAGTGCTCACACAGAAAGGCCAGAGAAGGTCAGTGTGACCTCTGGAGGCTGAGGTGGGAGGATCGCTTGGACCTAGAAGAGTGATCGCCAAGGTACCATGTTTTGGGGTACTGTGTCCTGCACCCTGTCAGGAACTAGATATGTGGCATGCACTGTGCCGAGCACACTGTTGGATTGTCTCACTTAAGCCCAAGAATGGCCCTGTGAGACGACTATTATTATTTTCCTTCTTTGACTAATGGAGAAGTGTCCAGGCATGGCTTAGCTGGGTTCTCCACCCAAGGACTTGTGAGGCTGCATTCAAGGTGTTGGCTAGACCATGGTCTCATCTGGAGCTTTGACTGGAAAATGTGCTTCCAAATTCATTCAAGTTGTTGGCAGAATTCATTTCCTCATGGGTACAGGACCAAGGGTTCCAGCTTCTTGCTGGGTGTTAACTGAAAGTGAATCCTTTCCACGTGGGCTTTCCCAAGGTATCAGTCGGGGTCCTTCAGAGAAACAGTAGGATGCAAACATACAAACACAGCAAGACATTTATTCCAAGGAACTGGCTTATGCAACTGTAGGGGCCCGCAAGTCTGAAATCCACAGGAGACTGGCAGACTGGAAACTCTCAGGCAGGAGCTGATGCTGGAGTCTTGTGGCAGAACTTCCTCTTCCCTTTCTTAGGGAAGCTTTAGTTTTGTTCTTTAGTCCTTTCAACTGATTGGATGAGGCCCATCCCCGTAGTCGAGAATAATCTTTTTTTTTTTTTTTTTTTGAGACAGAGTCTCGTTCTGTTACCCAGGCTGGAATGCATTGGTGTGATCACGGCTCACTGCAGCCTTGACCTCCTGGGCTTAATTGATCCTCCTGCCTCAGCCTCCTGAGTAGCTGGGACTACAGGTGCACACCACCACATTTAGCTAACTTTTGTATTTTTTGCAGAGATGAGGTTTTGCCGTGTTGCCCAGGCTGGTCTTGAACTCCTGCGCTCAAGGCATCCTCCCACCTCGGCTCCCAGCTGAGATTACAAGTGTGAGCCACTGCACCCAGCCTGTTGAAAATAATCTTTATTTATGGTCAACTGATTGTGGCTATTAACCACATCTATAAAATACCATCACAGCAACACCTAGATTAGTGTTTGATAGAATAATTGGGACCTACAGCCTAGCCAGGTTGATGCATGAAACTAACCATCACACCCAACCTGGCTGCTCGCTTCACTAAGCCAGCAAGGAGAGTCTCTAGAGTGAGTTGGCCAGCAAGGAGTCTTATAAAATGTAATGAAATCGAGTGACATCTCATCCCTTTTGCCATATTCTATTGGTTAGAAGCAAGTCATGGAGCCAGGCACAGTGGCGGCATGTGCCTATAATCCCAGTTACTTGGGAGGCGGAGACAGGAGGACCGCTTGAACTCAGGAGTTCAGGAGTTCAAGACTAGCCTGGGCAAAATAGTGAGACCCCCCATCTCTTTTTAACAAAAAAAAAAAAAAAAAAGCAGCAAGTCATGGGTCCCACCCACAATCAAGGGAGGGGATTTCATGATGGTGGTGAATGCCAGAAGGTAGAAACATCTGTCCACCACAGAAGCTAAGGTTCAGGGAGCTTAGGAAGAGGCCTAGGGTCACGGTGGTGGTAAAACCGGTGGCCTGTTAATGGCCCTGCTGGAAGAGGCCCCTGTCCTGTTCCCTGCTGGTTGCACTTCCTTATGCTGACTCAGGTGTGTGCTGAGGTTCCTGGCTCTCTCCCACACTCCTTAGACAACTCAGCCTTTCCTAGGTTCCACTGTCACAGATAGGTGAGGTTTAAAGTTCGCTTACTTCCTTTACTTACCTTCCTCTTGGATCCTAGAACACTAACTTCATTACATCATTTATGTTGTACATTCTTTTTTTAACCTCACTGGACACCATTACTACTGTTTATGTAGTCAGTACTTGTTTAGATTCATCTACATATCTGTACTCTTCATTTCTTTTTAAAATTATTATTATGGTTATTATTATTTTGAGACGGAGTCTCACTCTGTCACCAGGCTGGAGTGCAGTGGCGCAATCTTAGCTCACTGCAACCTCTGCCTCCCAGGTTCAAGTGATTCTCCTGCCTCAGCCTCCCGAGTAACTTGGACTACAGGTGTGCGCCACCAGGCCCAGCTAATTTTTGTATTTTTAGTAGAGATGGAGTTTCACCATGTTGGCCAGGATGGTCTCAATCTCTTGACCTCATGATCCCCCCGCCTTGGCCTCCCAAAGTGCTGGGATTACAGGTGTGACCACCATGCCCGGCCTTAAAATTATTTTTTTTATTGTGATGTAATTCACCATTTTAGGCTGGGCATGGTGGCTTACACCTGTAATCCCAGCACGGAGAGGCCAAGGTGGGAGGATTACTTGAGATCAGGAGTTCGAGACCAGCCTGGCCAACAAAGTGAAACCTTGTCTCTACTAAAAATACAAAAAAAAAAAAAAAAAATTAGCTGGGCATAGTGGTGGACACCTGTAATCCCAGTGTGTCTGGAATTGGTGGGTTCTTGGTCTCACTGACTTCAAGAATGAAGCCGCGGACCCTCACGGTGAGTGTTACAGCTCTTAAGGTGGCACGTCTGGAGTTTGTTCCTTCTGATGTTCGGATGTGTTAGGAGTTTCTTCCTTCTGGTGGGTTTGTGGTCTCGCTGGCTCAGGAGTGAAGCTGCAGACCTTCCCGGTGAGTGTTACAGCTCTTAAGGCAGCGCGTCTGGGTTGTTCGTTCCTCCCGGTGGGCTCGTGGTCTCGCTGGCTTCAGGAGTGAAGCTGCAGACCTTTGCAGTGAGTGTTACAGCTCATAAAAGCAGTGTGGACCCAAAGAGTGAGCAGTAGCAAGATTTATTGCAAAAATCAAAAGAACAAAGCTTCCACAGTGTGGAACAGGACCCAAGTGGGTTGCCACTCTTGGCTCGGGCAGCCTGCTTTTATTCTCTTATCTGGCCCCACCCATGTCCTGCTGATTGGTAGAGCTGAGTGGTCTGTTTTGACAGGGCACTGATTGGTGCGTTTACAATCCCTGAGCTAGATACAAAGGTTCTCCACGTCCCTATCAGATTAGTTAGATACGGAGTATGACACAAAGGTTCTCCAAGGCCCCACCAGAGCAGCTAGATACAGAGTGTCAACTGGTGCACTCACAAACCCTGAGCTAGACACAGGGTGCTGATTGGTGTGCTTACAAACCTTGAGCTAGATACAGAGTGCCGATTGGTGTATTTACAATCCCTGAGCTAGACGTAAAGATTCTCCACGTCCCCACCAGACTCAGGAGCCCAGCTAGCTTCACCCAGTGGATCCTGCACCGGGGCTGCAGGTGGAGCTGCCTGCCAGTCCCGCGCCGTGCGCTCCCACTCGTCAGCCCTTGGGTGGTCGATGGGACTGGGCATGGTGGAGCAGGGAGTGGCACTCGTCGGGGAGGCTCGGGCGCACAGGAGCCCATGGAGGGGGTGGGAGGCTCAGACATGGTGGGCTGCAGGTCCCGAGCCCTGCCCCGCGGGAAGGCAGCTAAGGCCGGGTGAGAAATCGAGCCCAGGGCCGGTGAGCTGGCACTGCTTGGGGACCAAGTACAGCCTCCGTAGCCGCTGGCCCGGGTGCTAAACCCCTCATTGCCCCGGGCCGGCAGGGCCGGCAGGGCCGGCCGGCTGCTCCGAGTGCAGGGCCCACCAAGCCCACGCCCACCCGGACATCCAGCTGGCCTGCAAGCACGGCACCCAGCCCCGGTTCCCGCTCGCGCCTCTCCCTCCACACCTCCCTGCAAGCTGAGGGAACTGGCTCTGGCCTTGGCCAGCCCAGAAAGGGGCTCCCACAGTGCAGCGGTGGGCTGAAGGGCTCCTCAAGTGCCGCCAAAGTGGGAGCCCAGGCAGAGGAGGCGCCGAGAGCAAGCGAGGGCTGTGAGGACGGCCAGCACGCTGTCACCTCTCACCAGCTACTTGGGAGGCTGATGCAGTAGAATTGCTTGAACCCAGAGGCAGAGCTTGCATTGAGCTGAGATCACACCACTGTACTCCAGCCTGGGCAACAGAGCAAGACTCCATCTCAAAATAATAATAATAATAATAATAATAATAATAATAATATTCACCATTTGAAGTGTACGATTCAGTGGCTTTTAGTATATTGACAAGGTTGTACAACCATTACCACTATCTAATTCCGTAACATTTTTATCACTCTCAAAAGAAATCCTGTACCTATTATTTGCCATTCCTCCCTCCTCCCCCCCTCTCTGGCAACCACAAGTGTACCTTCTGTTTCTGTGGATTTGCCTACTCTGGACATTTCACATAAATGGAACATGTAATATGTGGCCTTTTGTGTCTGGATTCTTTCACTTAATATAATGTTTTCAAAGTCCATCCATGTCATAACATGTATCAACACTTCATTCCTCTTTATGGCTGTATAATATTCCGTTGTATGGATATACCACATTTTGTTTATCCATTCATCTGTTGATGGACATTGAGTTGCTTCCACTTTTTGGCTATTATGAATCATACTGCCATGAACATTTGTGTACAAATCCTCATCCCTTCTTGCATCTCAGACCTTCCATCTGGGATCCCTTTCCTTCTGCCTGAATTGCATCCTTTAGAATTTTTTTCATGAGGCACTTCAGTGAGGCTGATAGCAAACTGTTTTAGTTTTTACTTGTTTGAAAATTCAGTCTTGGCTGGGTGTGGTGGCTCACACCTGTAATAACAGCACTTTGGGAGGCCGAGGCAGGTGGATCACCTGAGGGTCAGGAGTTCGAGACCAGACTGATCAACATGGTGAAACTCCGTCTCTACAAAAATTAGCTGGGCGTGGTGGTGGGTGCCTGTAATCCCAGCTACTTGGGAGGCTGGGGCAGGAGTAGGCTGCCCCACTTGAACCCGGGAGGCAGAGGTTACGGTGAGCTGAGATCATGTCATTGCACTCCAGCTTGGGTGACAGAGAAAGACTCCATCTCAAAATAAAAAAGAAAGAAAGAAAAGAAAAGAACATTTACTCTTGAATTCTAGGTTGGAAGTTATTTTCTTTCAGTATGTTCAAGATATCATTCTACTGGCTTATGGCTTCCATTATTGCTGTTGTTGAGAAGGCTGCTCTTAAGATTTTCTTTCTATATTCAGGCCAGGCGCAGTGGCTCATGCCACCTAGCACTTTGGGAGGCCATGGTGGGTAGATCACTCGAGGTCAGGAGTCAAGACCAGCCTGGCCAACACAGTGAAACCCCGTGACTACTAAAAATACAAAAATTAGCTGGATGTGGTGGTGGGCACCTGTAATCCCAGCTACTCGGGATGCTGAGGCAGGAGAATCTCTTGAACCTGAAGGCAGAGGTTGCAGTGAGCTGAGATCATGAGCTGAGATCACGCCACTGCACTCCAACCTGGGTGATGGAGTGAGACTTTCTCTCAAAATAAAATTTTTTTTCTTTCTGTATTCAGAATTCTGACATTTCATTGTGATGTATCTGCATGTAGATTCTATTTTATTTATCCTGCTTAGAATTCTTCACGCTTCCAGAACTTGTGGATTGATGCTCCATCAGAATTGGGAAATTCTCAGCCATTATCTTTTCAAATCTTCACCTTGCCACATTCTCTTGTTCTTTCCTTTAAAAAAAAAGTATTTTAAATAAAATAAAATGGGGTCTTGCTGTTTTGCCCAGGCTGGGTTCAAAATCCTGGCTCAAGCAATACTCACATAGTGGGATGAAAGGTATGCATGCACCACCATGCCTGGCTTCTTTTTTTTTTTTTCCTTCTAGAATTCTGATTAAACGATATTAGATTCTTTCATTGTATCCTCCATGTGTCTCAAACTCTTCTTTTTGTCCCTTTTCTGCATTCTGGGTAATTTCTTCTGCTCTGTCTTCCAATGCCTCTCTGGGATCCCACTTTCCTTTAAGTTTTGGCCTGGAAATTCATCTCTCTTGTCAAATATCTGTAATATTGCTAAGGATTTTTTTTTTTTAATTGATCATTCTTGGGTGTTTCTCGCAGAGGGGGATTTGGCAGGGTCACAGGACAATAGTGGAGGGAACGTCAGCAGAAAAACAAGTGAACAAAGGTCTCTGGTTTTCCTAGGCAGAGGACCCTGCGGCCTTCCACAGTGTTTGTGTCCCTGGGTACTTGAGATTAGGGAGTGGTGATGACTCTTAAGGAGCATGCTGCCTTCAAGCATCTGTTTAACAAAGCACATCTTGCACCGCCCTTAATCCATTCAACCCTGAGTGGATACAGCACATGTTTCAGAGAGCACAGGGTTGGGGGTAAGGTCACAGATCAACAGGATCCCAAGGCAGAAGAATTTTTCTTAGTACAGAACAAAATGAAAAGTCTCCCATGTCTACCTCTTTCTACACAGACACAGCAACCACCCGATTTCTCAGTCTTTTCCCCACCTTTCCCCTTTCTATTCCACAAAACTGCCATTGTCATCATGGCCCGTTCTCAATGAGCTGTTGGGTACACCTCCCGGACGGGGTGGTGGCCGGGCAGAGGGACTCCTCACTTCCCAGTAGGGGCGGCCGGGCAGAGGCGCCCCTCATGTCCCAGACGGGGCGGCTGGCCGGGCGGGGGGCTGACCCCCCCACCTCCCTCCCGGACGGGGCGGCTGGCCGGGCAGGGGGCTGACCCCCCCACCTCCCTCCCGGACGGGGCGGCTGGCCGGGCAGAGGGGCTCCTCACTTCCCAGTAGGGGCGGCCGGGCAGAGGCGCCCCTCACCTCCCGGACGGGGCGGCTGGCCGGGCGGGGGGCTGACCCCCCCACCTCCCTCCCGGACGGAGCGGCTGGCCGGGCAGAGGGGCTCCTCACTTCCCAGTAGGGGCGGCCGGGCAGAGGCGCCCCTCACTTCCCGGACGGGGCGGCTGGCTGGGCGGGGGGCTGATCCCCCCACCTCCCTCCCGGACGAGGTGGCTGCTGGGCAGAGACGCTCCTCACTTCCCAGACGGGGTGGCTGCTGGGCGGAGGGGCTCCTCACTTCTCAGACGGGGCGGCTGCCGGGTGGAGGGACTCCTCACTTCTCAGACGGGGCGGTTGCCAGGCAGAGGGTCTCCTCACTTCTCAGACCATGGGTGGCCGGGCAGAGATGCTCCTCACTTCCCAGATGTGATGGCGGCCGGGAAGAGGCGCTCCTCACTTCCTAGATGGGATGGCGGCCGGGCAGAGACGCTCCTCACTCTCCAGACTGGGCAGCCAGGCAGAGGGGCTCCTCACATCCCAGATGATGGGCGGCCAGGCGGAGACGCTCCTCACTTCCCAGACGGGGTGGCGGCCAGGCAGAGGCTGCAATCTCGGCACTTTGGGAGGCCAAGGCAGGCTGCTGGGAGGTGGAGGTTGTAGCGAGCCAAGATCACGCCACTGCACTCCAGCCTGGGCACCATTGAGCACTGAGTGAACGAGACTCCGTCTGCAATCCCGGCACCTCGGGAGGCCGAGGCTGGCGGATCACTCGCGGTTAGGAGCTGGAGACCAGCCCGGCCAACACAGCGAAACCCCGTCTCCACCAAAAAAATACGAAAACCAGTCAGGCGTGGCGTCGCGCGCCTGCAATCGCAGGCACTGGGCAGGCTGAGGCAGGAGAATCAGGCAGGGAGGTTGCAGTGAGCCGAGATGGCAGCAGCACCGTCCAGCTTCAGCTCGGCATCAGAGGGAGACCGTGGAAAGAGAGGGAGAGGGAGACTGTGGAAAGAGAGGGAGAGGGAGACCGTGGGGAGAGGGAGAGGGAGAGGGAGAGGAGGATTTTTTTTTTAAAAAGCCTTTATCCAGCTTTTGCATTTGTTTTCAATGGGAAGGTTGGTCTGAATAACTTAGCCTATCATTACAGGAAATGGAAGTCCTACCATCCTCCTCACTCCCTCTTTTTCATGTATGTTCTCCTTTCCCTGATGATCCAAATTGGAGCCATTCTCCAGGGACTGTCTCCAAGCCCATCTCTTCCATCGGCCCTTCCCTGTCCTGCCCCTGTTGAGCTTTCCTGCCCCTAGAACTAGAACCGATTGTCCCCTACTCAGTGGCAGCACGTGGGGACCTCTCCTGGATTGTTCACTTATCAGATAGCTTAGGAATTGATGTATTGTCTTCCACAGTAGATGATCAGCTCTGTAGGTGATCAGGGAAGGCAGGAATAGCTCCCACCAGTAGCTCAAAATCATAGCAAATAAGAAGGGTTGGTGGAGATAAGAGAGATTTGAGTACAGTAAGTTTGAAGCAGTTTCTGGTGTCTGACCAGGTATTCGATGGTACAGGTTAAGACCCTCTGTCCCCAACGGCTTCTTTAAACCCCTATTGGCCCCAAGGGACCTTCTTCCTCGAACTGGAGGCTTCTGGGAGAGGGAGCTTGGTTCTGGAAACCCCAGGTCAGACAGCACCAGGGGGCGGTAGAGGCTTAAAGGCAACTGCATTGCCCTGGCAGGAGAGTAGGTGACTGCCCAAGCATTCCCATTGCAGCCCTGGGCCACGTTCACGTACTTGGGGGTCGAGCCGGAACCGAACAGAACTAGGCTTAGACCAATGTACCTGCTCCAAGTTGGACCTCTTTCGGTCCCCAGGACCTAAAACAAGATATGATGAATGACCTCCCTTCCATCCTGTCCTGTATCCCCTTGGGTCCCGTGCTAAGGTGGCGCCCCACTGAATTCCAGTTTCTGGACCAGGGAAATCCTTTCAATCCACTCTCCTAATCATTCTCAGCTAAAAAAAAAAAAAAGTTTTAATATATGATAGTGAGTGTCAATTAAGGTATAAAAAAAAAGAGAATGAGGATGGACTTGCCTTATTGTGGCGTGATCTCTGCTCTCTGCAGCCCCGACCTCAGGTGATCCTCCCACCTTAGGCTCCCTAGTAGCTGGAACTACAGGTGCTGCACCACCACCCTCGGCTAATATTTTTATATTTTTTGTAGAGACAAGGTTTCACTATGTTGCCCAGGCTGATCTCAAACTCCTGGACTCAAGTGATCCACCCTCCTTGGCCTCCCAAAGAGCTGGGATTACAGGCTTGAGCCACCAGGCCTGGCTGAAATTCTAATATATAACACAGGGGTTTGTTCAGTTAAGTGGGAAAAGAATAAAAATGATTTTACCATAGCTGGATTTCCAAATGGAAGAAAATAAAATTAGAGCTTTATCTTATACCATATGCAAAAATAAACTCCAGCTGGATCAAAAATTTAAATATAAAACTAAATGCATAAAATCTAATGAAAATCTAGAAGCCCGCATGTATGATGTATAAGAGTGGGAAAATATTAACCAAGATTGAAAATCGAGAAGCTACAACAGGAAAAAAAGGGTATAAATATTTCACTGTATAAAAGTTAAAACATTTTGGGGATGGAAAAACAGGACATAAATACAGGCATTAGGAAAATTTTCTTTTAAAAAGGAAAATAGTAGATTTAGAAATACGTTGTAATGCAGGTGGCAAGCCATGAGTTAACAGCTGTACTATACAAAAAGATCTTACAAGTTAACAAGAAAAAGACAAACACTTCACGGAAAAATGGTGAAGTCATGGATAGAGGATTCATGGAAACACAATTATTAAAAAAGACTCAGGCCTGTAATCCCAGCACTTTGGGAGGCCGAGGCAAGCAGATCACGAGGTCAGGAGATCCAGACCATCCTGGTTAACACAGTGAAACCCCGTCTCTAGTAAAAATACAAAAAGTTAGCCAGGCATGGGGACATGTGCCTGTAATCCCAGCTACTCGGGAGGCTGAGGCAGGGGAATCACTTGAACCCAGAAGGCTGAGGTTGCAGTGATCTGAGATTGCGCCACTGCACTCCAGCCTGGGCGACAGAGACTCTGTCTCAAACAACAACAACAACAAAGAAACACATATCTACTCTCTAACCGAGCAATCCTACTCTTAGAAATCTATCCCATGGAAATAAAACCAGCCATCCATAGGGATAGGTGTACAGTCTAAGGATGCTCAGTGTAGGATTAGTTAGTTGCAAAACACTGAAAACAGTAAATGCCCATCAGCGAATGGTTGAATAAATGGTTAACAGCCATTCAGTGAAATATTATTCAGTCTTTAAAAAGAAGGGAACTGAGGGCCAGGCACAGTGGCTCATTTCTGTAATCCCAGCACTTTGGGAGACCGAGGCAGGCGGATCACGAGGTCAGGAGTTTGAGACCAGCCTGGCCAATATGGTGAAACCCTGTCTCTACTAAAAATACAAAAATTAGCTGGGTGTGATGGTGCGTGCCTGTAGTCCCAGCTACTCCGGAGGCTGAGGCAGGAGAATTGCTTGAACCCGGGAGGTGGAGGTTGCAGTGAGCCAAGATCGCACCATTGCACTCCAGCCTGGGCCACAGAGCGAGACTCCGTCTCAAAAACAAAAACAAAAACAAAAAACAAAAAAGAAGGGAGCTGTAGAGCTGTAACAATTGTCTTGGAGGAATATTTAGGAGGTATTGTTGAGAAAGAAAAGCAAGAAGCAAAAAGTGTGAATAATGTGATCCTGTTTTTTGAAAACTAACAACAAATCCCCTATATTTCCTGTACACATATATATGTGTGTATATATATGACTATATGAGCAATAAAAAGTGAATGAATACAAACTGGGTAGTGGACATGGGTTACCTGGTTGGGAGAGAAGGAGAGGAAAAAAGAAGTTTAAAAACAAGATTAGGCCAGGCGCAGTGGCTCATTTCTGTAATCCTAGCACTTTGGGAGGCTGAGGCGGGCAGATCACGATGTCAAGAGATCGAGACCATCCTGGCCAACATGGTGAAACCCCGTCTCTACTGAAAATACAAGAATTAGCTGGACATGGTGGCACGCGCCTGTAGTCCCAGCTACTTGGGAGGCTGAGGCAGGAGAATCGCTTGAACATGGGAGTCAGAGGTTGCAGTGAGCCAAGATTATGCCACTGCACTCCAGCCTGGTGACAAAGCGAGACTCCGTCTCAAAAAAAAAAAAAAAAGAAGAAGACTAGGTTTGGTGTGGTGGCTAATGCCTGTAATCCTAGCATTTTGGAAGGCCAAGGTGGGCAGATTGCTTGAGCCCAGGAGTTTGAGACCAGCCTGAGCAACATGGTGAAACCCTGTCTCTACAAAAAACAAAAATAAAAAAATTAGCCGAGCATAGTGTCGTGTGCCTGTAGTCCCAGCTACTCAGGAGGCTGAGGTAGGAGGACCACTTGAGCCCAGGAGTTTGAAGCTGCAGTGAGCCATGATCGTGCCACTGCACTCGAGCCTGGGTGACAGAGGAAGACCCTGTCTCAAAAACAAACAAACAAAACACTGCTTTAAAAAGTTTGGAAGATAGAATAACACTTAATGTGTTTAGGTAAAATTGTTTGTACTGATATGTAGAAAAATCGTTTTAAAAGAATAAAATAGTAAAAAATCTAGTTCAGACCTTCATCACCTCTTATCAGTCTTCCCCTGTCAAGGAGAGTCAGACCTCAGTCCACACTGAACCCCTTACAGACTCTTTCCTGTCCCTACACCAGACCCATGGACATTGAAGATCATATCTAAATCAGGTCTGTTCCTCCAAAGTCTGAATGGTGCCAAGTGTCCGGGGCCAATCCCTGCTTAAATATTCAGTAAGTCTCTTGAGGTGATTGCTTCATCTCTCAGCCTGGAGAATCTTCAGAGGGAAGGTGGATGCCACAGCCCCTTGCCTCATAGAAATACATTTTTTTTTTTTGAGACAGGCTCTTGCTCTGTTGCCCAGACTGGAGTGCAGTGGCGGGATCGCCACTTGCTCACTGCAGCCTTGACCTCCCAGGCTCAAGTGATCCTCCCACCTCAGCCTCCTGAGTAGCTGGGGTTACAAGCACATGTCACCACCACACCCAGATAATTTTTTTTTTTTTTTGAGACGGAGTCTCACTCTGTCGCCAGGTTGGAGTGCAGTGGCACCATCTCAGCTCACTGCAACCTCCACCACCCAGCTTCAAGCAATTCTCCTGCCTCAGCCTCCTGAGTAGCTGGGACTACAGGCGTGCGCCACCACACCCGGCTAATTTTTTATTTTTAGTAGACACGGGGTTTCACCATGTTGGCCAGGTCTGGATCTCTAGACCTCGTGATCCACCCGCCTCAGCCTCCCAAAGTGCTGGAATTACAGGGGTGAGCCACTGCGCCCAGCCAATTTTTGTGTTTTTCGTAGAGATGGAGTTTCACCATGTTGCCCAGTCTAGTCTTGAACTCCTGGGCTCAAGTGATCTGCCTGCCTTGGCCTCCCAAACTGCTGGGATTACAGGTGTGGGCTCATAGAAATGCTTGTGGCCTCATAGAAATTCTTTTTTTTTTTTGAGATGGAGTCTTGCTCTGTCACCCAGGCTGGAGTGCAATGGTGCAGTAGTCTAGGCTCACTGCAACCTCCGCCTCCTGGGTTCAAGCAATTCTCCTGCCTCAGCCTCCCGAGTAGCTGGGACTACAGGTGCGTGCCACCACACCTGGCTAATTTTTGTACTTTTAGTAGAAACAGGGTTTCACTATGTTGACCAGGCTCGTCTCAAACCTCTGACCTCATGATCTGCCCACCTTGGCCTCCCAAAGTGCTGGGATTACAGGCGTGAGCCACTGCACCCTGCCTCATAGAAATTCTAGAAGCAGTCTGCCTCAAATGTTCATGGGCATCAGAATCATGGTTTGAGGGATGAGGATGGCATTCTGACTGGCAGGACTGGAGTGGAGCCCAATAATCAGTGTTATTTTTCAAACATTCCCATGTTATTCTGCTACCACTTTGAGAATCTCTTCTAAACACAGAACCACATAGACAGTTGATTTTTTCATATCCATTTAAACTCAGAGACATCTCAGATTTACCAAAATGCATTTTTTTTTTTTTTTAGAGACAGGGTCATGCCCTGTCACCCAGGTTGGATTACAGTGGCTTGATCACAGCTCGCTGCTGCCTCCAACTCCTGGGCTTAAGTGATGCCCCTGCCTCAGCATCTCTAGTAACTGGGACCACAGTTGTGTGCCCCCATGCCTGGCTAATTTTCTTTTTGAGACGGAGTCTCACTCTGTCGCCCAGGCTGGAGTGCAGTGGCGCGATCTCGGCTCACTGTAACCTCTGCCTCCCAGGTTTAAGCAATTCTCCTGCCTCAGCCTCCCGAGTAGCTGGGACTACAGGCATGTGCCACCATGTCCCACTAATTTTTTCCATTTTTTAGTAGAGATGAGGTTTCACTGTGTTAGCCAGGCTGGTCTCGATCTCCTGACCTCATGATCTGCCCACCTCGTCCTCCCAAAGTGCTGGGATTACAGGCGTGAGCCACTGCGCCCAGCCTAATTTTTTTTTTGAGACAGGATCTCACTCTGTTACCCAGGCTGGAGGGCAATGGCTTGAACATGGTTCACTGCAGCCTTGACCTCCTGGTCTGAAGCAATTCTCCTACCTCAGCCTCCTGAGTAGCTGAAACCAACGGTGCATGCCACCTTATCCAACTAACTTTTAAAGGAAAAAAAAATTCACCACTGGCCAGGCAGGACCCCCTGTGATAGGTAGCCAGGCTGCTAAGCTGTCTTAGAGGGTGTTTTTTAGCACATTCCTTCTTTTACTCATCAAATATTTATCACGTGCCTAGTCTGAATCAGCCCTGCTCTAGATCACATTGCTTGAGACAGTTTTTGAGACAGTGAGATCCTGTCTCAAAAAAAAAAAACATTAGCCGAGCATGTTGGCACACAATTGTAGTCCCAGTTACTAGAGAGGCTGAGGCAAGAGGATCACTTGAGCGCAGGAATTCGGGGCAGGAGTGAGCTAGATGTAGAGTCAGAGTCTCCACAAAAAGCAACTCTCCTGCCTTGCTCTCCCAAAGTGCTGAGATTACAGTCATGAGCCACCATACCCAGACAATTTTTTAAATTTTTTTGTAGAGAGGAGGGTCTCAACATTTTGCCCAGGCTGGTCTTGAACTCCTGGCCTCAGGTGATCCTTGCCCCGGCCTCCCAAAGTGCTGGGATTACAGGTGTGAGCCACCATGCCTGGCCAAAATGCAATTCTTGAAACCCTACCAAATTTGTCCCCCACCCACTCAACCTTACCAATCTCAGTAAATGACTCCAAATCCAGCCTGGTTCCTCACACCTGGAACCTGGAAGTCATTCTTAATTCTACCCTTTTCCTCATCCTCAATATCTAATCCATTATCTTCTTGCCAAGTTGTCTGCAAAATATACTTTAAACTTACCTTCTATTTCTGTTGCCACCGTCCATCACCTGTCATGGAAATTACTGTAACAGCATCTTCTCTGGTCTCCCACTTCCATTCTTGCACCCTTACAATCCATACTCCACACACAGGCAGTGGTGAGTCTCTTGAAAATGTAAATAAGATCAAATTGCTTCTCTTCTCTAAATCTGTCAAAGGTCTAACTCTCTCTCTCTCTCTCTTTTTTTTTTTTTGAGATGGAGTCTTGCTCTGTTGTCCAGGCTGGAGTACAGCGGCACGATCTCGGCTCACTGCAACCTCCACCTCCCGGGTTCAAGTGATTCTCCTGCCTCAGCCTCCCCAGTAGCTGGGATTACAGGCACACGCAACCACGCCCAGCTAATTTTTTTGTATTTTTAGTAGAGATGGAGTTTCACCATGTTGGCCAGGCTGGTCTTGAACTCCTAACCTCAAGTGATCTGCCCGCCTCAGCCTCCAAAAGTGCTGGGATTATAGGTGTGAGTCGCTGGGTCTGGCTAGCTCTAACTCCTTATAGTGACTTCAAGCCCCTCCTAGGTGAGCTGGCCCCTGCCTCCCTTTCCACTTCACCTCGAAATATTCTCCCCCAGCCCCTTCTTGCAGTGTCTCTAACCAGGACTGGCAACGTAATATGTGGGGCCCAGTGAAAAAGAAGTTGTGGGACCCTCCATCAAAAATTAGTAAGAATTTCGGCTGGGCGCGGTGGCTCACGCCTATAATCCTAATACTTTGGGAGGCCGACGTGGGTAGATAACTTGAGGTTAGGAGTTTGATACCAGACTGGCCAACACGGTGAAACCCCATCTCTACTAAAAATACAAAAATTAGCCGGATGTGGCAGTGTGTGCCTGTAGTCCCAGCTACTTGGAAGGCTGAGGTGGGAGAATTGCTTGAACCCAGGAGGCGGAGGTTACAGTGAGCCAAGATCGCACCACTGTACTCCACCCTGAGCAACAGAGTGAGACTCTGTCTCAAAAAACAAACAAACAAAAATTACTAAGAATTTCAAGATGGCTGTGGCAGAGCATGAAACCAAGCGAAGGGCTCTTCTGAGTGTGGAGCCTGTACAAGTGGCCCTGCCTCTCGCCTGGCCTGGGCTGCACCTCAGGAGCACTGTGCCCCAGTTTATAACATCGAGCTGTTGGCTCAATTGTCACCTGGTCCAGAGGTCTCACCTGACCATTGCTTAATTTAAAGCAGCCTCACACAGTTCCTCTATGTCACATCACCCCACGTTATCTTCTCAGCACCTCGCCCTGCTTGAAATGATCTCATTTGTTTACTTGTATATTGTCTGTCTCCTTACCTGGCTCCCCCAGCCAGAACATAAACTCAATGAGAACAAGAACCTTTCCTGCCATGCTCACCTCTGGCGTCTTCAGCATCTAGAGCAGGGCTGATTCGGACTAGGCACATGATAAATATTTGATGAATAAAGGAAGGAGTGTGCTAAAGAATGTACTCCAAGGCACCAGTCTAGCATACTGGCTATCTACCACAGGGGGTCCTGTATGGCCAGTGGTGATTTTTTTTTTCCTTTGAAAAATGCTCCTGGCCAGGCGCAGTGGCTCACGCCTGTAATCCGAGCACTTTGGGAAACCGAGGTGGGTGGATCATTTGAGTTTAGGAGCTCTGGGCCAGCCTGGCCAGCATGGGGAAACCCTGTCTCTACTAAAAATACAAAAATTAGCTGGGCATGGTGGCATGTGCCTGTAATCCCAGCTACTCGGGAGGCTGAGGCAGGAGAATCACTTGAACCCAGGAGGCAGAGGTTGCAGTGAGCTGAGATCGCACCACTGCACTCCAGCACAGGTGACAGAGTGAGACTCCATCAAACAAAGCAAAACAACAACAAAAATGGATTATAAAATCAGGAAAAAAAAGGCCGAGCGCAGTGGCTCACGACCTGTAATCCCAGCACAGGGAGGCCGAGGCGGATTGCCTGAGCTCAGGTGTTCGAGACCAGCCTGGGCAACACGGTGAAACTCCGTCTCTACTAAAATACAAAAAATTAGCCGGGCGTGGTGGCGGGCGCCTGTAGTCCCAGCTACTTGAGAGGCTGAGGCAGGAGAGCCGCTTGAACCCGGGAGGCGGAACTTGCAGTGAGCTGAGATCGTGCCACTGCACTCCAGCCTGGGCGACAGAGCGAGACTCCGTCCCAAAAAAAAAAAAAATTCAGGAAAAAAATCTATGAATCCACAGTGATATTCTAAAATGGTAGGCGGCAAGGAGAGAAAGTTCATCTTTATAGCATTCCTACTAATAATTGTAGAAGAAGTAATAGAATTAAAGAATCATGATTTTGTAACCATTGTTTGTAATAAACAATTCAGGCAAGGACTATCAGTGGATAATAAACTTTGTAATCCCAGCACATTGGGAGGTCAAGGCAGGAGGATCACTTGAATCTAGGAGTTTGAGACCAGCCCAGGCAACATAGCGAGACCCTGTCTCTACAAAAAATAAAAATAAAAATTGGCTTTGCATGGTGGCAGGCACCTAGAGTCCTAGCTACTTGGGAGGCTGAAGTGGGAGGATTGCCTGAGACCAGGAGTTCAAGGCTACAGTGAACTGATGGTGCCACTGCACTCTAGCCTGAGCAACAGAGTGAAACCCTGTCTTTAAAACAAACAATTGGCCGGGTACGGTGGCTCACAACTGTAATCCCAGCATTTTGGGAGGCCAAGAAAGGCAGATCACTTGAGGTTGGGAGTTCGAGAGCAGCCTGACCAACATGGTGAAACCCCGTATCTACTAAAAATACAAAAAAATTAGCTGGGCATGGTGATGCATGCCTGTAGTCCAACCTACTCGGGAGGCTGAGACAGGAAAATTGCTTGAACCTGGGAGGCGGAGGTTGCAGTGAGCCAAGATCACACCACTGCACTCTAGCCTGGGTGACAGAGTGAGACTCCATCTCAAAAACAATAAATAAATATAAATAAATAAATAAAACAAACAATCAAAACTCCACAAAAACCCATGGAGTGAAAGGCTGTTGAAAAATAAGATATTCACATGGTCTCAAAGTATCATCTTTTACAAGGGAGCAGTCTGGCTGACAATACATTAACCAATAAATGAAACTTGACATCACTAATAATGAGGACAGTTGATACCATGTGCCTCCTCATGTTGTGCTCTGAGAAGATCACAGCACCACCTATTTAGTATTCTTGCAAAATGTTTCAACTGAATCTAGTCATAAGCCAGACAAATCCCAATTGAAGGGCATGTTCAATGCAACAAAAGACAACCAAAGTCAATGGAACTGCTGTAGATGAAAAAATAGTGAAGAAACATGACAGCTAAAAACAATGCCTGATCATTGATTGGATCCTGGATCAAAAGCAAGTAGCTCTAAAGACCAAAAATGAGGTACTTTGAATATGGACCCTATTTTTATTTATTTATTTATTCATTTATTTATTTTTGAGACAGAGTGTTGCTCTGTCGCCCAGGCTGGAGTGCAGTGGCAGGAGCTTGGCTCACTGCAACCTCCATCTCCCGGGTTCAAGCGATTCTCCTGCCTTAGCCTCCTGAGTAGCTGGGATTACAGGTTCCTGCCACCACGCCTGGCTAATTTTTTTTTTTTTTTTTTTTTGAGATGGAGTCTCGCTCTGTCGCCCAGGCTGGAGTGCAGTGGAGCGATCTCGGCTCACTGCAAGCTCCACTTCCCGGGTTCAAGCGATTCTCCTGCCCCAGCCTCCTGAGTAGCTGGGACTACAGGCGTCTACCACCACACCTGGCTAATTTTTTGTATTTTTAGTAGAGATGGGGTTTCACTGGGTTAGCCAGGATGGTCTCGATCTCCTGACCTCATGATCTGCCCTCATCGGCCTCCCAAAGTGCTGGGATTACAGGCGTGAGCCACTGCGCCCGGCCAATTTTTGTATTTTTAGTACAGACAGGGTTTTGCCATGTTGACCAGGCTGGTCTCAAACTCCTGACCTCAAGTGATCCTCCTGCCTCAGCCTCCCGAAGTGCTGGGATTACAGGCGTGAGCCCTCACACCTGGCTGAATATGGACTTTATATTAGATAACATTATTGTATGAACATTGAACATTACATTTCTTTTTTTTTTTTTTTTTTTTTGAGACGGAGTCTCGCTCTGTTGCCCAGGCCGGACTGCGGACTGCAGTGGCGCAATCTCGGCTCACTGCAAGCTCCGCTTCCCGGGTTCACGCCATTCTCCTGCCTCAGCCTCCCTAGTAGCTGGGATTACAGGCATTCACCACCACGCCCGGCTAATTTTGTATTTTTAGTAGAAACGGGGTTTCTCCATGTTGGTCAGGCTGGTCTTGAACGCCCGACCTGAGGTGATCCGCCGGCCTCAGCCTCCCAAAGTGCTGGGATTACAGGCGTGAGCCACCGTGCCCGGTCTGCAACTTACTTTCAAATGGTTCAGAAAACAAAAACAAAAACAAAAACAAAAACAAAAAACCCAAAACATAAACTTATATATACAGAGAGGAAGAGAGAGAGAGAGAGAGAGAAATTTTGCAATTTAAGAATTGAATAATCGGCTGGGCGCGGTGGCTCACGGCTGTAATCCCAGCACTTCGGGAGGCTGAGGTGGTGGATCACGAGGTCAGGAGATCCAGACCATCCTGGCTAACACGGTGAAACCCCGTCTCTACTAAAAATACAAAAAATTAGCTGGGCATGGTGGCGGGTACCTGTAGTCCCAGCTACTCGGGAGGCTGAGGCAGGAGAATGGCGTGAACCCGGGAGGCGGAGCTTGCAGTGATCGGAGATCCTGACGCTGCACTCCAGCCTGGGGCGACAGAGCGAGACAACGTCTTAAAAAAAAAAAAAAGGTTAAAATGGGCCGGGCGCGATGGCTCACGCCTGTAATCCCAGCACTTTGGGAGGTGGAGGCCGGCAGATCACCTGAGGTCTGGAGTTTGAGACCAGCCTGACCAGTATGATGAAACTCCGTCTCTACTAAAAATACAAAAATTAGCCGGGCGTGGTGCCATGCGCCTGTAATCCCAACTACTCAGGAGGCTGATACAGAAGAATCGCTTGAACCTGGGAGGTGGAGGTTGTGGTGAGCCGAAATCACACCATTGCACTCCAGCCTGGGAAACAAGAGCAAAACTCCGCCTCAAAAGAAAAAAAAAAGGTTAAAATGGCAGATTTCGTTATGTATATTTTACAACAAGCTTTTGAACATTAAACAGAGCGTGTGGGGGCTGCATGCTGTTATTTTCCAGATATGCTGAGGAGGAAACCTGACCAGCTGCTAAGGGACTTGACCACAGTCATAAAATCTGGCTCTGTCTTCCATAGCTACAGGAGCCAGGACAAGGTTTTTCTTTCTTTCTTTTTTTTTTTTTTTTTTGGTTTTAAGGAGCGGAGAGTTTAATTGGCAAGAAGGAAGGGAGAAGACAGAAGGAAGAAGCTCCCCCATACAGAGACAGAGGGAATGAGGCTCCAACGTGGAAAGAGGAGGTCCCTACCTGCCAGGGATACCAGCCAGCTATATATGCAGAGGCTGAAGGAGGCAGTGTTTGATTTGCATGGGACTCAGGGGATTGGTTTGACTAGGCATGTCATTCACATAGCCCACGAAAAAGCTGGCCCTCCCACCCTAGCCTTTTAATATGCAAATACAGGGCGCTGTGATGTTCTACACACATGGGATATGTAAGAGTGGCCATGTTGCCAGAAACAACTGGGAAAAGGGCAAGAAGGCCGAAGGAATCTCCATATTTGGGTGGATCCAGTTTCTGATGACCTGCATTTACATATCAAAGGTTGCTGGCCTGGCTATAAGAGCTGGGGCTTTACAAGAAACTTTTCCGGAGATGCTTTAAAAAATGAAAACTTCCCAAGGACCCCTTTTCCTACAACATTCCCCCCTGTGGAGATGCCACACTAACTGCTGTTAGGGGGTTTTGGGCAATGACTCTTTCTGGCTACTTCCTGCTGAAAAGGGGCTTCGAATGGGGAACAGCAGCTAGGGCTCCTCCTAGAGTCGATCTATGGGTCGTCAAAAGAATGGCGTGTCCCTGTGTGGTTCAGTTTACAGCACCATTTGGAGTTTGATTGCTTCAGTCTGATGATTGAATTGCCTTTCCCGGACCATGGACAAAATTATACGCTTCTGATGAGTGGAGGAACACCAGGGTTCTTGGTCCTCATGCTGGTTTAGATAAAATGACACGGACACACGTGGAGCGTTATTTTGTTTCTTTTTTTTTGCATTTTGTTTCTTTTTTTTTTTTGAGATAGAGTCTGGCTCTGCTCTGTCACCCAGGCTGGAGTGCAGTGGTGCCATCTGGGTTCACTGCAACCTCCGCCTCCCGGTTCAAGCAATTCTTCTGCCTCAGCCTCCCAAGTAGCTGGGACTACAGGTATGTGCCACCACAGCCGGCTAATTTTTGTATTATTAGTAGAGATGGGGGTTCACCATGTTGGCTAGGATGGTCTCGAACTCCTGACCTCATGATCCACCCGCCTGGGCCTCCCAAAATGATGGGATTACAGGCGTGAGTCACTGTGCCCGGCCTACGTGGAGTGGTTTTAAGGAGTGGAGAGTTTAATAGGCAAGAAGGGAGAAGACAGAGGAAGAAACTCCCCTCTACAGAGAAAGACGGAGGGGCTCAAAGCCAACAGAGAAGGTCCCCCACATTTCTTATCTCTAAGCCTCAGTATTCTCATTTGTAAAGTGGAGATAATCAAGTTTATTGCCTTTAATGTGTCAAAAATTACTTTGATAATCCATGTAAAGTGTTAAGCATAGCGCCTGATATACAGCCAACTATCAGGTCCTTCAGTTCTGGAAAATGTTCACGTGTTATTTCTTGTATTACTACTTTCATATATTGTTGACAGGGACTGATTTTCTTCTTCTTTTTTTTTTTTCTTTTTTCCAAGACAGGGTCTCACTCTGTCACCCAGGCTAGAGTGCAGTGGTGTGATCACTGCTCACTGAAACCTCAACCTCCCAGACTCCGGCGATTCTCCCACCTCAGCTTCCCAGATAGCTGGGACTACAGGCACACACTGCCACGCTGGCTAATTTTTGTATTGTTTCTAAAGACGGGGTTTCTCCATGTTGCCCAGGCTGGTCTCAAACTCCTGGCCTCAAGTGATCCGTCCACCTTGGCCTCCCAAAGTGTTGGGATTACAGGTGTGAGCCGCTGTGCCCAGACTGTTCTTTTTTCTTTGTGTGTGGGGGGGTTTTGTTTGTTTTGTTTTGTTTTTGAGACAGTCTCATTCTGTCGCCCAGGCTGGAGTGCAATGGTGCAATTTCGGCTCACTGCCACCTCTGCCTCCTGGGTTCACACAATTTTCCTGCCTCAGCTTCCGAAGTAGCTGGGATTACAGGCATGTGCCACCACTCCTTGCAATTTTGTATTTTTAGTAGAGACGGGGTTTCACCATGTTGGCCAGGCTGGACTCGAACTTCTGACCTCAGGTGATCCACCTGTCTTGGCCTCCCAAAGTGCTGGGATTACAGGCATGAGCTGTTGCACCCCGCTTGCCTGCCTTGCCTACCTGCCTGCCTCCCTCCCTCCCTTCTTCTCTTTTTTTTTTTTTTTTTTTTGAGAAGGCGTCTGGCTCTGTCACCAGCCTGGAGTGCAGTGGCGTGATCTCGGCTCACTGCAACCTCCGCCTCCATGGTTCAAGCGATTCTCCTGCCTCAGCTTCTCAAGTAGCTGGGAGTGCAGGCATGCGCCACCACGCCCAGCTAATTTTTGTATTTTTAGTAGAGACGGGGTTTCGCCATGTTGGCCAGATGGTCTCAATCTCTTGACCTCGTGATCTGCCTGCCTCGGCCTCCCAAAGTGCTGGGATTACAGGCGTGAGCCACCATGCCTGGCCCCTTCCTCTCTTTCTTTCTCTCTCTCTTCCCTTTTCTCTCACTCTCTTTCTTTTTCTTCTCTATCTCTCTCTCTCTCCCTCCCTCCCCCCTCTCTCTCTTTCTTTTGAGAGAGGGTTTTGCTCTGTCACCCAGGCTGGAGTGCAGGGGTGTGCTCACTGCAGCCTCAACCTCCCAGGCTTAAATGATCCTCCCACTTCAGCCTCTCAAGTAGCTGGGACTACAGGTGCACGCCACCACACCTGGCTAATTTATTTTATTTTATTTTTATAGACAGGGTCTTACTGTGTTGCCCACGTTGGTCTTGATTTTCTTTTTTCTTTAGAGACAGGGTCTTGCTCTGTCTCCCAGGCTGGAGGAGTGCCGTGGTGGGATCATAGCTCACTGCAACTTCGAACTCCTGGGCTCAAGTGATCCTCTGGCCTCAGCCTCCCGAAGTGCTGGGATTAGAGGTGTGAGCCACTGTGCCTAACTGACAGGTACTTTTTGTGACAGAGGTTGAGTTTGAAATCCAGGTTTACCTGATGGCAATGCCTTTGTTTATAAACCCTAGAATAAATCTTTTCCTCTTCATCTTTGTGTCTTCTGTAGCACCTCAACCATAACACTGAATATATGTTTCTGTAATTGTTTTGCTCTAAAATATCCTTCAGTGGCTCCCAGAGAAAATTTATTTGAGGGCTTGCAGGTCAAAAAAATGTCATTTTTCCCTCTCATAGTTGATTAATGGTTTGGCTGGGTATAGATTTCTAAGTTGGTGTATTACTGCCCAGTCTTCTCTTCTCTGGAGAAGACCAACATCATTCCAATTCTCAATCCTTCATATGTGACCTAGTTTTCCTCTCTGGAAGCCTTTAGGAGGTTCTCTTTGTCCCACGTGCCCTGAAATTTCACAACACTGTGCCTGGCAGCAAATTCTTTTTCATCCATTGTTTTGGGATCTCTCAATTTAGAACTCAGGCCCTTAGTACTAGAAGATGTTCACACATTATTTAATATACTTAAAAAAATTGATTTCGAATCCTTTTTTGTTTGTTTGTTTTTAAGGGATAGGGTCTCACTCTGTTGCCCAGACTGGAGTGCAGTGGCTATTCACAGGCATGATCATAGCACACTACAGTCTCGAACTCCTGGACTTAAAGCTATCCTCCTCCTTCAGTCTTCCCAGTAGCTGGGATACAGGCGTACTCCACCATGCCCAGCTTTTTATTTTATTGTATTTTATTTATTTATTGAGATGGAGTCTCGCTCTGTTGCTCAGGCTGGAGTGCAATGGCACAATCTCTGCTCACTGCAACCTCTGCCTCCCAGGTTCAAGCAATTCTCCTGTCTCAGCCCCCCTAGTAGCTGGGATTACAGGCACCCGCCACCACGCCCAGCTAATTTTTGTATTTTTAGTAGAGACAGGGTTTCACCATGTTGGCCAGGCTGGTCTCGAACTCCTGACCTCAGGTGATCCACCTGCCTCGGCCTCCCAAAGTGCTGGGATTACAGGTATGAGCCACCGCACCTGGCCACCATGCCCAGCTTTTTAATATGCTTTTCTTCCATTTTCCTTTGTTATTTCTGTAAGTCCTACTATTCAGATATTGAATTGATGCCAACATGTTCTTATTCATTCTTTCCCATTTTCCACCTCATCAATTCAGTGAATATTTAGTGCCTACTATGTGCCAGTCATTAGTCTTGGTGCTGGGGAGATAGAAAAACAAAACTAAGAAAAATCTCTGCCCTCATAGAGTTTATATTACATACTAGAAAAGTGATAAGTACTTTTGGGCTGGGCGTGGTAGCTCATGCCTGTAATCCCAGCACTTTGGGAGGCCGAGGTGGGTGGAACAACTGAGGTCAGGAGTTTGAGACCAGCCTGGCCAAAATGGCGAAACCCCATCTCCACTAAAAGTACAAAAACTAGCCTGGTGTAGTGGTGCTGGCTTGTAATCCCAGCTACTTAGGAGGCTGAGGCAGGAGAATTGCTTGAACCCAGGAGGCAGAGGTTGCAGTGAGCCGAGATCACACCACTGCACTCCATCCTGGGCAACAAGAGCAAAACTCCATCTCAAAAGAAAAAGAAAAAAAGAAGTAACTTTTTGCCGGGCAGGGTGGCTCACACCTGCAATCCCAGCACTTTGGGAGGCTGAGGCGGGTGGATCATGAGGTCAGGAGTTCAAGACCAGCCTGGTCAACATGGTGAAAACCTGTCTCTACTAAAAATACAAAAGTTAGCTGGTCATGGTGGTGGGCACCTGTAATCTTAGCTATTCGGGAGGCTGAGGCAGAGAATTGCTTGAACTGAGGAGGCGGAGGTTGCAGTGAGCCGAGATTGCACCACTGTACTCCAGCCTGGGCAACAGAGTAAGACTCCATCTCAAAAAAAAAAAAAGTACTTTTTGAATAAAGACTAGAAGATGAAGGGCCAAGCCAAGGAGATATATAAGAATGATAAGCAGAAAGAACAGCGAATACATAAGCCCATGGGTGAGGCAGGCTGAGGCAAGAACAGGCCTGATGGGATCAAGGTACAGCCAAGAGGCCCGTATGTCCAGAGAGAAGGGAAACAGGGGTGGAGAGAGGAAGATGAGGTCTGAGAGGTGGGGCGGTGAGAGGTGGGGTGGTAAGAGGTGAACTTTATATTGTGAGTGACGTGGAAAGTCACTGTGCGTTGAATCAGGGGACAACATATGTGATCTGATTGACCTTTAACAGATCACCAGAGCTCCTTTGTAACATGTATGCTGCCAGGGTAGAAGCAGAACACGTAGTAGCTACTGCAATAATTCAGGAGAAAGTAAAGGTGGTTTAGACCAGGGCGTCTTTTTAGTCTGTTTTCTGGGTGATTTCCTGAGTAGCTGGGATTACAGACATGCGCCACCCTGGCCGGCTAATTTTTTTTTTTTTTCAGATGGAGTGTCGCTCTTGTCACCCAGGCTGGAGTGCAGTGGCGTGGCCTCAGCTCACTGCAACCTCCACCTCCTGGGATCAAGCGATTCTCCTGCCTCAGCCTCCTGAGTAGCTGGGATTACAGGTACTCACCACCACGCCTGGCTAATTTTTGTATTTTTAGTAGAGACGGAGTTTCACCATGTTGGCCAGGCTGGTCTCCAACTCCTGACCTCAAGTGATCCACCTGCCTTGGCCTCCTAAAGTGGTGGTATTATAGGCATGAGCCACCACACCCAGCCCCAAAATTTCTTTTTTTTTGAGATGGAGTCTTGCTCTGTCGCCCAATTCCCCTGCCTCAGCCTCCCGAGTAGCTGGGATTACAGGTGCACACCACCACGCCCGGCTAATTTTTTTGTATTTTTAGTAGAGACGGGGTTTCACCATGTTGGCCAGACTGGTCTCGAACTCCTGACCTCAGGCAATCCGCCTGCTTCAGCCTCAGCCTCCCAAAGTGCTGGGACTATAGGCATGAGCCACCGCGCCGGCCAAAAGTTCTTTCTTAAACTCAATATCCTTTTTTCTTTTTTGGCATCCCATGCCCCTTGATGCAGTCTCTTATTTCCTGATGTGTTCCCTTGTACCCTGATGTGATATAATGTCTCCGTGGATGTTGATAATTCTTTTGATGGTTTCTTCTGTTCCTTTCATTATCTCTGGTTCCTCTGAATTCGTTTTTTGGGGGAGGGGGGCTGTTGCTGTCATCATAGCTCACTGCAGCCTCCAAATCCTGGGCTTCAGCAATCCTCTTGCCTCAGCCTCCCAAGTAGCTGGGACCACAGGTGCATGCCACCACGCCTAGTTTTAAAGTTCTTTTGCAGAGTTGGGGTCTTACTACAATGCCCAGGCTGGGGGTGTTTCTATCTTTCCTGTTACAGGTTCCCTTCAAATGTCTGGCATTCTTTGGCTATCCATTCATAACAAGGCACTAAAAAGCTGAGTGAAAGGTCTGTGTGGATGGGGCTTCCTGAATGATGGACTTCTCTGTGGAGTATTTGGGCAGGAACATGATCTTTATGTAGGAAGACACCTCCCTACCCTCACTCCCATTGTTGGTACATGAAGCATTTTCTTCCCTAAGCTAGTCAATTTTCTAGAGAGGGTTCCTATGTTCTTTTGTTGGAGAAGTCAGACTCTCTGGCCAGAATGGAGGCTTTACCATATCCTCCCATTTTCAGCATGGTTGCTCCTTCTCACCTATAAAGTCCAGTCTCTCTGGTTCAGCCTTTCCAGAGGGAAAACCTCTAGTTTGCTACCTGGGTGGGAAAAGAGACATCGAATCATCAGTGGCACCAGGGGCTTCTACTTCCTGAGCCTTTCTGGTGCACTTTAGCATTGATCAACTTCTTTCCTGTCTTCTCCTACTCTATGACTTCTTTTTCTCCACTCTACTAAAGTCATTTCCATTTATCTGTGCTCTCTGGCCTCCAAAATGTTGACATCTGTTGTCTGCCATTGTCTCTTCTCCAGGTCTCTTTGTCCATGTGAATTTATGCACTTCTTATTCCTCTGCTGTCATTTCAGTGGGCTTTTGAGAGGAAGAAGAGGTCAGTGTGATGTGTATCCTCGTGATTCAATCTTTCACGCTACCCTTAAGTCTCTTTACAATGTTTGAGCCAGGCTCGGTGGCTCACGCCTGTAATCTCAGCACTTTGGGAGGCTGAGGCGGGCGGATCACAAGGTCAGGAGTTCCAGACCAGCCTTGCCAACATGGTGAACCCCGCCTCCACTAAAAATACAAAAAAAAAAAAAAAAAAAAAAGTCCGGGCGAGGTGGCTCACGCCTGTAATTCCAGCATTTTGGGAGGCCGAGGCAGGCGGATCACGAGGTCAGGAGATCGAGACCAGCCTGGCTAACACGGTGAAACCCCGTCTCTACTAAAAATACAAAAAATTAGCCGGGCTTGGTGGCGGGCGCCTGTAGTCCCAGCTACTCGGGAGGCTGAGGCAGGAGAATGGCGTGAACCCGGAAGGCGGAGCTTGCAGTGAGCCGAGATCGCGCCACTGCACTCCAGCCTGGGCGACAGAGTGAGACTCCTTTTCAAAAAAAAAAAAAAACAAATGAGCTGGGCTTAGTGGTGGGCGCCTGTAATCCCAGCTACTAGGGTGGCTGAGGCAGGAGAATCTCTTGAACCTGGGAGGCGGAGGTTGCAGTGAGCCGAGATTGCGCCACTGTACTCCGGCGACAGTGCGAGACTCCGTCTCAAAAAAAAAAAAAAAAAAAGAATACAATGTTTGAATTCTGTGTGCCCTGCCTCCCCTTAGATGGAAGCGTAGGCTGAAGCATGGGTGGGGCAAAGGGTAACAGCTAGAAAATACACACCCTTCCTCAAAAAATTACATTCCATTTGACTCTTTCAGGGCAGGGTAAGACCCATTTTTCCATTGTGTGATTTCTGTCAACTACTCTTTTCAAAAGGAGAGAAGTCCTGCCACCCTTCTATGTGTTTTATGTATTTTGGCTAAGAGTCCTGGAGCACTGGGTGAGGTCCTCAGAAGGGATGGAAAAATCCGATTCTTGACTCTCATAGTCAGCGCTAGGCAGGAGCATCAGAGATTACTGAATCCAATTTCCCTATTGTATAAAAAGGAAACTGAAGCCCAGAGAGCTTTAGTCGATCTGGATCAACTTCGGTCCCTTGTGAAATACTTCTCTCAAAGGATGGCTCGAAGTCAAGCTCCTTGCAGTCTTTGGGCCTTTGGGTCTAACGTTCCCTATGCCCCAATGCTGTAGGCTCCTCGCTGTGCCTCGGTCAAAGGTCCTTTCAGAGACTGTCCCTCTCAGCACTGTGGCCAGTTTTACTTTTTTGTGGCACTTGTTGATATTTAAAAATATTTATTTTACGAGTTATGTGAGTTCTTCCACTGGAATGAAATCCCCATAAGAGGAGATCATTCCTGTCTCGTTCACCGTTGAATCCTCAGGGTGAGCTGAGATTCGAAGCTAAGCAGTCTGGCTCTAAGGTCGCGCTTTCGGCCCAACATTATGCTGCTATTTAGTGAAGACGATGGACTTCTGCGCACACGGGGAAGCAACAGTGAGAAAAGACACCCGGAAGTGAGCAACAGCAAAACATCCAGATTTGTCCGCACGGTGCCCCCTCTGACCTTTCCCTCCGGAAGCTCTCGCGGCTCTCGGGCGGGAGTGCGCACGCGCGGCCACCGGGGTCGCTCCGGGTCGCGCGCGGAGCAGGGGCTAGAGGGAAGGGTCAGCCTCCAGGGCTGGCAGGCGCCTGCGCCGCGGGGCTCCCGTCAGGACGCGCATTCTCGCTCCCTCCCTCGGCTGCGCGCGCCCGGTGGGCGTGGGAGGAGGCGGGGAACCGGGGAGGGGTGGGTGTCGCAGGAGGGAAGGAGCGAACCGGAGAGCGTCGTCCTGAGAGGAGTGAAGGCGGCAAAATGGCGGACCGCTTCTCCCGCTTCAACGAAGACCGAGACTTTCAGGTAAACACGGGCGTCGCCGAGGATGCGGGGAAGGCGCTGGTCTAGCCCAGAACCTCCTTCATCTCCGGCTCCCAGCCCTCTTTCCTTCCAGTTTTGCTCCGACTTGCGAACCAGCTCGCTCTTCTCCCGTCTCTGCTTTCTCAAGAGGCCTCCCGGCTTGAGGGAGGCCGCATCTCCTCGCACCCGCATTCTCTTACCCCTGAAACTCAGGCCGCGGGGCTTGCGGCTTCCGCCTGTTTGGCATCGGATTTCGGAACCGGGCCTGAGCGCCGTGTGAGGGGCTGTGCCCTCCAGGTCTGCCCGATCTGTGCCGGCGAAGGGCTGGCTCCCAGGGGACAAGAGGGGTGGTTGGGTTGGGCTGAGAGGGCTTGGGGGAGAGTATTGCTGAGGCCAAGGCTTCCGAACCCCGGGATTTTGCTCTCACGGATCCTTTTGGGGTCCTTCTCTTTTCTTTCTTCACTGTGATAAATCAATTCCTTTCATTGTCTGCTTTTCCTCTTCCTTACCTGGGAAAAGGTTGCCTTCGCTATCAGACGCCTTATTGGTTAGTCATACATTGAGATTTCGCGGGGCATAAGTGTTGCTGTTATTAGGCTGTTAATTGGGCTTGGAAAGCAGTAAGTTACTGGACTATGATCCGATGTGAGCCTAACCTCAAATCCTATCTCGAAAGATTTGTGAGAAGCGTGATGATAATAGGCCGTCCACGCATGGGGTCACTAGTGCCAAAAGCTTGATTTTTCTTTCTTCAATTGCAAATGTTAGTATGGAAAAATGCCCTTACGATGGCAAGCTCTATTGAGTAAAAAATAAAGGCCAAATTAGAATAACTTGTTTTTTCGCTGTTGAAAATACCTTTCTGTTGAAATTGTTACCGCGGAAATCTCGAAGACTAAAAGGGATTTAGTAGAGATTGGCTATTTCTAGGTAAAATACATCCGTAGAGTCTCAAAAAAAAAAAAAAAACACTGCATTACTACCGCATATCCTGGCAACTGCAATTTGGGTCGGGATGAATCTCAGAACTCAAGTTTTTATCCCGCTGCAGATCCTACTCAAAGCAGTACGAAAGCACTCTAGATGTGTTTCAGAAGGCAGTTTAAAGAGTTTGAATTCCCTGAGATGATAGGATTGGTAAATAAATAGGTAAAGCAGTTTAACAATTTTAACTCAGCACTGTTAACAGTCTAGTACATAGAACGCTTATGAGAAGTTTTGCAGCAGTAAGGGATCTGGGGGCTGTTAAAAAGCCTTGTGATCATGCGCCTGCTGTATAGCTGCAGCACAATACAGGAGAGTCTCAGGATGTTCTAAGGATATAATGCAGATTCACCAAAGTTTGAAGCAGTTCATGTTAGCCTTTTGATCCCTGAGAAATATATATATATACACACATATATATATATTAGCAAGCACTATAAAATATGAGTTGGCTGCAAGGTGTATGAGCTTTATTGATTTTTAAATTACCGGTAGAGACATACTGATAACTAAAGCCCGCAAATGCTTTTCAGAGGAGAGAATAATCTCAAGGTGACCTAATAAAATCGAAAATAGATAATATGGACAGTTAAGTTTTGAGGGAAGATGACTGTCAACCACAGAATTCCAGCAGGCTTAGCAAACAGGATTTTCAGGGCCTTTAATGAAGATTTTGAAAATTGTGGATAGCAGAGTGTGAATGCTGTTTCCTGAAAAACATTCAGGGGGTTAGCCTGTACTTTTTCAATACTCAGTTTCCAAGTAAGATGACCCTGTCTTCTGATGCTTTAGTTGGGTATTGCAAAACCCGATTTTGGTTTCATGGTAGTCCTTTGAAGATGATACGTATACTTCATTTTCTGCTTATATGTTGAAAGAACCAACCCCTGTTAAATTGGGTCAGCCAGGAAAAATTTTTTTTTTTTTTGAAATGGAGTCTCGCTGTGTCGCCCAGGCTGGAGTGCAGTGGCACGATCTCGGCTCACTGCAACCTCTGCCTCCCGGGTTCAAGCAATTCTTCTGCCTCAGCCTCCCAAGCAGCTGGGATTACAGGCACCCGCCACCATACCCGGCTAATTTTTGTATTTTTAGTAGAGATGGGGTTTCACCGTATTGGCCAGGCTGGTCTCGAACTCCTGACTCGTGATCCGCCTGCCTCGGCCTCCCAAAGTGCTAGGATTACAGGTGTGAGCCATCGCGCCTGGCCGAAAATGTTGGTTTTTAAAATTCAGATGTCCTAGCATTTTGGGTAAATAGGGTATTGGGAATGGAAACCTTTTTAGACAGTTGTAAGATGTTAAAACTTTTATAAATTATGTTAACATTTCTAAAGTACATTCATTGAAAAATAAAGTGGTATTTTTCTAGATGTTTTAATAAAGGGAAAATACAGATTGACTTTCATTTAATGATGTATTTTGATTCAAAATTATTGGTGAGAGAATGTAATGTAATAGGATTCTCCTGTGAATAATGTATCTGAAACATTTTCAGCTTCAGGTTATTCAAAATTAAACGTGGCCTCCTTTTAAGGTTTTGGGTGAAGCCACTGACTATACTTGAAAACAAGTCATAGTAGGTTTCCAAACACAGTGGATAGATCTTGTTGCTTTCAACAGATCTTGTAGCACTGGAAATTGTTCATCTTCTCTGGTAAGTTCGAGATGACTTATTTTCTTTGCCTTTAATTTAGCAGGATGATTTAAAGTTGTAGAACTTCACTCTTTACCGGTTTATCAAGTGCAAATTTTGGAGAGTTTGATGTCTCTTGAAATTATTATGGAGTGAGGGAGTTGGGCTATTAAAATTTGTGAATACCTAAAGTTGCGAAGGTATTTTGTATATATAGTGAAAAGTTATAGTTAACAGTGGTATGCCACTTGAAGCACTCATGTATATAGAGATTAATAATTATCAGGGACCTAACTTTTTTTAATTGGTAACTTTATTATAATAACAAACAGGTCCTATTCCACAGGCTTTATGTGTCTTATCTCATAGTCTTCACTATAACCCTACGAGGTAGGTACTGTTATTACTGCCGTTTTCAGCTGAGGCACAGAGAATTAAGTAACTTAGCCAATTACATACATCTGTTAAATGGCAGAGCCTAAATTCATACTGGCTTTTGGATTCTTGTACTTGTCCTCATGACCATTCTGTCTGCTGCTGACAATTATACATTTTATGTAGCTGTAATTGGGTCATCAAATGTGGAGGATAGACTTATAGGTGACAAAGAATAAGGGAGCTTTTAGAAAGGTGATACAGTTCCAGTTTTTATTTTGTTTGGTTTTGTCCAGATCTGTCTCTTTCTGGTCTCCCAACGGCTTCTAGGGAGGCTTTCAACAATGATAAATTACATTGTGTCATAGAGGATATATTGTTACCTGTTTTAGTTTAGACATTCTTTTGTCTAGCCTTTTAAGTGTTTTTTTTTTTTTTAATCTTTGGAAATCTTTGTAATCTAAGCTGATGTATTTATTTTTACAAATGTTTTAAGAGTTTTAACTACTCCTTTAAGAATCTGGCCTCAATTTCTGAATGAGATATTACTTCTGCCAGCATTTACCAGATTAAGATATATTTGTTCCCAAATTGAAGTGTTACACAAACTAATGGAAAATGTATAACTTAAGATAATCAACACTTTGGATTACAGGTTCATTAAAGAAAGTTTTGTTTGTACAGTGATGTACAGCTAGCTATACGGTGCCATTAAGAAACAGTGCTTAGCATTTTATGGTTGCGCAGCTATTATTGGTGATGCAGCTGAATGCTGGTGAGGAAATGTTCTTTAGTATATGTACCTGCAGAGGACTGATGATTCGTGTTCCGAGTGTTCTCTGCATTTTATTTATTTATTTATTTTTTTGAGATGGAGTTTCGCTCTTGTTGCCCACCTGGAGTGCAATGGCACCATCTTGGCTCACCTCAACCTCCGCCTCCCGGGTTCAAGTGATTCTCCTGCCTCAGCCTCCCGAGTAGCTGGGATTTCAGGCATGTCCCACCATGTCCAGCTAATTTTTTTGTATTTTTTAGTAGAGACGGGGTTTCACCCTGTTGGTCAGGCTGGTCTCAAACTCCCGACCTCAGGTGATCCACCCACCTCGGTCTCCCAAAGTGCTGGGATTACAGGCTTGAGCCACCGCGCCTGGCCCTCTGCATTTTATTTCTAATGAAAAGGAACTACAGTAATAGATCAGTGAGTGATAAGTTGATAAGAGAAACAAGACATGCTATGTTAAAGGTCGTAATAAAAATACAGAAATTGCCCAAGAACTTTCTGTAATCTATGTAAGTAATCATAATGGTAAATAGCAATAAGCTAGTCATGTATTACATTTATGCAGTATGTTTGTAGGAATCCTCTTTGTGTTTCCATATGTAACCAGTATGTGACCCTTAGGAAATTCTTAGTTGAGACTATTAAGTGAAGAGGTTCATAGTTTTAAGATATTTAAGTCACAGAAGCATATTAGTGTATTTTCTGTATGTAATATAGTTGGCATTGTAATTCAGGTATGCCAGATATGACACATGGACAAGTGTTTTAAATCGTTTTTCCTATGTCTCGCTCCCGTAATCTGGAAGAAATGCCACAAGCTGTGAAAATTAATGTCAGTTTGGCTTGGGATACTGAAATTTATACAAAATCATTACTCTTCCCTGTCTCATAGTATGATAAGTGAAAAGGATTAGAATCAGGGCTGTACCAGTTTCAAAATACTGATGCTGAATTGACATGATTGTTAGCAAATGCAAAATGATATTGACATTGGTTAATACATTCTTAGGAGATCGAGAGTGACCAAAGTAAAGTCAGCATAAGAGAAGTTTCCCTGGAGGTGATTTGAAGGGTAAATGGTATATAATCACTTTTCAAATGTGGGACATATCAAGGACATCTCAACATCACAGAGAGAGACTTAAGTTGTAATTAGGAAAGATTGGGGTTGGGAAGAACTGTGATCAGAGGACTTCATGTGATGATGTATATTATTTGTTTTCAAAGTAGGCATGGGAGGCAGGAAGAAACAGATCTGGACAAATAGAGTATTATGCCGAGTATTATTTCAGGGCTCTTACAATACAGTCAAAATGATAGAAAAACAGGTACTCCTGTTGTACCTTTCCCTTTCTTCTATACATGTAACACAGTTCTCATTAGAGTACTGCAAAGGGATTCTTTCATCACAGTTTCTCATGTCTTTATGATAAATTGTATAACCAAAGCTAAAATTTGTGACTTAAAAATATTTCAAGATACATATGTAATAAGCTATCCTGATTGTGCTGCTTCATAATTGAGATACATTTCCATGTGATTTCTGTCTATCTGGGTACATGATAAAAATTTTTAAAAGGACAGTCTGTTTTTCTTTTCTTTTTTTCTTTTTTTTTTGGAGACAGTGTCTGGCTCTTTTGTCCAGGCTAGAGTACAGTTGTGGGATCTTGGCTCATGCAGTCTCCACCTCCTGGGCTCAAGCAATCCTCCCGCTTCAGCCTCCCAAGTAGCTGGGACTACAGGAATGTACCACCATGACTGGCTAAGTTTTGTACTTTTTTTAGAGACGGGGTTTCAACTTGTTGCCCAGGCTGGTCTTGAACTCCTGGGCTCAAGCGATCCTCCCACCTCAGCCCCCCAAAGTGCTGGGATTACAGGCATGCACCACTGCACCCAGCTGACAGTCTGTTTTTTTGATGTGGTCAAGACTTTTTTAAATTTAATTTTTTTAAATAAAAAATTCGTTTTTGAGACAAGGTCTCACTCTGTCACTCAGGCTGGAGTGCAGTGACGCGATCATGGCTCCTGGCAGCCTTGACCTCCCAGCTTCAAGTGATCCTCCCACCTCAGCCTCCTGAGTACCTGGGGCTACAGGTGTGTCACCAAGCCCTGCTAATTTTTTTCATTTTTGTAGAGATGGGGTTTCTCCATGTTGCCCAGGCTGGTCTCAAACTCCTGAGCTCAAGCTATCCTCCCACCTCGGCCCCTCAAAGTGTTGAGATTACAGGCATGTGCCACTGTACCTGGCCAAGATTGCCATTTTCTGAAAGCGTAGCAGAAGTTCATGAGATCTTAATTATGAATCAGAAACCTATGTAAAGTTTTCATTTTTGCTCTTGTGACTTAGTTTCTAGTATTTTATTAATGAAAATGGTTTCTAGCTTGAAGTAGATAGATTCCAGTTCGTGAGTTCTATTAAAATTCCTTCCCTGAAACAACTTGGTACTTTTGCTTGTAAGTCTGGCATTAATTTTCTTTTCATATTAGCATTACCATTTAGCATTAAGTGAAAGCAGATTCATGGTAATTACCAAAGGAATTACAGATGACCACCACAAATACTGAAAGAAGTCATTGATTTGATATTGCAGTGAATACCAGAAGATGTTGTAATAATTTTCCACTTATAAAAAGTGAATTGTCCATTTAACTCTGGAGGTCTAAGCAAATGTGCTTAATGCATATCGTATTAGTCAATGCAAAAAGTTAAATATGCCCAGGCTGAAAGAAGGTGTATAATGTATGGTCGTTCTTATACCAAATGATTTCTTTGGAATTTAAACAAATATGTTTAGTATTTTATTCCTAATTTAGGAAGAAAAAGCAACTAAAGTTGTTCTGACATTGTACACAGATGAGTAGCACGTAACTGTTATTTAGTAAGCCCCATAGATAGTAAGGAATAAAAGTTGTTAGTGAGCAAAACAGGAGTATCCTGCCATTTGCTTTAATTCTTCTTGTGATAGTTTTGAGGTACAATAATTCCTGTGTGCGTGTCACTCAAGCAACCAGAAAGTGTCTTTGTAATACGCATTTGGTCTCATCTCATGAAGTTCCAGTTGTTTGTTGTCATCCTTGTGACTCTTTGGTAATTACATTGATTTCAAAGAGGAATTCTAATTCATCTTACTGTTTCATAGAATTGAGACACAAAATAGCTTTACAGGTTTAAAGTTGTAATAGAAAAAAGTCATAGAGTTTTCTGACATTTTAATAATGACATTGTTGGAAAAGTCAGTACCTGTCTTATAGCCCCCATAACATTATTCTTCCAGAGTTAATAAGAAAAGAGGAGCTTACTTTTTCATCATTTTTGTAGGCAGTGCTGATCAAAATCAAGAAATTATTTTGATACTGTAGGTCTTGACTATAGAAGAAGTAAAGGTAGGCTGGGCGCGGTGGCTCACGCCTATAATCCCGGCATTTTGGGAGGCTGAGGGCAGGTGGATCACACGGGGTCAGGAGTTCGAGACCAGCCTGGCCAACATGGTGAAAACCCATCTCTACTAAAAATACAAAAAATTAGTTGGGTGTGGTGGTGCGCTCCTGTAGTCCCAGCTACTCAGGAGGCTGGGGCAGGAGAATCTCTTGAACCTGGGAGGTGGAGGTTGCAGTGAGCCGATACTGTGCCATTGCACTCCAGCCTGGGTAACAGAGTGAGACTCCATCTCAAAACCAAACAAAACAAAAAAAGAAATTAAAGCTAATGCTTGTGGATTGTATGCTGTAGTGTCAGTAATTTCCCTTGTTGCTATGAATAGAGCTATGAGTGAAATTATGAGGTATCTTTAAAGAAAGGGCAAAAGTGGTTGAAAATTTAATTGGTTTAATATTGTACTAGGGTATCATCTGTGCGAGCAATAACAAGGGGTATATTTACCTTTAGAATAGTTTCTAGAATATAGACTAATTTTTGAAAACTTAATTAAATAAAACAGTGTTTGAATAGTGGTTGTACGAAGAAGTACGTATTGTAGTGTAAGTATTTCTGTGCGGGTAGTTTGTTAAGAAGTGTTTTTGTTTTCAAGGAGTTTTCATTTTAGTTGGAGAGATAACATAAGTAGTAAGGTTTAGTTTATTATTCATAAGACCAGCATGATTATCAGAAAAACCAGCATGATTATCAGAAAAACAGTATAGCTAATAAATGCATAACTCTAAGTAAAGGAGAGAATCCTTAAAGTGGGATGATTGGACATGCTTTTATTTTATTTTATTTTTTTCAGACAGAGTCTTGCTCTGTTGCCCAGGCTAGAATGCAGTGGCATGATCTCAGCTCACTGCAACCTCCACCTCCTGGGTTCAAGCAATTCTCGTGGCTCAGCCTCACGAGTAACTGGGATTACAGGTGCCCACTACCACGCCTGGCTAATTTTTGTATTTTTAGTAGAGATGGGGTTTCATCATGTAGGTCAGGCTGGTCTTGAACTCCCACCTCCAGTGATCTGCCCGCCTTGGCCTCCCAATGTGCTGGGATTACAGGTGTGAGCCACCGTGTTGGCCTGGGCATGCTTTTATGAAGAAGTTAGCATTTAAGCTGGATCTTGAAGGATGGGATTGCATCCTTCAAGTGAATGGAAGTACACTCAGTTGGAAAAAATAGCCAGGACAAAAGTAAAGAAGTGGAACAAACAGAATTTGTTTTTTTAGGACAATGAATTAATGATTGGGCATAGGGAAAAAGTGAAGACTAGGGCTGCAAAGATAAATTTTATTTTAATGCTGTAAGCAGGCATGCACTAGCTATTTAAGGTTCTTAAGCTGAGGGATAGACAGTCAAAGCCCTCTTTCTTATAGGAAGATTAATTCAGCTATAGTTTGTTAGATGTGCTATACCCATATAGTTAAAGTGCTGATAACCAGTCTCTCTTAACCAGAGTTAATGTGAATAGGAGCAAAGGAGTAGAGGGTGTATACGAGGAGTGATTACAATAATGGACCATGTGATTTCTTTCTTTTATTTTGAGGTGAAGTTTCGCTCTCATTGCCCAGGCTGGAGTGCAATGGTGCAGTCTTGGCTCACTGCAACCTCTGCCTCGCGGGTTCAAATGATTCTCCTGCCTCAGCCTCCCAAGTAGCTGGGATTACAGGTGCATGCCAACATGCCCGGCTAATTTTTGTATTTTTAATAGGGACAGGGTTTCACTATGTTGGCCAGGCTGGTCGCGAACTCCTGACCTCAGGTAATCCACCCACCTCGGCCTCCCAAAGTGCTGGGATTACGGGTGTGAGCCACCGTGCCCGGCCGGACCATGTGATTTTAAGCGTGGTAAGGAGATGAATGAGGACTTCTGGGAGTGGGGGTGGTGGCAGCAATGTAGGTAGTGAGAGGGTGAAAAATTGGTAGGATCAATGGATTGTAGATTCTGATGGGGTTTAAGACTTGTTAGAGTGGGAGTACTGTAGGGAATGAGCTAGAAAGGTAGAAGGTGGTGGTCGTAGAACACAATGTTTGAAATAGGGTTTATATTAATAGAAGGGTTGAGATTATTGTTAATGAACATGAGAGTACATCATTAAGGCAGAATGGAGAGCAAGATCATTGTAGGAAAGGAAGTTAAGGAACTGAGGCACCAGGATGTTACAAAGATAATCTGACCTGGTTATGAGAATGGTAATATGGTATAGTTGTATACTGTCATGGTTTAATAAATGCCTCTTATATAATGTTCTTTTCTGGTTCTTCTAATAATTCAGTGAAGTAAATAGAAGAGGTACTAATCCTATTTTGAAGATGAAGAAACTGAGGCCCAGATAAATTATTTTGCCTAGTGCAGAACTGAAGTTTGAACTTTGCTCTTTTGACTTCTTTTGTTCTTTCCTTTTTAAATAAAAGAGACGGAATTTTGTTACATTGCCCAGGCTGGACTTGAACTCCTGGGCTCACACCATCCTCCCACCTCTGCCTCCCTAGTAGCTGAGACTACAGGTGCACGCCATCGAGCCTGGCTGATTTCTTGTATAGTATTCTGTTTATTGTGGTATATAGATTGGCCTCTCTTCAAGGTATATGTACTGTGGTATATAGATTGTGGTATGTAAAGTGTTGGTATTATCTCCAGTATGCAAAACATTGTACTTCTTTAATACATGGCAGCATTTTGTACCAGTTAATAAACTGGTAGAAAATAGTTGGTATGCTTATTAAAGATTATAATTTTTGTTTCAGAACATCTCAGTATTAAAAACCAATAGTTGTCAGGCGTGGGGGCTCGTGCCTGTAATCCCAGCACTTTGGGAGGCCAAGGTGGGTGGATAACCTGAGTTCAGGAGTTTGTGACCAGCCTGGCCAACATGGCAAAACCCTGTCTTTACTAAGAATACAAAAATTAGCTGAGCATAGTGGTGCATGCCTGTAGTCCCACCTACTGCGGAGGGGAGGCTGCTGAGGCAGGAGAATTGCATGAACCCAGGAGGCAGAGGTTGTTGTGAGTCAGGATTCTGCCACTCACTCTAGCCTGGGTGACAGAATGAGACTCTGTCTTAAAAAAAAAAAAAAAAACCTAATGGCTTACCACCATTGGTTTAATTGGTTATAAACCAGTGGTTTAATTGGTCATTTATGACTTCTTGCTTGTCTTTTCACTGTCTGTGGGTCTAGCAGATAATCCCATTCCATTTTCCAAACATTAGTGAGTACCTGATTGTTATCGTGGCATCATAAAAGGATAAGAAAACAAGACAAAATTCCATTTTGTTCATTTGTTCCAGTAAAATAATAGATTGGAGAGGAGAATGGTATTTCTACTGGATACTCTCAAGTTAGGGTTCTACAAGCTTATCCTTGACCATTACACCTTTATAAAAGTTGACTACTGTGATATATGGTGAGGGTAGTATCAGCTACTGTTTGTTGCCAGCTATATTACATGTCAGGTCTGGTGCAAAGACATTTCGAAGATATTTATCTAATCCAAGTAACTCTCCAAACTAGGTGGTGGTATCTCCCCCTCTTTTTTTTTTGTCCTTAGTTTTTTATTTTTTTGAGGCGAAGTCTTGCTCTGTCGCCCAGGCTGGATTGTAGTGACTACATCTCGGCTCACTGCAAGCTCCGCCTCCCAGGTTCACGCCATTCTCCTGCCTCAGCCTTCCGAGTAGCTGGGACTACAGGAGCCCACCACCACGCCTGGCTAATTTTTTTTTGGTAGAGACAGGGTTTCACTGTGTTAGCCAGGATGGTCTCAATCTCCTGACCTTGTGATCCTCCCGCCTCGGCCTCCCAAAGTGCTGGGGTTACGGGCGCTTTTTTTTTTTTTTTTGAGACGTCTCACTCTGTCACCCAGGCTGGAGTGCAGTGGAGCCATCTCAGCTCACTGCAAGCTCCGCCTCCCAGGTTCTCGCCATTCTCCTGCCTCAGCCTCCCGAGTAGCTGGGACTACAGGTGCCCGCCACCACGCCTGGCTAATTTTTTGTATTTTTAGTAGAGATGGGGTTTCACCATGTTGGCCAGGCTGGTCTTGAACTCTTGACCTCAGGTGATCCACCCACCTCAGCCTCCTAAATTGCTGGGATTACAGGCATGAGCCACCACGTCTGGCTGTAAATTGAAATAAATTTTAAGTATACTAGTGAAATGACACTAATAATCCCCAGGATGTCCATTTCTTTTTGGATAGGCTTTTTCTCCTGGGACATTTTCTTTTTAAATTCCATTTTTAAAGGCACATACATACATTTATTTATTGAGACAGGATTTCATTGTACTTCCAAACACAGGACGAATGTGGAAATTTGCCCAGGAAATTTGCGATCACTGCTTACTGCACTCTTGACCTCTTGGACTCAGGCAATCCTCCCATTGCAGCCTCCCGAGTAGCTGGGACTACAGGTGTGTACCACCACATTCAGTTAATTTAATTTTTTGTATTTTTTGTAGGGATGGAGTCTTCTTTTGTGGCCCAAGCAGGTCTTGAACTCCTTGCCTCTAGTGATCTTCCTGCCTTCCAAAGTGCTAGGATTACAAGTATAAGCCACCATGCCCAGCCAATATCCACCAACTTTGAGTAATATTATTCATTTAAAAATGTTTTTCAAAGAAGTTGTAAGAATTTTTTTTTTTTTTTTTTTTTTGAGACGGAGTCTCGCTCTGTCACCAGGCTGGAGTGCAGTGGCGCAATCTCGGCTCACTGCAGTCTCTGCCTCCCAGATTCAAGTCGTTCTCTGCTTCAGCCTCCCAAGCAGCTGGGATTACAGGTGACCACCACCACACTTGGCTGATTTTTGTGTTTTTAGTAGAGACAGGGTTTCACCATCTTGGCTAGGCTGGTCTTGAACTCCTGACCTTGTGATCCACCTGCCTTGGCCTCCCAAAGTGCTGGGATTACCGGCATGAGCCACCGTGCCTGACTGAAGTTGTATTAAATTTTAATAGTTATAGGAAGAGGGAAGAGGCTAAGAACATCTCTCTAGAGTTTCGTATTGTGTTTTGCTTTTTGAGATTATAGGCTCTTGATTGTGATCTTTGACTTGTCCTAATAATTCCTTCTTCTCCAGCTCTAATTTGTCTCTACTAATTTCTACATAGTTTAATCACATAAAGGATACAGCTGTGGGATTATGTAGACGTCAGAATCAGCACCAGTTAGCAAATAATAAGATTTCATTTATCTGGATAAATTTAAGGCAATTCCTGTCTTTATTGATACTTAAATGATCACCACAACCAAATTTGTAAGAGAGAAGTTTCCACATTTGTCCTGTGTTTGGAAGTAGAATCCTTGACTTGTAAGGAACTAGAGCTACTGTGTATTTTAATAACATGCAGAGCAGGTCAGCCAGGTTGTATTCATTTGCCATTAGATCTGCCACAAGTTGAAGTTTTTTTTGAGAGTGGAGGCAGTTGAAGGAAAGTCAGTTGGGTGTATGCATATAATTTAAAATCTAATACTTTTTTTTTTTTTTTAGAAAAGCTAGATTGCTTCCAGTCTGACCCTTTTGAACTTAAATTCCTGATCAGCATAAATGAAAAACTATATTTCAACTTTGAAAGCATATAGTATTCAGAAAGGAAGTGTTGATTTAGATAATGAAATAAGTGTTCCAAGCAGTCATCATTTTTTTAAATTTAAATTTTATTTTTTACCTCCCTCAGCTCATACCTACAAGCAGTCATTAAAACTAAATTTTAGGAATGCTGTAATATAGGACCTATGAATTTTTATTAGGATAACCATGAGTTTTAGTTTATACCTTTTGTCTTGGAATAATTACTGTTAGCATCTTTTGTTTTTTCTTTTTTTGTTTTTTTCTAAGACAAGGTCTTGCTCTGTTACCCAGGCTGGACTGAAGTGACAAGATCATAGCTTACTGCAGCCTCCAACTCCTGGACTCAAGGGATCCTCCCCACTCAGGCTCTTGAATAGCTGAGACTACAGGTGCACACCATCATTAAAAAAAATTTTTACAAAAATTAAAAAAAATTTGTAAAGATAGGGTGTCCCTGTGTTTCCCCAGCTGGTCTTGAACTCCTGGGCTCAAGAGATCCACTTGGCTTCCCAAAGTGCTGGGATTATAGGTGTGAGCCACTGCACCCAGCCTTACCCCCCATTTTATTCTCGAAGTGGTTTGTATGATATATGATCATCTAGATCTAAAGGAATTTCAGAGATCTAAGTGAGGTTTTGAAGGGAAGGTACAGCAGCAAAAAATACCTTTCAGATCCTGTTGAGGCCTTCAGATAATCAGACGCCATACTGAATGTTTTTAGAAAGAATGATCCTGATAAGTCTAAGTTTGTCAGAATGACTCAATTTTGGTGGGGAGGTGGGTTAGGAGGCAAGAAATAAAATATCACCACTACTATCATTGTCATCATTACTACTACTATTATTATAGTTGTGCCCTTGGGGTTTGAAATCACATTTTTCCTCCTTCCTCTTTTTGTTTTTCTAGTATAACATTCAAAAGGGACAAAAGGCAGCTGGGGGCGGTGGCTCACGCCTGTAATCCCAGCCCTTTGGGAGGCCGAGGCGGGCGGATCACCTGAGGTCGGGAGTTCAAGACCAGCCTGGCCAACATGGTGAAATCCCGTCTCTACTAAAATACAAAAATTAGCCAGGCATGATGGCGGGTGCCTGTAATCCCAACTACTTGGGAGGCTAAGGTGGGAGAATTGCTTGAACCCAGGAGGGGTAGGTTGCAGTGAGCCAAGATGGCACCATTGCATTCCAGCCTGGGTGACAGAGACTCCATCTCAAAAAAAAAAAACAAAAAAGAGGGGGTGGGGACAAAAGGATTCAGAGTGAAAAGAAAACCACTTAGTTAACCTTCCCAAAGACAACCCCACTATTTCCAATTGCATGGTGGTTCTTTCACAGAGTGCTTAGTATATTATCCATATACTAAGCATTATGCACTCTTAACTTTCCCAAAGGGTAGCATGCAAGCACATTTTCTAGCAGTTTGATTTTTTCCTCTTAATTGTATGTCCTGGAGATTATTCCATAACTGGAAGGTTTTTTGTTTTACTTTTTGTTTGTTTTTGTTTTTGTTTTTTTTGAGATGGGAGTCTCACTCTGTCCCTCAGACTGGAGTGCAATGGGGCAATCTTGGCTCACTGCAACCTCTGCCTCCCGGGTTCAAGCAGTTTGATTACAGGCACCCGCCATCATGCCCAGCTAATTTTTTTATTTTTGTAGAGATGGGGTTTCACCATGTTGGCCAGGCTGGTCATGAACTCCTGACCTCAGGTGATCCACCCGCCTCGGCCTCATGAAGTGCTGGGATTACAGGCATGAGCCACCGTGCCTGGCCTGTTTTTTGTTTTATTTTAAAGTAATTTTAGATTTGTAGAATAGTTACAAAAATAGTACAAGAGAATTTTGGTATACCACTCACTATATTCCCTACTACAGTATCCATACACTAACTATAATACAATTATCATGGGCCATGTGTGGTGGCTCACACCTGTAATCCCAGCACTTTGGGAGGCCGAGGCAGGCAGATCACCTGAGGTCAGGAGTTCGAGACCAGTCTGGCCAACATGGTGAAACCCCGTCTCTATTAAAAATACAAAAAGTTAGCTACGCTTGGTGGCACGCACCTGTAATCCCAGGCTACTTGGGAGGCTGAGGCAGGAGAATTGCTTGAACCCAGGGGGCGAAGGTTGCAGTGAGCCGAGATCATGCCACTGCACGCCAGCCTGGGTGACAGAGCAAGACTCCATCTCAAAAAAATAAATAAAATAAAATAAATTGGTCTGGCGTGGTGGTGCACACCTGTAGTCCCAGCTACTCAGGAAGTAGAAGATGCAGTGAGCTGAGATTGCGCCACAACACTCCAGCCTGGGCGACAGAGTGAGACTCTGTCTTAAAAAAAAAAAAAAAAAAAAAGGGTCAGGCACGGTGGCTCATGCCTGTAATCCCAGCACTCTGGGAGGCCGAGGCAGGTGGATCACGAGGTCAGGAGATTGAGACCATCCTGGCTAACATGGTGAAACCCCTTCTCTACTGAAAATACAAAAAATTAGCCCGGATGTGGTGGCGCACTCCTGTAGTCCCAGCTACTTGGGAGGCTGAGGCAGGAGAATCGCTTGAACCCAGGAGGCGGAGGTTGCAGTGAGCTGAGATCGCGCCACTGCACTCCAGCCTGGGTAACAGAGCGAGACTCCGTCTCAAAAAAAAAAAAAAAAAAGCTAATTGGTTTCTTTAACGTTAACACAAAAACATAAACACCATCAACTCCCTCATATTTTGCTGTAAAAATAAAATATTAACAGCAATCACTAATCCCTGGTAGTGAAGCACAAAACATTTTCCACCTACCCCCAACATAAATGTAGTCTCATCACAATGACAGGAACACCAAGTAAAAGTAAACAAAATACTAGGTGTCACTGGGGTTGGTGATAACTTTTCAGATGGAAAACCAAAGGCACACCCATGAAAGAAATAATTGGTAAGTTAGACTTTATTAAAATTTAAAACTTCTGTTCTGCAAAAGACACCATCAAGAGAAAGAGAAGACAAGACAGTTTGGCAGTTTCTTACAAACCTAAACCTATTTTTTACCGTTCAATCCAGCAATCATACTCCTTAGTACTTAACCAAAGGAGCTGAAAACTTAAGTCTACACAAAAACCAAAAACATGGATGTTTATAGCATTCTTTATTTGTAATTGCCAAAACTTGGCAGCAGTCCAGATATCCTTCAGTAGGTGAATGGATAAGTAAACTGTGGTATACCAATGGAATATTATTCAGCCCTAAAAAGAAATGAGCTATCAAGCCAGGAAAAGACATGGAAGAACCTTGGATACTTATTCAAGAATATGTGAAAGAAGCCAATTGGAAAAGGCTACATAATGATTGCAAATATATGACATCCTGGAAAAGGCAAAACCGTAGAAACAGTAAAAAGATCAGTGATTGCCAGGAGTTTGAGGGGAAGAAAATAAAGGGATGAACAGGTGGACACTGTGGATTTTTTGAGCAGTGAAATTATTCTCTATGATACTATAATGGTAGATAAATGTCTGTATACATTTGTCAAAACTCATAGAACTACATCAAGAGTGAATCTTAATGTACTATGGACTTTGGCTGATAATGATGTGTCAATGTTGGTTCATCTATTGTAGCAAATGTATTATAATAAATGTGCAGGATGCTGTGTCTATACTTTCAGCTCAACTTTGCGATAAACCTAAAACTGCTTGAAAAAATAAAGTCTGTCTATCTGAAAGTAATCACAAAAGTTAATAATTACAATAAACTCATATTCAGTATTTCTAAAGCACTTCTTCCAAAGAGCATGTGTAATTTAAAACTTTACTAAAAAACTGAAAGGTAACAAATTGAAAACAATGATTACCTCTAAGAAATGAAACGGAGAAAGGAGGGCTTTCTTTCATGTTTTACTTGTTACAGTGTGGCCTAAACTTTTAACAATACCCATTTTACATTTGTATTATTTGTGTTTAGTAGTATATTTTAATAAAGGGGGCCACAATATACTAAAAAATTAAAGACATTGCTTGCACAACCTTTCCTCACCTGTGACCAGGCTATCAGACTAGATGACATATTTAGAGGTAAGATTAAAGTTATTACAAAAATTGTTAAAAAAAATTTTTTTTAAGTTCTCCCTATGAGCTCAGTCTAATAAAATGTCTCAAGAAAAGCATTTTACAAAAAAATGCCCTTAATGGGCATAATTTTAACAATGCAAATCACCTTTAAAAGACTGTGTGCCTGTAATCCCAGCTATTCTGGAGGCTGAGGCAGCAGGACTGCTTGGGCCCAAGTTTGAAAACAGCCTGGGCAACACAGGCTGTTAAAGAAAAGAAAGAAAAGAAAAGAAATGGAAAAAATGGAGAAAGGGGAATGGGCAAGAGCAAGAATGTGAAAGAACTGAGTCTTTACCTTGGTTAACTTGAATAAAATAAAAACTGTCTTGTATGAACCAGCCTCTTTTCATTTTATTTACATAGGCAACATGGTGGAACCCCGTCTCTACCAAAAACAAAACAAAAACCACATTAAACAAACAAAAATTAGCCAGGTGTGCTAATACATGCCTGTAGTCCCAGTTACCTGGGGGGCTGAGGTAGGAGAATCAGTTGAGCCCAGGAAGTAGAAGCTGCAGTGAGCTGTGATTGCACCACTGCCCCGTAGCTTGGGTGACAGGGAGACCTTTAGTTATTCTAAATAAACACATAATATTCACTAGTGTACTAGAAAATGTTCTTATATAGGGCATATAGATGAAGAAAGAGTACCTGGACTTAAAGAACATGCTTTATGGTAGAGGAGATAAGTAAACAGGGAGTCACAGTACAAGTACCATAACGAAGGTATAAACATAAAGCTAAAGGAGCACAGAGAAGGAGTGTCAGACAAGACTTCAAAGTAAAAGTGAGTTAAGTGAGTTGGTCTTAGGGCTGGGGGCATAGGAAGAGTGTGGGGACACTCTCATTGAGGGAATGGTAGCCTGGCCAGATTTGCTTTTAAAAACTTTATTAGAGGCTGGGCGGGATGGCTCACAGCAGGAATCCCAGCACTTTGGGAGGCCAAGGTGGGAGGATCGTTTGAGCTCAGGAGACGGAGTCTGCAGTGAGTCGAGATTGTGCCACTGCATTCCAGCCTGAGTGACAGAGCGAGACCCTATCTCAAAAATAAACAGAAAATCAAACATTAGTAAAGGCCAGGCGCTGTGGCTCAAGCCTATAATCCTAGCACTTTTGGAGGCCGAAGCAGGGGGATCACCTGAGACCAGGGGTTTGAAACCATGCTGGGAACATGGCAAGACTCCAAGTCTACAAAAAAAAATTTTTAAATGAAAACATTAGACGGGTGTGGTGGCTTGCACCTGTAGTCCCAGCCACTTGGGGGGCTGAAGTGGGAGAATCACTTGAGCCCAGGAGGTGCGGTGAGCCAAGATTGTGTCACTGCACTCCAACATGGATGACAGAGTGAGACCTTGTCTCAGAAAATAAAAACAGGCTTGGCATGGTGGGCTCACACCTGTAATCCCAGCACTTGGGGAGGCTGAGGCGGGCGATCTCTTGAGCTCAGGAGTTCGAGACCATTCTGGGCTACATGATGGAACCCAGTCTCTAAAAAAAATACAAAAAAATGTAGCCAGGCATGGTGGCATGTGCCTGTGGTCTCAGCACTTGGGGAGCTGAGGTGGGAGGATCACTTGAGCCTGGGAGGTTGAGGCTTCAGTGAGCTGAGATTGAATCACAAACAAATACATAATAAAAGTTAGACAGAGGGTCCCACTATGCTGCAGGACACATCATAGCACTTATGATACATTGAAATATCAAATTAGGGCGAAATTTAACATGACAATTACAACATTAAGTTTTACTTTTTAAAAGTTTTTTGAAACTCACAGCCAAAAGAAGCCTAAAGTGACATGACAACAAAATGTAATGTGGTATCCTCTGTGGGATCCTAGAACAGAAAAAGACCATTAGAGGAAGTCTAAGATAATCTGAATATAGTATGGACTTTAGTTAATAATAATGTGTCAGAGTTGGCCTCCCAAAGCATTGGGATTACTACCTACCCACCTGGTGTGAACCACCCACCACACCTGGTTTGCCCGTGTTTTTTGTAGCCAACTTTTCAGCAGCAAAAGTGTGACTCTGGTGTCAAATATTGAGAAGCCAGGCAAGAAAATTAGGTGGTCTGTTACTTTAAGCTTTAAAAAGTTTCATATAACCTTAATGGATATTTTGATGTTATTTTGTGTTTACCTTTGAGCTTTTAAAATGAAAACTAAATGTATGTTTGAATCAACGCCATTTAAAATAAATTTCTGGGCTGCGCATGGTGGCTCACACCTGTAATCCCAGCACTTTGGGAGGCTGAGGCAGGCAAATTGCTTGAGGCCAGGAGTTCGAGACTAGCCTGGCCAACATGGCGAAACCCTGTTTCTGCTAAAAAATAAATAAATAAATAAATTGGTCTGGCATGGTGGCTCACACCTGTAATCCCAGCACTTTGGAAGTCCGAGGCGGGCGGATCACGAAGTCAGGAGATCAAGACCATCCTGGCTAACACAGTGAAACCCTGTCTCTACTACAAATACAGAAATTAGCTGGGTGTGGTGGCATTTGCCTATAGTCCTAGCTACTCGGGACGCTGAAGCAGGAGAATCGCTTGAACCTGGGAGGTGGAGGTTGCAGTGAGCTGAGATCACGCCACTGTGCTCCAGCCTGGGCAACAGAATGAGACTCTGTCTCAAAACAACAACAACAACAACAACAACAACAACAAAAACAACCAAACAAAAATTAGCCGAGCCTGGTAGTGCATGCTTGTAATACCAGTTTCTTGGGAGGCCGAGGCACAAGAATTACTTGAACCCAGGGGGCAGAGGTTGCAGTGAGTTGAGATCGTGCCACAGCACTCCAGCCTGGGTGACACAGCAAGACTCTGTCTCAAAAAAATAAAAAATAAAGTAAATTTCTGATTAAATATTTTGAATTTTATTTTAAAATGCAGTAAGTATGAAATTCAAAAGAAAAAAATGCAGTTAAAAATAGCCTACCTCGGCCAGTCGCGGTGGCTCACGCCTGTAATCCCAACACTTTGGGAGGCCGAGGTGGGCAGATCACAAGGTCAGGAGTTCAAGACCAGCCTGGCCAATATGGTGAAACCCCATCTCTACTAAAAATACAAAAATTAGCCAGGTGTGGTGGTGGGTGCCTGTAGTCCCAGCTACTCAGGAGGCTGAGGCAGGAGAATGTCTTGAACCCGGGAGGCGGAGGTTGCAGTGAGCCGAGATGGTGCCACTGCACTCCAGCCTAGGTGACAGAGTGAGACTCCATCTCAAAAAAACAAAAAAAAGAAATGAGTGTCTAAGAGATATGAGAGGTAGGCTGTATATATATATATATATATATATATATATATATATATATATTTTTTTTTTTTTTTTTTTTTTTGAGACGGAGTCTCACTCTTTCGCCCAGGCAGAGTGCAGTGGTGCTGTCTCGGCTCACTGCAAGCTCCGCCTCCTGGGTTCACACCATTCTCCTGCCTCAGCCTCCTGAGTAGCTGGGACTACAGGCACCAGCCACCATGCCTGGCTAATTTTTTGTATTTTTAGTAGAGACGGGGTTGCACCGTGTTAGCCAGGATGGTCTCGATCTCCTGACCTCGTGATCCGCCTGCCTCGGCCTCCCAAAGTGCTGGGATTACAGGCGTGAGCCACCGCGCCCGGCCTAGACACCCATTTCTAAGAGTTAACTTCTACTACAAGCTTCTAATGTATTCTAGAGCTGCTCTGTACATGTTTTTTAGTTTAGTTTTGAAAATTAACATGCAGTAGTATTGACTTATTTGATATGGATTTCTATGAATTTATTTTTTGATAGAAATATATTTTTTTTAATTTTACTTTAAGTTCTGGGATACATGTGCAAAACATGCAGGTTTGTTGCATAGGTATACATGTACCATGGTGGTTTGCTGCACCTACGAACCCGTCATCTAGGTTTGGTTTGGTTTTTTTTTTTTTTTTTTTGAGATGGAGTCTGGCTCTGTCGCCCAGGCTGAAGTGCAGTGGTGTGATCTCGGCTCACTGCAGCCTCCGCCTCCTGCATTCAAGCGATTCTCCTGCCTCAACCTTCTGAGTAGCTGAGATTACAGGCGCCCGCCACCACACCCGGCTAATTTTTTTGTGTTTTTAGTAGAGACGGGGTTTCACCATGTTGGCCAGGCTGGTCTTGAACTCCTGACCTCAAGATCCACCTGTCTTGGCCTCCCAAAGTGCTGGTATTACAGGCATGACCCACTGCGCCCAGCCTCGTCTAGGTTTTAAGTCCCGTACGCATTAGGTATTTGTCGTAATGCTTTCCCTCCCCTTGCCCCCCACCCACTGACAGGCCCCAGTGTATAATGTTCCCCTCCCTGTGTCCATGTGTTCTCATTGTTCAGCTCCCACTTAAGAGTGAGAACATGGGGTTATTTATTTTTGAGACAAGAGTCTCACTCTGTCGCCCAGGCTGGAGTGCAGTGGCGACACCTTGGCTCACTGCAACCTCTGCCTTGTAGGTTCAAGCGATTCTCCTGCCTCAGCTTCCTGAGGACCTGGATATCAGGCGTGTACTACCACACCCGGCTAATTTTTCTATTTTTAGCAGAGATGGGGTTTCTCCATGTTGGCCAGTCAGGTCTCAAATTCCTGACCTCAAGTGATCTGCCTGCCTTGGTCTCCCAAAGTGCTGGGATTACAGGTGTAAGCCACCATGCCCAGCCTAGTTCTATGAATTTTAACACATTTATAGATTCTTATAACTGCCACTACAATCTGCCTATGGAACAGGATTTTAATTTAAGTATTCAAAAAATACATTTTTTAGAGGTGAAATACAGAAATATTTAGCCTGTTTTCACCATTTTTCAAAAAATTTAAGTACAATTAAGATACAGTGAAATTCGCCCATTTACATGTACAGTTCATCAGCACCATAAGACGGTGAAAAAAAAGTACAATTTGAGTATTGACAAAACGCATCATAGTGCAGCCACCACAACAACCAGTGTATAGCTTCTGACAATCACTGATCTTTTTCTTTTCTTTAGCTTTGTTTTTTCCAGAATGTCCTATATATGGAAGCCTTTTGAGTATGGCTTCTTTTCACTTAGCATAATTAATTTGAGATTCATCTCTGTTACTACTTGTATGAATAATTTGTTTCTTTTTAGTGCCAAGTAATATCTCATTGTATGGGGTATACCATAGTTTTTAAAGTTCATTTCTCAGTTGACATTTGGATAGTTTCTAGCGTACAAATAAAGTTGTTAAAAACATTCACAGACAGGTGTTTTAAGTTGAGTGTACTATTTTATGTTCCCATCAGTAATCTATGAAAGTTGCTCGTCTGAAATTTTATCAGAGGAGGGCTCACGCCTGTAATCCCAGCACTTCGGGAGGCTAAGATGGGCAGATTGAGCCCAAGAGTTCGAGACCAGTCTGGGCAATATGGCAAAACCCCATCTCTACCAACAATACAAAAATTAGCTTGGTGTAGTGGCGTGCACCTCTAGTCCCAGCTACTCGGGAGCCTGAAATGGGAAGGATTGCTTAAGCCCCAAGGAGGGTTGAGGCTGGAGTGAGCCATGATGGTGCCACTGCATTCCAGCCTGGACAACTGAGAGAGACTGTCTCTCCAAACAAATGAAGTGGTATTAGGTTGTTTTTTTTTGTTTTTGTTTTTGTTTTTGAGACTGGAGTCTCACTCTGTCACCCAGGTTGGAGTGCAGTGGCGTGATCTCGGCTTACTGCAACCTCTGCCGCCCGGGTTCAAGCGATTCTCCTGCCTCAGCCTCTTGAGTAGCTGGGATTACAGGCGCCTGTCATCGTACCCAGCTAATTTTTTTTTTTTTTGCCCTTGTTGCCCAGGCTGGAGTGCAATGGCGCGATCTCAGCTCACTGCAACCTCCTCCTTCCGGGTTCAAGCGATTCTCCTGCCTCAGCCTCCCGAGTAGCTGGGATTACAAGCATGAGCCACCACGCCTGGCTAATTTTTTATTTTTATTTTAGTAGAGACGAGGTTTCTCCATGTTGGTCAGGCTGGTCTTGTACTCCCGACCTCAGGTGATCTGCCCTCCTTGGCCTCCCAAAGTGCTGGGATTATAGACGTGAACCACCGCGCCTGGCCAATTTTTGTATTTTTTAGTAGAGACGGAGTTTCACCATGTTGGCCAGGCTGGTCTTGAATTCCTGACCTCGTGATTCTCCTGCCTCGGCCTCCCAGATTGCTGGGATTACAGGCATGAGCCACCGCGCCCTGCCGCATTTTTTTTTAAATGCCATTTTAATAGGCATGTGGTGGTAATACATTGTGATTCTAGTTTGTATTTCCTTAATGGTTAATAATGTTGAATGTGTTTTCATGTGCTTACTTGCCACCTGTATGTCATTGATGAAATGTTTAAATCTTATGCCCACTTTAAAAATTGGGTTGTTTTTTTCCCCTCTTTTGAGAATTTTGTGTATTTTCTGGATACAGGTTTTTAATCAGGTATGGATTTGTTCAGCATTCATTGGTTTCTGATTTTTTTTTGAAAAGGAATAAGATTTGTAAATATTTTCTCCCAGTCCAGCCTATCAATTTTTTTTTTTTTTTGAGACGGAGTCTTGCTCTGTCGCCAAGCTGGAGTGCAGTGGCGCAGTCTCGGCTCACTGCAACCTCTGCCTCCTGGGTTCAAGCAGTTCTCCAGCCTCAGCCTCCTGGGTAGCTGGGATTACAGGCACGCACCACCATGCCCGGCTAATTTTTGTATTTTTAGTAGAGACAGGGTTTCACCATGTTGGTCAGGCTGGTCTCGAACTCCTGACCCTGTGATCTACCCGCCTCGACCTCCCAAAGTGCTGGGATTACAGGCGTGAGCCACCTTGCCCAGCCATCAATTTTTTATTCCATATATTGATTGTGCTTTGGGGTTGTCTCTACGAAAATATTTGCCTAGCCTGTGGTCACAAAGATTTTTCTCTTGTATTTTTTCTTCTAGAATATATCATTTTCAGTTTTACATTTAGGTCTGCAGTGCATTTTGGGTTCTTTTTTTATTCAAAGTATGGATTGAAGCTCTTTTGTTTTGTATATGGACACCTAGTTCTAGCACCGTTAATTGAAAACATTAAAATTTCTCTGTTGAACTGTCTATATTATTAATCCTGATTTGTATTGCATCTGACAGATCCAGAATGATTTGAAAAGTTAATTAGCTAACTGTATTTAGAAATTTGTTAAATGTCTTATTTGGAACCTGGCATTTGCTGACAGTAGTTTGTAATCTACAGAAGGGTTTTCTAAAATAACTTTAAGCCTAAGATTAAAAGATGATTTTGCTAATGATTCATTATCTTTTTGGAAAAACTTGTGTGATTTTTCATGCAGCAAGGATGAGCTGAAATGGTTTTTCCTAGAAGGTGCCCATTTTCTTTTTTGTAGACTTACTTGGTAGTTCTCTAATAATCTGTGTTTGTGCTTTAAATGTCATCTTTGATAGTGATATATTTTGGGGCAATTCTCTTTTTGTTTAAAACCATCACATAGTTGTCCTAAATTAAGTACTCTAGGCCAGGCTTGATGGCTTAGGCCTGTAATCCCAGAACTTTTAGAGGCAGAGGCAGGAGGATCACTTGAGCCCAGGAGTTTGAGACCATCTAAATCAAAATAAAAAACAGCCGGGCGTCATGGTGTATGCCTGTTGCCCTAGCTACTTGGGAGGCTGAGGTGGGAGGATTACTTGAGCCCAGGAGTTAAGGTTACAGTAAGCTATGATGGTTCCACTGCACTCTAGCTTGGGTGACAGAGAGAGACTCTGTCTCTAAACAAACTAAAGGTTTAATTACTTTAAAAAAGTAGTACATAGTTATTGTTAGGATGAGGGTTTTTTTGTTTTGTTTTTTGTTTTTTTTTGTTTTTGAGACAGACTCTTGGTTTGTTACCCAGTCTTGAATGTGGTAGCTCAGTCAGCTCACAGCAGTCTTGAACCCCTGGGCTGAAGTGATCCTCCTGCCTCAGCCTCCCTAGTAGCTAGGACTATAGGACTAGGACTATAGGTACACACCACCACGCCCATCTAGTTTTTTTTGTATAGACAAGGTCTTGCTCGCTATGTTGCCCAAGTTGATGTCCAACTTCCTGGCCTCCAGCAGTGCTCCCACTTCAGCCTCCCGAAGTGCTGGAATTACAGGCATGAGCCACTGTGCCTGGTTTATTCCTGTATCATTAAATTGTATAGACCTGTAGAGTGAAAGAATCGATATTCAGCTGTACATTGGTGTTCTGTACTATAATGAGGTTTGAGTTAATCTCAGTATTTGGATATTTATTATTTAGTAATTTAGAAGTACTTTGCAATTAACACCTTTAAAGTAACTTAAAATGTTGAGTGTTGCAGTAGAAATTAAAATGCCAAGAAGCAGGTGTTTGGAGGTAAATTGAAGACAGACTTTCAGGCTGCGCTTGGTGGCTCACATCTGTAATCTCAGCACTTTGGGAGGCTGAGGCGGGCAGATCACTTGAGGTCAGGAGTTCAAGATCAGCCTGGCCAACATGGTGTGAACCCCCCCACCCCCCACCCCATCTCTACTAAAAATACAAAAATTAGCCAGGTGTGGTGGCGTGTGCCTGTAATCCCAGCTACTCCGGAGGCTGAGGCGGGAGAATCCCTTGAATCTGGGAGGCCTTGTTTGCAGTGAGCTGAGATGGCATCACTGCGCTCTAGCCTGGGCGACAGACCAAGACTCCATCTCAAACAAAACAAAACAAAAAGACTTTCAGGATTAATAGCTGTTTTTAATTTTTTAAAATCATTTGTTCATGACTGCTTTTTTTCATTCCTGAAATACCCACTTTTAAGTCCTTTTTTTTTTTGTCTTTGGAAAACATACTCCTCCTGTCCCTTGCTATTCCATTTTTCTTCTTTTTTTTCCCTTTCTTTATTTGGATAGACTTTGCCATACAATTTTATTTTTATTATTTTTATTGTGGTAAAATATGTGTAACATAAAATTTATCACTTTAACTATTTTAAAGTATATAGTCCAAGCCAAGTGTACTGGTGTGGCGCCTGTAGTTCCAACTGGTCAAGAGGCTGAGGCTGGGCTCCTTGAGCCCAGGAGTTTGAAGGCAGCCTGGGCAACATAGTGAGACCCCCTTCTCTTAAAAAAAAGGATACAGTTCAGTAGCATTAAGTACATTAACAATATTGTACGACTACCACCACCACCATCTTGTTCTAGAACTTGTTCATCACTGCCACACAATTTTAGCACCTAATTGTTCCCTAGTGTTTGGTTGCCATGTTATTAGGTGTAAGAGATAAACAAGACTCAGTTCTTGTCCTCAAGGACTTCACAGTCTAGTGAGAGAAACGTAATACTTACTATACAATTTGGCAAATTACATGTTAGAGCTCCCCATCATTAGATTTTATTTATTGAATTAGAATTTTAATTTTACCTTGAAAAGGCAAAGTAACTTTTTGTTAGGTTAACATTCAAGTTATCATATCTTTCCACACACTGAATTCGTTTAGGCTAGACCAAAAGACTGAAGTCTTTAGTCTTTTGATTTAGGTCATTGTGGGACTCACAAATCCTGATGCCCTATATTTTAAGACAAGAAGGGAACCAGAAAATTGATATTTTGATTTAAAAGCAAATTATGAGCTATTCCTTCCTGATGAAGCAAGGAGATCTGTGAAAACTATGATTAGAGATAACTTCTTAGTTGTCTGCAGCTATCATTTGTTGAAACTGTTTTTACTTATTTTAGTTGCAGTGACAACTTGCTTGATTATGATCAAATACATCATTATAAAGCATGTTTATCTCCTTTGCAGATCATCTTGAGGAATAGTTGCTTTGGAAACTGTCAAGAGCTTATTTTTAATTTCTTGAAAAGCCGGGAGGTATCAGTTGATTTAAAGTTTAATGTCTTAGCAGATTTAGTTTAAAATAATGTTACCAGATTGAGCAGTATTTATTTAAAAATAGGTTTTATTTTCATTACTATGACTTGTTTTCTTCATTATTAAAGATTTAATGCAATATTGCATATAAAAAAGTAAAACAGGCTGGGTGCGGTGGCTCACGCCTGTAATCCCAGCACTTTGGGAGGCTGAGGTGGGCGGATTGCCTGAGCTCAGGAGTTTGAGACTACCCTGGGCAACATGGTGAAACCCTGACTCTACTAAAATACAAAAAATTAGCCAGGCATGGTGGCACACACCTGTAGTCCCAGCTACTTGGGAGGCTGAGGCACGAATACCACTTGAGCCTGGGAGGCAGAGGTTGCGGTGAGCTGAGATTGTGACACTGCACTCCAGCTTGGGCTACAGAGTGAGACTTTGTCTCAAAAAAAAAAAAGGTAAAACAGCGTGGCTCTTTGTTTGTAAGACTCTGTAGTCTTCCTAATGTAGTCAGTCTAAAAGAGTTGGTGTCCCAAATGGTTGATAGTGTTTTAGTTTACAATTTCAACACTTGTTAGGAGACTAAAAGTTCAGATTACTAGGCCTAGATTCCTAATAAGTTGTGTTTTGTTTTGTTTGAAATAGGATCTCGTTCTGTCCCCCAGGCTTGGAGTGCAGTGGCTTGATCACAGCTCACTGCAGCTTCGACCTCCTTGGCCTAAGTGATCCTCCCATCACAGCCCCCTAAGTAGCTGGGACTACAGGCTCACACCACAATGTGTGGCTAATTAAAAAATTTTTTTTTGTAGAAACAGGGTCTCACTGTATTGCCCAGGCTGGTCTTAAACTCTTGTCCTCAAGTGATCTTCCCGCCTCAGCCTCCCAAAGTGCTGGGATTACAGGTGTGAGCCACTGTGCCCAGCTCTAATACATTTTTATAAAGTTTTTGTTTGTTTGTTTGTTTGTTTGTTTTTGAGATGGAGTCTCGCTCTGTCTCCCAGGCTGAAATGCAGTGGTGCGATCTCGGCTCACTGCAAGCTCCGCCTCCCGGGTTCACGCCATTCTCCTGCCTCAGCCTCCCAAGTAGCTGGGACTACAGGCACCTGCCACCACGCCCAGCTAATTTTTTGTATTTTTAGTAGAGATGGGGTTTCACCGTGTCAGGATGGTCTAAATCTCCTGGCCTCGTGATCCACCTGCCTCGGCCTCCCAAAGTGCTAGGATTACAGGCGTGAGCCACCGCGCCCGGCCTTTTATAAAGTTTTTTCTTTTTTTTTTTTTCTTTTTTGAGATGGAGTCTCGTTCTGTTGCCCAGGCTGGAGTGTGGTGGCCCAGTCTCAACTCACTGCAACCCCCACCTCCCGGGTTCAAGCAGTTCTCCTGCCTCAGCCTCCTGAGTAGCTGGGACTACAGGTGCACACCACCACAGCCAGCTAATTTTTTGTAATTTTAGTGGAGATGGAGTTTCATTATTTTGGCCAGGCTGGTCTCGAATTCCTGACCTCAGGTGATCCACCTGCCTCAGCCTCCTGAAGTGCTGGGATTACAGGCGTGAGCCACCACGCCTGACCCATTTTTATAAATTTTTAAAAAGTTGGAATTTGTGGTGTGGTTTTGATTGTGTACTGAAAATGAACGATTGCAGTGTCCTTTTAGGTTAAAAAAAAAAAAGAAAAGTTAAAAATAATCCTTAGTTTGGTTAAGCTGTTAATAGATTTGACACTTAACTGCTTTTGAAAAATAACTGTAATCATCTTTTTTCAGGGTAATCACTTTGATCAGTATGAGGAAGGACACTTGGAAATTGAACAAGCGTCACTTGACAAGCCTATAGAATCGGTAAGATAATCAGTGCTTAATTTCGGGTCTTAGCTAGTTAGTTAGGTAGTGTTCGTGTGACACTTGATGTGAGTGAAGTTAAACTTATTAATAACCAATAGTACAGTTTAGAGTTGTTTTCTTGCATGCCATACAGTAATCAATTAAAGCTTGGGATGTAATCTAATATTTAATATGTTGGGAAATCAGTCCAAAAAAATCTAGAAACACATTAGAATTTCAATGGAAAAATATCTTTTTGGCCCATACCGATACTTTGTTGAAGGTAGCAAGTTAAAGTTTAGCATTTTGTGAATTGAATAAAGGAGTAAAATGTATTTTGATCCTTTATAGCTTCACCTTTCTTGGGCAATATAATTATGTATGAAATGTTCCTACATAAGTAGAATATGTATGGAAATTTTTTTTTAAATGTTATATTAAAAACATTTAAGGAGTAATATGTTTTATTTACCAGACTGTTGTGAAACATGGCAAGTTTGGTCTCTGTAGCTTAAGAAATGTGGTTTTTGTCAAAAGCTGATTATTTCTATCTTTTCACACTGCTTAGTTTTGGACACTGATGATATCAAGCAATAGAACAAGGAGATTTATTTACCTGGCTCTTAGTTTTAAAAAAACTTCTTAATTTTTGAACATTATTTTCACTTTGAAAAACCCGTTATTTTTAAATAACACAGTCTATTGTTAAAATGTCTAAACTTGTCATTATTGTCAGCAGTTACTATTTGTGCTTAAGTGTACATATTTAATAAGGATTTCGGTGAGTTATTGGTAAAACTTGAGTGGGGAAAAAAAGTCAAAAAGGGAATCTTAATCTTTATAACCATCATGACAAGCCCCCCACTTCCCCTTAAGAAACACTAGCTTCTTCCTCAGGAAAATAAGAAGGCAATTTAGAGAATACGGATATTTTAACTTTAGCTTTTATTTTCAAAACTGCAACATAGTAAAGGATCAACATATATTTATGTTCCTAATTAGGTTGGTGTTGTGTGTGTTTGTATGTGTGTTTAGATGTTTACAGAAATTTACACAACTTGGGGTGTTCGACATTTTTCTTCCACAGCAGTTGGCCCATATTAGCTAAGCAGCCATGATCTGGTTTGTATTGCACGGTCTGCCTTTTTTTAATTTCTTCTCTAGGGTTTCTTTCTCCCCACCTCCCTTTCTTATTTCTGTCTTTCTGGTCCAGTGAACACTGCATATAGTACCTTCTGTCTTAATGTGCTGGCATGATGCTAGACTTAGGCATGGCAGTAATTGATGACGCATGTGATAATGCTGCAGAGGGAGAATTCTCATCTGATATTTCACTGAAAGCCTAGTCTTGTGTTTTGACATAAGGATAAAATGCCAAGCCCACTTTGCTAAGTTAAAAATCACTGATTTTAGGCCGGGCACAGTGGCTCAACGCCTGTAATCCCAGCACTTTGGGAGGCCGAGGTGGGTGGATCACGAGGTCAGGAGATCGAGACCATCCTGGCTAACACGGTGAAACCCCATCTCTACAAAAAATGTAAAAAATTAGCCGGGCATGGTGGCAGGCGCCTGTAGTCCCAGCTACTCGGGAGGCTGAGGCGGGAGAATGGCATGAACCCGGGAGGCAGAGCTTGCAGTGAGCCAAGATCGTGCCTCTGCACTCCAGCCTGGGCAACAGAGCGAGACTCTGTCTCAAAAAAAAAAAAAAAAATCACTGGTTTGTGCCTTGTTCTGAATTATTTTGGGGATTATGACAAGGCAGAATTTTGTAATGAAATCTGTAGGCTAGACAGTATCTTGTATTTGCAAACTAATTTAATTTTTCCATTTCAATTTACAAAACTGGAGGGTCTGGCCGGGTGCGGTGGCTCAAGCCTGTAATCCCAGCACTTTGGGAGGCCGAGACAGGTGGATCACGAGGTCAGGAGTTCGAGACCAGCCTGGCCAAGATGGTGAAACCCTGTCTCTACTAAAAATACAAAAATTAGCCGGGCGCAGTGGTAGGCACCTGTAGTCCCAGCTACTCGGGAGGCTGATGCAGGAGAATGGCTTGAACCTGGGAGGCGGAGATTGCAGTGAGCCGAGATTGTGCCACTGCACTCTAGCCTGGGTGACAGAGCGAGACTCCATCTCAAAAACAAACAAATAAAAAAACAAAAACAAAAAAAACCAGGAGGGTCTAAGTTTAAGACAGAGCTGTCAGAATCAGCTCCCCAGTACCACATTCTACAAGGTGCATGGTTGGTTAATTGTCTTACACAAGCTATAATTCTGTGGATACTCAACAGTAGCAGTAAATTTAGATGAAATTTGCAACCTAGTATTCATTATTACGATACTTAACAAATATTTTTTAAACCACTAAATTAAATGATATTTAACATATTTTAAGCCTAGAGGGCTACACTGAAATATTTTTGGAAATTTCATTCCTATGGCACATGAGGCTAATGCTATTTTACCTCTCATAATGTCCAGGACTTTTTCTGCCACATATAGCGAGAACAGTATCAGAAGGCAGTCTAATTGAGTAATCATTGTTGAATAATCTCATTCAGTGGGAGTAGAATTGATAATATGCCTTATTTATTAAGTAGTGCTACCTTCTTCACTTAAAATAGCAAATAGTATATAGTACTCAGGCTGGATATTTAATTTTTTTAAATAAATGAATGTTCAGAAATGTATATTAGTAATTACACTTCTAATGAAAATTTACTTCTGAAAGATAAATATATGCATTATTTGTGATGAGATAGTTTAGGTTGTAGGAGAGAACTTCATGGCCTACATTGTATTAGGTAGAAGTAGGGCACAGGATCTGGGAGAATAAACAAAGATGCAAGAAAAAATAAGAAAAAAAAAAAGAAGTATTGACACACAAGATAAGAGGGATCTTATTTCTGTTGCCTGATCATTTGTGAGTAAAATTTTAAGTGTTTTTCTCTTTTTTCAACTTTTTTTTTTTTTTTTTACTTTTTTTGGTCACAGAAAATTTTAAGTTTTAAGAGAAACTCCTACAGTGATTGGCATCAAAGTAGGTAGTGTTCCCTCCCTCCCACCAAACAAAAGAAGTCCCTTATCACCTGAGGAATGCCCACTAAATAATAAGTAAATATTTAATTACATGGCTGGCTGGCTATATTAAGCTGTTTTGTTTTTAGGGGAAAATGGTGTTACTTCTAACACAGAAAGAGTGCTGAATTAAAATCTTTCTCTGCAGCAATATCTATTGAGAGGTGCTGACTGTTTTGCTACAGCATGCAACTCAAAAGTGGCTGAAAATATGCAGCTTTGGGAGTCTACAGATCATTGCAGGAGCTAAAGGTCTAGTCATTTTTTTTTAACCAAAGGTAATCTGCAGCAGCTGGTAACCGTGGAGGTCTCTGCACAGGTTTGTGCCAAGAATATGCCTGTGTGAAGGGTTATTGTGAGTATAGGATTAAGGTCTTTTTATTTTGTAGTAGGCTAAATTTGATGCAAACCAGCAAGATGGGAAATGAGACATGAAGATGCAATAATGTATTATGCTTTTAGTGAACTTCCGAAGCTTAGATTTGTTAGTGAGATATTGGTATTTCAATTTTATTAGGTAAATGTTGAAAATATATCAAAATCCAGTATTTGTAAAGCATTTAATAATATTTTTTGAAGTTTAATTTTCCCTTATTTGCTTCAACCAACCAGATATCTTTCAATGAGATTTTTCCTCAAGAATGAAATATCTTTTTAAGAAAATTATATGAGAATTGCTAAACAACTTGATTATCTCTATTAAAAACAAGTTGAAAAGTGTGAACATTTTATCCCTATTACGAGAAGCTTTGAATTTGAATTTTAAAAATTGTTATTGCTTTATGAGATATTTAGGTCTCAAATGTTATAATTATAACCTCCACTTACTTAAAGACAAAATATTTACAAAACAAAGCTTGATCTAAAGCCATAGCTCCGTCTAGGATTCAATCACAGAAGAATTAATTGGTGTTTTTTAGGATACACGGTCCTTTATGACCTTTATCATAGTTAGAAGATGAGGAATTGGGCGCAGGGGCTCACGCCTGTAATCCCAGCACTTTGGGATGCTGAGGCGGGCAGATGACGAGGTCAGGAGTTCGAGAACAGCCTGACCAACATGGTGAAACCCTGTCTCTACTAAAAATACAAAAAGTAGCCAGACGTGGTGGCACATGCCTGTGCATGTGCTGGGATTACCCAGCTACTCAGGAGGCTGAGGCAGGAGGATTGCTTGAACCTGGGAGGCAGAGGTTGCAGTGAGTCGAGATCACGCCACTGTACTCCAGCCTGGGTGACAGAGCGAGACTCCGTCTCAAAAAAAAAAAAAAAAAAAAGCGCTGGGTGCAGTGGCTCACACCTATAATCCCAGCACTTTGGGAGGCCGAGGTGGGTGGATCACAGGGTCAGGAGATAGACCATTCTGGCTAACACGGTGAAACCCCATGTCTACTAAAAATACAAAACTTAGCCGGGTGTGGTGGCACACGCCTGTAGTCCCAGCTACTCAGGAGGCTGAGGCAGGAGAATCGCTTGAACCCAAGATCGTGCCACTGCACTCCAGCCTGGGTGACAGAGCGAGACTCGATCTCCAAAAACAAACAAACAAAAAAAGATGAGGGATCAGATGGGAGAATGACTTTAAGCTATATAGAAGGCAGAATGCATGCATCATAGACTTAAAACATGTTGTTACTGTTGTGGTTGGAAGTGCAACTACCCATCAGCCGCTAGTCGGTCCTTGCTCTACCTGACTGATTAAAATTCTTTCTTTATGGTTGTCAGGATGACCTAATAGGTTTAAAAATGTAGTGTAAGCTTCAAACTCCAGTTGCTGATGTTTAGTTTGCGCATCTTAAGGATTTGGAAGTATATGTATAATTGGGTTTTGTGATGTTGCATATCTGTCTAGATCTGTGGACTCCACTAGTTCCAAACTGTAATTCTTTATAAGACTGCTGATTTGACATTTAGCAGTGACCATATGTGGACTGCACTAGAAATAATGTGCTTCTTGGAGCTGAATGGTGTAGCATTACTATATGGCTTTTCTCTCTAGTCTTCATTGTGTCATCTGTAGTGAGCTATAGAGTTTTTTTGTTTCGGGAATTTTTACAACTTGTTTGCATGGGTTCACCTAGTAGCATTGGTTCTTGCTTATAGTCTTTAATACACAATCAGCAAAGCTTACAATCCACTCAAGAGACTTACTATTTTGTCACTGTTGAAAATGGGCTAAATGATGTAAATTGAATGTGGCTGTCAACTAAAACAAAATTCAGTATAGAATTAGTATTCATCCAGTCATGGACATACCTGTAGCATGGTTTTCTCTTGAGACATAATAGGCCGTTTCCTACTGTAAAAACTTACAGCCAGCTTCATACAATAAAGTAAATTTTTTCCTGTGTTTTGGCAGGCTCCCGTCATACATGTGTATTGGTGGTGCTGTTACCAAAATGATCATTGTTACTATGGTGGCATACAGCTTCATGGAGCAGAAAGTTTCTACTTGGTATTTAATTAATAAAATGTTGAGGAATGGCTGAAACAGTTAATAATGAAGTATTTTTACATTGCTGGTATTGTGTTTTCAGCATATTGGTAGTTTATAATACAGACTTCTTGTTGTCAAAGATCTTCCCGCTTAAAAATTATATTCCTTTTCTCACGTGTTTATTAGAGAAGAACAAATGATAAAAATTAGCATTTTAATGATATATTTATGTGTAGAAATAGGGGGAGAAAAAAAGGCCAACTGAGGTAATCTAGGTGAAAAAGTTTGTTTTCAGTTTAGCTACATGGTTTAACCAGAATTAGAAGAAGAACTTCATTTCCAACCAAAGAACAGGCCGCACAGCCACCATTTTGGGGTCTTGAGCAGAGAGAGAAAACAAATAGGTGGTTTGTGAGAACTCTGAATTATGTAGAAAACCAGCTTTTCTACATAATAAATAAGCTTTGCCTTATTTATTAAAGTTAGGATTTCTTTGCAGTTCTTAAATGTACATTTAAATTATATCAAGTTGACTTTAGAAGAAAAAAATTATAAGCAGCCTACCTCTATCATGTATCTTTGTTGTTAACCAGAGTTTTTAAAATGAAAAAAATTTCTGTAATTTATTTTTGGTTCTATGAGATTATAATTAAACCCCAAATTATATATTTAAAAAACAAAAACCAAAAGATTTTTAGTCATTATTATAGTAACTGAAATTAAGTAGAGTTACTTTTTTTTAAAATTATTTTTAAAAATAATTACTACTTTGGAAATAAATTGGCTGGGCATGGTGGCTCACACCTGTAATCCCAGCACTTTGGGAGGCTGAGATGGGAGGATCACTTGAGCCTTGCAGGTCAAGGATGCGGTGAGCTGTGACTGTGCTACTGCACCCCAGCCTGGGTGGCAGAGCGAGACCCTGTCTCACAAAAAAAAAAAAAAAAAAAAAAAAAAAAAAGGAACAAAGAAATTTAATGTTCATTGCCCTTGTTCTGTCTAGATTACCTGTTTGAGCCGTAAGCTACTTGTGCCAACTTGGTGTTGTAAATAGCATCCATGGACCAGTCGTGGTGGCTTATGCCTGTAATCTCAACACTTGGGGAAGCCAAGGCAGGCGGATCACTTGAGGTCAGGAGTTTGAGACCAGCCTGGCCAACGTGGTGAAACCCTGTCTCTACTAAAAATACAAAAAAAAAATTGGCTGGATGTGGTGGTGCGTGTCTGTAGTCCCAGCTACTCAGGAGGTGGAGATTGTAGTGAGCTGAGATTGCCGTTACACTCCAGCCTGAGCTACAGAGTGAGACTCCGTCTCAAAAAAAAAAAAAAAATCCTGGAATAATTGGAATAATTTGCAAAAATTACAGTCGTTAACAGAGAGAATAGATTGCTTGTTTCCCAAAGACTGGTTATTGAGTTTCTTGTTCTTTCACAGAGATAGTTTTGATCATTTCAGAGGTAGACAAGTCTGGTTTGTTTTACTTTGTTATAAATTATTTTGGTGTGCCTCCTTGTGTTAGCCGTCATCCTTAAGCCTATTGGATTTTTGACGAGTGTTTATAAAACCTTTTTTTCTTTTACTGATAGGAAGGGAGACCATACTGAATACTAGCCCTTCCTGCAGAGTCACAGAGCTGCCTTTTTTCCTCCAAAAGCAGGTAGTTTGAAATGATAGGAAAGGTCCAGTTTTTCTGTGTTGGTCATTCATTTACCCTAGGAGGTTGGTGAGGGGAGGAGAGATTCTGGGAGATGTGTCTATTGTTTCTATTGCCTTTGTTATGATTGGAAGGACTTAGAGTGGCAAGTTAAATATTTTATTATAGTCCCTGAGAAAGTGGATTTAATTAAAGAACAGTTTTAACCTAAAGTTTTAGAAGAGAAATGCCACTACCATTTTCTATCAATGATTTTTTTCTGAGAAGGTGACAGCCATCCTCTTGAGTGGTTTTGTAAAAGTGGTGCTAATGTGTATAACCTTAATTTTTTCTTTTTTTTCTCCCTCTCCCTTTAACATTTGCTTTTCCTTTCACTGTTGTCAGTCACAACACGCTGCTCTTGAATCTCTCAGCTGGTCTTGACTCGTGAATTTACTTATGCTTTCACTCTTTAATAAATACATTACTTGCAAGCAGTGAATTGAAAACAAGACAAAAAAAAAAACGACCATTAGTGATTGGACAGTTTCTTACTTTGTGTTACATTTAACTGTTCTTTTGACAGCCCAGTTTTTAAAGCCAGGTTCGTATGGAAATGCTTTCACTCCACTTGCACTGCTTTTGGAAATAGCATACTGCTTCATCTGTCTGTTTATTTGAGTGCATTCATAATATAACACAATCAGCATAATGTCTCATCTCCACTTAGCCAAAGATTGAGTTTTCTTTAAAAAAGAAACAACAACAACAACAACAAAATGGAGGGGGGGGGAGCAACAATTTTTGTCAGCATTGTTTAATGCCTAAATCTTGGTGCCAAATATAGTTATGAGTCTGTTAAGAGATTAAACAATTATCTGATAAACCATATACTCTTAAAGTCATTCTGCTATCCTTGTCCTTCCTAGAATTATTCAGTTGTAGGAATTATGATATGAAATAAGGATTTTCTGCACAGGTAAGTTTGTTTTCATAGTAGTAAAATAAGGGCCTGTTTACCTTTTTGTTTTCTGCTAACATTACTTATATTGAGACTTTTAATCTTTTCTGTTTTAGGGGGTAATAAAGTTATAAATAGTCAGACACTGAACACTGGGTAAGGGAATGTTTTTCCTGGCAGTTCAGTTAGGAGGGGGGAAGGGAAGAAGCCCCAGCAGCCAGTAGTGTTATATTATATTTTTGTGATGTGTAGTAATGTGGAAGTCAGTGCTTGGGATCAGTAGTGTTTCTAATTCTTTCAAATGGTATAGAGCAAAAATAACTTGCAGCACACTTTTGTGCACCATAATGATTTTATATGTATATTTGAAACAATATGTTTTGTTTTAGAAACAAATTTTTCGTTATAATTTGCCTCCAGTTTTTGCTTTTAGAAAAGTATCCTGGGTTCATGCCTGTAATCCCAGTACTTTGAGAGGCTGAGGAGGGAGGATTGCTTGAGCCCAGGAGTTCTAGATCATCGTGGGCAACATAGTGAAACCTCATCTCTACAAAAAATAAAAAAATTATCCAGGCATAGTGTTGTGCGCCCATACCTCCCAGGCTGAGGTGGGAGGATTGCTTGAGCCCAGGAGGTCAAGGCTGCAGTTAGCTATAATTGCACCACTGTACACCAGCCTGGGCAGCAGAGCAAGATGCTGTATCAGAAAAAAAAAAGTCCTGGTTTTCCCCCATCAATGAAATAATTAGCTGTTTAGCCCAGTTTTCCAGGTTGCATGCTGTCATAAACTTACAGAAGAAAATGGTCCTTAAACAAACAAACAAACAGAGCATTCGGGAGGCTTAATCTTCTTCTAACTTCTAGTTAGGGAAGGTAACAGTAAAAAAATGTTTTTCTTTCCTCTATGAGTTCAAAGAACACTTTATCATTGAATATGGAGATGCCAGACAGTTTAATGTGCAATATTTGGTTTTAATGCAGAAATTTGTGGTTTCGTCAGCTTTATAAATTGATTTCAGGAAATATGGGATTTTCAAATGATTTACCTTTGTTTTCTGCTAACATTACTTATATTGTGACTTTTAATCTTTTCTGGATTAATACTATAAATTACATTTTAATACATATAGAATACTTTGTGTTTAGAATTTTTCAGTGTTGTCCATTGGGTGAATATGATCATTTTTTCTGATACAGTTAGTGCTTATTTTAGCCTTGTCTTGGTACTTCACAATAACTGTAAAAAGCAAAGAATTGGACAAAGAAAGGGCTGCAGATGTTTCCAATACCTTGACCCCTTAAACGAAAGCTGACATTTAATTGTTGTTTGTAGCATTTTTTTCATGCAGTTTACATTGAAATACCTTTTCGAATGTGCTCCTGGGAAGATGAGACATTATGTATGTTGGTTTCTACCCCTACATGCACTAATGGTTCTTTACTGTTAACTTATTGCTAGGCCTGTTTCATTCTAACATCTTAGCATTTTTGTTAGACTACATGTTGAAATGCATCACTCAGTCTGTGCTTGAGCTCATTTTATTTTTCTGTTTAATCAACTTAATTTCTTGTTTTACTAACCTCACTGTTTTTTCAGTTTAATATTGGCTGCATGCTAGTTAAATATTTATATTATATATATTATTTTTTTAAACCAATCAAGTCTAGCCTGGATTTTGCTCTGATTGTTTTTTCATTTCTAGTGGTGGGGCAGTCTTACACTTATAACTTACTTTGTATCATGAAAGCCTGACACATAAACAAAACAACTAAACACAGTGTAGATTTTCTTTAAAAAAAAAAAAATCTTAAAGTGGTGCTGTTTAGGTGGTGGATATGACTGTATAAGTACCTTGATTTTATGCTTTTTAGTGTTATTTTAAAACTTCATAAATGTATTCTTCCCCTTTTCCCTTTCCCCTTTTACTCCATTTAAAAATGTTATATACAAAAGTTGCCCAACACACCATCAGAAAGGACCCTTACCCCATATGTTCTTCCCATGTAAAATACTAGCCAGCTTTTCTTTTTACATTAATGTCCCTCTTATTGGGCACATTTACCCTATTATTAGCACCTTTTTGCATGCATATATGTAGAAGTATCTCTTGCTCATCATCTGTTTAAATGTCTCTAGGAAGGGAAGAATATATTATTGGAATATTTTTGGTTTGTCTCTCTGTTCTGTCTGTCAGGATAATATTGGACACCGCTTACTCCAGAAACATGGGTGGAAGCTGGGCCAGGGATTGGGAAAATCTCTTCAGGGTAAGTGTTTACATTTACCAGAGAAAAAGGAAGAAAACCATTTCTGATGCAGATCTTGTACCTGAATGTATTTGTTGTGTTTTTAAAAAAGTACTTGGGTTTCTCCCTACTACCTTTTTCCCCTTAGAGTAGTCTGTTTGTCCTATAACTGTATTTTAAGTCACTGTTAAGCCTCTATATTTGCCAGTAATTTGCAAGAGTAAGCTGCTGTGTCATCGAAACTTTCAAGTCAAACATACTGTGTGTGGCTCAGCCTGTTTTAAATTTTTTTTTTGGTGGAGGTGATGGGTGAGTGGAGTAAAAGGAATGCAAAATATCAGAGTATGCTTTCTTTGTGCTATTTAGTAATGTATTCTGGCTTCAGTATTATAAAGAGAATCATTCAGTAGCAGAATTTAATTTTTATTCTTTTAAATTCTCCCTGAAGCTGGTGATTGCCCTGGCTCTTTTGCTCTGCAATAAGAAATTTATGTAGTGGTAGAGAAGAAAAATTAACCTCCATGAAACATAAAATGAAAGCAGAGGTTTTTGAGGGCTCTCTGAGCAGAGAGGTTATTTCTCAGGTTCCTATCAAGGTCTGGAAAATGTATGGCTTAAAGTTTCCATTGCATTTGTTACTCTGTTTATACCAGTCATTTGTATTAAAAACAAAATACTAATATTTCAGCTTCTGAGTTCTCCCTAGTTGGAAACCAACCAACTGCGTTCTCTTTTTAGCTTTCTCAGATTCAAGAGCTACTGTTTGTTCTTTGCAGATGTGATATGAATGCTACCTCAGAAATTATGGGAATTGGCCGGGCGCGGTGGCTCACGCCTGTAATCCCAGCACTTTGGGAGGCCGAGGCAGGTGGATCATGAGGTCAGGAATTCAAGACCAGCCTGGCCAACTGGTGAAACCCCATCTCTACTAAAAATACATAAATTAGCCAGGCGTGGTGGCACATGCCTGTAGTCCCAGCTTGGGAGCCTGAGGCAGAGAATTGTTTGAACCTGGAAGGCGGAGGTTGCAGTGAGCCAAGATCGTGCACCTGTACTCCAGCCTGGGCAACAGAGTGAGACTCCGTCTCAAAAGAAAAGAAAAAAATTACGGGAATCGTTGTGCCTCTACATCTGGTCATGCGGGAGCTTATTGTATAATAGGCATCTTTGGGGAGAAGTGTGCTACTGTTGACTAATTCTTTGAATTCAGGAAATGGATTTTCAGTTTGAATGCCAAAGTCTGATCAATTCAAGTGTGTTGAGAGGAACACAAGGACAGGTGCAGTGGCTCATGTCTGTAATCCCAGCAGTTTGGGAGGTTGAGGCAGGAGGACTGTTTGAGGCCACGTGTTCAAAACCAGCCTGGGTGAGATAGCAAGACCCTGTCTTGATCTTTTAAAAAAGAAAAAATTAATTAATTAATTAAAAAGAGAGAAACCAGGAGGACAGGGCTTGAAATAGGATGTTTCAGTTATTTATTTATTTATTTATTTATTTATTTATTTATATTTTGAAGTGGAGTCTCGCTCTGTCGCCCAGGCTAGAGTGCAGCGGCGCGATCTCGGCTCATTGCCAGCTCCACCTCCCGGGTTCACGCCATTCTCCTGCCTCAGCCTCCCAAGTAGCTGGGACTACAGGCGCCTGCCACCACGCCCAGCTAATTATTTGTATTTTTATAGAGACGGGGTTTCACCGTGTTAGCCAGGATGGTCTCGATCTCCTGATCTCGTGATCCGCCCGCCTCGGCCTCCAAAAGTGCTGGGATTATAGGTGTGAGCCACCGCGCCTGGCCAGGATGTTTCAGTTATTAAAACCTTTAATTTTAAAATTCTACTTCTACAAATTCTATTGACTGGTGACACATGGGAGATGCTCAATAAATATGTTTTAATGAAATATTCATTACTAAGCATTAACCTATTCTTCTGGGGAAATAGAAGATTTAATTACCTTTAAACTTGTTTTCCAGTGGCACAAGAACTCTTTACAAACAATACAAAGAATACTCTGATTAAGAGCAATTCGTATGGGATAGACCACAGATTTTGTAAGAGCCCAGAAGAGAGAAGATAATCAGGACTGAAATGGAGATGGCTTTTTGATAGAATTTGTCCCAGTGGTTTGCATAGTTTTAAGTGTTGGGTTGACTTGAATGGAGGTGATTGTTTTAGAAGAAGGTCAGAAGACTAGATTTGCTTTTCTCTCCAATTTGAAATACCTCTTCTATTCGAGGACACCCAGGAACATTGTTGATTGTTATTCTCTTTGTTCAGGCACACAAGGTGGGGCTGGTTCATAGTGGCTAGCAAATCTGTTTGAATCCCAGAATTTTTTATGTTAAGCATCAGAGACTTTAAAGTACAACTAGAACCTGCAGAGAGAAAGGAGGGAGAAGAGATAGATAATGTGTTTAAGAAAGGATAGGTAAATGGCTACTCACCTACTTTGGATGATCCAAAGTTATTTTCAATTTTTGTTTTTAAGGAGATTTTAGGCAGGGTGCTGTGGCTTATGCCTGTAACCTCAGCACTTTGGGAGGTTGAGGCAGGAGGATCACCTGAGCCCAGGAGTTTGAGACCAGCCTAGGCAACATAGACCCCATCTCTATCTCCCCCTACACCCCACCCCCCAAAAATTAGTTGGGCTTGGTAGTCCATGCCTGTGGTCCCAGTTAAGAGGTTTAAGGTAGGAGGATTGCCTGAGCCCGGAAGGTTGAGGCTGCAGTGACCCTTGATCGCACCACTACGCTCTAGCCTGGGTGACAGAGTGAGACTCTGTCTCACACACACACGAAAAAAAAACAGTTTAGAATTTTGGTTCCCTTTAAACTTTGAGCTTCTTGAAAAGAGGAGTTAGGTTTTATCCATATTTTGCCTCCATCTCCATGGTAACAAGTATATATAGTAAGTACTCAATAACTCATAAATCTATTCATTTAAAAATTCAAGGGAAATTTAAAGCTCATTTGAAGGTTTTTTTTCTTTTTAATTGTTAAAAAACGGATAACATAGCCGGGTGCAGTGGCTAGCGCCTGAAATCCCAGCACTTTGGGAAGCTGAGGCAGAAGGATTACTTGAGGCCAGGAGTTGAGACCAGCCTGGGCAATATAGCAAGACCCCCATCTCTACAAAAAAAAAAAATTAATTGGCTGGACTTGGTGGCACACACCTATAGTCCCAGCTACTAGGGAGGCTGAGGTGGGAGGATCACTTGAGCCCAGGATTTGAAGGATGCAGTGAACTATGATTGGGCCATTGCACTCCAGCCTGGGTGACAGAGCAAGACCCTCTGTTTAAAATAAATAAATAAATAAAATAAAATTCACCCTTTCCAAAACACATAACATAAAATTTAGCATCTTAATCATTTTTAAGTGTACAGTTGTGTATGTGAAGTATATTTACATTGTTGGTGCAAAGTCCATCTGTTTTAAATGATTAGTATCTTTATTCTCCAAAAAGAATGGAGCCTTATTCTGTTTCCAACATTAAGAATTGAGTTTGTTTCATAACTGACTGTTTACTTCCTAGTGTCGGATTCAGCAGTGTACATGCAGGCATTGTGCTGGTTTCTCTCACATACCTCTTTCTATAGTACCCACATAATTTAACCTAGAATATATCCACATTTATTGCATATTGAGGCAATTTATGACAGATTTCTTTGACCATACTAAACCTTTGATATAAATAACCATTCAAAAAAGCCCTGTCACTCTAGTGTAAACAGTAGGCATCGCATGTGATTTCTGGGCTTATGCTTTTGTAAGTTCTTCACATTGACTAGTTCATTGTCAACTTTCCTTTTGATTTGAGTTTAGGACTCTTAACATATCTCACATGCAACCATCCACTAAAATTTTAAGCCTGGTCCTTTTGGGCTTTTTTGTCAAAGCTTTAAAAATTATTTTGACCCATGCAAGGCTTTTGCCAACAAAAGTTGCAGTTCTTGGTGCTCCAGTGCTGATGTCTTGTTACTGAATAGATTGGAGAATAGGGCATGCAGACTCTGGAATGAAGTTATCTGTGGCAGGATATTAAATTGTACTTTGTAAACTGAGTTTATTTTTGTACCCATTTTCTTATTCACATTTCATTCTCCTTTAGTATTTGTTAAAATATTTCAGAAATTTTAAAAAAGTTATTATATATGGCCGATAATTATTAGTATTAAAAAATAAAAGACCTGAAGAAAAGATAATGTTGACAAGATATCTGAAGGAAACAACACAAAAAAAGCACTACTGATGAGAAATATTATGAACAATTGTTTATTATAGAAACAGAGGATATGTTTAATTCAGAATAAAGCAAGAGTGAATGATAGTTGTATTTTGTAGCATTTAGACTGGATTCAGTTCTGGAAATTGTTTTATAACCTTTTGTCAGCTTTGAAATGGAATGTAGTTCAAAATTTTTATTTTTCTGTGAAATACATTTAGTCAATAGGTGTAGCCCAGAAATGGTGCCTGAAGTTTCTTTGTTACATTGTGTAAGTACTATTTGATGATTTGGCTGATTCTTTGGTGACAGACAAAAGTTTAGCTCCTAGGAAAAATGAATGGGGTCTGATATTATTTCCTATCTCACCCTGTTTAGAAGGTTCGATGAGTACATTTAGACAACCAACACATATTTACTGACCTAACACTACATTCTTGTTATACCAGCAGTAAATACCCTAAGACATGGAGAGTAGATAAGACATGGTTCCTGACTTTCAGGTTTATTTCCCAGTCCCTCAAGTCTTGCTTTTTTTTTTAACTGCTGTAGACCTTTGAAGTTTCCTTGAAGCCAAGGATGATGTTTTCTACTTTTGTGCACTCCTTTCATACTTAAATTAAGTATGTGATCAGTCTGAATATTTAATTAAAAAATTGTTTCAACCCCCTTGTGAGTAGGAAGTCTCACTAATTTTTGTGTAAAAGTACTTGGTGCAGGGTGTAATGGCAGTTTGTTAACATTTGGAAATAAAAGATCTGGGTTTGATTTTGGCACTACCATTTCCTATAAGTGAAGGGACAAGGTACCATTACTGAATTATTTTCCTCAGCAATAAATGGATATTAAAATCTCTGCCTGTCTTCTTAAAGAGTAGTTATGAAAACAAAGTAAGTGAACTTGCATTATACAGACTATAAAAATGCCATATATGCTTATTATTAACACCTATTGTATAGTACATAGTTCTTTTAACTGAATTAGAGATAATCCATCCTTAGGGCTTCCAAGATTAACAACAGTAATAGTTAATATTGCTTTATATGTGATAGATGTTGGACTTCAGGATCTGTGCTTTTGATGTTAGATGTGTTTTAGAGCCCCTAAATCCCTAATTTTGGTGTCTGTTTCACTAATTCTGAGCTCACTAGTCATCTCTACTCCTGAGTCTAACTTCTGAAAAATCTAACATCTAGAAAGAGCATCAGTCACTCAGTCGTGGCATTGGAACAACTGAATAACAACCCAGAATTTTAAAAGTTGGGTCCCCATTGTCATTCCTTACCCCACATAGATTCCAGGTGAATGAGAGGTTTAAATGTAAAAAATGAAATCATGAAATTATTAGGATGAACAATGGTAGAATTATTATCTTAAAATAATATTTGAGTAAGAAAAGCTTTTCTGAGCATAACCCAAAACTTAGAAGCCCTTGAGAAAAGGTTAAGGCCAGGCACAGTGACTTAAGCACCTGTAATCCCAGGACTTTGGGAGGCCAAGGTGGGAAGATCACTTGAGGCCAAGGGTTCAAGACCAGCTTGGGCAACAACAAGACCCAGTTCCTAAAAAATTTTAAAAAATAGATTAGCCAGGCATGGTGGCGTGCATCTGTATTCCTAGCTATTTGGAAGGCTGAGGCAGGAGGATCCCTTGACTCCAGGAGTTCGAAGTTGCAGTGAGCTGTGATTGTGCCACTGTACTCCAGCCTGGGCAACAGAGCAAGCCTGTCTCAAAAAAAGGAAAGGATAAGTTTGGCTATATTTCATCATAAACAAAGTCAACAAACAGACTGGGGAAAATATCTGTAATATCTCATTATAGGCAAAGAACAAGTTTCCTTCAGGTATTTATCAGCTTGAGAAAGACCAAAGTTAGCCTGGTAAGATTATGGGAAAATAGGTACTTACATCATAGCCATGAGAATATCAACTAGTGAAAACATTACAGGGAACAACTTGGATTACTTAAAAATTAAAATGGATGTGTTCTTGAATCCAGCTTTTTTTTTTTTTTTTTTCCTTTGAGACAGAGTCTTGCTTTGTTGCCCAGGCTGGAGTACAGTGGCATAATCATAGCTCACTGCAGCCTTGATCTCCTGGGCTCAAGTGATCCTCCTGCCTTAGACCCATGAGTAGTGGGGACTACAGGCGCATGCCACCATGCCTAATTTTTTTTTTTTTTTTTGAAATGGAGTCTCGCTCCATCGCCCAGGCTGGCTGGAGTGCAGTGGCACAATCTCGGCTCACTGCAAGCTCCACCTCCCGGGTTCACGCCATTCTCCTGCCTCAGCCTCCTGAGTAGCTGGGACTTCAGGCGCCTGCCACCGTGTCTGGCTAATTTTTTGTATTTTTTTTTAGTAGAGACGGGGTTTTAGCGTGTTAGCCAGGATGGTCTCCATCTCCTGACCTCGTGATCTGCCCACCTCGGCCTCCCAAAGTGCTGGGATTACAGGCATGAGCCACTGCGCCCGGCGAACGCCTGACTAATTTTTAAGAAATTTCTTGTAGAGACTAGGTCTCACTAGTCTTCCAGGCTGGTCTCGAACTCCTGGGCTCATGTGATCCTCCCACCTTGGACTCCCACAGTGCTGGGATTATAGGTGTGATCCACCATGCCTGGCCTTTTCATGCAATTAACAAAATTTTTAGGATATAAAATTCTTAAGCACATCTTCCTGGTTACTAAATAATTAATATGATTGTTAACACACAGTTGCTTCCTATGTAATAACATGTACATTCCGTTTGTTGATACTGAAGCAGCTTTTTCAAAGTTTTGCTTGTTTTATTTGGAGTGTATCTCCAGACATCTCACACATCGTTTTAAGAACATTGTATTAAGTTTTGGGATTGAAATAAATAAATGTAAAAATTTTACTTTATAAAATCATTAGCCAAAAAATATGTTGAGAGAGATGAACATTCTCTGTAGCTTGTATAGTAAAACTGAGGCATTATTGTGAAATATTAAAATGGTACATTCTGTGGGCATACAGGAGTGTGCCTGTATATTTATGTTTGTATTTACTTGACCATAAAGATAAAATTTTTGTTAAAGATAGACTCTCTGAAGGGAAACTGAGTTGCATTTTACTATATTTTTAAAATTTGGGCCAGTTGCAGTGGGTCACACCTGTAATCCCAGCACTTTGGGAGGCCGAGGCGGGCAGATCACCTGAGGTCAGGAGTTCAAGACCAGCCTGGCCAACATGGTGAAACCCCTTCTCTACTAAAAATATAAAAATTAGCTGGGTGTGGTGGTGCGTGCCTGTAATCCCAGCTACTCAGGAGGCTGAGACAGGAGAATCACTTGAACCCAGCAGTAGAGGTTGTAGTGAGCCGAGATTGCGCCACTGCACTCCATCCTGGGCAACAGAGCGAGACTGTGTCTCAAAAAAAAAAAATTGTTCTGTACTTGTATTACTATTCAAAAAATATAATTGTTTGAGAAAAGACCTAAAGAAGGCAGAATGAAAACAGAGTAGAGTTGGGGGTATTTCTTTGGTTTTATTTATGTATACCTCCTTCCCAGTCTTGTTTCAGTTAGGAAATAAATGGTGAATACAATGTAGGGTAAGGCCTGCATTACATAAGTCTCAAATATGTTTAGACTACATTTTATGACTAAAGGAAAATTAGACTTTTTTTTTTTCCATTGGAGATGAGGTCTTTCTATGTTGTACAGGCTGGTCTCAAACTCCTGGCCTCATGCAGTCTTCCCACCTTGTGCTTACAAAGTGCTAGGATTACAGGCTGAAAACTAGATTTGAATTCAAAAGAATAGAATAGAAACATGTAATGTTACAATTTAGGCTTTATTGTTAAATTAGAATATGAATTAATATTGCACTCACTTCTGGCCTGGTGTGGTGGCTCATGCCTATAATCCCAACACTTTGGGAGGCTGAGGCAGGAGGGTAGCTTGAGGCCAGGAATTTGAGACCAACCTAGACAATATAACAAGACCTCATCTTAACAGAAATAGAAAAATTAACCAGGTGTGATGGCACACGCCTGTAGTCCTAGCTACTTGGGAGGCTGAGGCGAGAGAATCGCTTGAGCCCTACCTAGTGTTGGAGGTTATAGTGAGCTGTGATGTGCCACTGCACTTCCTGCACCTTAGCCTGGGCAACATAGCTAGACCTGTCTCTATAAATAAATAAGCAAGACCTGTCTCAATCAATCACTATAAATATTTTACTGATTTCTTAAGAAAAATCATTTTTTGTCTGGGCGCTATGGCTCACGCCTGTAATCCCAGCACTTTGGGAGGCCGAGGCAGGTGGATCACCTAAGTTCAGGAGTTCGAGACTAGCCTGGCTAACATGGCGAAACCCCACCTCTACTAAAAATACAAAATTAGCGGGGCATGGTGGCGAGTGCCTGTAATCCCAGCTACTCGGGAGGCTGAGGCAGGAGAATTGCTTGAACCCAGGAGGCGGAGGTTGCAGTGAGCTGAGTTCATGCCAATGCACTCCAGCCTGGGTGACAAGAGCGAAACTCTGTCAAGAAAAATCATTTTTTGAGAAAATATTTTCATTAATATTATAGTGACATAGATACATTTTTCTGAAGTCTTTACAGAAGCTAAGTTGTCTTTCTATCTTACTTTCCCTTTTCAATTCATGTTTTCCTTTATAAAAAGGAAATAATGCTTAATATTTATTATGTGCCAAATATTGATCTAGAGTCTGGATGTTTTGCATGGTCTCATTTAATGAAATAGATATTAATATGCTCATTTAATTTTATTTTTTTTAATTTTTTTTTTTTGAGATAGAGTTTCACTCTTGTTGCCCAGGCTGTAGTGCAATGACGCGATCTCGGCTCACCGCAACCTCTACCTCCTGGTTCAAGCGATTCTCCTGCCTCAGCCTCCCGAGTAGCTGGGATTACAGGCATGTGCCACCACGCCTGGCTAATCTTGTATTTTTAGTAGAGATGGGGTTTCTCCATGTTGGTCAGGCTGGTCTCGAACTCCCGAACTCAGGTGATCTGCCCACCTCGGCCTCCCACAGTGCTGGGATTACAGGCGTGAGCCACCATGCCCGGCCACTCATTTTATAAATGGAAAGTTTTGGAAAGATGATACAGCTACCGAGGGTCTGCCATTCAAATATAAGCCTAACTTTGAAATCAATATTTATACCTTTTCCCTTCTTAGGAAAAGCTGATACTGAAAATAGGAATAGGTTGGTGGGGGAATAGCAAATATGTAGCTCCCCCAAATCACAAATCAAGGTATGGATTGTCAGAAAAGCTTAGTTATACACAGAGCTGGTGTATTTGAAGAAGCATGTAGCTATAATCTCTGTTTCCTGCTAATTAAATGGGTCTTGGAGTCTTCATACAGTTGCCAAAGGCAACCATAATTTTAGTTATTCACAATCCACATTTAATAAAATAAAATATAGAGCTTGTAGAGCCTTTGACCTTTTTAATGGAATAAATATAAACTATAGAGAAGAGGCCCAGGTAATAAACAAGATTAGTCAGAATTGGCAGTCTAAGGTAAGAGGTTAGGTTTTAGGGATAAAACAGAAAAGGAAAGGACCGGATGTGGTGGCTCACCCCTGCAGTCCCAGCACTGTGGGAGACCAAAGCAGGAGGATTGCTTGAGGCCAGGAGTTCAAGACTAGCCTGGGGAACATACCCTGTCTCTACAAAAATTAAAATAAATATAAAGATGAAAGGGATTGCAGGAGAGGAGACTGAATGAGAATGATAAACTTGCATGCTGTATAGAAAGGGACTACTTGTTTCTCAGTACGGAGATCATCACATTTAAAGGATAAATGAAAAGACCTTAAATGTGAGTTAAGTCATGGCAAAATAACAATCAGAAAAGAAGTTGCAGTTCCAGTGGCATGTGCCTGTAGTCCTAGCTACTCAAAAGTTTAAGGCAGAGGGATCAGTTGAGCCTGGGAGTTCAAGTCCAGCCTGGGCGACATAGTGAGACCCCTTCTAAAAATTAGGCAAGGTAGTGCACACTTATATTCCTAGCTACTTGGGAGGCTGAGGTGGGAGGATTGTTTGAATCTAGGATTTGAAGGTTACAGCTATGATTGTGCCACTGCACTCCAACCTGGGCAACAGAGCAAGACCTTTTCTCTAAATAATAATAAAATGCTGTAAGTGTTCAAAAGAAGAATAACTAGGGGTGACTTCACTAAGTCCTGAGGAGGGAGGAATAGATATTACCAAAGATAGGAGATACTGATGTATACAAGGTAATTGCAGTTGACAAAGAGTAGGTGTGGCTAATTGGAGCAGATTATGTCCATGGTGTAGTGGATTTTATGCGTTTTTTAACAGAAGAAACCACCTCAATTTTTTTTTTTTGAGGTTAAACTTCAGTATATGAAAGAGGGGGCAACCCAGCAGTTGTTTTGATTGAAGCAGAGTTCTAGGTCTCCAGGAATAGTTTAAAAACTGTAACTAGGCTGGGCACGATGGCTCATGCCTGTAATCCCCAACACTTTGGGAGGCTGAGGTCGAAACATCTCTTGAACTCAGGAGTTTGAGACCAGCCTGGGCAACATAGTGAGACCCTGTCTCTACCAAAAAATAAAAAATAAAAAATTAGCCTGGCATGGTGATGTGCACCCTTAGTCCCAGCTACTTGGTGGTTTAGGTGGGAGGATCACGAGAGGCCATGAAGTTGAGGCTGCAGGGTGCCGTGTCATTGCGAGTGTACTCCAGCCTGGATGACAGTGAGAGCATGTCTCAAAACGCGCGCCTGCACACACACACACACACACACACACACACACCCCTACCTACCTACCTACCTACAACTAGAAGGGAGAAATGGGAAATATTAATATAGGCACAAATCTCATATATGCTAAGCACTTAACAAATATCTCATTTAAATCTTATAATAAGCCCCTGAGAGAATTACTGTTGTCCCATTTTGTGGAAGAAACTGAGTCTTAGAGAAGTCCAATATGTTGCCCAAGGGTAAGCAACCAGTAAACTATAGAATCAGGATTCAGATCTCAGTCCTTCTGCCTCCAAAGCTCATGCCACACTGAATGTGGAAGGCCTTAATGCTCCTCCAATCTGGAATTGTATTTTGTAAGCCAAAGACACCTTGATCAGAGCAGAGGTATAGACTTACAGCCAGAAGAGATACTGAAGGCCGGGTGTGGTGGCTCACGCCTGTAATCCTTGCACTTTGGCAGGCCAATGTGGGTGGATGCTTGAGCTCAGGAGTTCGAGACCAGCCTGGGCAACATGGCAAAACCCCATCTCTACTTAAAATGCAAAGAAAAAATTAGCTGGGCGTGATGGCATGTGCCTGTAGTCCCAGCCACCTGGGAGAATGAGGTGGGAGAATCGCATGAGCCCAGAAGGTCGACGAGGTTGCAGTGAGCTGAGATCATGCCACTGCACTCCAGCCTGAGTGACAAAGTAAGACCCTATCTCAGAAAAAAAAAAAAAGATATTGAAGATAAGTTAAAACTCACTATACAGTTGAGAAATTTATTTTTAGGGTTCCAAAATGTTTTAATGATAGGGCTGAAACCCAAACCCAAATTCTTTGATTTGCCATCGAAATCTCTTTTCATTATCCCAGCCAGGCATTGGTGATGGAAATAAAATAATAGTCTGCTCAAAGAATGTCTGAGGATGGAGATGGAAAACCATTTAGAAAGTTGTCTGGGTATGAGTATAGATAAGGACTTGAAAGAGTAATAGTGGAAATGGAAAGGAAGGAATAACTATGAAGGCTGATAAAACAGGTCAACTATGAAGACAATATATAGTCAGTTTATGCACATGTTTGACTAGCAAGCCCCTATTCACTAGATTTAGTGTTAATCTTTTATAATAGCCATCATTTATTAAGTGTTTACTGAGTGCTTGGACATGGATTTTCTAACTTAAATCCTCTTTGAGGTAGATACTCCCATTTTACCCAAAGAGCATTTTACCAAAAGATCTTTGCCCAAGATCTTTTTTCCTTTTTTTTTTTTTCTTTTTTTTTTTTTTTTTGAGACGGAGTGTTGCTCTGTCACCCAGGCTGGAGTGCAGTGGTGCAGTCTCGGCTCACTGCAACCTCCACCTCCCTGGTTCAAGCAATTCCCCTGCCTCAGCCTCCCAACTAGCTGAGATTATAGGTGCATGCCACCACACCTGACTAATTTTCCTGTATTTTTATTAGAGACGGGGTTTCACTATGTTGGCCAGACTGGTCTCAAACTCCTGACCTCGGGCAATCCGCCCGAATCGGCCTCCCAAAGTGCTGGGATTACAGGCTTAAGCCACCACGCCCAGCCTGCCCAAGATCTTACAGCAGATAAGTGGTAGAATCTTGGTGCCAAAACCTATGCTTTTAACCAATATGCTGTAATGTACCTAAACTGTAGGTGCTAGCTTACTTCCCTATCCTGGAGAGATATGATGGTGGTGAGAAATACCAGTGCCACCGAATTGAAATATACAGTAGTTATTCAGGCCAGAAAAAGTGGAGATAATTCTGAATGTGATATATTCTCGTAGGGCACTTGAAGTGGTCATATATATTCTTCATGATGAGTATAAATTCACTAGAAACTTAAGGCTAAAGTTGAGTGGTAAGAACTTTTGCCAAATATTTAGGGATGGAAATTGGTGTCCAGGGAAAAAGAAAATACTGTAACTTATGTCTCATACTATAATTTCCTCCCTGACTTCTACTTTCTGTTTCTCTCCTGTGGCATTTTAAATATTCAATCTTGTATAATTTTTGTTGATGTGTCTCTTTTACCTAATTCAGTAGACTGTAAATTCCTAAAGGATAGTAATTACTGTGCATTTATGTATTCTCTGTTGCTGTTTTTCTTGTTTTGTATTCTGCATATGTTTATTGCATGCTTAAAAGGTGCCAGATCTGGGTTGGGTGTGGTGGCTCACGACTGTAATCACAGCTCTATGGGAGGACGAGGCAGGTGGATCACTTGAGGCTAGGAGTTCAAGACCAGCCTGGCCAACATGGCGAAACCCTCTCTACCAAAATATACAAAAATTAGCCAGGCATGTTGGTGCACGCCTGTAATCCCAGCTACTTGGAAGGCTGAGGCATGAGAATAGCTTGAACTCAGGAGGCGGAGGTTACAGTGAGCCGCCTGGGTGACAGAGTAAGACTCTGTCTCCAAAGAAAAAGAGAAAAAGAATGTGCCAGATCTGTACTAAGTCTTTAAGAGTGAATAAGATAGAACCTCTGCCCTCCAGAGGTTTATTTCTAATAGGGAAACAAATAATGTAACAAATTTAATACAGTATAATGATTGTTTTAATTGTGAAGTTAAAGGTACAGTGGAAGCTTAATAGAGAATTGAGCAATTTAAGTTATAATTTCAAATTTTTTATAATAATTAACAAGTGAAAAGTCTCAGATTGTGAGAATAAAGAAGCAACCAACTATTTTCTATCTGTGCATCTATACTTGCTGATAGATACATGGAGTACAGGTGTCTGTGAGTTAGTGGAATCTCTTTATTCTTCCATGAGAAGCGTTGGTATTTTAAAGTGGAATGAAATCTGAAAATGATAAGAACATAAAGTAAAAAGTGTTTTATAATAAACATATTTTATTAAAATCTTTCAAAAGTTCATTTAAAATTTACCACCAAAATTCAAAACAATGGCACTTAAAACACTCGGAAAAGAGAACAAAGTGTAATATATTTTTATGTAGTATTTCAAATGTAGTTTATTAGTTTTAAATCCAGTATTTCCTTTCTCACTAAATCTTCCCAAACCAGTAGATAGAAATCCCACTTGGTTTTCTTGTAAATCCCATTTGGTTCAAAAGGAGGGAGCAAAGAATGTAGACCTGAAGTAGGAGTTGGGGCCCGATGATAGCATACGTTGTTGAAATTGAGTGAGTGTGAGACAATAGCAAGTGGTGTGAGTTTTGCTGTGTTTAGAGAAGGTAATTGTTGCCACCTAAGATTATAATCTCAGTGTTGCTGGATCTTCTAAAATTGTTAAAAGCAGCCAGGAATTCAGATTCCTTTTCTGTGAAATGTTCTAATTGATAAATGTTGGCTTGAAGTCTAAAATAATGAAATTAAACAAAACATACCAGGCTGTATTTGAACCGCAAGTTACTACTTTGTGAGCTCATCTGAAATTTCACCTGGGTTCAATTCTAACTCTGCAACTAGTAAGCACTGTGACCTTGCTATACCCTCCATATAGCCATATTTTTACAAGATTTGGGGGTGTCAGGAATTAAATATGGCTATATGTTTTATATACCTATATATTTCTCTCTCCAGTATATAGAATAAGACATAATGCCACTTAAAAGATTGAGAAACTTAAATGTTTATCTGAGGTGAAACTGCTAAGGATAGGAGCTACCTTTACTAAACAAGTCTTCTTACTTCTACCCCAGTGCTTTTTCCATTATTAGTCTTATGGCTTTCAGCAGAATCACCTTGGGTTCTTGTTAAAAATGTAGATTCAGGCCGGGTGCAGTGGCTCACGCCTGTAATCCCAGCACTCTGGGAGGCTGAGGCGGGCGGATCACCTGAGGTCAGGGGTTCAAGACCAGCCTCAACATGGAGAAACCCCGTCTCTACTAAAAATACAAAATTAGCCGGGCGTTGTGGTGCATGCCTGTAATCCCAGCTACTCGGGAGGCTGAGGCAGGAGAATTGCTTGAACCTGGGAGGCGGAGGTTGCGGTGAGCCAAGATCACGCCATTGCACTCCAGCCTGGGCAACAAGAGTGAAACTCTGTCTCAGGAAAAAAAAAAAAAAAAAGTAGATTCTGAGGCTGAGTGCAGGGGCTCACGCCTGTAACCCCAGCACTTTGGGAGGCTGAGGTGGGAGGATGGCTTGAGTTCAGAGTTCAAGACCAGCCTGGGCCACATAGCAAGAGTTTGTATCTACTGAAAAAGAAAACAAGCAAAAAATTTAATGTCGATTCTGACCAGCATAAATCAGCAGGTCTGGGGTAGGGTTCAGGAAATGATATTTTATTTTATTTATTTATTTTTTGGAGACAGTTTCGCTATTGTTGCCCAGGCTGGAGTGCAGTGGTGCGATCTCGGCTCACTGCAACCTCTGCCTCCCGGGTTCAAGTGATTCTTCTGCCTCAGCCTCCCAAGTAGCTGGGATTACAGGCATGTGCCATCACGCCTGGCTAATTTTTGTATTTTTTAGCAGAGACAGGGTTTCACCATGTTGGCCAGGCTAGTCTCGAACTCCTAACCTAAGGTCATCCACCCGCCTCAACCTCCCAAAGTGCTGGGATTACAGGCGTGAGCCACCACGCCTAGCCCAGGAAATGATATTTTAAATATCCCCTTGCCCCATTTTTTAATGCAAATAGAATGGATCAGGGCTAGAAAAACATTCTTTTGGACCATATGAATAACAGGCTTCTAAGAAAATTACCTTCATTATAGTAAATAGGGTGGACAGTTTTTTTTTTTAAATTTATCCAAAATGTATTGGTTACACTAAAGTAGTATAGTGCTGTTTATTTTTTTTTTTTTATAGTCTTAGCCTTAGCCTAATTTACATTGTTTCCTATCTTAGTATTCATAGACTTTTGGACCTAGGTTAGTTTGCCTTATTAAAATGACACTGGGTTAGTAGGATACTTAGGCAAGAGAGTGGAGTGTCCAGGAAGCTTCTTAAGTGAGCAAAAGGGTATATAGTGATAGTGGTTTGTTTCTTCTTCTTCTTCTTCTTCTTCCTCTTCCTCTTCTTCTTCCTCTTCCTCTTCTTCTTCCTTCTTCTTCTTCCTCCTTCTTCCCCCCCCCCCCTTTTTTTTTTTTTTGGCTCACGTGATCCTCCCACCTCAGCATCCTGTGTAGCTGTAGCTGGGAATATAGGCATTTGCCACCATGTCTGGCCAATTTTTAAATTTTTTTCATAGAGACAGGGTCTCCCTATGTTGCCTAGATTGGTCTGGAACTCCAGGGCTCAAGCTGTCATCCTGCCTCAGCCTCCCAAAGTGCTGGGATTATAGGCGTGAGCCACCATACCCAGCCTGTAATACTTTGATTATTGATCATAGATAATAATTTTCTCCATCTGTAAATGGGGTTGTTTCATTACCATCAAATTGTATGTAAAACATTTGGAAATTATCACAGATTCTGTTTTAGAGTATCTTTCATTTTAAGGTATTTACTTTCAAAAATGCCAAATTTAAATTAGCCGGGCTTGGTAGTGGGCTCCTGTAATCCCAGCTACTCAGGAGGCTGAGATAGGAGAATCGCTTGAACCTGGGAGGCAGAGGTTGCAGTGAGCTGAGATCACGCCACTGTACTCCAGCTGGGGCAACAGAGTGAGTGAGACCCTGTCTCACAAACAAACACCCCCAAAATGTCTAATTTGGAAATAAAAGGAAGACTAATTTCTTTATTTTCTGAACCCTTGAGCGTTCTGCATAGTGATTTAAAGTTTACAAAATATCTTCCATTTGTTGTCTCTTTTGGTCTGTATGCCAGTCCTAAAAAGGGGGATGGGGTAGGTGTGGTGTGATGGCTTATGCCTGTAGCCCTAGCTACTTGGGAGGTTAAGGCAGGAGGATTGCTTGAGCCCAGGAGTTTGAGGCTGCAAGTGAGCTATGATTGTGTGACTGCACTCTAATCTCCAGCCTGAGCCATAGAGCTAGAACCTGTCTTAAAAAAAAAAAAAAAAAGGTGGTGATAATATTTTCATTTTGCAGAGGAGGCTGCTGAGACTCAGGCTCTGCTTGCCAAAAGTCACACAAGTGTCTAGCTATTATCTCTTATTGGAGAGCTAAGCTTTGCAGCCCAGTCTTTTTTAGGGATTGCCTAGAAAAATATAGGAAGAAGTTTATTGGCTGGGTGCGGTGGCTCACACCTGTAATCCCAGCACTTTGGGAGGCTGAGGCGGGCAGATCACGAGGTCAGGAATTCAAGACCAGCCTGGCCAATATAGTGAAACCCTGTCTCTACTAAAAATACAAAAATTAGCCAGGCATGGTGGCACGTGCCTGTAGTCCCAGCTATTCAGGAGGCTGACTGAGGCAGGAGAATTGCTTGAACCCAGGAGGTAGAGGTTGCAGTGAGCCAAGAGTGTGCCACTGTACTCCAGCTTGGGCAACAGAGTGAGACTGTCTTAAAAAAAAAAAAATTTTTTTTTATTAAACATGAAATGGAGGCCAGGTGCGGTGGATCACACCTGTAATCCCAGCACTTTGGGAGGCCAAGGCGGGCAGATCACTTGAGGTCAGGAGTTCGAGACCAGCTTGGCCAACATGGTGAAACCCCATCTCTACTAAAACACAAAGAAATTAGCTGGGCATGGTGATGCATGCCTGTAATCCCAGCTACTCAGGAGACTGAGGCAGGAGAGTCACTTGAACCTGCGAGGCGGAGGTTGCAGTGAGCCAAGATTGTGACACTGTGCTCCAGCCTGGGTGACAGAGTGAGACTCAGTCTTTAAGGAAAAAAAAATAGATGAAATGGAGGAGTTGCAGTGGAAAGTTAAATGAGGCTGGAAAGTTTTGGGGTAATGGAGTGATCCTGGAATAGTAAAATTTTCAGTGTAGCTATGGAAAAACAATAGTAAGTTTAAGAAGGCATTTGATTGTTGGCTTATTATAGTATCACAAGACTGGCTGCTGTCTACATAATCCCCCCAGATATTTTCTACTCAAATATTTTCCACTCTTCAAACTTTAGAATTGTGAAGTGAACCTTATAGATTTGTCTAACTCCTTTATTTTTAAGACAGAGTCTCACTCTGTCGCCCAGGCTGGAGTGCAGTGGTGTGAACTCGGCTTCACTGCAAGCTCCACCTCCCGGGTTCACACCATTCTCCTGTGTCAGCCTCCCGAGTAGCTGGGACTACAGGCGCCTGCCACACGCCTGGCTAATTTTTTGTGTTTTTAGTAGAGACTGGGTTTCGCCGTGTTAGCCAGGATGGTCTCGATCTGCTGACCTCGTGATCTGCCCGCCTCGGCCTCCCAAAGTGCTGGGATTACAGGCGTGAGCCACTGCGCCTGGCCTTTAACTCCTCTATTTTTGGATCACGAAACTAATATAGGCGGCATGGTGACTCACACCTGTAATCCCAGCACTTTGTGAGGTTGAGGCAGAAGGATAACTCGAGGCTAGGAGTTTGAAACCAGCCTGGGCAACATAGTGAGACACCATCTCTACAAAAAAAAATTTTTTTTTTTTTAATTAGCCACACATGGTGGTGAGTGCCTGTAGTCCTAGCTACTTAGGAGGCTGAGGTGGGAGGATCACTTGAGCCCAGGAGTTCAGTGTTACAGTAAACTATGATGACTTCACTGCATTCCGTCCTGCCTAGGCAACAGGGTGAGATTCTGTCTCTAAAAATAAAAAGAAATTAATAGCTAATAATGGGTCACATGCCCCATTAGTGACAGAACTGTAATTCAGATCCCCTGAGTTTCATGTTGCCACTCTTTACAAGTATATTTTTTCTTTTGGAATTCATTAATCAAGAAATACTCATGTAGGCTGGGCACAGTGGCTCATGCCTGTAATCCCAGCACTTTGGGAGTATGAGGTGGGTGGATCACCTGAAGTCAGAAGTTCGAGGCCAGCCTGGCCAACATGGTGAAACCCCGTCTCTACTAAAAATACAAAAAATTAGCCACCTGGTGGCGGGCACCTGTAATCCCAGCTACTCAGGAGGCTTGAGGCAGGAGAATCGCTTGAACCTAGGAAGTGAAGGTTGCAGTGAGCCGAGATCGCGCTGTTGCACTCCAGCCTAGGCAACAAGAGTGAAACTCCATCTTAGGGGGGGAAAAAAAAAAAAGAAAAAGAAATACTCACATAGATTGGAGCTCACTGGTAATTTTTGGTCTACCTACATGTATATAGGAGTGTACTGGGTACTTGAAGGAAGCCATTAATTTTTACTGTGACCTGTTTTTTAAAAAGAGGAAAAATGTTTTCAGAATTTCTAACAGACCACTTACCCTAAACCTAATTTCCTGGAAAACACCATTATTATGGGGGCTGACTTGAGGTTTTCCTTCACTGAAACTGGTTATGGCAACTTTCCAATTCAGTTTTTTAAAAGTTTGTCGATATATGTTGAATGTAAGTTCTTTAGTATTTTTTTCTTAAACATTTGATGCTTCCTTCTCCTTGACTACTGAGTGATAACAAGAAATGAAATTGAACAAGCCTTAAGGCTCTAATGACCAGTAATGTAAAACTCAAATATTTCATTATAAAAGTTTACATATTTTTTGATATATGGAGACCTTTCTAATATAGTGATATGTTCTACTTGATAAAATAATTCCTTGATTATGAGAGTTAAATCATTAGTATCTTGTGATGTTAAGCGGCGCGCATCATGATGACTAAGTATTTACAGTTGAACAAGTTTCAGACCCGCTACGAACATGTTCATTCTCTGAGTCAACAAATGCTTTTTAACTAAATGCCATTCTGGCCTACATACTGTGTCAGATATGGATATAAACATAAGTAAAACTCAGGGCACAAAAGTGCTACCACTTTTTTTCCCCCCGTGAGATGGAGATTCTCTCTTGTTGCCCCAGACTGGAGTGCAATGGTGTGATCTCGGCTCACTGCAACTTCTGCCTCCCAGTTTCAAGTGATTCTCCTGCCTCAGCCTCCCAAGTAGCTGGGATTACAGGAACATGCCACCACGCCCAGCTAATTTTTGTATTTTAAATGCAGACGAGGTTTTGCCATGTTGGCCAGGCTGATCTCGACCTCCTGACCTCAAGTAGTCTGCCTGCCTTGGCCTCCCACAGTGCTGGGATTACAGCCGTGAGCCACCATGCCTGGCCTTTTTTTTTTCTTTAAACTAAAGACTTAACTGTTTTTTTCCGTATCTCCTCAGCCCCATGTTTTAGACTATTTTACCCCAAAATTGTATTTATTAATTTGGCTTTCCCATTTGAAAAAACAAATTGATCTTAGCATGGTGGTTAGCTTGAGGCAATCTTTAGTGAGTCAGTATAATTTTAGCTAAAACAGTTGTATCTCATGTAAAAGTATGATTTTCTTTAGGTTTTTTTTTTTTAATTGAAAGTAACTCATGAATTCTCTTTATTATCTCTTCTAAGGGCTTGAGGATATCATGTTATCCCTGGATGAGATATCCTTCCCAGGCCTAACATTCTGATTTAACAACACTTTCACTAAAGCCTTTTGCCCCACCTTTGTTCCTGTTTATTAATATATTTAGTTATATGATTAAAATTGAACTATTTTATCCTAGATGGAAAGTATCAGATGGAAATTCGTTTAGGTCATAATTAAACTTGTGTGCCTTAGAAAACATCTGTATTTGAAAATCAAATTGGCCAGGCACCATGGCTCATGTCTGTAATCCCAGCACCTTGTGGGGCCAAAGTGGGCAAATTGCTTGAGCTCAGAAGTTCAAGAACAAACTGGGCGGGCAACATGGTGAAATCCCGTCTCTACAAAAAATAACAAGAATTAGCCACATGTGGTGGTGTGCACCTGTAGTCCCAGCTTCTTAGGAAGCTGAGATGGGAGGATTACTTGAGCCCAGGAGGTTGAGGCTGCAGTGAGCCGTGGTTATGCCACTGCACTCCAGCCTGGGCGATGGTGAGACCCTGTTTTAAAAAATAAATAAAGGAAGAAAAAAATCAAATTAATTTGGTTGTTGTATAGGTCACTAAAAAGGCCATGGCAAGAATATAGTAGGTTTTTGTAGTACTGGATAATTTGAACTCTATTTTGGGTAGAAAGTTTTTCCTTTTTTTTTAAACCTTAAAAACTCTCTAGGGATTAAGTAATGTGCTCAATGTTTTCAGTTAATGTTTTCTGAGAGGTAGCATATATCATATGTTAGAGTTGCTTAGAAAAATATCTAAACGATGCTGAAAGTAATAATTGTTTCTATGCCACCTAAAGACTCATTTTCAGGAGAAATTTGCAAAAATTAAGCTTTGGTTTGGAAATAAATGTACCATTTTTTATTCAGTGTTTCTGAAAGTTTCATGTGATCACAGTTTCAATAAATGAAATGATATTTAAGTCCATTAACATGACTTGAATCCTATTTTGAATACTTTTGCAAATCAGAGAATCACCTGCGTAATTTTTTTTATCTTGATTTTCACATATGTATTTGCATTACTTAAAAAGAAGAAATAAGTACTTTAAAGATGTCAGTGTAGGTTCTTGGCCTTTATCAGTTTAATGGTCTTTTTTCCCCTCTTTTCTCTTTTTCGACAAGGTTTTTCTCTGTCACCCAGGCTGGAGTGCAGTGGTGCGATGATAGCTCACTCCAGCTCCTGGGCTCAAGTGGTCCTTCTGCCTCAATATTTTCAGTGGCTAGGACTGCAGGTGCATGCCACCATGCCCAGCTAATTTTTTTAAGAAAAATTTTTTGGAGAGACAGAGTCTTGCTCTATTGCCCAGTATGGTCTCAAACTCCTGTCCTCAAGGCATCTTCCTGCCTTGGCCTCCCCAAGTGCTGGGATTACAGGCGTGAGCCACCAAGCCCAGCCCAGTTTTAATTGTCTTTTGAAAGTGGATTTTAGGCCGGGCTCATTGGCTTACACCTGTAATCCCAGCACTTTGGAGGCTGAGGTGAGCAGATCACTCAAGCCCAGGAGTTTGAGACCAGCCTGAGCAATATGGTGAAACCCCATCTCTACTAAAAATACAAAAATTAGCCAGATGTAGTGGCAGGCACTTGTAGTGTCAGCTACTCAGGAGGCCTAGAGGCAAGAATTGCTTGAGCCTGGAAGCTGGAATTTACAGTGAGCGGAGATGGCACCACAGCACTCCAGCCTGGGTGACTTAGCAAGATCCTGTCTCAAAAAAAACATGGATTTTGTGACTTTTTGATGGCTTTTATATTTACTTGCACTTCATTAAGGTCGTCTTTAAAGACAACTTTAGATATCTTTAAAAGACAACTTCAGACATTTTTAAGCTTTTTTAACTGCTTATGCATTAGCTTCACAAATGTTCTGTTTTCTCTCATTCTCAGCTGAAGTTCCAGCTGGTCAGATTACTCTATTTTGCCTATTTATTGGTAATTCATGGAACGTGGTGCTGCGGTTGTGGTGTTTTTTTTTTTTTTTACATCATCACTATATGCAGTGCCCAGAACAGTGCCTTGAATATAGTAGAAACTCTCTTTCTCTCTCTCCTTCTCTCTCTCTCTCTCTCTCTATATATATATATATGTATATATATACGTATACATATACACACATATATATGTGTATATATATATTATTTTATTTTATTTTATTTTTGTCTCTTTGAGACAGAGTTTCACTCTTGTTGCCCAGTCTGGAGTGCGATGGTACGATGTCAGCTCACTGCAACCTCCGCCTCCCGGGTTTAAGCGATTCTCCTGCCTCAGCCTCCCAAGTAGCTAGGATTACAGGCATGCACCACCATGCCCAGCTAATTTTGTATTTTTAGTAGATACAGGGTTTCACCATGTTGGTCAGGCTGGTCTTGAACTCCTGACCTCAGGTGATCCACCCGCCTCGGCCTCCCAAATTGCTGGGATTACAGGCCTGAGCCACCGTGCCCGGGCTTTTGATTTTTTTGGGGGGCGGGGGGAAGGAGTGTCGTTGTGTTGCCCAGGCTGGAGTGCAGTGGTGCAATCTTAGCTAACTGCAACCTCTGCCTCCCGGGTTAAAGTGATTCTCCTGCCCCAGCCTCCTGAGTAGCTGGGATTACAGGTGCCCGCCACCACGCCCAGCTAATTTTTGTGTTTTTAGTAGAGATGGGGTTTCACCATGTTGGCCAGGCTGGTCTCGAACTCCTGACCTCAAGTGATCTGCCCGCCTCAGCCTCCCACAGTGCTGGGATTACAGGCATGAGCCACCATGCCTAGCCAAAACTCAATATTTGTTGTAAATGTTTGTATTGAATCTCTGTAAGGGGAAAGCAGCAGAGATGCATTGTGGTGTTCTTACATCTTACATTGTGGTATTCTTACATCTGTTGACAATTCAACCAGTGTTTTAATCACTGTAGAAGCTTCTTCCTTTCTAATTTGTTTCTGCAGGGAAATCATATGTCTTCTGTTTCTAAAGTATGGCTGATTACTAGATTATGGTTGTCCTTTAATATATTCTTCCCAGTTGTTCTATTCCTAGAGTTTGTCTCTTTAAAAATAGTGTTTCCCTGGGCTGGGTGCAGTGGCTCACGCCTGTAATCCCAGCACTTTGGGAGGCCAAGGTGGCAGATCATGAGGTCAAGAGATCGAGACCATCCTGGCCAATATGGTGAAACCCTGTCTCTACTAAAAATACAAAATAATTAGCTGGGTGTAGTGGTGCACCTGTAGTCCCGGCTACTCAGGAGGCTGAGGCAGGACAATTGCTTAAACTTGGGAGGCGGAGGTTGCAGTGAGCCGAGATTGCGTCACTGCACTCCAGCCTGGGTGACGGAGTGAGACGCCATCTCAAAAAAAAATGGTGTTTCCCAAAAAACAACAAAAGAGTTCTTTCTCTGTAGTTTAAGTCTTTAGGACAGTTTTGTAGATTGATGTAACCTTAACCATTTTAAAATCAGAACTGATTCCTGAGGGATTGTTCTCAATGACAGAGTGGCTGTGATAATCAGTGGGTTTTTGTGTTTGACTGTATTCTTTCTTTAGTTATGTTATAATGCCTTCACATTTTAGCAAGACTTGCATATATAAGAGAGCACTTAGGAATTTCTATTATTGCATAAGTAAAACTGCCTTTTAAAATAGGCAATAGGCTGATGTGCAGCTCACACTTGTAATCCCAGAGCTTTGGGAGGCTGAAGCAAGAGGATCACTTGAGCCTGAAAGGTGGAGGCTGCAGTGAGCTGATCGTGCTACTGTACTCCAGCCTCAGCGACCCTGTCTCTAAAAAATAAATGTGTAATTCCAGTTAGTGAAACATTATTTAAGGTTTTGATTTAGAAAATATGAGTATCAGTTGTTTTCCATCAGATTAATACATTGATATTGGCATATTCTTGATTTTGCATGTGTTTCCTTTCCCTTCTCCAGTTGGCCAAGTAAGTGTCTGTAGATCTTTTCCTGAGGAAGACAGTTTCTTTTAAGGAGATTATTTAGTGTTCTGGTTGAAGTTGCTTCCTTTGGAGTGAAACAAGCAACAAAAATGTTCTCACTAATTTAATATATTTTAAATAATATTTGCTGTATTTTAAAAGAAACCAAGAAGTAGGGAACCTGGATTTTATTTTTAAAAGAAGTTGAGGCCGGGCGAGGTGGTTCACGCCTGTAATTCCAGCATTTGGGAGGCCGAGGTGGGCAGATCACCTGAGGTCGGGAGTTTGAGACCAGCCTGACCAACATGAAGAAACCCCGTCTTTACGAGAAATACAGAATTAGCCGGGCACGGTGGTGCATGCCTGTAGCCCCAGCTACTTGGGAGGCTGAGGCAGGAGAATCGCTTGAACCCAGGAGGTGGAGGCTGTGGTGAGCTGAGATTGCGCCATTGCACTCCAGCCTGGGCAACAAGAGCGAAACTCCATCTCAAAAAAAAAAAAAAAAAGTTGAGTTTTCTAGAGAATACATATTAGCAGACACTCTTGCTACCTACCTTTTGAGGTCATCACTACAAATTGGTATTCAGATATTGTAAGTGATGTTCTTTAGGATTATCATTGATAGCAACTGAATAAACTGAGGGGGTTTTTTGTTTTGTTTTGTTTTGTTTTTTAATGCTGCAGCCTCTTCCTGTATGTAGTGTTTGGTGTCTTTTCCCACTGGGATCTTTCCTTGGTCTATAGCCTCTTTAATAATGTTAAGAAATTACTACTTGGCCCAGGCAATAATGTCACCTTCAAGATTGCTTTGAAAGTCATACTGTTTATTTTCTGTGAGTTAACTCTGAGTGGAGTAATTTTAAATGTGACAGCTCTTGTGATGTCGGTTTCTCTAGAGCTGTCCTTCAAAGATTGGTTTTGTTGTGTGCTGAAAGAAGGATATTGGCCAGCCTGGGAAGTCTCGGTTAACAGGAAGCAAAGTTCTGAGGAGAGCCACTTAAAGAGTTGTATTCATTCATAACAGAATTCAAATGCACAAAGTTCTCCAAGCACTGAAGATCTAAGATTATTTTCTAGACTGCTTAATTGTTTTATATATATATTTCTAGAGAAGTCTTGCGGACATCTCACCCATACTCCAAGCCTCCTAGAGTTCTTTTGGTGAAGTAAATGACTTGATTACTGTCCAGTTAGTTGATCTGATAGAGTCTTAGATGTCATTTCTTTTAAAAGTCCTACCTTGGGCCCTGAATACTGATTTACGAGAATGAATAGTTAAATGAAAGATTGGAAACTAGAGCTAGTTCTCTTACTTTAAACTGACACCCTACCCCCTGCCTTATTGAAGAGGGTGTTGTTCATGTTCTCAAGTAGCAGTACAAAAATCTCACACCTTGGTCTGACCAGTATGAAAACAGCTGCTGTAGCACAAAATGTCCTTCCTCTGTCCCCGGCTGAGATTGGGGGAGGGACAAAGCCCAACTGTTAACTTTACCCCATCCTGTCTGCCTGCTAGAAGGCCTGTTTCCTACCCTAATGGTTTCTGCCTAACAAATGGTATTTCTTTTTTACAGCATTATGATCCTGGACTTGTTGTGGTGATGGTAATCTTAGCAGTGGTAATTTTTTATTTTCAGACTGAATTACTCCTTTTGTCATCAGTGCACCAATATGTTAGGCTTACTTTCTCTGTTGTAGCCTTCATCCTTCTGCTTGGTCTTTTTCATTTTCCTTTCCTTTCCTTATGCAACTTGTCTGATCCTTGTTCATTAAAGGGTAATGTTAAGAAGGGATGTATCTGTTTGTGTTAGAACTGCCAATAAAATCAGTTAAAACATTAAATTCTAATACTGTCAAAAACTTGATTTCCCCACAATGTAATGGGCACTAGCACTTGCTACTGCAATTTATAAATAAATTAAAACAAACTTTGACTGCCTTAGAAGGCAAAAGTACTAATGCAGAGTTTATAAACAGGGGTTTACAGAGGTAATGAATTTGTACCAAAACTTTCTTGATTCTTGCAAAACGAATTCTGACAGATCAAAAAAGATACCAAAATAAATTGCTTTGACATTTCTTTTTAATTCATTCATTGGACTATTTGTTTTTACCAGTAAATCCCTGACTGAGACGTTATGAAAGTGATATTGCACCTAGGAAGTCATTTTTATAACCTGTCTTTAATTTGGTCCTTTTGCTAAAGATTGCAGTCACTGCTTATTTATTATACCATTGGGCATAGGGTAGTAATGCATTTTCATTTTGCTTTACTGGCAGTCCTTTGATTGTATCTAAAAGAAGGCTGTATTCTAGAAGTTGTTGTTTTGTTTTTTTTTTTTTTCTGACATGAGATGTTCTTTAACAGTTTGGGTTTGGTTTTTTTGTTTTGTTTTTTTACTGTGATAATTCTAATTCTCCCTATTTATTGTTTAAAAACAATAATAGGATACATAAGTAGTTAAACTTATGAATTTGTTTTTCATTCCATCTTAAAGGCAAAAATTAATTCCACAAATATAGAGCCACCGAGTACAAGTGGTTGTGGTCGTTTTGAACATGGTTTCTTCTTTATTTTGCAGGACCAAAACCAGTCATGATCATGGCATTTATTTTTTAAAAAGTTTTTTTTGGGGTTGGGAGGGTAATGCCTCAGATTTAGCCTAAGAAAACTCCATTTTTAGCCCAAAGGTATAATATATGTATATATATATGTGTGTGTGTATAACAACAACAACAACACAACCAAAAAAACCAATTGTTTACACCAGCCTGAGTGAAATGATGAGGGAAGTAAACATTGTGTTTTTTCACTAAAGGTGTACAACGGATAAGGTAAGTCCTCTTTTCAGTGGGCTTACATCACAATAAAAAGCGCAGGTTGTGATGTAAAACAGCTGTGGTAGTAAAGTGCTTGTCTGCCCCATTTTGCTTTGTTTGGCTGGTTATGAGTGGATTAAATATATATTTATTAAAAAAATTATCCAGCATAGATCAATTAGTTTAAAGTCAATTTTCTTCGCAACTAGTCCTTTTCACAGCTTACCAGTTACCCTCGCAGCCAGTGTTAAATCCACTCTAGGAAATGGGACTTTAGAGCACCAGATTAAAAGGAAAACTATTCTTTTCTCTAAGGGCAACTAATTGTTTCTTTTTATTTAAACTTTTCACAGCCCCATTAAATTGTAAAGCATCTCCTAGTCTATGAGGAACATCAAAAAAAATTGTAAAGCATCTTTTGAAAACAAATTCAACATACTGAGTTGTAATTATAAAGTTTTACTGCATCATGTTTAAAAATGTACTTTTTCTATTTAACCATGCCAGTTGAGATTTTTTTTTTTAAACTAGGTTAAAAAGTTGTGTAGGAGGATATCAGTGGGCAGAGTAAAGTGATACTTGATGGGAAGTTATTTGGGGATCTTAAAAGGAATTTTTAAAGTTTTACAATTTAAACCTCCTGATGCCATTGCTTAAAAGTGCTTTGCATTACTTATTAATGTAATTTTGCCATAGTAATTTGAAATTAATCCCAACTGGACGTCAGCCAAGGTGGTTAATTGGGTTTAAACTAGGAAAGGAAGGTCTTGAGTGTAAGCTGTGAGAATGGCTTGTGTTTGGTTCACTGTAGCTTTCTGGTCTCTGCACTCCAAGGCAAGATCTCTAACCACCCAAAACCCAATGTGTAAAATGAGCTGTTGGTTTGGCTTTGCACCTTACCTTGATTATGTGTTCCTGTTACAGGGAGAACAGATCCCATTCCAATCGTTGTCAAGTATGATGTCATGGGCATGGGTCGCATGGAAATGGAGGTAAATTGATCTCATTAACTCATAAGTTTTGTGAGATATTTTGAAATAATACTAATTCCAAATTCAGATGTCTGTGCAAGAATACATTTATCAGATGAAATGTAGTTTTAATATTTTTCTTTGGATGACTAAAAAATATATTTTACATTTTCATTTAGTGCTACTTTTGAGACAAATAGAATATAAACAGAGCTGCTGTTTTAACTGGCACATAAAGAAGTTAAGTGATTTGCCGAGGGTTATACAGCAAGGCAATATCAGACTTAGATCCAGACCTTGGTACTTGCTTCAGTAGGCAGTGTTGCTCAGCTCTTAAAATGTTGCTGTGATAAAAGCTTTGCCTTTGTAGAATTGGGTACGGCTGTCACCTGTAATACCTGCTTTTCATTGCCTAAAATATTTTCTTCATTGACTCCTAATTCCTTTTTTTTTTTTTTTTTTTTTTTTTGAGATGGAGTTTCGCTCTTGTTGCCCAGGCTAGAGTGCAATGGCGCAGT